>NC_000005.10:55734807-56359807 GCF_000001405.40 Homo sapiens
CCAATTTTACTTAGCACCTAGCCTGGTACCTGGTGTATAGTAGGTGCTCATTTAAGGCTTATTTTACAACTAAGCGAATTCCTACCTTTTCTCTATGTTACAGAATATCACTAACACCAAGTTAAGATCTATAAGAGGGAATCAGAAAATAGAATATTAGTTTCACTTTCTTGGAACACACATGAAGGAGCAAATCTTTACAAAACTGTCTTTTTTCACTATTCATGGTCAATATTTGAATTATATTATTTTTATGCACTGCTTATTTATCCTTTCCTCAATATTGAACTTCAGTTCTCATCAGAATTCGCTTTTTCTTAACCAAGGATTCCTCTCACACACTATACATGCAGACTTTTTCATTAAGTCATTTTATTGCAATACCTGAAAGCAACAAGAATCTGTACTCTCCAAGTGAGTGAATAGCAGAGAATGTTTGCTAAGTGATTTTAAAAAATGTCTTCATTTTAGAAAATTTGCCCAAGTTTTCCATACTTGAAAAAAAACCTAGTTGTCATTCTCTCTACATGATTTTATATCTTGCTTTTTCTGCTTAGTAAATATTTTCCCATAGAATTAAAAATTTTGCAGGAACAATCTCTAATTTGAATTGAATTAATTTAATTCAATTGAATTGAATTAAAATACCTCAGAGGAATACAAATTCAGAACCTTGAAGATTGGTTGCTGTCCTCCACCATGCCTTGAGGGTATGTGATGTGAAAATTTGGTTTAAAAATGGAAATTATTTAAAATGAATTATATCAAACTGTATTTTGGTTTGGCCTTTGTTAAATATAATCTTTTTTTTTTTTTTTTTGAGCCGAGTCTCGCGATCTCAGCTCACTGCAATCTCTGCCTCCTGGGTTTGAACAAGCTATTCTCCTGCCTCAGCCTCCGAAGTAGTTGGGACTATGGGTGCGTGCCACCACACCCGGCTAATTTTTTGTATTTTCAGTAGAGACGGGGTTTCACCGTGTTAGCCAGAATGGTCTTGATCTCTTGACCTCGTGATCCACCTGCCTCAGCCTCCCAAAGTGCTGGGATTACAGGCGTGAGCCTCTGTGCCCAGCCTAAATATAATCTTTTAAGGTTGGGTGTGGCAGCTTATGGCTGTAATCCCAGCACTTTGGGAGGCTGAGGCAGGAGGCTCACTTGAGGCCAGAAATTGGAGACCAGCCTGGGCAACACAGGGAGACTCTTGGGAGGCTGAGGCAGGAGGCTCACTTGAGGCCCGGAATTGGAGACCAGCCTGGGCAACACAGGGAGACTCTTTCTCTACAAAATTTTTTTTAAAAATTAGCTGGGCATGGTGGCTTGTGCCTGTAGTCCCAGCTATTCGGGAGGCTGAGGTGGCAGGATCACTTGAGCACAGGAGGTTGAGGCTGCAGTAAGCTATGATCATTAGTGCACTCCCCTCTGGGTGACAGAGTGAGACCTTGTCTCAAAAATAAATAAATAAATAAATAAAAAATATATTCATTTTGATCATCTTGAGAATAGTCTGACAAAGTTTATTGCTAACTAGATGAATCCTGAAATTCTTGGTGGTGATGGTTCTAGAGATAAAAAGTATGAAGCAAGCCTGAGCCTATTAAGTGCTTTATCCTTTATGTACCAGTATCAAACTGTGTTGCTATTTATGTTCCTGAATGAGATAGGAATTTCTTCAGATTCAGAGAAGGGAAAATGACAGAAACGACAACAAAAATGAGAACTACACTTTTTTTTTTTTTTTTTTTTTTTGAGGCGGAGTCTCGGTCTGAGGCCCAGGCTGGAGTGCAGTCGCGCGATCTCGGCTCACTGCAAGCTCCGTCTCCCGGGTTCACGCCATTCTCCTGCCTCAACCTCTGGAGTAGCTGGGACTACAGGCGCCCGCCACCACGCCCGGCTAATTTTTTGTATTTTTAGTAGAGACGGGGTTTCGCCGTGTTAGCCAGGATGGTTGCATCTCCTGACCTCGTGATCCGCCCGCTTCGGCCTCCCCAAGTGCTGGGATTACAGACAGACGTAAGCCACCGCGCCCGGCCTCTGAGAACTACACTTTTAAAACAGCCCATGGTCACGCGTTTTGAAGGGCTGGGGAAATACTGAGGGATTTTACCTGCTTTTGGGGTGGGGGGTGGGGGCAGAACAAGAAAATCTGATTGAAGACAGCATGAAGTATCAAAATAACCCTTGGCCACTTTGGCTAGTGCCCGTAGGAATATAAACAGGTGGGCCACAAATCCAAGCCTTGATGAATGACCTATGCCAGCACCAATTTCCTCCCTCCTTCTGGATCAGAGCCTGTTTCCTTCCAAAGTGGTGGACCCCCGAAATCTTACAGGCTTTTTTTTTTTTTTTTTTTTCCTCTGTCTCACTCTGTCGCCCAGGTAGAGATCAATGGCATGATCTCGGTTCATTGCAACCTCTGCCTCCCGGGTTCAAGCGGTTCTCTTGCCTCAGCCTCCTGAGTAGCTGGGACTACAGGCAGCCGCCACCATACCCGGCTAATTTTTTTAATTTTAGTAGAGACGGGGTTTCACCATGTTGGCTAGGCTGGTCTCGAACTCCTAGCCTCATGTGATCCGCCCGCCTCGGCCTCCCAAAGTGCTGGGATTACAGGCGTGAGTCACCATGCCCAGCCGAGTCTAACTTTCTTTACGATTTCCTGGGGTCCCAGCTGGACGGAGTCTCATCCCTGCCCCCCTTACTGGGAGGAAAAGGGAATGCACCTCCTCCATGAGCCTCAGCTGCACTTTGAGGCACCTGGAATCCCCGGATGTGGAGCGAGTCTCTGAAATGCAGAACCCGAGGGGCCAACCCATGGACTGTGATGGGTAAAAGGGGAGAGAGCACTAAAGAGGCCAAGTAGGGAGGACATTATCCCTTTCCCCTTTTATTATTATTTTTTGTTAGAAAAAGGCAGGTGGACATATTTAGCTTGCGAAGCTTGCACAAGGAAAATCCAGAGCGTCTCCAGAATAAGGATCCCACGAGAGAACGTGGACACAAGTAGGCCCTCAGCCAGCCTTGTACCCACAGGCCCAACAGGCCACTTGGCTATGAGGCCAGAGCGTCGCCATAGGGGCCCGAACGCTAGCGTTTAGGGAATCCGCAGGCTAGAAGTGGAGGCGGGACGCCACTGGTCGTCTGAGCGCTGATTGGCTGGTGGCGCTAGTCACCAGCCAATCGTCAACAGACGCCATTTGTTGTTGGAGCCACGCACCTGACGCAGTGGGCGTCTTGCACGTGCAGCCGTTTAAGTCGCGTGGGCGCCTGCGAGGGCTTGGGAGAGCAAGCCGCGGAGAGGTGAGTGGGCCGCTTTTCTACGGGAACTGGCCTGAACTCGGCCGTACGGGCTCCCCAGTAACCGACCTTTGGCCAAAGTGTGGATGGAGTAGGAGGAGTTTTGAAGCCGTCCTTCGAAGCCTTTCTGCCTCGGGGTCTCAGAGTCCCACGGGTGCCCAAAGTCTGGGCTTGAGGCCTGCAGAGGAGGCGAAGGGGCCTTATTCCTGGCTTCTTCACTGCGTTTTCTCTGAACAGACATGGTCCGAGTACCATTTGTGTACAAATCCTTCTTGATGAAGCTGGTTGTCCTTTGTCGGCAGGATTTGGGCAACCATACCCTTCTTCCCTTCCCCACTAAAATCCAAGGCCTCCCTCTTCACCGAGTCGCCGCCCCCCTACCCAGTCGACTCCCGTACCCCTGTCCCCGCCCCCACGCACGCCACAAACACCCCAAAGCAAACATCCTATCCACCTTGGATGTTAATCATGCGAAGGGAGAAATCTTAAGTAGTTTCTGAAAAAAGTTGCCTCTCCCTTAATATTCAGTAAGTCGTTTGGGGACCCTTTGAGGGAGGAGATAAAGTCTATGAACAGATGTTTGGGAAAAGCCTAAGTCTTGCTGGGGACATGGCGATTGCTAGAATGACTAGGTAAGAGGTTCAACTAGTTTCTAAAGCTAAGAAAGGATGGAGATAAATGCCACCTTTAGATAAGAAGAGACCTAATTCCTTCTTTGGAAAAAACTTTTGGGGTATCAGCACCTAGTTGGGTAGTTTCAAGATGTATGTGAAACAATGAGTTTATGCTTTTAAAGTTATGATTCTGATCTAATTGAGTCCAAATGTGCATTTTTTTTTTTTTATGAATAGAACTTGAAGCCACCATGGGAGATGAAGATTGGGAAGCAGAAATCAACCCTCATATGTCTTCCTATGTTCCCATATTTGAGAAGGTAATAACATTTAAAGTTTAGTTATTAAATGCTACGGATTTTATCAAAGTTGAAAATCACTGTGGTGAGAGTTCTAAATTATACAGTCTGTGTCAGTGTTTATCTCCATGTGATTGTTATTAACTATTATATGGGGAATAAGAGACAACCTAAGCCTCGTATAGGATACAATAGCTTGAGGCAATTTGATAATTAAAAGCTAAAATAGATGTAAAAATATTAATGACCTAATTTAAATCTCAATGATTTAGGACTTCCTCAGGTGAAAGCAAACTTGGGCAAATGTGGTTGATATCAGTGAAAGACGCTTGTATGGAAAATTGAAAACAATAATTACGTTTTGGGAGATATTTTAAATTCTGAAAATTGATTTTGTGCAAGGAGGGTTCTCAGGATAAATGATACTAGGCTGATTGAGTTGGTAACATCAGTTTGTATGAATCTTCAGATCTTTTTTCTTAATGGCATTTGGGGAGTTACATTGTAATTTAGGGGACAGTGGGGTAAGTTTTTTGGGCTTCAGTTCTGACTTGGAAATTGGCTTTAAAAAGATGAATAGAAGGTACTTTAAAAGATAATAGATTATTTTTGCATGTGTTACTTACTATATGGTGTCTCTACAAGTTGATTTTTTTGTTCCCCTTCAGAATTTCCAGTTTGAGTGTATGTCAGTTCTGACACTTTCTGATTTCAAGTTTTGCCTTAGTGGAAGTTCTTATTTTAGACAAAAATATAAAATATGCAATCTTTTGTCTTAGTTGAATTTGATCTATATGTGAAGTTTATATTAAAATACCCAAAATACTAATATAAATTTATCATGTTTCTTTTCTTGGAACTTTTTAAAAGAAATAACATGTTACCTTTTTTTTTATTTTTTAAAATTTTTGTAGAGATGAAGTCTCACTATATTGCCCAGACTGGTTTCCAACTCCTGAGTTCAGGCGACATTCTCAAAGTGTTGGGATTACAGGCGCAAGCCATTGCACCTGGACTGTGTTATCTTTTTATAGTTCTCTTCTCATAATAAAAATATAGCTTTTTTGGGAAAAGTGGAGAAAGTCACCTACAAATCTTGCCCAATAGACAAGCACTCCTGTTAAAATTTTTAGTCAATTTTCTTCTGTTTTTTCCAAACATTTTTTGTTTGTTTTTGATACAGTGTCTTGCTCTGTCACCCAGGCTGGAGTGCACTCATGCAGTGTGGGCTCACTGCAGCCTCTGCCTTCTGGGTTCAAGCAATTCTCCTGCCTCAACCTCCCTCAGCGAGACTACAGGCGCATGCCACCACGCCCAGCTAATTTTTGTATTTTTAGTAGAGATGGGGTTTCCCCATGTTGGCCAGGCTGGTCTTGAACTCCTGATCTCAGGTGATTCACTCACCTGGGCCTTCCAAAATGCTGGATTACAGTCATGAGCCACCGTGCCCAGCCCAAACATGTTTTATATAGTTTTGATGATAGTATATAACAGTAATTTTTTTTTTTTTTTGAGATGGAGTCTCACTCTATTGCCCAGGCTGGAGTGCAGTGGTGCAGTCTCAGCTCACTGCAACCTCTGCCTCCTAGGTTCAAGCGATTTTCCTGCCTCAGCCTCCCAAGTAGCTGGGACTACACGTGTGTGCCACCACGCCCCGCTAATTTTTTTTTTTTTTTTTTTGTATTTTTAGTAGACACAGGGTTTCACTATGTTGGCCAGGCTGGTCTCAAACTCCTGACCTCAGGTGATCCTCCCACTTTGGCCTCCCAAAGTGCTGGGATTACAGGCATGGGCCACCACACCCAGCCATATAACAGTAACTTTTGAATCCATCTTTCTTGACACTTCAGCACTAACTATTCCATATTACAACTTTTGTGGGAATTTCAGTGGTGTTAGCTTCTCACTGTGTATTGTCATTAATGTTTACATCTTACTTGTTTTAATTTGGTAATTTTTTTCAAAAATGGAATTACTTGTTCAGAGGACATTTTTTATCATTCTTTTTCCTCCTTGTTCTCAATAGATTTGTTATAACACAAAGTTTAATTCACAGATAGATACTTTATTCCCCCTGGTCTTAATAGCCATCTGTCCAATTTCTTTTTTCTTAGTTTGAGATTTTTGTCTTCATGAAGTGTTTAAGCAGCACACTGCACTATAGCGTGTTGTGCATATTTATTGCATTGGGTTTCTGAAATTAAGGATGACTGTCAAATCTTTCAAATTTCCCTTTTTGGGATCTTTATGCTATTCAATAACATAGTTTCTTCACATTGGGAATACTAAATTGAATATGTTGACCAGTCTACCTTATGATGCTTAATACATTTGTGTTGGGTGAATTTGTAGTGTATCTTTTGCATTTGTCTGCAAACTTAACACCTGGTGTTGTGCTGGTTGTGCCATTAGTTCTATGCTTAGTTGACTCGAAGGAACATGGTGCAATCAGGATCTTTATTTGCCTTCCTAGGTTGAATAAAAAGTGCAGGATGGCCAGGTGCGGTGGTTCATGCCTGTAATCCCAGCACTTTGGGAGGCTGAGACAGCCAGATCACTTGAGGCCAGGAGTTCGAGACCAGCCTGGCCAACATAGCAAAACCCCTTCTCTACTAAAAATACAAAAAATTAGCTGGGAGTGGTGGCACACGCCAGTAGCCTCAGCTACTTGGGAGGCTGAGGCAGGAGAATCTCTTGAAATTGGGAGGTGGAGACTGCAGTGAGCCAAGTCCGGGCAGCTGCACTCCAGCCTGGGCAATGGAGCAAGACTCTGTCTGAAAAAAAAAAAAAGTGCAGAAACTAGAGATGAATACATTACATTTTTATGTAGAACAAATCTAAAGTCTTTCATTCCGTTTCTTTTAAAGACACCATTTTGATTTGTTCTAACTGAATTTGGTTTTCAAGAAAAAGCTGGCCTTCTCTTTTATAGCGGCTTTATCTGTGATCATCCTTTTCTGAGTGCTTCTCAGGAGCTTTATTTGGAGACTTAATGTTGACATACGCTTATATAATTTTGAAATAATTTGTCATTGTTCTAGTATAACAGATAGAATTTTGGGTAGAACTTCTCAATTCTAAATTTTAAAGTGAGTGTACCACCTGGGAATAGAACAGCGAAAGATGTGAAGTTAAGAAAGATTTTATAATGTGGCAATTATATAGTCCAGAAATCTCAACCATTAGGCATTTGCACGTTGCCTGCAGGCTTATTGGGGTGAGTGTTAGAATGGATGGGTATGGTGAGTGTATTAGATAATTCCGTTGCTTACTTACTAGCTGTGAGGCCTCTTGTTAACTGACCGTGAATGTAAGCCTGTATAGTGATCACTTCTGTCTGATCTATTTGCCATTTTTGTGGCACATTTCAGAAGGCAAAATCTCTTGTGGTTAAAGTGGAAACAGTAATTGAGTAATTAGACCATCCACAATTATAATTTTATTAAGCAGCAGTAGCAATGTTAGCAATAATTGTTGAGATAAGAAAATAAACATATATATGATATTACAAAATTGAAAGTAAGAATACAGGTGAAAAAAATGTGTTCATCAAAATGCAAAAGGATTATTTGTAGCTGCATGTGAGAACACTTATGTGTTAAACATTCGAAATTTCTGAATTGGTGCATTTGGGTGGTTTGAGAGATAATAATGGTTTACAGCTAAGTATTTTAAGAGGTAAGCTAAAGACAAGACCTATGATTCATTCAACATATTTTTGAGTTCTAGTAGGTGCTGGAGAGAGAGTGGTGAATATAAGGTGCTTGCTGTTACATTGTATTTTACTGGAGAAGACAGAATAAGCGCGTTTGAGAACCAAATAATTATAGTGAAAAGTACTATAAAAAATTAGAGAAATGTGTGTGTGAGACTGGTGTGGGGTGGATTTAGTTGGAGAGGGAAGGCTTCTCTCAGACAGTGACTCATGAGCCTGAGACTTAAAGGAGTCCCAGCAGGACATCAGGTGCAAAGGTTCTCAAGGAACCTTTGAGAAGGAGGAGGGAACAAACTTGGGGTATTAGGGCAACAAGAAGGCCAATGTGTTAGTTTTCTGTGGCTGCTATAACAAATTAACACAAACTGGGTAACTTAAAGCAACATAAATTTATTCTCATAGTTCTGGAAGCCTGAAGTTAAAAATCAAGGTGTCAGCAGCGCTGCCCTCCCTCTGGAGGTTCTGGGACAGAATCTTTGCTTCTTCTAGCTTCTAGTGGCTAAGGGCATTCCTCGGCTTGTGGCTGCATATCTCTTAGCTCTGTCTTCACATTGCACCTCCTTTGTGGGTCTTTGTGTTATTTCCCTCTGCCTCTCTATTATAAGGACACTTGTGATGGCAATTAGGACTCATGCCGATAATCCAGGGTAATCTCATCTCAAAATCTTTAACTTAATTTCATCTGCTGTGACCCCTTTTCTCTCTCTTTCTTTTCTTTTTTGAGACAGAGACTTGTTCTGTCACCTAGGCTGGAGTGCAGTGGCGCAATCTCGGCTCCCTTCAAGCTCCACCTCCTGGGTTCAGGCGATTCTCCTGCCTCAGTCTCCTGAGTAGCTGGGATTACAGGTGCCCGCCACCATGCCTGGCTAATTTTTGTATTTTTAGTAGAGATGGGGTTACACCATGTTGGACAGGCTGGTCTTGAACTCCTGACCTCAGGTGATCTGGCTGCCTCGGCTTCCCAAAGTTCTGGAATTACAGGCGTGAGCCACCGCGCCCAACCAGTTAAGCTTTTTTAATGATAAAATTCTGTTGGAAATTATTTTTGATGTATTTTTTCAAAATTCATCTTGGAATTTGTAAGTTGGATGTATGTGGGATATTAAGTTCCATAGCTTGAAGCTTAATAATAAGTTTTTCAGTTCTTTAGTGTAAGAGTGTTTTATAACACTTGTAAAACCAGCCTTTTTTTTTTTTTTTTTGCCTCTATTCACTCTATAGTACTTTGAGCCTTACAAACAAGAAAAAAGTCTTCAGATTTTAAATAGAAAATATTGGATAATTGTTCTTGTTTTAATGTCTGTGGTAGTAATAAACTGGAACTTTTTTTTACTGTAGCAATTACCAAAACCCCAAGTCATTTCAAGTATGTTGTTATTTTTGTGCCCTTAATGATGACTCGGAAAAATGTTTGGATGACTCTTGAGCTTTTTAAAAGTAGTTTTAAAAGTCAGTGTCTTTGAGAAAGAAATTTTAGCAAATAGATGTTACCTAAAGAAGCCTACCTTGGTGCATTCTCTCTAGGTTTGGGACTTAGTTAAATGAACTTATTTGAAGGAACATTGTAACTGTTGTAATATAGTTAGTTGATTAAGAGATCATCTGTAGATTTCCTTTCATTCTTAAATTATTAAATTCTGATTGTCATGTGCAAGAATTTCAGAGCCGTATTCTGAACTTTTGCCATAATTAAAGGAAGTTTACGTGAGAAGAAATAAAGATGTGGATTAATGATGATAAGGACACCCTAAGAGTTAGTGAGAAAAAAATTACTCAAATTGTCATTAATCTAGAGCTATCCAGAGAAATGTTGGAAGGTTCCAAAATTAACCTGCATTCAGCTATTGATTTTATAATAAGTTGAATTTTCTAAATCTGGCAGTCATTCTACCACTGCTAATGTAATGCATGTGTGTTAATAGTAAATGATTTTCTTTAGCCTAAAGTAGGGAAAGTGAACAGTTAGTATTTGGGAGCAAAGACAGTCTTCAGCTACTGCTGTGACAAATGTGATTAAAATTAACCATGAATATTCTGATGCTACAGCTGAGGATATACCTTTTCATTGTAGTTGTAGTGCAGTGGCAGGTTGCATATATAAATTGTTTCCAGTCCATAAGTGAATTTACTTTACAGTGAATCCTTTTTTTTCTTTTTTTTTGAGATGGTGTGAGACAGTGTTTTGCTCTTGTTGCCCAGGCTGGAGTGCAGTGGCACGATCTCGGCTCACCACAACCTCTGCCTCCTGGGTTCAAGCGATTCTTCTGCCTTAGGCTCCTGAGTAGCTGGGATTACAGGCGCCCATCACCATGCCAGGCTAATTTTGTATTTTTAGTAGAGATGGGGTTTCTCCATGTTGGTCAGGCTGGTCTTGAACTGCTGACCTCAGGTGATCTGCCCACCTTGGCCTCCCCAAAGTGCTTGGATTACAGGTGTGAGCCACTGAGCCCGGCCAGTGAATTCCTTTTTAAAACATGAGAGTACCATTAATTGGTTTCACTATAAATGCAGTAGAGATTTTAAAAATTTCTGTAGTACTTTTCTAGAGCAAAGATTAGTGTTAAATCACTAATACTCTGTAATATTGATGAATATACTGTAATATATGGAACTTGGCATACAATAGTGTGTATTGACCAGTGTTGATTTATTCATGTATTACTTGTCAGATTTTATAATGATATTTTATTATATTTTCTTTTCTATTTTTATTTTTTGAGACGGTCTTATTCTGTTACCCAGGCTGGAGTGAGTGGTGTGATCTCAGCTCACTTCAACTTCTGCCTCCCAGGCGAAGTGAACCTCCCATCTCAGCCTCCCGAGTAGCTGGGACTACAGGCTCATGCCACCACACCTAGCTAACTTTTTGTATTTTTAGTAAAGCTAGGGTTTCACCATGTTGCCCCGGCTGGTCTTGAACTCCTGGGCTCAAGTGATCCTCCTGCCTCAGCCTCCCACAGTGCTGGGATTACATACGAGAGCCACCACACCCAGCCTGATTGTACTTTTCAGGAATATGGGTGACTTAAATGACTAAACTTTTACTTTAAGTCAGGTGTCAGCAAACCCTTTCTATAAAGGGCCAGATAATAAATAATTTAGACTTTATAGGCCTTACCTGTCTGTCACAACTTTGCTGTTGTAGTACTTCAATCAAACTCTTTACAGAATCAGGTGGCCCACCAGATTTGGCTGGTGGCTGTAGTTTTCTGACCACTGTTCTATTGATATATATTAGTACTATATATACAGTGTTAAAGTGAAGATGTCTTGGAATAATTAGTAAAGGAACATCCAGTGATTTAGAAAACCTTACAGTCTATCATTATTTTGTTCTGAACAAAGCTCAATTGTTATAATTTTCTAGTATTTGTGAAATAAATGACACGTTCATATTCAAAGTAGGAAACTAGTTTTTTCTTTCTTCTTTCTCACAGGATAGGTATTCTGGAGAAAATGGAGACAATTTTAACAGGACTCCAGCTTCATCATCAGGTATGTGTTATGGGAAAAAGGTAAAACCCTTTTTAGTTTAAGGGTTTCATCTAGTGAATGAAGAGCAGCAGACTAGTAGACATCTTGTAGAGGGTGTTTTAAAAAATTTCTTAGTGAAAGTTCCTTCTGATTTGGATATTGTGGAATGGGGGTACTTCTAGTTAGAGGAATTGAGAGAGGGAAAAGAATAGACTGTATTATTTGATTTAATGGATTACTATAAAACATTTGCCTAACTTGGAAGTTGCACATTCAGCTTCCAGGCTGCTAGGGCATCATCATCATCAGGGTTCCTGACATAAGGGAGTAGAATATAGGACTATAAGGTTGTCGAAGCAGGTTACAATGGTGATGACCTGTCAGGATAATAACTGTTTAAGCCAAATCTGTCATACCATCAGGATATCTTGAGTTTCTTTGGGATCAGAAAACTAATTTGGGAAAGGTCTTAGGAGAACAATAAAAACGTGTCAAGGTAAAGGAACCCATATCCTTCCTGTTGCGCCCTCCTCCCAACCCCACTCTGAACTTGTTTTCACTTTGGTTGCCCCTCCCACCATCATTTTTCCCCTTGGGTTGTCCAACTCTATTTTACAGAGTGGATGTAGATGGGAAGATGGGTGGAAGTGGTAGGACTAGGCTGGGAAATTGAACTCATGGCAGTAGTTTTTCACATTGTTGAAGTCCAAAACAGGATGAAATGCAATTGTTACTATATTAAAATAATTTTGACCGGACTCTGGCTCATGCCTGTAATCCCAGCACTTTGGGAAGCCGAAGTAGGAAGACCATTTGGGGCCAGGAGATCAAATGATCATTTGAGGTCATTCGAGACCAGCTTGGGCAACATAGTTGGAGTCTTTGTCTACAGAAAATTTAGGCTGGGTATGGTGGCTCATGCCTGTAATCCCAGCACTCTGGGAGGCTGAGGCAGGTGAATCACAAGGTCAAGAGATTGAGACCATCCTGACCAACATGGTGAAACCCCGTCTCTACTAAAAATACAAAAATTAGGGTGTGGTGCTGCATGCCTGCAGTCCCAGCCACTCGGAAGGCTGAGGCAGGAGAATCGCTTGAACCCGGGAGGTGGAGGTTGCAGTAAGTCGAGATTACGCCACTGTACTCCAGCCTGGAGATGGAGTGAGACTCTGTCTCAAAAAACAAAAACAAAAAAAATTAAAAATTAGCTGGTCATGGTGGCCTGTGCCTGTAGTCCTAACTACTTGGCAGGTTGAGGATTGCTTGAGCCCAGGAGTTCAAGGCTACAGTGAACTATGATGATGCCACTGCACCCTTGCCTGGGCAATGGAGCAAAACCCTGTCTCTAAAAACAAAACAAAAACATTAAAAAACTATGATGAAGTATACATAAGATTTACCATTTTAATGTGTACAGTTCAGCAGCATTCAGTACAGTCTCATTAGTCTGTAACCATCATCCACCATCTACCCCCAGAACTTTCTTGTCTTCCCAAACTGGAACTCTGTACTCATTGAAAAATAACTCCCCATTTCCTCCTCTCCCCTGATCCTGGCAACCACCATCTACTTCCGGTGAATTTGAGTTACTATAACTTTACTATGAGTCTCTAAATCGAGTTACTACTATTTTTAAGGCAGACTAGCATAAGGAAGAGGGCCTGGTGGTATCAGGTAGTAATTTTATCATTTTTCTTATAAAAAATTAGTAGATGAGGTAAAACATTTTATGGTCAAGGGAGCTGCATGCTCACTGAAACCTGGCCTATGGTGGAAAACACCCATGGTGAGGTAGTTTCCAAAATGTGAGGATAGTTTGAGAGTCAGTTTATCAGGTTAAAGCAAATCTAATTCTCATGAGCATCTTAAGTTCAGGGTAAATATCTTGACAAAAGTTAAGTTTAAAAGAGATGACTTTGCTATTTTCAAAATATGTTTATCTTTTATAAGCATTTAAACACAGTGGTTTAATACAGAAATATTCAGATTCTCAGAAGTTCTTGGAATCCTGCCTGCTGAAACCCCAGCAAAGGGCTAATTTTGCTTCTACCATATAAACTCTGTGTGTACTTAGAGTATTCCAGAAAGACAAATGGATAAACGTAATAGATACCTTTTAACATGTCTATTTACATCGATTGCTGTGTAATCAGGAGAAACCTGGTTTTTTGAGGTATGAACAGAAGCCAATATTTGTAAAGGAATGAAAGTTTAGGTCTATAGTATATTAACGCATAACACTGTTTTGTATTGGAATTTTCAAGAAACTAGACTGAAATAACCACCAACTAAAAGCTAAGTTTTTTTTTTTAGCATTAGACCTATGAATGTTTAGGCTAATGAAATGAAATCATTAATGAAAATCACTAATGAAAAATATTGATTGCCTGCTTACCTTCTTCTAGATAACAAGTACTTTTTGTAGTTCTTCATAATTTTTTATTTTTTTATGAAAATTTTCTTATTAGAGAAATATAAACCAGGACAGTGAATGTAAGCCAAGCCAATACCTAAATATGCTTATTGTTTTAAAAAAAAGGAAAAAGGGAGAAATAAAATATGAAATCTTAGCCCCTAAATTTAGCTACCATTGATGTCTATTGACTCTGATTTTTTAGATTCCTGTGTATATTCCCACATACATGATCGTATGCCACTGGCATAATATATTAATACATATGTTCCTTTTTTATAAATACTTGTCTTGTTTTTCCTTTGCTTACCCATGCTTACCTTCCATGCCCTTTTCATGCTCTTAAAATTGTATTTAGACATGCGTCTTTTCATTCTGTATTTTATAGAAATGGAATCGTGTTATATCACATCTTGCTTTTATTTAATAGTCATGGAAACCCTTCTAAACAACTGGTATTATCTGATTATTTCCAAAATTAAGCGAAAACAATTTCACATTACTTGGCTTTAAAATGTCAATAGGAGGCAGGTGTAGTGGCTTATGCCTGTAATCCCTTTGCTTTGGGAGGCTGAGGTGGGAGAATTGCCTGAAACTGGGAGTTCAGAACCAGCATGGGAAACAAAGTAAACAAAGTGAGACACTGTCTGTACAAAAAATTTTTAAAAATTAGCTGGGCGTGGTGATGTGCACCTGTAATCCCAGCTACTCAAGAGGCTGAGGTAAGAGGATTGCTTGAGCCTAGAATTTTGAGGTTACAGTGAGCATTGATCACACTACTGCACTCCAGCAGGGCTGATGGAGTGAAACCCTGTCTCTTAAAAAAAAATTCTGCTGAACCTTGCCTGCCTTGTATTTGAGGGTGGATCATTAAAATCCTGGTTAGAAAGTCAGCTCTGTGCAGGGACGCACTGATGGGCTCTACCGTCAAGTGATTGGGCCAGGGCTAGGCTGTTTTGTTTGGGAGAGCAGGATCCTCTAGTCTCTGAGATTTAAGTTTTTGTAACTGTATATGCTAGTTCCAGCCTTTCCTTCCTCCCACTCTGTCCTCACTATATTGTACAGCTTCTATGTTGCTTTTGCTGATTTCTTTATTACTCATGTTTGATTTGAAACAAGCTGTTTGTGGGAGGAAGTTTTAGGGATTTTTTGCCCTCCCCTTCCCCAAAGGAGCAATTCTTTTGTATGTGTGTGTCTTTTTTTTTTTTTTTTCCCAGAAAACTTTTTGCAAGTTGTTTTATTTGCAATGCCCTTTGAAAGGCCACGAAAGTTAACTGGATTACAAACTAGGCAGAAATTGCTTTACAAAAGGAGGGAAATACCAAAATGTCAGTTTCTGTAGAGAATCCACAGTTCAGTTTTATTCAGAGCAAAAAAAAAAAAAACTTTTAATCACACTAGAAAAAACTCAGCAATAGATTTGGAATCTGTACTCAAACTACACATGCAATGACAGTATTCTGCTAATGCAGTCGATTTGCTGTTGTATTTGTCTACTTTTTTATATTAATAATTATAAACTCTAAAGCAGTGCAACTAGTATTTGGAACAATCTTTACAGTGTCAGGCACATTTCACTTTTCTTCACACCATTGGTTCTGTGTACGTGGGCTTCCTCCCCTTCAGTAAAGTCGTTTTGATATTGAAGGTCTTGGGAATGTCCACAGGTGTTTTCTCCTTGATCTTATTGGCAGCAGTCTTGCATGTAACAAACCTTTGATAATAGCTTGCAGCTAGAATAAGGTCAAAGAGAGTTCCTTGGTGAATTTTCAGGAATTCCTGGTCCCAAACAGGATTTTTATCTCTTCATTTTTCTTCTCATTATTCTCAGGAGGAGGAGGAGGGTCATCTTTATGGGGGGGTGCACCACTGAATGACCTTTTAAAATACTGCTTCATTATTTGGTAGAGGACTGGGTCATCATATCCTTCAATCATTCATTCCCAAATCTTCCAACGTGATCTTGATAGTATAGATTGTTTGGCAATTTCTACATTAACCTCAAATATTTCTTCATTGGAACTCCATAACTAATTGAAGGCAGGCTAGAGGCTGACATGAGCCGGGCAGCATCAGCACAGAAGGGAAGGGTGGAGGACATGACTGCTCTGTGTATGTTTTTAAACGTGTGTTTTCTGAGCATATTTTGATGTGTATTTTTAACTTAGAATTTTTTTTTTACTTTTCCCCCTCATCACTGTTTAAGATATATTCCTAATTGATAATTGATTTCCTTATTTCTAATGACTGTGTGGTATTTCATATACTTTTATCACCAAGTTTTATCTACTCCCATTCTTCCTCCATGATAGGCACTGAGATTACCTCCTGTTCCCCTCTGTTACCATAGGATGGGCATTCTTGTATATGTTCATTTATGGGCCAGAGTGAGAATTACTTTGGATAGTGGACTCGAGTAGAATTACAGGGTTATGGAAAGGAGTAATGTACTTAATTTGTCTAAATATTTCAAAAATTGCTCTCCAGAATAGCTATACCAGTTTATACTCCCATCATTAGGATGTGAGGGTTCTCATAGTCCCTATATTCCCACCAACATTTGACATTTTTAATTTTAATTAATTTTAGCCAGTCTATTTGGGTATAAAGTAAAATCTTTTTTTTGTTGTTGTTTTTTGAGACAGGGCCTTGCTCTGTTGTCCAGGCTGGAGTGCAGTGCTGCAGTCATAGCTCACTGCAGCTTCAATCTCCCAGGCTCAAGCAATCCTCCTGCCTCAGCCTCCTGGGTAGCTGGGACTACAGACTTGCACCACCATGTCTGGCTGATTTTTAAAATTTTTAGCAGAGATGAGGTATTGCTATGTTGCCCAGGCTGGTCTTGAACTCCTGAGCTCAAGTGATCCTCCTGCCTTGGCCTCCCAAAGTGCTGGGATTATAGGCGTGAGCCACCATGCCCAGCATCATTGCTTTACTATGCATGTATCTGACTGTCTCTTCATATACATGTTGTTATTCTGTAAGTTTCTACTTTTGTAAGTTGCCTGTTTGTATTTTTAGTCTATTTGTCTATTGAGCTAGCTTTTCCTATTGTTGATTGGCAGGCATTGTTAATATTCTAGATTTTAGGCTCTTTCCTGATTTAGACACTGAATATCTTCTTCCATTCTGTTGTCTGTCAGCTTTGTTCATGGTATGCCTTATTAATCAAAAATTTAATTCTGAAGTTATTAAATAATTTTTTTGCTTCTTGATTTGATTTTGTAGTTTAAGAAATTCTTCACCATCTCTGTCAAAAAGTAGCCTCCTACATTATCTTCCTTAGACTTTTGCCTTTCACATTGAGCTTTTAATCGTCTGAACTCATCCTTTTTGAATCATGGTGGCCATATTTATTTGAGTGTCAAATCAAGACATAGTGTATGCAGTATGAATATACCTAAATGACTCACAAAAAAGGAATCTTTGACGCTAAAGTTTTTCTGGTCAGCCCTGACCATTGGTCTCTAGTTATTGAGGAGTTTTGTTTGTGAACTGTGGTAAACTAGACATAATAGAAAATTTACTGTCTTAACCATTTTTATTTTATTTATTTATTAATTTTTTTCTTTTCTATTTTTTATTATTATACTTTAAGTTTTAGGGTACATGTGCACATTGTGCAGGTTAGTTACATATGTATACATGTGCCATGCTGGTGCGCTGCACCCACTAACTCGTCATCTAGCATTAGGTATATCTCCCAATGCTATCCCTCCCCCCTCCCCCCACCCCACAACAGTCCCCAGAGTGTGATATTCCCCTTCCTCTGTCCATGTGATCTCATTGTTCAGTTCCCACCTATGAGTGAGAATATGCGGTGTTTGGTTTTTTGTTCTTGAGATAGTTTACTGAGAATGATGATTTCCAATTTCATCCATGTCCCTACAAAGGAGATGAACTCATCATTTTTTATGGCTGCATAGTATTCCATGGTGTATATGTGCCACATTTTCTTAATCCAGTCTATCATTGTTGGACATTTGGGTTGGTTCCAAGTCTTTGCTGTCGTGAGTAATGCCGCAATAAACATACGTGTGCATGTGTCTTTATAGCAGCATGATTTATAGTCCTTTGGGTATATACCCAGTAATGGGATGGCTGGGTCAAATGGTATTTCCAGTTCTAGATCCCTGAGGAATCGCCACACTGACTTCCACAATGGTTGAACTAGTTTACAGTCCCACCAACAGTGTAAAAGTGTTCCTATTTCTCCACATCCTCTCCAGCACCTGTTGTTTCCTGACTTTTGAATGATTGCCATTCTAACTGGTGTGAGATGGTATCTCATTGTGGTTTTGATTTGCATTTCTCTGATGGCCAGTGATGGTGAGCATTTTTTCATGTGGTTTTTGGCTGCATAAATGTCTTCTTTTGAGAAGTGTCTGTTCATGTCCTTTGCCCACTTTTTGATGGGATTGTTTGTTTTTTTCTTGTAAATTTGTTTGAGTTCATTGTAGATTCTGGATATTAGCCCTTTATCAGATGAGTAGGTTGCGAAAATTTTCTCCCATTCTGTAGGTTGCCTGTTCACTCTGATGGTAGTTTCTTTTGCTGTGCAGAAGCTCTTTAGTTTAATTAGATCCCATTTGTCAATTTTGTCTTTTGTTGCCATTGCCCTATGAAGTCCTTGCCCATGCCTATGTCCTGAATGGTAATGCCTAGATTTTCTTCTAGGGTTTTTATGGTTTCTGGTCTAACGTTTAAGTCTTTAATCCATCTTGAATTGATTTTTGTGTAAGGTGTAAGGAAGGGATCCAGTTTCAGCTTTCTACATATGGCTAGCCAGTGTTCCCAGCACCATTTATTAAATAGGGAATCCTTTCCCCATTGCTTGTTTTTCTCAGGTTTGTCAAAGATCAGATAGTTGTAGATATGCTGCGTTATTTCTGAGGGCTCTGTTCTGTTCCATTGGTCTATATCTCTGTTTTGGTACCAGCACCATGCTGTTTTGGTTACTGTGGCCTTGTAGTATAGTTTGAAGTCAGGTAGTGTGATGCCTCCAGCTTTGTTCTTTTGGCTTAGGATTGACTTGGCGATGCGGGCTCTTTTTTGGTTCCATATGAACTTTAAAGTAGTTTTTTCCAATTCTGTGAAGAAAGTCATTGGTAGCTTGATGGGGATGGCATTGAATCTGTAAATTACCTTGGGCAGTATGGCCATTTTCACGATATTGATTCTTCCTACCCATGAGCATGGAATGTTCTTCCATTTGTTTGTATCCTCTTTTATTTCGTTGAGCAGTGGTTTGTAGTTCTCCTTGAAGAGGTCCTTCACATCCCTTGTAAGTTGGATTCCTAGGTATTTTATTCTCTTTGAAGCAATTGTGAATGGGAGTTCACTCATGATTTGGCTCTCTGTTTGTCTGTTGTTGGTGTATAAGAATGCTTGTGATTTTTGTACATTGATTTTGTATCCTGAGACTTTGCTGAAGTTGCTTATCAGCTTAAGGAGATTTTGGGCTGAGACGATGGGGTTTTCTAGATATACAATCATGTTGTCTGCAAACAGGGACAATTTGACTTCCTCTTTTCCTAATTGAATACCCTTTATTTCCTTCTCCTGCCTAATTGCCCTGGCCAGAACTTCCAACACTATGTTGAATAGGAGTGGTGAGAGAAGGCATCCCTGTCTTGTGCCTGTTTTCAAAGGGAATGCTTCCAGTTTTTGCCCATTCAGTATGATATTGGCTGTGGGTTTGTCATAGATAGCTCTTATTATTTTGAAATACGTCCCATCAATACCTAATTTATTGAGAGTTTTTAGCATGAAGGGTTGTTGAATTTTGTCAAAGGCTTTTTCTGCATCTATTGAGATAATCATGTGGTTTTTGTCTTTGGCTCTGTTTATATGCTGGATTACATTTATTGATTTGCGTATATTGAACCAGCTTTGCATCCCAGGGATGAAGCCCACTTGATCATGGTGGATAAGCTTTTTGATGTGCTGCTGGATTCGGTTTGCCAGTATTTTATTGAGGATTTTTGCATCAATGTTCATCAAGGATATTGGTCTAAAATTATCTTTTTTTGTTGTGTCTCTGCCTGGCTTTGGTATCAGAATGATGCTGGCCTCATAAAATGAGTTAGGGAGGATTCCCTCTTTTTCTATTGATTGGAATAGTTTCAGAAGGAATGGTACCAGTTCCTCCTTGTACCTCTGGTAGAATTCGGCTGTGAATCCATCTGGTCCTGGACTCTTTTTGGTTGGTAAGCTATTGATTATTGCCACAATTTCAGATACTGTTATTGGTCTATTCAGAGATTCAACTTCTTCCTGGTTTAGTCTTGGGAGAGTGTATGTGTCAAGGAATTTATCCATTTCTTCTAGATTTTCTAGTTTATTTGCATAGAGGTGTTTGTAGTATTCTCTGATGGTAGTAACCATTTTTAAATGTACCGTTGAATCCCTTTTTTTCAATATGGTGAGAAATAGGGATCCAATTTTATTTCTGTCCCTATAACAACCTAGTTTTTTCCAGCACCATCTAAGCATTCTGTCTTTTCCTTGTTGATGTGTGATGCAAATTTCATTTCTTAAACGATTTTGTTCTTTGTTGTCTTAAAGCATTGGATAAAATCTACAGTTCATTGACGAGTAGTAGAAATAACAAACATCTAGGCTTTTCCTCACTTCAATGGGAATGCTCCCAAATTTTTATAATTATGATGTTTGCATTAGGCTACTAATAGTTATTTTTTAAAATCATGCCAAGAGAGTTTCTTTTCATTTCTACTTGAATATTTGTTTTGTTCAGGAATGGCAGTTGAATGTTATCAAATGGCTTTTTAGAATTACTGATTTCTATTATTTCTCCCTTATATCTATTAATGTAGTAAATGAATTTTTAAATGAACTTTGTGTTCCTGGGCTAAGCCTTACGTGACTCTTTTATTGTACTATTGGATGAAATTAGATATTTTATTTAGCACTTCTGAATTAATGTAAGATTGGCGTATAGTTTTCTTCTGTCATGTCGTCCTCACTTGGTTTTGGTTTCAAGCTTTTCATGTTTTCCAGTAAGCTCCGGAACATGAAAATTACCTGTTTTTTTACAAGTTGTATAGAATTTGTTCATAAAACTGTCTAGGCCAGGGCAGATTCTTTTTTTTTTTAAACTTTATTGAAGCATAATGTACACATAGATTCAATATGTATTTCAGTAAGATACACAGCATAAATGTACAGCTCACTTAATTATCAGAAGCTGAACACTCCCTGAAAGCCAGCACTCAGATCAAGAAAAACAGCATTATTAACAGCACCCTTGAAGCCTTCCTTTTTCTTCCAGGCACCGTCCCTCTGTCCAGAAGTGACTATTATCCTGATTTCTAACAGCATAGATCAGTTTTCCCTATAAATGGCAGTCATATAAAATGGCGTCATACATTGTGTTCTTTTTTTGTTGAGGTTTTCTCCAGGTTGTTAGAAGTAGTTATAGGTTATTTGTGGATGTATGATATTCCCTATGTAAATATACCGTAAATTAAAATATTGATGGTCATTTTTATAGTTTCCAGTATTTGCCTGTTATGAGTGGTTCTCTTAAGAATGTTTTCCAATTCATGTCTTTCGGTGGATATAAAAATCTTCTCTGAATGTGATTGGCAGAACAGTAGCATTGGCATCACCTGGGAACTTGTTAGAAATGAAGAATCTCATACTGCACCCAGAACTACTGCATCAGAATGTGTGTTTTAATGAGATCACCAGGTAATTTGTATGCACATTACTGTTACACTCTGAAGTCTCTATTTGGAAGACTTGACACTGAATTCTAAGTGTTAGTGTTTCAGCTACTTGGGGTAATGAAAGGGATTAGAAGTCAGGAGAGCTGGCAGCCCTAAGCACCACTAAATAGTTTCAAAACTCTTTGCCCCTAAGTCTTTTCTCATCTTCCTTTAATTTTCCTCACTCTGGTTTAGGCAAATCACTGTGGAGAAAGGTTGGAAGATTATAGAGTCTTAGAGCGCATACTGAAGTCTCATACATAATTGGGTTCTTTTGCTTGGTGGTTTTAGTATATGGAATTTTTTTTAAGTTCTTGTTCAATATTTGAGCCTCTTTGGATTTGGTCCAAGTGTAACTATATTGAGAGATATTCTTTGTGGTCAGTTGTTGGGGATTGTGTACACTAACACTAAATTCATTTTAAATGGACTTCATTTTTATTTCTTTTGGTTTATTTTGGTGGATTTCATAGCATTCAAGAAGAGCATCTATACTCCATCATTTATTGGTATTAGAGTCTTATTTATTTTTATTGCTATGTATAATATGTATTGTGGGGATTGCCGTGATATATATCAATGACAGCATATCATTACATTCATGAAAGTGAATGTAAACTTTCACATTTACATGTGAAAGTACTGTGAGATTTAAAACTACTAAAAAATGGAAAGGAAATAATTGTATATTTTCCTTAGGATTGTGTGCTAATAACAAGGTAAACTGGGTTAATTCTTTCTTAGAACCTTCTACTCTTGTACCATCATTTTTATGTATTTTTTATTTACATAGGTTTTTGGGGAACAGGTGGTGTTTGCTTACATGAGTAAGTTCTTTAGTGGAGATTCGTGAGATTTTGTGAACCCATTACCTGAGCAGTATGCACTGTACCCAATTTGTAGTCTTTTATCCCTCACCCCTCATCGCACTCCTTTCCCCAAGTCCCCAAAGTCCATTGTATCATTCTTATGCCTTTGCATCCTCATAGCTTAGCTCCTGCTTATGAGTGAGAATATCTGCTATTTGGTTTTCCATTCCTGAGTTAATTCACTAAGAATAATGGTCTCCAATTCCATCCAGGTTGCTGCAAATGCCATTATTTCATTTCTTTTTCTGGCTGAATAGTATTCCATGGTGTATATATACACCACTCATTGATTGATGGGCATTTGGGCTGGTTCCATATTTTTGAAATTGCGAATTGTGCTGCTATAAACATGCGTTTGCAAGTATCTTTTCATATAATGACTTCTTTTCCAACTAGTGAGAGGTAGGATTCCCAAGAATAATTGTTACCCTGTGACTTTATTGTAGAATCTTTATTGAAGACCTTTTCATGAAAAAAATCTACTGTATTGAAGTCTTATGTAAACCATAAAGCTTAATGTTTTGAACCACCACTAATTTTAAGAACATTACCCACCGGGCGCGGTGGCTCACGCCTGTAGTCCCAGCACTATGGGAGGCTGAGGTGGGTGGATTACTTAAGGCCAGGAGTTCGAGACCTGCTTGGCCAATGTGGTGAAACCCTGTCTCTACAAAAAAATAAAAAAATTAGCTGGATATTGTGGTACACGCCTCTAGTCCGAGCTACTCAGGAGGCTGAGGCAGGAGAATTGCTTGAACCTGGGGGTCAGAGGTCGCAGTGAGCGGAAATTGTGCCACTGCACTCCAACCTGGGTGACAGAGCAAGACTCCATCTCAAACAAGACAAAACAAAAAAATTCTCATGCACATTTGGGTTGTTTCCTTTTTTGCTGTTATGAACAAACTCTCATCATTCCTTAGTTTGCTAAGTATATGTTAAGTCATGAAAGGTGTTAAATTATGTAATATACTTTATCTGGAGAGATTAGTTATTTTTTATTAATGTTGTGTGTTACCTTTTTTTAGATATGGTAGTGTTAAATACCCTTGCATACTGGGATAAACCCAATTAGTCATAATATATTTTATCCATTCAGTTTACTGTTGGGTTTGGTTTGCTAATATTTGTTTTTGAGATTTTGTATCTATGAGTAAGGTTTATAATTTTCTTCTGAACTTTCATATCAAGGTTATGTTGGTCTGTAGAATGAGTTGGTGAGTAATTTCTCTGTTTCCTGGAAGAGTTGTATGACAGTTGAATTATTTGTCCTTTGAGAGTTTGGTAGAACTCACCTGTAAAACCCGATCTCTCTGCATCTTTCTGATGCAGAAAATTAAGTACTGATTTAACTTCTGTAGGAGAGTTGGGTTTTTTATTGATTCTTGAGTCACTTCTGGTGAGTCAATTTTCTAGGAACTTTTTCATTTCTTTTAATTTACTAGCATAAAGTTGTTCAGAGAAGTTCTCTAGTTGTCTTTCTGTTCTTTGAGATTCTTTTTAAACACATTTCTAATACTGTTCACTTGTGTCTTTGTATCTGTTCTCCCTTCACCCCCATTATTAGTCCTCTAGTAGTTGGTTACCCTGGCAAATTTTATAGGTCTTTTCGAAGAACCAAGTTTTGGCCTTTTTGAGCTGCTGTATTACGTTTGTTTCCTTAAAAAAAAAAAAAAAAAAAAAAAAAAAAAAGAGGCAGACAGACAAGGTCTCTTTCTGTTTCCCAGGCTGGAGTGCAGTGGTTTAATAATAACTCACTGCAGCCTTGAATTCCTGGGCTCAAGTGATCCTCCTGCCTTAACCTCCTAAATAGCTGGGTCTACAGGTGTGCACCACCACACCCAGCTACTTAAATTTTTTTTTTGGTAGAGATACTGTCTTGCTATGTTGCCCAGGCTGGTCTCAAATTTCTGACCTCAAGCATCTCTTCCCACTTTGGTCTCCCAAAGCTGTTTCCTATTTTATTAATTTTCGTTCTTTATTTCCTTTACTTTTGTGTGATTTACTTTGTTTTTCTAATATTCTTGTTGAGATGGCTATTAAGCTTATTGAGTTCTTATTTTCTAGTATAAATATTTAAATACTGATAAAGTCACATTTTTATCATATAATTTGAAGTATTTTTAAACTTCCATTGTGAGTTTTTTTTTTGAGCTGTGGGTTATATAGAAATGTTTTTAAAAATACGTCACCAAATGGGATTTTAAACAATTTTTTTCATATTTAATAGCTTTTGATTTGATTGCATTGTGATAAGAGAATCTCATGTATATGAATTGATTATTGAACTCTTGTTGAATTTGCATTATGGCCCTTCTACATGGCCAGTTTATAAACACTCTCCATTGTTGAAGAATGTGAGCTCTTTAATGTTGAATGCTGTATATTTCTTTGGAATCCTTGTGCATACTATTGTATGGATGACCATAATTTCTTTATTCCACTTTGATCATTTATTTGGTATTACAGACAGTGCTTATAAAAATTTTTTTATGTCTGTCTGGATAACCATGTGATTATATCCAGAGGAGAAATTCATGTTACTGTACTTTCAGAGTATATGCCTTTTAAATTAGGATCAAGATTGATCTAGTTTATAATCTAAATACAGTGTATGTTTCGTGCCTGTTTCCCTGTGTCCTTGTTCTGGCTATTAGCAAATTTAAGACTGTTTTCCATTTTTTAAAAATTTATTTATTTTGTTATTTTCTTTCAGGGAATAGAAGGGACTTTTCCATTCAATTATGAGGTTAAAAATTGCTGTCTTTTGATTTCTAGTTCTTTATGAATCAGATTTAGTCACAATTTATTTTTCTTTAGGAGAACTGTCTATTCATGTAGCCATTTTTTTTTTTTTTTACTGGGCTGTTTGTCACCTTTTTTACTGCTATATAAAATTTCTCCTTTGCCACATGTGGCACAGAAGGCTTAAGGTTTGCAAGTACTAGATACTTGTTTTTATTTGACTTACTTCAAAATGTTGTTTGCTTTAGAAATGGATGATGGACCTTCTCGAAGAGATCATTTCATGAAAAGTGGATTTGCCTCTGGGCGGAATTTTGGAAACAGAGGTAAGCATCTTTGTCTTTCCTTAATCTCCTGAACTGTTGAATAATTGGATATATAGAGGCTTTCATGGCCATTTGGTACAAAGCTAAGTCTGTTGTAAGTCAGTGTGTAGTAGACTTGGTGTTGAGATAATGAGTTCATCATTTTTCCAAGTTCATTTTCTTTTTTCTGTTTTACTTCTTTGGGATAGTAGGGAGTAGTGTTAAGTTGATTAGACAGATTGGTTGGAGGGATGGATGGGTTGGATGGATGGATGATTCACAGAGCTGCTGCTTAATGTGTTTGTGATATTGATTTCCAACAATTGATGTGGGAAGAATATTTGTAAAAGCTTCAGGGATTAGAGGTGAGAGGGACTCTTTCTTGAATTTTATATTTTTCAAGAAAAGGCAGTATAGGAAACATTTGTTAGCTCATTAGTATTAATTTTTTAAGAGTTTATTTTGCCATTATTGGATTTTTAAATTTTACTTTTAGAACAACCACCTGATATGACAGATAATGACACAGCAAAACACCTTTCTACAGTCCATTTTTAGACTTAATATTAACATGCTAGAAATATGTGCTATATTTTATTATAGTGCAATAACATATTAGAACTTCAGGTTAAATTTATTTGAAAATCCATACGGTCATTTTTTTATCTTTTAGGGGATGCCATAGCGAGGGCTATTTGTTAAACATACTTGACACTTATTCTTGAATTTATGAGATGTTATTTTTTGAAAAACTCTATTGAGACTTGCAGATATTTTTGCTGTGGAAACTAAAAGATGCATGATGTTTTATTTGACATTTGGAAAATTTAATTTCTTTAGATACAATAAACACAAATTTGAGTTTTATATTTTGACATGTTTCTGCCACTAATAGAAATGATTTATTCAAATATACACATATATATTGGTTTTTAAGCCTGCATATTAAGATGCATTGTTTATTTGGACAATGTAATTGTGCTAAGAGATTCAGATGAGATTTTGTTAGCTACTATTAAAATTAGAAATATTTTAATATTACATTTAGGAGCATATTTATTATTTACGTATCTTTTAAAATTATATTTTAGTAGAGGTTATGTGATATTTTGATACAGGCTTCTAAATATTATTGAATAAAACCTTTTTCAGTGAGAAAATCATCACTGAGGCAGATTTTACCACAAATTATTTTCATGTTTTAGGTTGAAATACACATAAAATTTCCGATCAGAACTCTCAGTTGTTAATACTTTAAACAATTAGCTTTATATTACCTGGGACATTGTAGACCCATGAGTATAACTTATTTTCCATATGATTCTTCTAACATTTTATATAGTTTCCTTTTTTTTTTCTTTTTCTTTTTTGAGACAGTTTTGCTCTTGTTGCCTAGGCTGGAGTACAATGGCACAATCTCGGCTTACTGCAACCTTCACCTCCCAGGTTCAAGTGATTCTCCTGCCTCAGCCTTCCGAGTAGCTGAGATTACAGGTGTGCGCCACCACGCCCAGCTAATTGTTTTTTATTAGTAGTAGAGACAGGGTTTCACCATGTTGGCCAGGCTAGTCTTGAACTCCTGACCTCAGGTGATCCACCTGCCTCGGCCTCCCAGTGTGCTGGGATTATAGACGTGAGCCACCACGCCTGGACTGTATAGTTTCAATCTTGATTTTCTTCTCAGTAGAACTTGCATAACTAATAATGTGGTTTTTGAAGTTGACTCTTCATTGCTTAAAATATCGACTAGCTTGTTATGTCCTGTGAAGTATGTCTGAGTAGCTTGGACTTCTTGAATCACACATCTTTGAAATCTGATTAAAATACTTTTATAGTTGGGCATACACAATTTTACAGGTGGTTTCAGGAGTTACACAGATCCCTTTTAACTCCCCTCTACAAGGGTTTTACAGAGGTAAGTAAGACAGTATATAGGGATCACAGGGAATGCTTTAATTTTTTTCTCAGTGATAGTTTAAAGCATCATTTTATGCTGTTTTGGATGTCTCTCCTGTTCTTTTTTTAATGTTTTATTTTAAATAATCGTTCTTGCTATCACATCTCTGCTCTCGAGATTTTTAATTTAGTGGTAGAGAAACACATGGAAAGAAATACTACTTTAAAAAGGTACAGATAGTATGCTGTGGGAATGTGGAAGAAGGATAAATTATGACTGGAGGGCTAAAGGAAGACTTCACATAATTGGTTTTTTGAAGAATGAAGTGAATTTTGATAAGACAAATAAGAAAGTAGGGAATGCCATGCCAAAGGAATAGCATGTACAAAGATACAAAATATTAGCAGTTGACAGTGTGGAGTATTGGAGTTGTTTGGTGTGAATTAAAATGTTGGGTGTTTAGAATTACATAGTGAGAAACAAAGCTAAGAAGGTTAGTATGGGGAAATAGTATGGCGAGATGGGGAGGCCAGGAGGGGAGTGGTAGTCTTAGGTTTTTCCCTTATGTAGCCCCTTGTTTTAATTTTAAAAATGGAAAGGATATGATAAATATAAGAAATAGAAAAATAAAAAATAGAACAGTTAAACAGGACACGAGTGTAAGATTTTCAATAGCAGTGACTTTCACACAGGGCAGAGCGTAATAGCTGGCTCTATCAGGATGAGAATTCAACATATAGAAAACTATGGAGCAGAATTTTCCTGCTTGAAGGTCTCCAATATAATACCAACTAGTAGAAAGCTGTGTTTCACCGGTAGTAGATTTGTTTTTACCTTGGTATCATAATTTAAGAGTTTTTCTTTTAAGTTGCAGGTATATTAATTAATTTTAGGTTTCTGTGCTACTCTTTTCCCATCCTTGGAAGTCTCTTTACGCCAGAAATTCATTTAATTCTTAGTTTTTGATGATGACACACTTAATTTTATATGTTAAAGAGTTTAACTGTCCACCCTTTTTCAGATGCTGGTGAGTGTAATAAGCGAGATAATACATCCACAATGGGTGGTTTTGGAGTTGGAAAGAGTTTTGGAAACAGAGGTAATTACTTGGTTATGATATCTTACAATCAAAACTTGAGTGATTTTTTAATAATTGAGTTTAAATACTGATTGACAGACATTCCATATTGACATTTAATTTCAAGGTATATATTCTGTGAGTGCCTTTGCACTAAAGATTATCTTATTAAAACTTATTAAAAACATTTTTTAATTTTATGAAAGATTACTGATGAATGCTTTTAAAATTAATTCTAGAGACATGTCTGTATGCTTCAGAGATGCATAACTCTTAGACATAGGTTTTTAGGAAATAAGTTTGAAAGCAAAACTTGACGACTTTTTAAAAAAGAGTAAACAAAAAGAAGCTAACAAGATTTTCATGTTATTGAGGAGAAAATCATTGAGTTATTGGGTTATAATTTAGTTGTATTGTCCTTAGCAGATGAAGAGATTGAGTTTGTAAAATTTTGAGAATTTTGATGGTTTTAAATAGAAAACATATAGTGGTTACACTGACATATTCCTCTGTTTTGCCCATGTGCATACAGAGGAGTATATGACAATTGAGGTAATACAGAATTGGCTGAAAAGAAAGTTGTTTTTAACCTTAAGAGAATGGAGTTGATAAACTGACACAAAGCAGAAATTGTTGTACAGCCTGAGTGAATTTGCATGTGATAGCTATGTATACAATTGTGTATCGCTTATCTTAGAAGGCATCATAACTAGTAGTTCCTGTGTGGTTATCATTTTTACCACAGAGGTACAGGAAATTGTTTCATTTTATATTTTGTATAGGTTTTTCAAACAGCAGGTTTGAAGATGGTGATAGCTCTGGTTTCTGGAGAGGTAAGGTTGATATTTTTGTGTTTTAAAATTTAATGTCAAGAGTACATGCTAAAAAAGAGAAATTAAGATTAAGTCTCTTAGTCCGGGCCAATTCTAACTTATTTAAACCAGATTTTATGAAGTAGCTATATCCAAAGCCTTAACCAAGGATATTACTGCTTTGTACATAAAGAATTCAGGCATCCTAATTTGGCCTGTTGCCATCTGCCTTAATCCATGAGGTACAACTTTTGAATGCTCTGAAACTTAAGAAAATGGGGATAGATAATAAAAAGAAGTAGTCAAGAAGTGAAACTTCACTCTCTATATAAATACAGTTTGTGATGTATAGGGTCACATTTAGATTCAAATAAATCTAAGAAAAAGTTTCATGAGAATGTAAATCAGTGCTGAAATTAAAGACAATTCCATTGAAGGTACTGACACTCTACAGGAATACAGAGAATGATGAGAATGATGAAAATAATGATACCAGAAGATGGACTACGATAAACCAGTGCATTCCCAAATCTGATTGAGTCGATTTGGGTGAGGTCTTAGAACCTGTATTTAAAAGCATCCATGGTGATCCTGATACCTCCTGTGTTTGGTAATCATTGATGTATGAAATCTTTATAACATAGAACACTTTAGGGTGCCAAACTTGGCTTCATGTCTCTGCCTTGCTACCTGCTAGTTGAAGTAGAACAAGTTGCTTAATTTTTCTAAGCCAGTTTTCTGTTCCATAGAATGGAAGGTATTCATTTTATAGGTGGTTAGGCAGGCTAAGTGAGAATGCGTGTAAAAGCACACAGCTGAATACCAGACACATTCATGACAAACACTCAGATGTCATCCATCTATCTTCATTAAATATTTGAAGCTGATCTTATTAAACACTTTGATTCCCAAAGTCAAAACCAAGCCTAGACCTGATCACCTTAAAACACTTTTGGTATAAGGCCGGATTTTAATTATCAAATGAGACTGTTTCTCCAAACTATTGCCAGTCTCTTTCTCCCTACTTCTCTTTTTTTCTCCTATCCCGTTCAAATGAAAACATATATGATGTAGAACTAGTATTTGTGAGAGAAGAAAAATACCATCATTTTTATTCTTTTCCATTTCTATGTGTTTCTGTTCTGATCTCTTTTAACTCATTTAATATTCAAGATCATTTCTACTTATACACAGACCTTTCTACCTACTTGACCCCTTTGTAGAGATGGTGGGCCAGGGAGCTTTTGAATACAAATTCCAGTTTCTCATGGCACTTGAGAGAACTTCTCTCCGAAGTGGCCTGCTTGCTTTGTTTTGATCTACTTTCTTCTTTTTTCGTTTTTAGTTCCCCTAAAAAAAAAAAAAAAAAAATATATATATATATATATATATATGGATTGAATTCATTCATTGTCTCAGTTGTTAGCAAGCCCAAGTTCTGAGCTCACGGTAGAAGCTTTTTACTCTGGACACAAATGGATAGTATGTTTTTAAATTTTTTTCCCCTGTCATCTACTTTGCTTAAGCTGGTATATTGTAGTGATAAGGAACTCAGATACTGGATTTGAACACGTAGGTGTGAGACTCAGATCCTCCTCCTGGCAATTGTATTATCTTGAAAAAGCCTGTAACTTTCTGCTTTTCATTTTCTCTATTTGTATAATGATGACTATATCTACTTCACAAGGTTTTTGTGAAACTTTAGACTAAAGTTAATACATGTGATACATTTAGAACACGGCCAGGTACATACTTTATGTGTTGTTATTATTATTTTTCGAGACGGAGTCTCGCACTGTCACCTGGCCTGGAGTGCAGTGGTACAGTCTTGGCTCACTGCAACCTCTGCGTCCAGGGTTCAAGTGATTCTCCTGCCTCAGCCTCCTGAGTAGCTGGGATTACAGGGGCCCGCCATCACGCCCGACTAATTTTTTTTTTTTTTTTTTTGTATTTTTAGTAGAGACGGGGTTTCGTCACGTTGGCCAGGCTGGTCTCAAACTCCTGACCTCACGATCTGCCTGCCTCGGCCTCCCACAGTGCTAGGATTACAGGCATGAGCCACTGCGCCAGGCCATATGTTATTTTTGTATAATTAATAGGTTGTAACTAATCTTGGTATCATTATCTCATTTTTGTTTGTGCTTAGCTTTATTTCCTAACTGTATAGAGATCACTTATTTTTTAAAGTAATTTTTTATTTTGAAATAGTTTTATTCATAAGAAGTTGCAAAAATAGTACAGAGGTTTTTCATGTACCCATCACCCAACTTCTCTTAATGTTTTCTATTTTTATTCCCACTGTGATCAAAATAACTGTAGGTTTATTTTAGGGAAATAATTGGCCAAAGATATTGTGAGACTCTTTCCCTTGCCAGGTCCCAGATTAGTAGTTTTGTTTTTTTTTTTTTTTTCTCGAAAGCAGTAAATATTAGTTATCATCATTGTTATTCCAGGGCCAACTTTTCAAAACTTATTTCTTTCCTGCCCTTCTACATTGTATTAAGTCCTGCCTTCCAGAAAGTTGTCTTGTTAATGGCTCTTCAGGATTGTTTGTCAGTTGTCAGCTGCAGCTGAAATAGGAGACTGCAACAAGAGCTTTGGGTCACTGTTTATTGTAGAACATTATTAGTTGTTAAATGGATTGGGACTTTCACACAGGAACTTAGCTAATAACCTGCAAGCTGTTTGGTCACTTGCTGTCATTATTTTGACTTAATGTTCCCAGATATTAAATATTAATGATATGTACAAAGATCCCTTGAAACCATCTTTGTATTCCCAAATGTGACTTTTTTTGGAATCTTCTGGAAAGCCTGATGTCATAGTAATAACATAGAACTTTTACATTTCGAAAAATCATTCCTTTCAGAATAAACATTTCTGGGAATGGGGTCTAGGAATTTATTTTTAACCAACTCTCCAGGTAGTTTTCAGGCAGCCTTCAGTATAGTAATCTCTCATACTACTATTTTAAAACTCTGGGAATGTTACTTACTAATATCAAAAATGGAGAAGCTAGGATATCCCCAAATTATTTCATTAGCATGAATGGGGGAAAGTTTGCATATATTTAAGAAAGCACAAATGTCTTGAGTTTATTAAGAATGGTAAATTGGCCGGGTGTAGTGGCTCACGCCTGTAATCCCAGCACTTTGGGAGGCCAAGGTGGGCGAATCACCTGAGGTTCAGGAATTCAAGACCAGCCTGGCCAACATGGCAAAACCGCATCTCTCCTAAAAATACAAAAATTAGCCAGGCATGGTGGCGCATGCCTGTAATCCCAGCTACTCGGTAGGCTGAGGTGGGGATAATCGCTTGAACCCGGGAGGCGGAGGTTGCAGTGAGCAGAGGTTGTGCCAGTGCACTCCAGCCTGGGCAATACAGCTTGACTCCATCTCCAAAAATAAAGTAAATTACAGAAAAGATATGACATTATAAATAGAAGAGTCTAGTGGTCTATGGACCTTATGTGAGAACCACTTGATTACTTAATAGCTTAGATGTTCCTGAAATCATTTTTGGTCAAACTGAAATTTATGAAATTCTTATTTTTTGTTTTGTTTTGCTTTGCGTAGTATAATGCTTGGCAAATAGTAGGTTCTCAATTTCATATAATAAACATTTAATATTTAGATACATGAGATGATTTGTATAGGGAATCGACTCTGAGTAATGTCTTTATATATCTGTTAAAATTATTTGAAGAAATATGTTTATATTTTAACTTATGAAAATATTTTGTCTTCTTACTAATTTATCTTGTGACAGTGCTATTCTTTATATATTGCATCATTTAAGTTAATTAAATGCTATTTACATGTTAAATTTTTATTGAAGAGTCTAGTAATGACTGCGAAGATAATCCAACACGGAACAGAGGGTTTTCCAAGAGAGGCGGTAAGGACCACATTTTGGAACAATTTGTACTTAACACAGAGACACTAAACTGGTAAAACTGATTTTGAAGGAGCTGGATGAAAAACACTGATCGTGAAAACCTTTGAAGAAAAATACTTTGGTATATGTTTTCTGCTTTTAATATTTGAGTGAGTATTCAGTGGGTGCCCCTCCTTTCACTCTTTTATTTTATTTTTTTAAGTTTTTGGTTCAGGGGTTCATGTGTAGGTTTGTTATCTAGGTAAATTGCATGCCATGGGGTTTTGGTGTACAGATTATTTTGTCACCCAGATAATAAGCATAGTCCCTGATAGGTAGTTTTTTGATCCTGTACCTCCTCCCACTTTCTACCCTAAAGTAGGCCCCAGTGTCTGTTGTTCCCTTCTTTGTGTCCATGTGTTCTCAGTGTTTAGCTCCCACTTATAAGTGAGAACATTCAGTATTTGGCTTTCTGTTCCTGCATTAGTTTGCTTAGAATAATGGAGCTCCATTCATGTTCCTGCAAAGGACTTTATGTCATTCTTTTTTATGGCTGCCTAGTATTCCATGGCGCATATATACCACATTACCTTTGTCCAGTCTACTGTTGGTGGGCATTTAGGTTGATTTCTGTGTTTTTGCTATTGTGAATAGTGCTGTGGTGAACATATGTGTACATGTGACTTTATGGTAGAATTATTTATATTCCTTTGGGTATATACCTAATTATGGGATTGCTGGATCGAATGGTAGTTCTGTTTTACGTTCTTTGAGAAATCGCCACACTGTTTTCCACAATGGCTGAACTAATTTACACTCCCACCAGCAGTGTATAGGCATTCCCTTTTCTCTGCAAGCTTGCCAGCATCTGTTATTTTTTGATTTTTTAATAATAACCATTCTGACTGGTGTGAGATGGTATCTCATTGTGGTTTTGATTTGCATTTCTCTAACGATTAGTGATGCTGAGCATTTTTTCATCTGCCTGTTGGCTGTATATTGTCTTTTGAAACGTGCCCATGTCCATTGTCCACTTTTTAACGGAGTTGTTTGTTTTTCTGCTTGTACATTTAATTTCCTTATAGATTCTGGATATTAGGCCTTCGTCGGATGCATAGTTTGCAAATATTTTCTCCCATTCTGTAGGTTGTCTGTTTACTCTGCTGATAGTTTCTTTCGTTGTGCAGAAGCTTGTTCATTTAATTAGGTCCCATTTGTCAATTTTTGTTTCTGTTGCGGTGGCTTTTGGCATCTTCATCACAGAATCTTCCAGGGCCTGTGTCTAGAATGGTATTTTGTAGGTTATCTCCAGGGTTTTTATAGTTTTAGGTTTTACATGTTATTCTTTAATCCGTCTGGAGTTGATTTTTGTATGCGGTCTAAGGAAGGGGTCCAGTTTCAATCTTCTGCATATGGCTAGCCAGTTATCCTAGCGCCATTTATTGAATAAGGAATCCTTTCCTTATTGCTTGTTGTTGTCAACCCTGGCAAAAATCAGATGGTTGTAGGTGTGTGGAATTCCTATTTGCAGATGGTATGATTTTATACCTAGAAAACCCTATAATCTCTGCCCCAAAGTTCCTTGATCTGATAAATTACTTCAGCAGAATTTCAGGATACAAAATCAATGTACAAAAATCAGTGGCATTCCTATCCACTATATTGTTAAAATGGCCATACTGCCCAAAGCTATTTACAGATCCAATCTACCAATAACATTCTTCACAGAATTAGAAAAAAACAATTTTAAAATTCATATGGAACCAAAAAAGAGCATGAATAGGCAAGACAATCCCAAGCACAAAGAACAAAGCTGGAAAGCGTCACATTACCTGAGTTCAAACTATACTACAAGGCTGTAATAACCAAAACAGCGTGGTACTGGTCCAAAACCAGATACCTAGACCAGTGGAACAGAATAGAGAGCACAAAAATAATGCCTTCTTTTACTTTTTTTTTTTTTTTGAGATGGAGTCTCACTCTGTCACCCAGGCTGGAGTGCAGTGGTGTGATCTTGGCTCACTGCAACCTCCACCTCCCAGGTTCAAGTGATTCTTGTGCCTTTACCCTCTCTAGTAGCTGGGACTACAGGCATGTGCCAGCATGCCTGGCTAAGTTTTGTATTTTTAGTAGAGATGGAGTTTCACTATGTTGGCCAGGCTGGTCTGGAACTCCTGACCCTCAGGAGCTGTCACCTCAGCCTCCCAAAGTGCTGGGATTACCGGCATGAGCCACTGTGCCTGTCCTTGTTTTACTTTCTAATGTCACTGGATCTGTTGGTTGTGGTTTTTTTTTCCCCCCTATGATCTCCAGAATGTGCTATCAATTACAGAAGAGGGACAATGTGAATCTTGGTCAGTTGCAATTTAGATGAACTGGGGATGTCTTTGTCTCTGAATAGAGTCATTGGAAATTTGAGGGGGGAAGAAATTGTAGATTATTTTTTGTTCAAGTCTAGCTGTATTTCACCATACTCTGGTAATTCAGCTTCTATTGAATTTGAGATGAGATTGTATCAAAAATTACCATGCTTAATTCTTGATTATATATGGGCAGTCATGTTAAAATAGCAATGACAACAAAACGTATGAAGAATATAGTGAACTTACTATAAAATTGCTGAGGATGTGCAAATCTATGATAAGAGGTTTTATTGTTTGGAACTACATAGTAATCAGATACATCAGTGTTTTTACCGCACCTTGGAGACATTCTTTTCCTTTGCCCATTAGGTAGGTAGCTGGCTGAATTAGGCCCTCCCTAGTGAAGGTAGGACTTGTGGATTTCATAATGAGGGAAGACTGTCTCCTTAATTACTTCTTATGATAATTGTGGAGAGGGGTGGTGGTGGGGAGAAAGTTAAGCTAAGAAAAAACAAGACTCATCTTTTACCATATTTTTTTTAACAAGCAATTTTTGGCACTTAATGTTCCTAAAACATAGCTCATATTTGAAATTTTTTTCTTCAGACCAGTGAATATCTTTTGTACTATTAACATTTACTTTAAATCAATTTAATTCATATTTAAATGAGGCAGTCGAAACCATTTGCAGCTCTATGTGCTTGGTCCTGACTTACAGATTAGTGTAGGATAATTAGCAGGGGCACAGCCATTTTGCAGGGTATCCCTGATTTCCATTCTCTGTAGATGTATACATTTGAGGATAGGAAGTTTGCATATAGGGGTCACTCAGAAAATACACGTGTGTATATATGTTTATATTAAAATATGTAGACAGGTACACATACCATAAGTGTATAGTTCAATTATGTTTCACAAACTGAACTCACTTGAGTTCAGTGTGTTCACCAGCATTCAGGTCATGAAATACAAATTACTGGCACCTCAAAAGCCCCTTTTCATGTTCATTTTTTACTCACTAATGACTCATTACCCCCAAAACTTCTGTTATGACTTCTAACAGCATACGATAATTTCGTCTATTTTTATACTTGGTATAAATGGAATCATATAGTATGTAGTGTTTTATGTTTACCTTCTTAGTGTGTTTGTTGCAATTGTAGATCATTATTACTGTTTAGTATTCTTTTGTTTTACTGTTTTTCTATTAGTGATAGGTATTTGGATTACCTCCAGTTTGGGGCCATTGTGAAAGTGCTTCTGTAAACATTCTAGTATTCTTTTGGTTGTCATTAGTACATACTCAGAAGAAGAATTGCTAGGTCATAGGCTATATATATTTTTGGCTTTAATAGTATTGTCAAATGTTTTCAGCGTTTAAACTAAGATACACTCACATTCTAACCAATGCTTGGTATTTTCTTTTTCTCTCCTTTTAACCATTCTGCTGGTTGTGTGGTGGTGTACTCATTTTGTATTAAATTTCTATTTTTTTGGACTAATGGAATGTGGAGCACTTCTTATGTTTATTGGCCATTTGGACATCTGGACATCTTTTGTCAAGTCGTTTGCCCATTTTTCTGTTGAGTATCTTTACTTTTACCTTTTTATTTGTAAATGATTTAAAACTTAAAAGTTGCAAGAATAGTACATACAGATAGGCCGGACGCGGTGGCTTATGCCTGTAATGCCAGCACTTTGGGAGGCGGGCAGATCACTTAAGGTCAGGAGTTCGAGACCAGCCTGGCCAATATGGTGAAACCCCGTCTGTACTAAAAATACAAAAATTAGCTGGGCGCATGCCTGTAGTCCCACCTACTCGGCAGGCTGAGGCAGAAGAATCGCTTGAACCTGGGAGGCAGAGGTTGCAGTGAGCTGAGATTGCGCCACTGCACTCCAGCCTGGGCGACAGAGAGAGACTCCGTCTAAAACAAAAAAAAGTAATTGTCATTAATCTGGAGTTTATTTTTGTATATAATGTGGGAATCAATATACATTTTTTTTCCATATAGATGTTCAGTTGACCTAGTATCACTTACTGAAAAGACTGTCCCTTCTGCTTTGCACTACAGGGCTGCCTTTGTCCTAAATTAGGTGGCTTATATATGTGTATCTGTTTCTCTAGGTTTTATTCCGTTGGTCAGTTTTTCTATTTTTGTACCATTGCCCCATAATCTAATTACTGTGGTTTCATAATAGGTCCTGATATCTGGCATTGTAAGTCTTTCAAGTGCTTGTTTTTCAAGTGCTATGGTTTGGATGTTTGTCCTTCTCATGTTGAAATTTGATTCCCAGAGTTGGAGGTAGGGTCTAATGGGAGGTATTTGGGTCATGGGGGCGCAGATCTCTCATGAATAGACCTGTTTCCTTGTGGGGCTGTTGAGTGAGTTGCCTACTAGTTCCCTTGACAGCTAGTTGTTAAAAGGGCCTGGTACCCTCTACTTCCTCTGCATCATATGATCTCTGAACACACCAGCTCCCTTTCACCTTCAGCCATGGGTGGAAGCAGCCTGAGGCTCTTCCCAGATGCCCAGTCTTGAACATTTTCAGATATCAAATCTTGAGCCAAATAAACCTTTTTTTTCATTAATTATCCAGTCTCAGGTATTCCTTTATAACAACACAAAACAAATGAAAAACCTCAAGATTGCCTGTTATTTTTAGTCCTTTGCATTCCTGTGTGATTTTTAGAATGAGCTTAATCAATTTCCAGAAGAAAAAGCTATCTTAATTTGCATTGCTATAACAAAATGCTATAAACTGGGTAGCTTTGTAAACAACAGAAATTTATTTCTCACAGTTCTGGAGAGTCAGAAGTCTGAGATCAAGGCACCAGCAGATTCAGTGTCTGGTGAGGGCCCATTTCCTGGTTCATAGATGGTGTCTTCTCTCTGTGTCCTCACATGGTGGATAAGGCCAGGCAGCTCTCTGGGGCTTCTTTTATAAGAACACTAATTCCATTCATGAGGGCTCTACTGTTGTGTGGTTACATCACATTTGTTTATTCTTCAGCTGATGAATGTTTGAGTTGTTTCCACTTTTGGGCTATCATGGCTAATGCTGCCGTATTCATTTGTGTACAAGTTTTTATGTGAACCTGTGTTTTCATTTTTCTGGAGTATATACTTAGGAGTGGAATTGCTGTGTCATGTGCTAACTCTTAATGTTTAACTTTTTGAGGAACTGCCAAATTATTTTCTATAGTAGCTGTACCATTTTATATTACCACTCTCAATGTTATGAGGGTTCTGATTTCTCCACATCCACCGATACTAGTTATTACTGGTGTTTTTTTAATTATAGCCATTCTACTGAGTATGAAGTGGTATCTCATTGTGGGTTTTTTGTTTTTTTATTTTTTTGAGACAGGGTCTTACTCTCACCCAGGCTGGAGGGCTCTGTCACAATTTCGGCTCACTGCAGCCTCAACCTCCTAGGCTCAAATAATCCTTCCACCTCAGCCCTCTGTGTAGCTGGGACTACAGGCGTGTACTACCATGCCCTGCTAATTTTTGTATTTTTTTAGAGATGGGGTTCCACTACATTGCGCAGGCTGATATTGAACTCCTGAGTTCAAGCAATCTGCCTGCCTCAGCCTCCCAAAGTGCTGGGATTACAAGCATGTGTGCCACAGTGCCCAGCCCTTATTGTTGTTTTGATTGCATTTTTTGATGACTGTGATGTTGAGCAGCTTTTCATATGCTTATTGACCATTTGTATATCTTTGGAGAAATGTCTTTCAGATCCTTCACTCATTTTAACAATTGGGTTGTCTTTTTATGTTCTAAGATTTATTTATATATTCTCAATGTGAGTATCATCAGCTACCTGATTTGCAAATGTTTATTTTTTTTTAATTTATCTAATTTTTTTTTTTTTGTTTTTGAGACAGAGTCTCGCTCTGTCACCCAGACTCTGGGGTGCAGTGGCACAGTCATGGTTCATGACAGCTTCAACTTCCTGGTCTCAAGCAGTCCTCCCACCTCAGCCTCCTGAGTAGCTGGGACTATAGGCATGTGCCACCATGCCCAGCTAATTTCTTTATTTTTTGTAGGGATGGGGTCTCACTGTGTTGTCCAGGCTTGTCTCAAACTCCTGGGCTCAAGCAGTTCTCCCTTCTTGGCCTTCCAAAGTGCTCGGATTACAGGTGTGAGCCACTGCATCTGGCCTGCAAATGTTTAATAACCTCCTGTGGGTTGTCTTTTCCCTTTCTTGATAGTACCCTTTGAAACACTAAAATTTAACATTTTTATCAAACCCAGTTTATCTTTTTATGTTCTTTTGGTGTTATAACTAGAAAACTGTTGCCTAATCCAGAGTCATGCAGACTTTTTCCTTTGTTTCCTTCTAAGAATTTTATAGTTTTAGTTCTTACACTTAAGTCTTTGATGCATTTTGAATTCATTTTTATAGATGGTGTAGGGTGGGGGTCCAAATTCTTTTGCATATGGATACCCAGTTGTTCTAGCACCATTTGTTGATGTTTTATATTGATGTGTCTAGATGTGGATCTTTTTGGGTTTACCCTCCTTGGAGTTGAGCTTCTTGGATTTATAGATTAATAGTTTTCATGAAACTTGGGATATTTTGAGCTTTTTTGTGGTAAGATCTCTATAACATAAAATTCCCATATTAACTATTCTTAAGTGTATAATTTTTGGCATTAAGTGCACAGTATTCTGTCATCACTATCATCACCCAGATAGAAACTTTGTATTCCGTTAGACAACAATTCCCTGTGTACTCCCTTAACCCTGGTCTTTGGTAACCTCTATTCCATGTTCTCTATGAAATTTGTCTATTTTAGGTATTTCATACAAGTGGAATCGTACAATATTTGTCCTGTCGTATTTGGCTTATTTTACTTAGCATCTTGTTTTCAGTGTTCATCCATGTTGTAGCATGCATCAAAACTACATTTCTTTTAATGGTTGAATAATATAATGTATTTACCACATTTTGTTTATCCATGTGACGGACACTTGGATTGTTTCTTCTTTCCGACTATTGTAAGTCCGCTATGAACATTCACCTACAGTTATCTGTTTGAGTCCCTGTTTTCAAATCTTTTGGTTATATACTTACAAGTTGAGTTGCCGGGAGATGGAACTAGGTAAGTTAAAATGCTGCGAAATTTGCTGTTTAAAAGAAAAAATTCCCTGGGTTGCTTCAAGCCTTTTATTGATTTCTAGAGTTTGGAAAAAGTTAATTCTGACAGTTCTTGCCCATTTTTTTCCTTGCCTTTTTGGAGTAGTGGAATTTAGAGTTCCTTACTTGGCCATTTTTGCTGATATCAGTGATACATATCATTTTAGTGTTTTCATTTTATTCATTAGTATGTAGAAATATAATAACTATCTGGTAAGTATTTTTTTAAAAAGTAATAAAAGATGTTCCATTTTCTTTTATACAAAGGTTAGAGGATTTATAAGGTAATTTCTTTCTGAAGATATTGTCACCAAACATCTTTAAGAGTTAGATTGTCAGCTGTCCCTTATGAAATGCAGACTATACCTTCTGGGAGGACTCAGGTTACTTTAAGAAATATATTTTGTTGGCCGGGCGCAGTGGCTCACACCTGTAATCCCAGCACTTTGGGAGGCCGAAGTGGGTGGATCACCTAAGGTCAGGAGTTTGAGACCAACCTGGCCAACATGTTAAAACCCCGTCTCTACTAAAAATACAAAAATTAACTGGGCGTGGTGGTGCAGCCCTGTAGTCCCAGCTACTTGGAGTCTGAGGCAGGAGAATCACTTGAACCCAGGAGGTGGAGGTTGCAGTGAGCTGAGATGGCGCCACTGCACTCCAGCCTGGGTGACCGAACGAGACTCTGTCTCAAAAAACAAAAAACAAGAAAAGGACTCAATTTGAATTTTTAGAAACTTACAGAAAAGAACAGAGTGATTAAAGGTAAAGATTAAACACAGATGAAGAGAATGAATTAATTCAAAGATAAATCTGTGGAAATTCTCTAAACTTGGAAATGGAAAACACGAGAGTGGTTAATAAATAAGGTATGGAAGATAGACTAAGACCTGTGGTTCAACATATGACTGTCTCCTGAGGAGTGGCCAGAAAATGGGAGGAGGACAGGAAAGAAGAATATTCAAAGAGAATAGATGAGACTTTTCCAGAGTTAGAGAGGCACAAGAGTCCTCAGCAAATAAAATTAAAAAATTCATACCCTTATGCATGTATTGAAATTATAGTATTACAAAGATTTTTTAAAACCTATAAAACTACTAGAGAAAAAAGGTAGATTCACCTTTAGAAGAACATTATATTCACAACAGAATTTTCTTCAGTAAAGGTAGATTTCAGAATGTAATAGCATAGTATATTCAGAATGCTGAAGGAGAATAGCTCTGAATCCAAATAACTATATTCAGATAATTAGGTGCCAGGGAGAAATAATGCCATTCAGATAAAAATGGTGTTTAATACTCTCATATTGTTGAGTAAGAACTACTAAATTGTATACAGTAGTAAGACAACTGATTGCAGGAAGAAAGGCATAGGAAACAAGAAGCAATGAGGAGCGAAAAAAAAGATATGTAAAACAGGTAAACATATTGGTAAACTTAAATAAGTATTGACTATATAAACTAGCAATAATGACTATTAATTTAGGGGTTCCAGAAACAAAAGTGAATTAAAATACTAGCAAATGAAAAGACTGAAATTCTTGCCAGCTCAGTTGAAAGGAAAAATATTTCTTAATAAGTAAAATGAAGGGTAATCAGAGAAGGGATAAGATAAAATGTGTAACTTGCTGATGGAGGAAATCCAATAGAAGGACAGAGCTTTGTAGGAAGGAAGGTAGATTGAAAATAGTTTATTTCCTAAATATTCGTGGTGAAAATTGGTAAAAATAAAATACATAGCTTTACCATTTGGGGAAAACAGGACAGAAAGGAGAACAAAAAGCATCGAAAAAACTCTGTAAAGAGAAAACACAAAGATTGTAGAAATAAAAGACCTATGTATCAGTAATCATAATATAGGTAAGCATATTTCAATATGGAGTTGAAAGTAAAGAGGTCAGGCATGGTGGCTCATGCTTGTAATCCTAGCATTTTGGCAGGCCAACATGGGAGGGATCTCTTGAGGCCAGGAATTCAAGGCCAGCCTGAGCAACTAAATCTTGTCTCTACAAAAAAAAATTTTTTTTTTAAATTAGAAAATAGGCTATGGCCATACCACCCTGAACGTGTCCGATCTCGTCTGATCTTGGAAGCTAAGCAGGGTTGGACCTGGTTAGTACTTGGATGGGAGACTGCCTAGGAATACTAGGTGCTGTAGGTGTCGGGGGAGGGCAGGTGGGGGAAGAGAGCATTAGGGAAAAGAGCTAACGCATGCTGGGCTTAATACCTAGGTGATGGGTTGACAGGTGCAGCAAACTACCATAGCACACGTTTACCTATGTAACAAACCTGCACATCCTGCACACGTACCCTGAAACTTAAAAGTAAAGAGAAAAAAGTGTTCAGTAACTCAAAGCTGAATAGAAATAGAGACAAAGTATACTGTAAGGTAGAATTATTAAGGATAAATTCATCAGGAAGACATTATAGTTCTGAACATGGTTCTAATCTAACAATATACTAAGATGCACAAAGGAAAATAGACATAAGGAAAAATTCGCAAATCCTAGTAAGTTGAGACAGCAGAACAGAGATTAATAAGAATATAGAAGATCTGAATGCCACTTACTCAGCTTGATTTAATATTTGTTTGGAATCATATACTCTAAAATTATAAATCATATATTTTTCCAGCATGTATGGAAAATATGTACAATTTGATCATCTTTTAAGGATGACCTATGATAAATATATCATAGGTCATGTTCTCTTATTAAAATAAAAGAAATCAATAAGTCTAACCTTCATGATTTAGAAACTGAATTTCTCAGTTTATGAATAACAGTTCATATGGAAATCCTGAAATATTTAGAATTTAATAACAGTAAGAACAGAGCACATGAAAACTTTGAGGATATAGTTAAAGCAGCTGCCTCTTAGAGGAAATTTTATAGCCTTAAATGCATCAGAGAAAGGATAAAATGTAAAACTTGCTAATAGAGGAAATCTAGTAGGACAGAACTTTGTAGGAAGAAGACTAGATTAAAAATAGTTTAAATATTTCTTTTCTCAGAAAAAATAATGAGTTAAGTGTTCAAGCCAAGTAGTTAGAAGGGAGAAAACTCAAATAAAAAAGGTAGTAGACATAAATGAAATAGAAACAGATACAATAGAGTGTTCAGCAGTAAAAGAAAATGAGGTAGTTTCATATGTCAACAAAGTTGAATAAAAGGAAAAAGACGTGGGGCCAGGCGCTGTGGCTCACGCCTGTAATCCCAGCACTTTGGGAGGCCAAGGTGGGCAGATCACCTGAGGTCAGGAGTTCCAGACCAGCCTGGCCAACATGGTGAAACCCCGTCTCTACTGAAAATACAAAAATTAGCTGGGCATGTTGGTTCATGCCTGTAATCTCAGCTACTTGGGAGGCTGAGACAGGAGAATCGCTTGGACTCTGGAGGCAGAGGTTGCAGTGAGCCGAGATGATGCCACTGCACTCCAACCTGGGTGACAGAGTGAGACTTCGCCTCAAAAAAAAAAAAGATGTGGAAGACGATAAGTTCCATTTAGTTCGTAAAACTCTAACATAACACTAATATGTTGCTTAAGGCTAAGTACATAGTTGATAAAATTAAGAGCAAGGAAATGAAAAACTATTCAGGATATTGGCTTGTTGGATGTTAGTTGGAAGGAGTGCTCAGGGAGAAGAGAAGCATAGGGCAAAAGAAAAACATGGGCTGCAAATATGTTGGAAACATTTTAGTCTTAATCTGGGCAGTGGAGATAAGCTTTCATTTTATTATATTTTTAACTTACATATGTGTTCTTTTACTTTCATGAAAATATACCTTTACAGAAAAGGTTCCAGAAGATACAATTTTTTTGAAGAGTTTTGTTTCATTTTTAAATAGGTTTTAAAATACATATACTCTAATATTCAGAAATAGCATATATAGAATTTATCTTTATTCATCATTCTCTTTAAGTATAAATAGTTGCAAGTTTACAAACGGAACAGTCTTTATTTCCTGCCCAGTTGGCACTTTGGTTTTGCATTAATCTGGTTCTGCCCTATGAGTCTGCCCTATGAGTCTGCTCTATGTGCAATTAAATTTTACTTGAACTGCTTCTACTAATCTTTTGGTATTCAATTCAATTAAAAATTGTTCTTACCTGGAAATCAGACTTTATATGTGCCTGCATGTCTGTGCTTTGAGTAAGATGTTTACTATATTCTATATGGAGCAGATACAAGCCTAGGATTTATTTAATTCTTTTGTGCATTGTGGAAATCCAGTTAATGGTGCAGTTTTGGTGACTTTTAGTGTTTTAATTCAAGTGCTACTTTTTCCTTTAGGTGATTTTTAGACTTGATTCTCAAAGCAAGCAGTGAGGTTTTAAAAAATTGTAGCCATATCTATTTATATTAGTAAAATTGAACACTTAATAGGTCAAAATGTCATTTCTTTTTGACAACAATGCCTTTAAACACTTGTTTAAAGTTACTGAATTATTCAAGGCTTAAATTAAATTTGACCATGTCCCCAAGATTTCTTTGTTGTTGTTTTGTGTTGTTCTTGTGTGTGTTTTAACATTATAGGCTATCGAGATGGAAATAATTCAGAAGCTTCAGGGCCATACAGAAGAGGTGGAAGAGGTAGTTTCCGAGGTTGCCGTGGAGGATTTGGTCTAGGAAGTCCAAGTTAGTACTGGATTTGCAAATGATGTGCTTCATTAACTGTTAAAAAGAAAATGATTTAAAAAAATACGTATCAAAGAAGGTTGTTATGAGGATTATATGAGAATAGCTTAGCTCAGTGACTAATACACATTAATCACCACATTGTATATAACATTATTTTTTAGAGAGATTTGATTGCATATTGGTTAAGTTAAAATATATGAATTTAAAAAATAAGTTTGAGTGACTCAGTACTTTAATATTACATACTGTTCATTGTTTTAGAGCTTTGATAATATGGCTGACCTTATAAACAGGTGACCTTCTATGTGGCTTTACCTCCCCACATACCTTCTTTCACCAGTGTGGCTTTCTACCTTAAATTTTTCCAGCCATCATTTTTTAGAGATAAGGTACTGACTTCAGAGGTCACTGTTGGAATGTATGTGCCTCTTAACAGAGGAGAACAGATTTATGGTTTTGGAAGCTAAAAACATAAATTTGTAATAATGATTTAATAGATGCGTAGCAGACTAGTGAATTGTCACTTTCACAGAAGTTTAGGGATTTTGAAGGGTTACCATGCAGGACTGGTAAGGTTTGATTTGGCAACAGTGGGAGCAAGGGGTGCTATTTTGAAGAATAAGTAGTGAAATGATGCAATGTGAAGTTTCTCAGGCAATTTCTAGAGATTTAACTTGCTTGTATCATATTTTGGCATAGCACTGGCCCTAATTTATTTAACGAAATATTTTAAATACATTTTGAGGAAGTAATTTATCATTGAAGGACATTATTTGTAGAGAATTCCTTTGCACAATACTTAGTTTAACTTGGTTTAATAGAATAGTTTAACTTAGTTTAATAGAATAGTTTAACTTAGTTTAATAGGACAGTATTTTTCTATTTTACCCTGCATCTTTTAACTTCTGATACCATAACTTGATTTTTTTCTGTTTACTGAACGATTAAAAAACTTCTTCAAAGTAATGTAATCTAATTTTACTTTCTGCAAATCAAGATAATGACTTAGACCCAGACGAATGTATGCAGCGCACTGGTGGCCTTTTTGGTTCTAGAAGACCAGTATTAAGTGGCACAGGTGAGAAATAGAACTTATTACTGAATATTAGTTACTGATGTATGTTTTTAGCACTAGGATTAGTAAACCTAATATATATGTTAAAGTATACTAGTTTGGCTTATGATTTTCTCTGCTTTTAGATCTGTAGGTAAAAATATGTGGACAATTTTGTCTCCCTTATAAAATTTGTGCAATGTGAATTATTTATTCTGTGTTATCTACCAGTTAATTTGAGGTGTGAATTATTAACTAGAGGAATAAAGGATTCTGAGTTAGGGGAAAAGGATTTGTGTGAGTTGAAGTGAAAATGAAAACACAATTGATGAAAAATGTTCAAATGAGGTTAAGGTTAAAGTTAAACCTAGAGGCCGGGCGTGGTGGCTCATGCCTGTAATCCCAGCAGTTTGGGAGGCTGAGGCAGGTGGATCACTTGAGGCCAGGAGTTCGACACCAGCGTGGCCAACATGGCAAAACCCTATCTCTACTAAAAATACAGAAATTAGCTGGGCGTGGTGGTATGTGCCTGTAGTCCCAGCTACTCAGATGCCTGAGGCATGAGAATTGGTTGAACCCAGGAGATGGAGGTTGCAGAGAGCCAAGATCACGCCACTGCACTCCAGCCTTGGTGATAGAGTGAGACTTGAAAAAAAAAAAAAAAAAGTTAAATCTAAAATTAAGAGATGGATGGGTTAAAGGACCAGGATTCCTAAGTAATAACTTTGTTGAATAGAAATAACAACATGGTTTGTGTGCTTGAGCAGCAGCTGTGTTTTATCTAAATATGTTGTGAAACAATGCCTTACAGGTAATGGTGATACTTCTCAAAGCAGAAGTGGCAGTGGAAGTGAACGAGGTAAGTTCTTATTTTGTTTACCCGAAAGAAGTTAAAATCATTGTATTCCAAATTTAATTTTTTTCTGTACTTCACTGGTTGGAAACAAATTTAATTTTTGAAGTTAAAGGTAACTGTTATTGCTTTTATACACTGTGAGGACCATAAATTTACACAGCCTGTTTTAGATAGTTCCTTAATACCCTCCAGGTTATTGCCTCTCTGATCCAGCAATTCCATTATAGGAATTATATACTATAGATGTATTTGGAAATAAATGTACAAGGATGTTCACTGAGATGTCATTTATAATAAGTAAAAACTGAAAATCACCTAAAATTCATAAATAAAAAACTGTTTAAGTCCGGGTGCGGTGGCTCATGCCTGTAATTCTAGCACTTTCGGAGGCCTAGGCAGGCAGATCAGAAGGTCAAGATGAGACCATCCCGGCCAACATAGTGAAACCCCCGTCTCTACTAAAACAAAACTTAGCTGGGCATGGTGGTGTGTGCCTGTAGTGCCAGCTACTCAGGAGGCTAAGGCAGGAGAATCGCTTGAATCCGGGAGGCGGAGGTTGCAGTAAGCCGAGATCATACCACTGCACTCCAGCCTGGTGACAGAGCGAGACTGTCACCAGTTTTTTGTTTGTTAAACAAAAAAAAACTGTTTAATAAAATAATAATCATGAAATGAGATGCTGTGTGGAAGTTAAAGACAGATATAATATGTACAAATCCTTATTAAAACAATATGCTTTTTCTTATGGAATAGTTGATTTGGTCTGAAGGATAAAGTTAGCTCAATATATAATTTTTTACTCTTAAAGTTTTTTCTTTTCTTTTTTTTTTTTTTTGAGACAGAGTCTCACTCTGTCACCCAGGTTGGAGTGCAGTGGTGTGATCTCGGCTCACTGCAACTATCGCCTCCAGAGTTCAAGCCATTCTCCTGCCTCAGCCTCCCTAGCAGCTGGATTACAGGCACCTGCCACCACACCTGGCTAATTTTTGTATTTTTAGTAGAGATGGGGTTTCACCTTTGCCAGGCTGGTCTCAAACTCCTGACCTCAGGTGATCTGCCCACCTCAGCCTCCCAAAGTGCTAGGATTACAGGCATGAGCCACTGCGCCTGACCTTAAAGTTTTTTCAAAGTATAAATACTTCAGTGTCATATAAAAGTTAAAATGCTCTCCAGACTAGTAAATCAATGAAGCTTGCTCGATGTATTTGGAAGATTCTCAGTAATTATTATTAGTCTGAGAGAATTCAGAGTGACATTTCCCCCACCCCTGCTGATTCTTGGATTCTTCAATATAGAAAGAGTTTATTAAAGACTAGCTAAACCAAATCTCCTACAAATATTCACAGCCTATATGAAGGAGGATTTCAAGACCTGTGGACATACAAGATAAGAAAATTAGAGTTCACATATAAAAAATGTTACATCTCATTAGCTTTTGAATCTAATGCAGTCATAGTACCTAAAAGTGGAACAACAGATTACTCGTTATCTAAAAACCAGAAAGGTAATATATAGAAAGGAGTTAACAGGCCTGATTGTTCATCAAAAATTCATCAGTAAACGAAATTGAAAATCTTACTTAAAAGGCTGTTCCTTGGCTAGTGTATATTAGTTAGGGTTCTCCACAAAGACAGACCAAAAGGAAGGAGGGAGGAGATGGATGGATGGATGGATGGATGGATGGATGGATGGATGGATGAATGGATGGATGAATGGATGGATGGATGAGAAGGAACTAATTAGGGGAATTGGCTCGTGAGATTATGGAGCCTGAGAAAGTCCTATGATAGGCTGTCTGCAAGCTAAGAACCAGGGAAACCAGTAGTATTGTTCAATTCAAGTCCAAAGGAACCAGTAAAGTTTTTTTTTTTTTTTTAATACTTTAAGTTCTAGGGGACATGTGCACAATGTGCAAGTTTGTTACATAGGTATACATGTACCATGTTGGTGTGCTGCACCCATCAACTCATCATTTACATTAGGTATTTCTCCTAATGGTATCCCTTCCCCTGTCCCCCACCTTCCAACAGGCCCTGGTATGTGATACTCCCCTCCTCGTGTCCATGTGTTCTTATTGTTCATCTCCCACTTATGAGTGAGAACATACAGTGTTTGGTTTTCTGTCCTTGTGATAGTTTGCTGAGAATGATGGAACCAGGGAAGTTGATGGTGTAACTCTCAGTTCAAGGCCAAAGACCTGAGAACCTCTTGGTGGGGCGGAGTCAGGGGGCGGGGGATTGCTGGTACAAGTCCTAGAGTCCAAAGGCCAGAGAACCTGGAGTTCTGATGTCCAAGGACAAGAGAAGAAGGGTGTCCCAGCTCCAGAAGAGAGAGAAAATTTGCCTTTCCTCTGCCTTTTTGTTCTGTCTGGCCCCTAGCCTATTGGATGGTGCCTGCCCAGATTGGATGAGGGTCGATCTTCTTACTCTGTCCACTGATACAAATGCCAGTCTATTCTAAAACACCTTCACAGACATACCCAGAAATAATGGTTTATCAGCTACCTGGGTATCCCTTAATCTGGTCAAATTGACACCGCAAATTAACCATCACAGCTAGCATCTGAAAACTTGGATTTGGGACGGGTTCCCACCATCCTGATTGGTAAGAGCAACTCATTGTGTGTAAACCATTTGTGCATTGTGGTTTTTGCTGAATATTTGCTTTCCTTCTGGGAATCTGGAATTTGGTATGTGCCAGGCAGAAGGTGAGTACATTATTAGCCCCTAATAAAAACCCTGGGTACTGAGTCTCTAATGAGCTTCTGAGTCTCTAATACTCTTCTCTGGTAGAGTTTACATGTGTTGTCACAGCTCATTGCTGGGAGAACTAAGCACATCCTGTGTGACTGCAGTAGAAGACACTTGGAAACTGGTGCCTGGTTTTCTCTGGGTTTTGCCTATGTGCCTTTTCTTCTGCTGATAGTACTCCCTATTTTTTCACTAATAAATCATAACCATGAGTATGACTATATTCTGAGTCTGGTGAGTCTTCCTAGCAACTACTGAACTGGGAATGGTCTTGGGGACACCCCTCCAACACAGGTTCTTTTAGAAAATACATTCCTTTGCTGATTAGGAAAGAAATATAACAGTTTAAACAAAGTGTAGTAATATGTAATAGTCTCCTCTACGTAAAATCATCTTGAATACTACAGAAACTAAAAATGTACAAGGTTCTATTTAATTGTTTCAAGTATTTGTAAGAAGGGAATTTAAAGTTTTTTGGAACTTGTTCTCTTTGAAGACAAGCAACGAAAATAAAGATGTGCACAGCCTTACATCTTGACCGATTGTCACTTATGAATTTCTTTAATAGGTGGTTACAAAGGTTTAAATGAAGAAGTAATAACAGGCTCTGGAAAGAGTAAGTTTTCCTTAAACAAGGTGTTTGATTTTTATAGTGAGAGTTCTTTTACCTTTCAATTTTAAAAAACATGTATCTCTTTTTTATTTGATCCTCTTCAAGATTCTTGGAAGTCAGAAGCAGAAGGAGGAGAAAGTAGTGATACTCAAGGTATATTAACATTTGTGTGACTCACATAGAAGTATGTTGTGTTTTAATAATGCTTAAGTATTTTACTTAAAAACAAAGTTATCTTTTAAAAATTTGAACAGTGAAAACTTTAAAGGTAAGCAGTGGGAAGTTCCATAGTATTTAAAATTTGATCTTGTCAATTTTTGTCTATTTTCTCTTATATTTTCTTGTAGTCTCTGTAACGTACATTATGTTTTTAATTTAAATTCCAAGGACCAAAAGTGACCTACATACCCCCTCCTCCACCTGAGGATGAGGACTCCATCTTTGCACATTATCAGACAGGCATAAACTTCGACAAATACGACACTATTCTTGTGGAAGTGTCTGGACATGATGCACCACCAGCAATTCTGGTCAGTGTATTAATTGTTTCTGTATTAGCTATGTAGCACACTTTGCCTTTAAAATACATTATGTAGTTTGTAAAGCTGATATCAACACATAGATTTCACCTTTCGTATATAAGGTCTTAGGTTGGAAATTTAGAATGATGTCTTACCATCTATAATAGAATTAATTGCTATGTCAAAAGAGAGTAATAGATTTCATCCCCACTCCCCATACCAGGATGAGAATTTTATTTAAACTTACTTAAAAAATGCTTTTCCTAGTGATTCAAGATGTTTTCCCAAGATTGTGAGAAAGTGTGTCTTAGGGCAGTGATTTTTCTGAGAGGGGGAGCCCTCTGTCTCCTATTGATAATTATACTTAGAACAAGCCATTACTGAGCAGAATTCTTCATATCTCATAGGTTTTAAGGGGGCAGGAAAAATGTTTTTAAAGCCACCATTTGTGGAGAATACTTCATGATTCTGTCAAATCATATTATAATATACAGGCTTTGAATATTTACTTCTGAGTGGAGGCATGTTACTAAAGTCACTTTAGTATATAAAGTAGAATTAACAGAACTTGGAAAGTAGCTCGAATGAAATATGCTTATAAATGATCTGCATATGATATATAGAATGTAATCACTGCTTTTTTTTAAATTTTCAGACTTTTGAAGAAGCTAATCTCTGTCAGACACTGAATAACAACATTGCTAAAGCTGGTTATACTAAGCTTACTCCTGTGCAAAAATACAGTATTCCTATCATACTTGCAGGACGAGATTTGATGGCTTGCGCTCAAACAGGGTCTGGGAAGACTGTAAGTCTTTCCCCACATGTCCAAACTGTTAGGTTTTTTGAGCTTTGGTTCTTCCTTAGTAACTTGGTTTCTTCTTTTGAGTAGAAGGTTTGTAGATGGTTTCAGTTACCTGTCATAAGTATTGATGGTTTTGCTTCTGATTTTTATTAGGATTTGTGTACTTCGGAAGAAAGAATTCTGAACTATTCCTGGGGTGGTGTTGCTGTCCATAGATGTTTAATCTTTTCTGTGTGCAGCTCTTTCTGAAACATGGTAGTATCTTAAACAAAGTGACTGAAAGTCAAAGCAGAGCTTATAAAACAGAGAGGGAGAAAGTAATTTCTGTATTATAGCTGGTACACTCGAAGTCAAAAGATTAAAGAATGAGAAACAGTTATGCATTGTGCATGATTCCTTAGTATTCAGTGACCTCAGGTTATGCTAATTATAAAAGAAGTCTGATGAAACCAGTTGGTTTTAGGACTAATCTGGGAGATTTGTGTGTTAATTAACGACTCCATAAGATGAGACTCTTATTTCTATGATCATAGAGTCCATGAGGTCATACCATTTTAGTCTTAATCAGCCTTCATAGTAGAATTGTAGGGAAAAACAGGTATTGTATAGCAGCTGATGAGAGTGTTAAACGTGGTTTTGGAGGTGGATTTTAGCAAGTGTCTTATTTGCTTAAATGAGAAAACTGTAGCACAAAATTTCTGTTGCCAGATGTAACTTCAATAAGGGTAATGTGTTCAGTAATACAGATGATGATTTCTAAGTTTTTACTCTGTGGGCCACTTTTGTCATCCATTCTGAATGATAATTTTATGACCTCAAAAGGACTAACTTAGAGTAATTGTTCACTGTAATGATTTGCAGCGATTACATCTATCATATTCCTCTATAAATATGCTAATGTTGTTGATCTGTTTAGAATTCGTGGGTATGCTTTTGAAAATACACTGAAAAACTTTGATAGGTTAGATTAATTTTACCAAATTTTATATTGTATAATAAGAGCATAAAGACATAAATGTTAAGAACACCTTGAAATGAAAGTTGTTTTCATTTCTCATCTTAAATTTACCAGTAAGATGGAAGTAGAGTCTAAAGGCTATAAGGACATGAGGATTAGCTTTCCATAGGGATAAAAGTGTTGTGCTATAAGTTTGTAAACTAAGCAACTTAACTTCTAGGCGGCTTTTCTCCTACCAATTTTGGCTCATATGATGCATGATGGAATAACTGCCAGTCGTTTTAAAGAGTTGCAGGAACCAGAGTGTATTATTGTAGCACCAACTCGAGAATTGGTCAACCAGATTTATTTGGAAGCCAGAAAATTTTCTTTTGGGTAAGTACATCAGAGTGCTACTCACAAAATAGTTTTTTCTTTAGAGATTTTTTTCCCCTCACTTTTGGAAGAACTCAGTAATAATGCACTCATGTAATTTTTAGCATTACTTAAAGTATTTTTTTATTATCTTGTTTATGGAATCCTTTTCATTTTTGAAAAGAAATATGCTTATTAAAAATTAGGTTAATAGGTTGGACTTGGTGGCTCATGACTATAATCCCAGTGCTTTGTGAGGCCCAGGCAGGCAGACTGCTTGAGGCCAGGAGTTCGAGACCAGCCAGGGTAACATGGCAAGACCCCATCTCTACAAAAAATAAAATAACTAGCCAGCATGTGGTGATGCACACCTGTTGTCCTAGGAGTTTAGGAGGTTGAGGCAGAAGGATTGTTTGAGTCCAGGAGTTTGAGGCTGCAGTGAACTGTGATTGCACCACCACACTCAGAGCGAGACCCTGTCTCCAAAAAAGTAAAATTTTAATTTAAAAAACAGATAATACTAGAAGTAGAAAATAGTGAACATACTGGTATTATTTCTTGGTAGTTTTTAATGTATATTTAAAAATGAACTCAGGGTATTCTAATAATTTCCTATTCTTTTACATAAAACTTTATAACACAGAAAATTCTTATTTCATAATAAGAACTGATTTTTAATGACTTTTAAATTGCCCATGTGTATACATTTTATTTCTCTGTTCTGAGGTATTTAGGTTCTTTCTAACTTGGGGCTATTGTAAACAAAATTGCAATGTACATCTTGCTACATAGTTTTTCTGTTTTGGCCAGATATGATGTCTTACACCTGTAATCCTAGCACTTTGGGAGGCCAAGATGGGCAGATAGCTTGAGCCCAGGAGTTCAAGACCAGCCTGGAAAACATGGTGAAAACCCATCTCTACAAAAAAGAACAAAAACTAGCTAGGTGCAGTGGTGCACCCCTGTAGTCCCAGCTACTTGGGAGCCTGAGAGATTACCTGAGCCTGGGAGGTCGAGGCTGCAGTGAGCTGTGATTGCGCCACTGCATTCCAGCCTAGATGACAGTGAGACCTTGACTTATATATAAAAAAAACCAACAGTTTTCTGTTTTAAGTATTTTCTTAGAATAGAGTTTTATCAATTTTAATGTTAAAGAGCAGGAACTTATTTTAAAGCTTGTAATTAATGTATATTTGTGCCTGCAGTCTATCAGAAGTCCAATTTCAGTATACCCTTTGCCAACATTTAGTTATCGCTGCCTAACAAACTCCCTTAAAACATAGTTGCTTTCAACAATAAACATTTACTGTCTCACCATTTTGGGGGCTTAGGAATTGGGGAACAGCTTGGCTTAGCTGGGTCCTTCTGAGTTAAGAGTTTCTTATGAGATTGTAAACGAGATGTCAACCAATTCTGGTTTTATTGTCAACCAGACAAGATGTCAAGGCAGTCATCTGAGGGCTTCATTGGATCTCTCCATAGGGATGCATGATTAAATGGCACTGGCTTCCCCTAGATTAAGTGATCAGTAAGAACAAAGAGGAGGCTGTAATAGCTTTTATGAAATAGTCCCAGAAGTCACACATTGTCCTTCTGCCACATTCTCTTTGTAAGAAGCAAGTCACTAAGTTTGACCCCACTCAGGAGTGGCTATATTATAATTTATTGGAACTAGTGCAAAATTGAAAGTGCAGGGTCCTTTGTTGTAAAATTATTACAAATTTCAAGGCAGCGACAACAGAGCATTAAATGAAACACGGGATTCTTCTGAACTTGGGACTCTGTGTGACTGGACAGGTTGCACACTCATGAGGCCAGCCTTACCCACACTGAAGGGGGAAGGTAGAATCCATATTTGAAGGAAGGAATATATTGAAGAATTTGTATATGTATGTTAAAACCACCACAGGTGATTTTATTCTTTTCCATGCTTGAAATCACTTTAATATCAAACCTGATAGATCTTTTGGAAAAACATGTGGATTGCTTATTTCAGTGTTTATATCTTGCTAATCCTCATGTAACATGTTGCTTTCAGGCTTTTAAATCAAGTAAAAGATCTCAGAAATCACCACTAAATAACTTATCCATGTAACGAAATACCACCTGTTCCCCCAAAAGTATTGTAATTAAAAAAAAAAATCAAGTAAAATATCACCTTTTTTTTTTTTTTTTTTTTTTTTAAGATGGAGACTCGCTGTGTTGCCCAGGCTGGAGTAGAGTGGTGGGATCTCGGCTCACTGCAACCTCTGCCTCCTGGGTTCAAGCGATTCTCCTGCCTCAGCCACCTGAGTAGCTGGGATTATAGGCGCATGCTACCATGCCTGGCCAATTTTTTGCATTTTTAGTAGAGACTGGATTTTACCATGTTGGCCAGGCTGGTCTCAAACTCCTGACCTCAGGTGATTTGCCCGCCCTGGCCTCCCAAAGTGCTGGGATTACAGGCGTGAGCCACTGCACCCAGCCAGAATTTAATATTTTTTTAGATAGTTGAATGTTTGTTTTTTTCTTTTTGGATTTTGTTTTATATCTTGTTAGAAACAGATGCCTAATTTTTAAGTAACTAGAAAATAACATTTAGTTTTCTTGTTAATAGGACTTGTGTAAGAGCTGTTGTTATATATGGGGGAACCCAGCTGGGACATTCAATTCGACAAATAGTACAAGGCTGTAATATATTATGTGCTACTCCTGGAAGACTGATGGATATCATAGGCAAAGAAAAGGTACGCCTTATAGGAATAATGAAGTTGTGAGATTGATACTTTTTGTTTGGTATGGGAAAAGGAAAGAATGAGGTAAAGACAGATGTATTTAGTAGAGCACTATTTATGTGTTAGCCTCCATCACATTCTTTGAATGCATTCTTATATAATTCTCAAGATAATCGCAGGGAATAGTGTTTTCTAATTTATACTTGGGAAAACAAACTCAATGAGATTATGTAATTTATTTTAAAAATCCCTGAGTTAGCTCTAGTAAGTATAGAGCTAATGTTAGAATCTGGGTCTGATTCCAGAATCCATATTCTACATCCCACTACGCTGGGGGAAAAATGTAGTTAATAACTTTTTATCTGGTTTCATACATGTCTTGGGGAAATAGTTTTTCTCCTGTAAGAAACCCTTTGTGGCATCAATAATTCTGTCTCCTATGTAAGCATGGGAATGATATTAACCAGGATTGTTAATTTTCTAAATCTTTAAAAAGATTTTAGGGCCATGTACTTATTTAGGAATTCATATACTATATTTTTGTATCTCTCAATCAGTACTTTCAGTTCACCTTAATGAACCAGATTTGCTTTTTAAAAACTCTTTAAAGGGTGCTTCTGAGTTAAGAGTCATTTTCATCCCTCTGGGTTACTCAAAAAAATGTTATTTCTGCATAAACACACCTTTCTTAGTATACTTATTAAAAGGACCCAGAGATATCTACCTTACTTTCTTGCTAAACATCTTCATAGTGGTACCAAAATCACTTTGCAAGTGTGTTCTTCTGTTTATAGTAAAAGATGTTCATGCAAAGGTAAGAGGTTCCTGATTGTTCCCGAGTGATTAGAGAATGGAGAATTTACTAAGGATTTAAAGAGGTTAGAAAAAATTTTACCAGTTAGAAGATATTTGAATATGTCATGCTGTTAGGATATTTTCTTTCTTACATTAGAGTCTAACTTTATCAAATACTATAATCTAGATCTGTATTGTCCAATACAGTAACCACTAGCCACATGTAACAATTTAAATTTAAGAATGATAAAAATTCAGTTCCAAGTCACAGTAGCCACATTTCAAGCGCCTAATAGCTAGCTACCTTTGGCTAATGACTAACACGTTAAACAATGCAGATAGGCTGGGTGCAGTGGCTCACGCCTATAATCCCAGCACTTTGGGAAGCCGAGGCAGGCATATCACGAGGTCAGGAGATAGAGACCATCCTGGTTAACATGGTGAAACCCCGTCTCTACTAAAAACACACACACACACACACAAAAATTAGCCAGGCATGGGGGCATGTGCCTGTAGCCCCAGCTACTTGGGAGGCTGAGGCAGGAGAATCACTTGAACCCAGGAGGCAGAGGTTGCAGTGAGCTGAGCTTGTGCCACTGCACTCCAGCCTGGGCAACACAGCAAGACTCCTTCTCAAAAAAAAAAAAAAAAAAAAAAAAGCGCAGTTAATAGAACTTTTAAGTAATTGCAGAAAGTTTTATTGCACAGTGTTGATCTAGACATTTGGTTTCTTTTAGACTTAATTTTAAAAATGCTTTATAACAGAAAATTGAACTGAAATATACAGTAATATTATCTAAGCATATCAATTCTCATTTTATACACTAATTTCTAGTCTTTTTTCTTAACAGTATTTTATTTTTTTTTATTTTTATTTTTTTCTTTTTTTTGAGACGGAGTCTCGCTATGTTGCCCAGGCTGGAGTGCAGTGGCGCGATCTTGCTCACTGCAAGCTCTGCCTCCCGGGTTCACACCGTTCTCCTGCCTCAGCCTCCCAGGTAGCTGGGACTACAGGCGTCCGCCAACACGCCTGGCTAATTTTTTGTATTTTTTTTTTTTTCTTAACAGTATTTTAACAGTTGGAATTGTAGAGAATAGTTTAATATAAACTAATATGCATTTTCTGTTTTACCTTTGAAAATATCCTTAAAGATTGGTCTCAAACAGATCAAATACTTAGTTTTGGATGAAGCTGATCGCATGTTGGATATGGGTTTTGGTCCAGAAATGAAGAAGTTAATTTCTTGCCCAGGAATGCCATCAAAGGAACAGCGCCAAACCCTTATGTTCAGTGCAACTTTTCCAGAGGAAATTCAAAGGTTAAGTTTTTTTCTTAAAAATAATTTAATTATATATATATACATACTTTTATCAAAGTGGAAGCACTGTGAATATCCTATTTTTAGAGATTTGTCGTTAAGATTTTAATATAGGTAGTTTAAAAAGTAGATGTATTTCTAAAACGTTTGCCACATTTTCCATTGTTTCTTACCTTTATTCCTGGCTTTGTGTTAACATCACATTTTATTTAAAAAGTGTGTGTGTGTGTGTGTGTGTGTGTGTGTGTTTGTGTGTGTTGTTGTTGTTGTTGCATAGAATCCAGCTAGGGTTTAATAAGTGCTTACTAAATTAAGTTATTTTTATTATTATGCCTTCTTTTCAAACCTAAATCTATAGGATTTGGGAGAACTGAGGCTTTGGTAGAAAATTCATATACCAATTATTGGCAGATATTTGAGGATCATGTTATATACCATGGGGTCTAATGAATTCAGAGATTAGGGTGACACATCCCTACTGGAATGGTGACTCTTTTTCCTGCCAGCCCCTTGTCTCAAGGAGCCAGAAGTGCCCAGGCAACAGCAGAAGCTTATACAGATGGGTCCTATGGTTCAACATAAGATTTTATGATTTTTTTACTTTATAATGGTTTATCATAGGTATTAATTGCATTTTTGACTTAAGATATTTTGGACTTAAAATAGGTTTATCGGGATGTTAACCCTGTTGTAAGTTGGGAACCATCTGTAATTCAGCAGGACTCTTGCTATTTTCTCTAGTGGAACTGCGTTCTCTTTGGGAACCAAGACGTCAAAACCTGTAGAACATAAAGTTGGAGGACAAGAAGGGATGGGAAGCATAGATTTCCCTAGTGGGTCATTGAGAGTGATGGTAGGTGGGCCAGTAGTGCTTGCTCTCCTGGATTCCCAGACTCATGCACCATATATGGATATTTGATTTGAGGAATTACCGTGTCATGTTGGATAATGCCCTGTCTTCATAAAGAGTTGCCTCCAAACTCACCCTTGAACTGTTTTTTCTGCAGACAGTTCCAATGTTCCAATGTTCTCTCAGGTTGGCAGCTTCTGAGTGGTGCAGTATATATATTACCTGTGAATCCTATGGTTATGGGCCTGTCCCAACACCTCTTTTGCTTTAAAGTTGGTCCCCTGGTTTGATAGAATGTTACATGGGATCCTGTGCTAGTATATCAAACATTCCCAAACCCTTGAATAGTGGTGCTGGCTATTGATTTATTTTTTATATGGTAAATCTTTGTGTAAAGTTAGGAAGAGTTCTTTATTGGGGGAAAATAGAACTCATAAGACAGCATTAGGTCAATTGGCAGGATATTTTTCTTTCTTAGTGGTACATAAAACAATCATTTCTTAACAATTGAATAGTATTTTCTTTCTTTTTTTTTTTTTTTGTGATGAAGTCTTGCTCTTGCTCTTGTCCCCCAGGCTGGAGTGCAATGGCGCGATCTTGGCTCACTGCAACCTCAATCTCCCGGGTTCAAGCGATTCTCCTGCCTCAGCCTCCCAAGTAGCTGGGATTACAGGCGCCTGCCACCACGCCTGGTTAATTTTTTTTTTTTTTTTTGTATTTTTAGTAGAGACGGGGTTTCACCATGTTGGCCAGGCTGGTCTTGAACTCCTGACCTCAGGTGATCTGCCCACCTCAGCCTCCCAGAGTGCTGGGATTACAGGCATGAGCCACCACACCCAGCCCTATATAGTATTTTCAGGTGGAAATGGGGTATTTGCATTCCCACCATTTGCTTTGGTAACTATCTAATTAGCAGCCTGACTCTTTTTAGATTCACCCTGAAATGGGAAAGTATTTGTATGTTGGCCACCCAAAATGGCAAACGTACTATTGTCAGTCAGTAATATTTGTCGAGGATCTTTTGTGAATCATATTTGATTATAAGCTCTGGGGATATATGTTAAACAAAATAAGCTCCTATCTGACCTTGAGTTGTTTACATTCTTTGCTTCCTGACTCTCCCTCAGTTGCTTCATTTTATCTGTTCTTAAATGTTACCAGTTGCCCATCATTCTGTGCGAAGTCCTTTTCTCAATGTGCATATTCCCTGAGTTATGATATATCCGTTCCCTTGGCTTCTACTTATACCTGTAACTCTCCCAAATTTCTTCCCTGTATTCCTAATCTCTCTCTGTAGCCCCAGACCTTTTTTTTTTTTTTTTCTTGAGACAGAGTTTCGCTCTTGTTGCCCAGGCTAGAGTACAATGGCACGATCTCGGCTCACCGCAACCTCCGCCTCCAGGGTTCAAGCGACTCTCCTCCCTCAGCCTCCTGAGTGGCTGGGATTACAGGCATGTACCACCACGTCCGGCTAATTTTGTATTTTTAGTAGAGATGGGGTTTCTCCATGCTGGTCAGGCTGGTCTTGAACTCCTGACCTCAGCTGATCCGTCCGCCTCAGCCTCCCAGAGTGCTGGGATTGTAAGCGTGAGCCACCGCACCCGGCCCAGACTTTTAAATTTAACTTCTTGGGGTGTTTGTTCTCCCAGATGAATGACTAGTAACTCACGTTCATGTCCAAAATAGAACGTAATTTTTCTTCAGTTCCCTTTTTCCCGTTTTCTTTATTCTGGTTATTGGCATCATGATCTTTTAAAGCCAGAATTGTTTGAATCGTGGTGATTCTTCTCTCACAGTCTTTTAACTCCGCTTTTAAAAATACTGAACTTGGGCCAGGCGCAGTAGCTCATGCCTATAATCCCAACACTTTGGGAGGCTAAAGAGGGAGAAGCATTTGAGCCTAGAAGTTCAGGCCCAGCCTGGGCAACATAGTGAGACCCTGTCTCTATAAAAAACATTTAAAAAATTAGCTGGGTGTGGTGACACGCACCTGTAGGTTCAGCTACTCAGGAGGCTAAAGTGGGAGGATCTCTTGAGCCCAGGAAGTTGAGGCTGCAGTGAGCCATGATTGTGTGCCCCTGTACTCTGGCCTGGGCAACAGACTAAGACCCTGTCTCAGTACAACGTGGCAGTGATATTAGGGTTCTCCAGAAGGACAGAACCAATAATATATATGTAGATATAAAAGGAAGTTTATTAGGGAAAATTGGCTCACACAATCACAAGGTGAAGTCCCATGATAGGCTGTCTGCAAGCTGGAGAAGAGAGAAGCCAGTAGTGGCTCAGTCCAAGTCTGAAAGCCTCAAAACCAAGGAAGCTGATAGATTCCCCCAAGAAGCTGCTGGTGCAAGTCCCAGAGTCCAAAGTCCAAAGAACCTGGAGTATGATGTCCAAGGGTAGTAGGAGCAGAAGCAAGCATCCAACATGGGAAGAAGAAAGAGAGCCAGAAGAGTCAGCAGGCAAAGTTATCCCACCTTCTTCTGCCTGCGTTCTTGTAGCTGCGCTGGTAGCCAACTGGATGGTGTCCACCCACATTGAGGGTGGGCCTTCTTCTCCCAGTCTACCAACTGAAATGTCAGTCTCCTCTGGTAGCACCCTCAGAGACACATCCAGAAACAATGTTTCACTGGCCATCTAGGCATCCCTCAATATAATCAAGTTGACACCAAATATTAACCATTACGGTAGTAATCTCTAAAATATTTCACATCTGTTAGCTTCTCTATTTCCCACCTTAATTTAGGTCCTTATCAATTTTGCCCTGCTCACTGGAAGTGGCTTTTTAACCTGTCTCCCTGCTTCTAGTGTCACTTCTGCATTAGTGGCAATGCCAAAATAAAGTCTGATTCTTTTAAACATTTATTTAAAATAAACCTTCCCATATCTTTCCATCTTCATAGACTGATTTTTAAACTCTTTAACACATGACAGTCTCAGGCTCACCTGCTACTTTCTTACCTGGAGTCGTGTGTTTCTAGTCTACTAGAGCTATTTCCTCTTGGCTGAGAAAGCTGAATTTTACTTTCCTCATTATTTGTGCTTGTTTCTTCTTTCCTACTGCTTAGAATGCCTTTCCACAATCATTAGTGTTCCACATTCTTGCCTGCTGCTTCCCTAGATCAAGCTTCAAACTTGAAGACTTTTCTTTTCTTTTTTTCTTTCTTTCTTTTTTTTTTTTTTTTTTTTTTTTTTTTTTTTTTGGAGACAAGGTCTCACTCTTCTCGCCCAGGCTGAAGTTCAGAGGCACAATCATGGTTCACTGCCACCTTGACCTCCCTGGCTGAAGCGATCCTAGGCCCACCTCAGCCTCCTGGGTAGCTGGAACTACAGGCATGCGCATACACACCTGGCTAATTTTTTATTTTTTGTAGAGATGGGGTTTCACCATGTTGGCCAGAATGGTCTCAAACTCCTGGGCTCAGGTGATCCACATGCCTTGGCCTTCCAAAGTGCTAGGATTGTAGGCATGAGCCACTGTGCCCCGCCTCAAACTGGAGGATTTTTCTAAATAGACATCATTTCATCCATTTCCTGCCAGTGTATCTTGTGAAAGAAACTGTTTAAGTCACTTTGCACATTTCTTGGAACATAGTGTTCAGTAAACATTAACTATTCTAACACTAAACTGTAATTTTTCTTAATATATCTTTCCTACTTGAAGTGAGGATCTCATAGGCTAACACCATCATGTTCATCTTTGTACTCCCAGTACCTTGTACACATGACACAAAACACTCAGTAGTTTTAGTGAATGAAAAGGGTGATGGATAATCATCTGAAGAATTTCAGATGATTTCAAGATTTGTGCCTGGGTGAGAGAGTGACTCTAAAAGAAGGTATAAAAAAGCTTTTCTTTTATGATAAGAGATCAAGTAAGGAGAAAGAAGAAGCAGTGATTTATTAAGAGTCTGGATATGCTGAATTTGAGCTGTTTTCATGAAGGACTCAGCTGGTAAATAAGGGACTGCTACATAGGAGGGAGAGGCATTGAAGAGAGATTTGGGCCTCCCCATTTATCCCTAAAAACTCATCTTTCTCATTAGCAACTTTGTCCACTCCCCTATATTTCTATGTGATCTAAAGCAAGACTTCTCAATTGCAGCTGATAGTGAGTTAACTGTGTGTCAAGATATTGATACCCTTAACCTTTGGGGCAGGCACACCTATCCTGATTCCGCTATGTCCCTGGGCCTTTCATCTCGTCTCACTTGTTTTGCCCAATTGTGCTATGCAAATACTACTTTCTATGTGTGTCGTGACAGACAGAGCACTGACCTAAGATCTGGTTTGCTTGAAATCATTCATTTGAAGTAGAGTAATTTAATAGGTAATATTTTCAGAAAACAACTAATAATAGCATAAATAAAAGCAATGAGTGGAGAACAGAATTTGTGTCTCAGGCTTACATTTCAGGTTTTACTAAAAAATAATTCCTGCTTATTGCAGTTTATTTCTTTTAGTTCATGCTTTTTTTTAAGTGTTATACACATATTTTATATAGTTTTGCGTGGATAGCAAATCCACTTGTAATTACCATATCCATACTTTGACAAACTTTTTTTCTAGTAGTTATGTATTTTGCAAAATCCTAATATTTTATACTGATCTTTCACAATAGTACTTGGGTGATATAAGTAACCAACCATCTTATAGCTGTTATAATCTGCTGTCTGATTAATATTGAGATAACACCTACAGGAATTCAGTGGATATTATGGATACTGATGGAGAGGAGGATAAGTTAAAGAATAATCTTTTGTTTTTCAAGGTTGGCTGCAGAGTTTTTAAAGTCAAATTATCTGTTTGTTGCTGTTGGACAAGTGGGTGGAGCATGTAGAGATGTTCAGCAGACCGTTCTCCAAGTTGGCCAGTTCTCAAAAAGAGAAAAGCTCGTTGAAATTCTGCGAAACATAGGTATCTTACGTTGATACATTTTTTTGTCATGATTTTGATTTTTTTTAATGAATAATTTAAAAAATCACTAAAGAATTGTTTGGTCTGACTTTTCATAAGTTTGTTTTAAGTCTCTCTCCCTCTAAAGCTCTTTTATAAAAAATTTTATGATTCAGTTTTCTGGGTAAATTATATAAAAATATGGTCGTTTCTCCACCATTAAGTTTGAAAATAGGAAGGATTTGAGACTTCATTTTAACTATTCCACCAGAAATGTATCTATTTTTTGTTTTAGGAAACTAGAAAGGCTTAGTAGTGACACATATTTACATCACACTATTACTCCATCAAAAGCAGATTGTTTTTCTGTTTCTGGTTCCTAGCTCTTGCTTCCTAAGGCTTCCCAAATTCATAGATTTGAATAATTTTTTTAGCTAAAAGGGGCTTAAGATCTAGTTCTCTTCCTTCACAATATCTGTGGGAATTTTTTTTTCTCCTCTACTCCCCCAATCAATTTTTATTTTTATTATCTTTTTAGAGATAAGGTCTCACTTTGTTGCTCGGCCTGAAATAATTGTGTAGTCATAGCTTATGGCAGCCTCAAACTCCTGGCCTCAAGCGATCCTCCCACCTCAGCTTCCCAAGTAGCTGGGACTATAGGCATGCGCTACCATGCCTAGCTAATTCTATTATTTTTTGTAGAGATAGGGGTCTCACTATTGACCAGGCTGGCCTTGAACTGTTGGCCTCAATCCTCCCACCTTGTCCTTCCAAAGTGCTGAGGTTACAGCCATGAGCCACTGTACTCACCCCAATTTTACTTTTTATTATTTTTAATTTTTTGAGACGGGGCCTTGCTTTATTGCCAAGGCTGGAGTGCAGTAGCATGACCATGGCTCACTGCAGCCTCAAGCTCCCAGGCTCAAGCAGTTCTTCCACGTCAGTCCCCTGAGTAGCCGGGACTACAGGCGTGCACCACCATGCCCAACCAGTTTTTTAGTTTTTGTAGAGATGGGGTTTTTACCATGTTGCCCAGGCTGGTCTTGAACTCCTGGGCTCGAGTGATCCACTCACATTGGCCTCCCAAACTGCTGGGATTACAGGTGTAAGCCACCATTCCTGGCCCAATTTTTATTTTTGAAGTCATTTTTTTTAGTTCGGTTGTTTAGCCTTATTTTGAGACTGGAAGCAAAAATTTTAAATATGTTCATTTTAATACCTTCTCATTACCTCATAGGCTAGGTCTACTTACATGTTACACTTTCTCCATCCACACCCTCCATTTTAGTACTTGCGTTTCAGCTTGAATGTCAGTGTTGAGAGAGAAATGCGAAGGTGGTTCATCAGCTAATTTCCAATAATGAGCAAAAAGAAAAAATGGAAAGGTGACTTAAAAAGCACTTACAGGCTTCTGGTCTTTAATTTGTCCTAAGTTTTATAAAAACTTTTAAAAACCAAATACTCATCTTGAGTTTGAGAAATTTTATTGGTTGGCTTCATCAAATGTTTCATAATATACACTAATAGCATATAAAAATAATAATAGCTATGGGCCACATACTGTTCTAATTATTGGACATGTGTTAGCTCATTTAATTCCCAAAACAACCTTATGAAGTAGATTTTGTCATTATCCCCATTTTAGGGATGAAGAAACAAATATAGAGAGGTCAAATAACTTGTCCACCATAAATTGATGCTGCTAATGCCGAAGAGATGAGCACTATATGGTTTTGCTGAAGTTAGAACATATTTCTAATATAGTCACCTTAAGTTTTTTTTTTTTTTTTTGAGATGGAGTCTTGCTCTGTCACCCAGGCTGGAGTACAGTGGCACAATCTCGGCTCACTGCAACCTCTGCCTCCCGGGTTCACGCCATTCTCCTGCCTCAGCCTCCTGAGTAGCTGGGACTAGAGGCACGTGCCACCATACCCGGCTAATTTTTTTGTATTTTTAGTAAAGACAGGGTTTCACCGTGTTAGCCAGGATGGTCTTGATCTCCTGACCTTGTGATCTGCCTGCCTCGGCCTCCCAAAGTGCTGGGATTACAGGCATGAGCCACTGTGCCCGGCCAAGATTTTTTTTATATATGAGCTTGTGGGATAAAGTTTATTTTGCAAGTAATCCAAAAGGAGAGAGTTTTTCAGAAGAGCTGGTTTGCCCTTGAGAAAAGGTCAATGTATTATATATGAGCACTATTGATATACTTCTGTATTATTTAAGCTGTGAAATATTTTTTTTGGTTTAGTGTTCATAGTTGATACCTTTTTAACTTTGCATGTAATATCCATCCAGTATATCCTCAAATTATATAAATTTTGTTCATATGATTTATCTCCTTTTCTACTCTTTCACTTAATTATGCTATTTTTTTCCTTTTGCCTTTAAATATATAAGTTTATTTCGGAGTGGCATAGCCCAACTGCCTTTTTCATAATTTTAATTTTAAGTCAACAGAGATCAAAGAGTTTATTGAGCTCTTTAGTTACGAAAGGAACCAGTAAGATGTTACAGCTAGTCAAAAGGAGAATTAAAAAAATACATGTATATTTAGGCCAAGCTTGTCCAACCCACAGCTCACAGGCCACATGCATCCCTTTGATGTGGATAGCTTTGAATGTGGCTCAACGCAAATTCGTAACCTTTCTTAAAACATGATGGGGTGTTTTTTTTTTTTTTTTTTGCGATTAAAAAAACATTTTTTTAAAGCTCATCAGCTATCAGTAGTGTTACGGTATTTTATGTGTGGCCCAAGACAATTCTCCTAATGTGGCCCAAGGAAGCCAAAAGATTGGACACCCCTGGTTTAGGCAATTAGGAATGCTAAAATTAATTTAGAGGTAGATGTAAAACTGGTCATTATTCAAATGCAATAATCACATTTCAGGGGAAAACTTTATTTGCATTTTTACTGAGAATCATTGGCATTGCTATCCATTGCAACAGTTATGAAAAAGAATATAGAAGGCACAAAGAGTGTGCTAGACAGTAATCTTTTTTGCTTACTTCAAATTCTTCCATAATTTTTTCTGACAGCCTGTGTCTACCTCATGACCATAATAATCTCAGAGATAGTCTTGATGACAAGAAGTTTGGTCTTATGTTTGGCTTGCTTATTGGCATGGGTGCAGCAAGATTGTTCATTAACAATAAATGGGCCTCCTTAAGTTTGCTGAACAGTATTGACTTACTAAAGTCACAAAATTAACTTTTGTCTGGAAGTTTTCATAAGGAATGTCAGATTGAACTTTAAAAATCCTTTATTATTTGCTATCTAAGGGATAGGAAACTAAGTCTCAGAAACTCTCTCTACTAGGTTTCACCTGCAGTACCTATAAATTGGAGTGAATCTCACTCTACGAAAGGTCCCCCATATTTCCTGTGGTTCCTGTCCTGTCAGGAAGTGTATGACCTTCCTTAAAATCTCCAAGGCTGGGCCATGTAAGCCAAGCACCAGGTCAGCTTATATGGGAGGTCTTTGTAGGCATTGGTTCCATAAGGAAAGCCAACCTTTGTTCCTTAAAAAAAAGTATCTGGTCCTACCTACCATTCCATTTTCAAATACGAAATCCAGGTGAGATGTTAGTTGGACAGGTAACTTGTCCACTTATATCTTGGTTAAAGGAGGCAGACAGATTCTTATTTAACTGTTGCAGGTAACTACCATGAAAACTAAGGAGACTTAGTTAAGAAATCTGAATTTGGGTTGGGATGGGGTGTCAGTGAGATGCGAGATCAGATATGATTTTAGAATGTTTGATTTTAGTTTACAAAAGCAGAGTCTACTAAAATGTGTAAATGACAGCTAGCTTAAGAGGAAAAAAGCCTTCTTCATATATCCAGAAAATAGAATATTAAAATAATATTAACAGTATTGCAAACAAATGGCCACAGAGAGATATTCTCCATAAGCTCATTCAGTCCTTATGTAATTCTTATTTCATTGTATATGTTAGGGATCAGCTTGCATGATTCTGTCTGTTTCTAGAAGGACTAGTCCTGGAAATCTCACTCAGTCCAGTGATAGGGTCTAAAAGTTGTCAAAGCAGTCAACTTTAGAACCTTCTACCCAAGACTCTATTCTTTGAAGTATTAATAGTTCTTCACAAGGCTTGGAGTCTGTCCTTTAGGACATAGACTCTGATCTATAGCTTACAGCACAGCCTTTGGGCAAGCATCTAAAGAAAACAAAAGCTGTCTGAAGATGACAGATTTAATGATCATGGTAAATTTGTTACCGGTAATTGTTAAATATTGAGGGTCTGAGGAAGGTTCATGATAAGAATAATGCTACTGATAAATTTTTTTCTATGACATGCAAAATAAAGGTAATAAAGCCATTTAAAAAATACTAGGCAAAAAATCTGATTAAGCTTATTTTCTTTCTTTTTTTTTACAGTAAACCCTTTTTTTATTATATACTTTTTTAGGGTACATGTGCACAACATGCAGGTTTGTTACGTATGTATACATGTGCCATGTTGGTGTGCTGCACCCATTAACTAGTCATTTACATTAGGTATATCTCCTAATGCCATCCCTCCCGCCTCCCCCCACCCCACGACAGGCCCCAGTGTGTGATGTCCCCCTTCCTGTGTCCAAGTGTTCTCATTGTTCAATTCCCACCGATGAGTGAGAACATGTGGTGTTTGTTTTTTTGTCCTTGCAATAGTTTGCTGAGAATGATGGTTTCCAGCTTCATCCATGTCCCTACAAAGGACATGAACTCATCATTTTTTAAGGCTGCATAGTATTCCATGGTGTATATGTGCCACATTTTTATTATTATTATACTTTAAGTTTTAGGGTACATGTGCACAATGTGCAGGTTAGTTACATATGTATACATGTGCCATGCTGGTGAGCTGCACCCACTAACTCGTCATCTAGCATTAGGTATATCTCCCAATGCTATCCCTCCCCCCTCCCCCCACCCCACAACAGTCCCCAGAGTGTGATGTTCCCCTTCCTGTGTCCATGTGTTCTCATTGTTCAATTCCCACCTATGAGTGAGAATATGCGGTGTTTGGTTTTTTGTTCTTGTGATAGTTTACTTGAGAATGATGATTTCCAATTTCATCCATGTCCCTACAAAGGACATGAACTCATCATTTTTTATGGATGCACAGTATTCCATGGTGTATATGTGCCACATTTTCTTAATCCAGTCTATCATTGTTGGACATTTGGGTTGGTTCCAAGTCTTTGCTATTGTGAATAGTGCCTCAATAAACATACGTGTGCATGTGTCTTTATAGCAGCATGATTTATAGTCCTTTGGGTATGTACCCAGTAATGGGATGGCTGGGTCAAATGGTATTTCTAGTTCTAGATCCCTGAGGAATCGCCACACTGACTTCCACAATGACTAGTTTACAGTCCCACCAACAGTGTAAAAGTGTTCCTATTTCTCCACATCCTCTCCAGCACCTGTTGTTTCCTGACTTTTGAATGATTGCCATTCTAACTGGTGTGAGATGGTATCTCATTGTGGTTTTGATTTGCATTTCTCTGATGGCCAGTGATGGTGAGCATTTTTTCATGTGGTTTTTGGCTGCATAAATGTCTTCTTTTGAGAAGTGTCTGTTCATGTCCTTTGCCCACTTTTTGATGGGATTGTTTGTTTTTTTCTTGTAAATTTGTTTGAGTTCATTGTAGATTCTGGATATTAGCCCTTTGTCAGATGAGTAGGTTGCGAAAATTTTCTCCCGTTTTGTAGGTTGCCTGTTCACTCTGATGGTAGTTTCTTTTGCTGTGCAGAAGCTCTTTAGTTTAATTAGATCCCATTTGTCAATTTTGGCTTTTGTTGCCATTGCTTTTGGTGTTTTAGACATGAAGTCCTTGCCCATGCCTATGTCCTGAATGGTAATGCCTAGGTTTTCTTCTAGGGTTTTTATGGTTTCTGGTCTAACGTTTAAGTCTTTAATCCATCTTGAATTGATTTTTGTATAAGGTGTAAAGAAGGGATCCAGTTTCAGCTTTCTTTTTATGGCTAGCCAGTTTTCCCAGCACCATTTATTAAATAGGGAATCCTTTCCCCATTGCTTGTTTTTCTCAGGTTTGTCAAAGATCAGATAGTTGTAGATATGCTGCGTTATTTCTGAGGGCTCTGTTCTGTTCCATTGATCTATATCTCTGTTTTGGTACCAGTACCATGCTGTTTTGGTTACTGTGGCCTTGTAGTATAGTTTGAAGTCAGGTAGTGTGATGCCTCCAGCTTTGTTCTTTTGGCTTAGGATTGACTTGGCGATGCGGGCTCTTTTTTGGTTCCATATGAACTTTAAAGTTGGTTTTTCCAATTCTGTGAAGAAAGGCATTGGTAGCTTGATGGGGATGGCATTGAATCTGTAAATTACCTTGGGCAGTATGGCCATTTTCACGATATTGATTCTTCCTACCCATGAGCATGGAATGTTCTTCCATTTGTTTGTATCCTCTTTTATTTCGTTGAGCAGTGATTTGTAGTTCTCCTTGAAGAGGTCCTTCACATCCCTTGTAAGATGGATTCCTAGGTATTTTATTTTCTTTGAAGCAATTGTGAATGGGAGTTCACTCATGATTTGGCTCTCTGTTTGTCTGTTATTGGTGTATAAGAATGCTTGTGATTTTTGTACATTGATTTTGTATCCTGAGACTTTGCTGAAGTTGCCTATCAGCTTAAGGAGATTTTGGGCTGAGACGATGGGGTTTTCTAGATATACAGTCATGTCATCTGCAAACAGAGACAATTTGACTTCCTCTTTTCCTAATTGAATACCCTTTATTTCCTTCTCCTGCCTAATTGCCCTGGCCAGAACTTCCAACACTATGTTGAATAGGAGTGGTGAGAGAGGGCATCCCTGTCTTGTGCCAGTTTTCAAAGGGAATGCTTCCAGTTTTTGCCCATTCAGTATGATATTGGCTGTGGGTTTGTCATAGATAGCTCTTATTATTTTGAAATACGTCCCATCAATACCTAATTTATTGAGAGTTTTTAGCATGAAGAGTTGTTGAATTTTGTCAAAGGCCTTTTCTGCATCTGTTGAGATGATCATGTGGTTTTTGTCTTTGGCTCTGTTTCTATGCTGGATTACATTTATTGATTTGCATACATTGAACCAGCCTTGCATCCCAGGGATGAAGCCCACTTGATCATGGTGGATAAGCTTCTTGATGTGCTGCTGGATTCGGTTTGCCAGTATTTTCTTGAGGATTTTTGCATCAATGTTCATCAGGGATATTGGTCTAAAATTCTCTTTTTTTGTTGTATCTCTGCCCGGCTTTGGTATCAGGAAGATGCTGGCCTCATAAAATGAGTTAGGGAGGATTCCCTCTTTTTCTATTGATTGGAATAGTTTCAGAAGGAATGGTACCAGCTCCTCCTTGTACCTCTGGTAGAATTCAGCTGTGAATCCATCTGGTCCTGGACTTTTTTTGGTTGGTAAGCTATTAATTATTACCTCAATTTCAGAGCCTGTTATTCGTCTATTCAGAGATTCAACTTCTTCCTGATTTAGTTTTGGGAGGGTGTATGTGTCCATGAATTTATCCATTTCTTCTAGATTTTCTAGTTTATTTGCGTAGAGGTGTTTGTAGCATTCTCTGATGGTAGTTTGTATTTCTGTGGGATTGGTGGTGATATCCCCTTTATCATTTTTTATGCATCTATTTGATTCTTCTCTCTTTTCTTCTTTATTAGTCTTGCTAGCAGTCTGTCAATTTTGTTGATCTTTTCAAAAAACCAGCTCCTGGATTCATTGATTTTTTGAAGGGTTTTTTTTGTCTCTTATTTCCTTCAGTTCTGCTCTGATCTTAGTTATTTCTTGCCATCTGCTAGCTTTTGAATGTGTTTGCTCTTGCTTCTCTAGTTCTTTTAATTGTGATATTAGGGTGTCAGTTTTAGATCTTTCCTGCTTTCTCTTGTGGGCATTTAGTGCTGTAAATTTCCCTCTACACACTGCTTTGAATGTCTCCCAGAAATTCTGGTATGTTGTGTCTTTGTTCTCATTGGTTTCAAAGAACATCTTTATTTCTGCCTTCATTTTGTTATGTACCCAGTAGTCATTCAGGAGCAGGTTGTTCAGGTTCCATGTAGTTGAGTGGTTTTGAGTGAGTTTCTTAATCCTGAGTTCTAGTTTGATTGCACTGTGGTCTGAGAGACAGTTTGTTATAATTTCTGTTCTTTAACATTTGCTGAGGAGTGCTTTACTTCCAACTATGTGATCAATTTTGGAATAAGTGCGGTGTGGTGCTGAGAAGACTGTATATTCTGTTGATTTGGGTTGGAGAGTTCTATAGATGTCTGTTAGGTCCACTTGGTGCAGAGCTGAGTTCAATTCCTGGATATCCTTGTTAACTTTCTGTCTCGATCTGTCTAATGTTGACAGTGGGGTGTTAAAGTGTCCCATTATTATTGTGTGAGAGTCTAAGTCTCTTTGTAGGTCTCTAAGGACTTGCTTTATGAATCTGGGTGCTCCTGTATTGGGTGCATATATATTTAGGATAGTTAGCTCTTCTTGTTGTATTGATCCCTTTACCATTATGTAATGGCCTTCTTTGTCTCTTTTGTTCTTTTTTGGTTTAAAGTCTGTTTTATCAGAGACTAGGATTGCAACCCCTGCCTTTTTTTGTTTTCCATTTGCTTGGTAGATCTTCCTCCATCCCTTTATTTTGAGCCTATGTGTGGCTCTGCACATGAGCTGGGTCTCCTGAATACAGCACACTGATGGGTCTTGACTCTTTATCCAGTTTGCCAGTCTTTGTCTTTTAATTGGAGCATTTAGCCCATTTACATTTAAGGTTAATATTGTTATGTGTGAATTTGATCCTGTCATTATGATGTTGGCTGGTTATTTTGCTCGTTAGTTGATGCAGTTTCTTCCTAGCCTTGATGGTCTTTACAATTTGGCATGTTTTTGCAGTGGCTGGTACCGGTTATTCCTTTCCATGTTTATTGCTTCCTTCAGGAGCTCTTTTAGGGAAGGCCTGGTGGTGACAAAATGTCTCAGCATTTGCTTGTCTGTAAAGTATTTTATTTCTCCTTCACTTTTGAAGCTTAGTTTGGCTGGATATGAAATTCTGGGTTGCAGATTCTTTTCTTTAAGAATGTTGAATATTGGCCCCCACTCTCTTCTGACTTGTAGAGTTTCTGCCGAGAGATCAGCTGTTAGTCTGATGGGCTTCCCTTTGTGGGTAACCCGACCTTTCTCTCTGGCTGCCCTTAACATTTTTTCCTTCATTTCAACTTTGGTGAATCTGACAATTATGTGTCTTGGAGTTGCTCTTCTCGAGGAGTATCTTTGTGGCGTTCTCTCTTTCCTGAATTTGAATGTTGGCCTGCCTTGCTAGATTGAAGTTCTCATGGATAATATCCTGCAGAGTGTTTTCCAACTTTCTTCCATTCTCCCTGTCACTTTCAGGTACACCAATCAGATGTAGATATGGTCTTTTCACATAGTCCCATATTTCTTGGAGGCTTTGTTCGTTTCTTTTTATTCTTTTTTCTCGAAACTTCTCTTCACATTTCATTTCATTCATTTCATCTTCCATCAGTGATACCCTTTCTTCCAGTTGATTGAATCGGCTACTGAGGCTTGTGCATTCATCCTGTAGTTCTCATGCCTTGGTTTTCAGCTCCATCAGGTCCTTTAAGGACTTCTCTGCATTGGTTATTCTAGTTAGCCATTCGTCTAATTTTTTTTCAAGGTTTTTAACTTCTTTGCCATGGCTTTGTATTCCTCCTTTAGCTCTGAGTAGTTTGATCATCTGATGCCTTCTTCTCTCAACTCGTCAAAGTCATTCTCCGTCCAGCTTTGTTCCATTGCTGGTGAGGAGCTGCGTTCCTTTGGACGAGGAGTGGCACTCTGATTTTTAGAGTTTCCAGTATTTCTGCCCTGTTTTTTCCCCATTTTTGTGGTTTTATCTACCTTTGGTCTTTGATGATGGTGACGTACAGATGGGGTTTTGGTGTGGATGTCCTTTATGTTTGTTAGTTTTCCTTCTAACAGTCAGCACCCTCAGCTGCAGGTCTGTTGGAGTTTGCTGGAGGTCCACTCCAGACCTTGTTTGCCTGGGTATCAGCAGCGGAGGCTGCAGAACAGCAGATATTGGTGAACAGCAGATATTGCTACCTGATCGTTCCTCTGGAAGTTTTGTCTCAGAGGAGTACCTGGCTGTGTGAGGTGTCAGTCTGCCCCTACTGGGGGTGCCTCCCAGTTAGGCTCCTTGGGGGTCAGGGACCCGCTTGAGGAGGCAGTCTGTCCCTTCTCAGATGTCTGGCTGCGTGCTGGGAGAACCACTACTCTCTTCAAGGCTGTCAGACAGGGACATTTAAGTCTGCAGAGGATTCTGCTGCCTTTTGTTTGTCTGTGCCCTGCCCCCAGAGGTGGAGTCTACAGAGGCAGGCAGGCCTCCCTGAGATGCGGTGGGCTCCACCCAGTTCGAGCTTCCTGGCCGCTTTGTTTACCTAAGCAAGCCTAGGCAATGGCAGGTGCCCCTCCCCTAGCTTCGCTGCTGCCTTGCAGTTTGATCTCAGACTGCTGTGCTAGCAATGAGCGAGGCTCCATGGGGGTAGGACCCTTTGAGCCAGGTGTGGGATATAATCTCCTGGTGTGCCCTTTGCTAAGACCATTGGAAAAGTGCAGTATTATGGTGGGAGTGACCCGATTTTCCAGGTGCCGTCTGTCACCCCTTTCTTTGACTAGGAAAGGGAATTCCCTGACCCCTTGCGCTTCCCAGGTGAGGCGATGCCTGGCCGTGCTTCAGCTCACGCTCAGTGTGCTGCACCAAGTGTCCTGCACCCAGTTTCTGACACTCCCCAGTGAGATGAACCCGGCACCTCAGTTGGAAATGCAGAAATCAGCCGTCTTCTGCGTCACTTATGCTGGGAGCTGTAGACTGGAGCTGTTCCTATTTGGCCATCTTGGCTCCACCCCTGATTAAGCTTATTTTCAAAGAAGAAACCTGATTTATGAAAATGAGCAGATATAATTTTTCATATCAAGAATATAAAGTAAATAGATTTAGCAGTATAATTATGAAATCATTGTTTTTACCTCTCAGACCTCTTTAGAGGATCTTGGAGACTCTGGGAAAGACTTACTTTGTCATAAAGTGTCAGTTTGTTCCAGAACATTGAAAAAGCACAATGAAAGACAAAATGGGAACTGAGTTCACCTGTAGATGTAGAATAGGGTCCAGACATTTATATTTTTACAGAATGCCATGTGTAAGTCTGATGTACATCCCTAGTGAAGAACCACTGAAGAAGATGTTAGATTCAAGTTAGGAAAGAGGTAAGGTTAGAGACGTTTTAAAAAGTGAAATTATGACTGGCAACACTGTACTATTGCATCAGGCAGCATACCTTCAAGACTTTGATAAATATAGGGAAACTCTATAGAATTACTTTATAGAATTTTGAGCAGTGTTTCTCCTGAGGGTAAAAGTATACTTTGGATGGTGAGAGAACTTACAAATCATGAGGGACTCCCGTAAAGCATACACACACACACACAAAAAATAGAGGCCGAGTATCACTTATCCAAAATACTTGAGACCAGAAGTGCTTCATATTTTTTTTTTCTTTTTTTGGAGACGGAGTTTCGCTCTTGTCGCCCAGGCTAGAGTGTGACTGCGTGATCTTGGCTCACTGCAGCCTCTGTCTCCTGGGTTCAAGCGATTCTCCTCCCTCAGCCTCCCCAGTAGCTGGGATTTCAGGCACCTGCCATCACGCCTGGCTAATTTTTGTATTTTTAGTAGAGATGGGGTTTCACCACATTGGCCAGGCTGGTCTAGAACTCCTGACCTCAGGTGATCCGCCCGCCTTGGCCTCCCAAAGTGCTGGAATTACAGGTATGAGCCACCATGCCTAGCCATGTTTCGGATTTTTTTTAATTAACTTTTGGAATATTTGCAGTACGTTTATCACTTGATCATCCCTAATCCAAAACTCTGAAATGCTCCAGTGAGCATTTCCTTTGAGCATCATGTCAGTACTCAAAGAGTTTGGGATTTTGGATTTTCAAATTAGGAATGCTCAACGTGTATTAACATTTTATCTATTCTCTTTAATCTTGGAAAAGTGTAGTCTTTTCTGGTTTGACAACTCTTACCATACAACTCTTAAATAGTAATACATCTAAAAAAAATAATTTCTAGAATCCCTTCCTTTATAATGAAATAATAAACCTTTGTGCTTTTCCTGGGGCTCTCTCTGAGAAATCTCAAAAGTTTTCTGGGTGAATTTCTTCTTCTAAATTTTTAATTTGATCTTAAAAAGACAAAAGGAGTTGTCAGAGGAGAGTTGAATATTTGATTAGTGTAGGATTCGTGGGTATCAGAAAAACTATTTGGTTATCAATTTAATTGAAGTGACAAAACATTTAGAAGTAAACATAGAAAGTGACATGGTTGTAAATAACCACAGCTCTTTCATAAATAGGGAACCTTTTCTCTTTAGTCTTTTTTTCTTCTTTTTTTCCCTTCTTTAGTCTTTTTTTTTTTTTAAACAGACCTAATAAAGTCAACAGAATCTCTGCTGTCTAGGCTGATTACAAGGAAGGTAAAGAATAACTTTTTATCCAGTGTAATGGCTCTGAGGAAAAAAAACTCTCATAAGCGAAAGCATTAAACAGTAAATTAAGAAAGTAATTCCATACAAACTGAGTGACCTTTGCTAGAATATTAACACCTTTTATAGCTTATTTTAACCCAAGTGTTTTAAATCAAAGCAGATAAAATTCAGTTTCCAAGTTTTATCTTTCATTGTGCTTTTTCAGTTTTCTGGAACAAACTGACATTTTAGGACAAAATGTGTCTCCCCCAGGTTCTCTAAGATCCCCTAATTGGGTCTGCAAGGTAAAAATAATTTTCATGATTATACTAAGAATTATTTATTTTAATATGCAAATATTGTTCAAATAAAGATTATCTTGGTGTTAATTTTTAATATGGTAAATATCAAAACACACAAGAAAAACTCCAGGATTGTCAGTGTTTTATGAGTTTAAAGGTAACACTGACCAAAATGTTTGAAAGCCACTAAACTACTTTTTTTCCTTGAAGCAAAAGCAATTACAGTTTTTATTTCTGTCACTGTTATTCCTAGTGTAGTTGCAACCACTTATGTTAATTATATCTTTTAATCATAGTAACTTCTATTTCATAAAGGAAATTGGGAGCAGGGAGATGGGAAACTGGGAGATGTCATACACAAGCATTGTCTACTGTTTTCAGTTACCTGAAGATTTTGGAAATTATCTTCAAGATGATGTTTTTCAAAACATAAATACTGTTGAATAAATGACTAAATTTAGTTGAACACAGATTTCCGTTTTCATACTCTTAAACATCATGAAGGAATAATACTAGCTTATTTGGCTAGTAAACCTCTATACATTAGGAAAAACAAACCCAAGTAGAGTAAGTGTATTAAGCTTTACACTGATAATAGGGAGAAGATGTTTTGGTTTTTTTTAAACTAAAGGTATTAGTCTCATTTACCAAAGATTTCACTTAATTATGTAAACTTGGATTCTTAAAATGATTCTGATTCTTGTAATACGTTTTTTCAAAAGTTTAATATAGTTTAAAGTATATTTTTCAAAAGTGCAAGTTCAATTTCTTTACTTTCTGAGATTTTAGGAATATTTACCTTGATAACATTTCTCTTTTATTCATCTTTATAAACAAATTTGAATAGAATTCCTTTAAGAGACTTTGTAATTTAATGTGTTAATACTTCCGTAGGGGCCGGGCGCGGTGGTTCACGCCTGTAATCCCAGCACTTTGGGAGGCCGAGGCGGGCGGATCACGAGGTTAGGAGATTGAGACCATCCTGGCTAACACGGTGAAACCCCGTCTCTACTAAAAATACAAAAAAAAATTAGCTGGGTGTGGTGGCAGGTGCCTGTAGTCCCAGCTACTCAGGAGGCTGAGGCAGGAGAATGGCGTGAACCCGGGAGGCGGAGGTTGCAGTGAGCCGAGATTGTGCCACTGCACTCCAGCAAGCCGAGATTGCGCCACTGCACTCCAGCCTGGGCAACAGAGCGAGACTGCGTCTCAAAAAAAAAAAAATGCATTTCTCAGAGGCTTAGACTTGTCTTTCACTCTTCCTTAAGCTCTTTTCCTAGATACCTGCACAGTTCACTATCTTTATATCTTTACTAAGATACCATCTAATTGGGGTATCTAAAGTAGGCCTGTCTAATAAGCCTGTCTTAAAGTATCTAAAGTAATCATCTCTGGACCCTTTATCTTGCTGATTTTTTCCTTTTTAGTACTAAATGCGTAATATTTATTTGCCTCCCCATAGTGAAAGCAGGGGCTTTTATTTCCGCATTTCCAACAGAAACATGACAGGCATCTAGTAGGCACTAAATGTTTGCTGAATAAATGAATGAAGTGAGATTACAGAGAAATGGGGAGAGAGATTATGAACAGTAATACATTTTTATATGCTTTAAAGCTATAAATTATCTTTCTTCTCCAACATTTTATAGGGAAATTCCCTGTGTGGGAAAATCTCCGGCCCATGCTTGAATTTCTACCGGTTAAATATTTTAAGGAGTAAATATTCCTTAACAAGTTAAGACCCTGGGATAAGGTTGTCATTTAATTTTTTAATATGTAAGATATTTTGGGAATGAAGGGATTTGAATTAGAGATAATGTTTGGAACACTAATTATATAGAGTTAAGCAGCCCCAGGTCAGATGCCACTATTGTAAACACCTCAGGCAATCATGGGAGAATGAAAGATTGGATTATCTTGAGAGGTAGACAGCAAAAAACATTTATAGAGCGAGGGAAATGGAGGGGAGGAAAGGACTGAGACAATTTTATATTACTAAGAGTTGGCAGGCAGATATGATTTACCTTTCCCTAAGGTTCTACTTCTTGTGTTGGCCTGGGAGGAGGAAAGAGAAGCTAATTTTTTAAATCCCTCAACTAGGAAAACAGTCCTGTGTCTTTGACATCCATTCTGGAATTAGAGTCCCTCTTATGTACCAGGCTTGGCTGTGGTGCTGGTAGTAAATACAGTGGTGGACAAAGTTTCATATTCAAGCACTGCCTCCTATCCCTGCTTTATTTTTCATTTCCTGATTTTGAAGTTTGAATATTAATAATTTCATTGTCTTGTAGGGGATGAAAGAACTATGGTCTTTGTTGAAACTAAGAAAAAAGCAGATTTTATTGCAACTTTTCTTTGTCAAGAAAAAATATCAACTACAAGTATTCATGGGTGAGTAGATGAATATAATTACCTATTAGGGGAATGACTTCTATTTGGTATTTAAGAAACATCAGTTTATATAACTAATATGATATAATCCTAGGATTGGGATTCAGAATTCTCTCAGATCTAAACTGTTATTCTCCTTTATATGAGGAAAAGGATAATACCCAGGAGTACTAAACTATTATTTTTCATCCTCATTCTTAGTTTTTAGAACTAAGTGGTTGTGGTGGGTAAGATAAAGGTCTGCCTTACTCTCAAAATAAGGAGTGGAAATTTCTCAAGAGATCTCACTTAAGGATCTCTGGCCCCTTATCAAATTTTCCTTTGCTAAATCTAATCTTTCTTAGAGCTTTTTAAAATTGGAGTGCTTTAAAATGTCATATTAATACCGTTTTATGGGCACTTCATTAGTAGATCCTAAAATATCACGTAGTATATAGTGTTGTGAAATTATACTTTAAAAATATGTTTTTAAGCAAGCATTCTAATCAAGTAGTTGTATATTTTATGTCAAGACTATAAAGCATAGAGATTATAATAGGATTTGATTTTTGTCAGACTTGAGATTGTAGTCTGTCTCTACATATTAGCTGTTACTTTACCTCATTTGCAAATGGGGATAATTTTTGCAACTCAAAGTATTATATTGAGGATTAAATAAAATGGTAGCTTGGAAGGAATTAGTATAGTACCTGGTATGTAAGAAGTGAACATTAATGTTAAATGCTGCTATTCTTTTTTTTTTTTGAGAAAGTCTTGCCCAGTCATCCAGGCTGGAGTGCAATGGCACGATCTCAGCTCACCTCTGCTTCCCCGGTTCAAGTGATTCTCCTACTTCAGCCTCCCTAGTAGCTGGAATTACAGGTGCATGCCACCATGCCCAGCTAATTTTTTGTATCTTTAATAGAGATGGTGTTTCATCATGTTGGCCAGACTGGTCTCGATCTCCTCACCTTGTGATCCACCTGCTTCAGCCTCCCAAAGTGCTGGGGTTACAGGTGTGAGCCACTGCGCCCAGCCAAATGCTGCTATTCATACTATTATTAAAAAGAAATTTGTATGTTGAACTTTAATGATTCACTTTAATGATTTTAAGAGTGGTTCTAATAACATGCTTTCTTTTCTTTCAAGTGATCGGGAACAGAGAGAGCGGGAGCAAGCTCTTGGAGATTTTCGCTTTGGAAAGTGCCCAGTTCTTGTTGCTACTTCAGTAGCTGCCAGAGGGCTGGATATTGAAAATGTGCAACATGTTATCAATTTTGATCTTCCTTCTACCATTGATGAATATGTTCATCGAATTGGGCGTACTGGTCGTTGTGGGAATACTGGCAGAGCAATTTCCTTTTTTGATCTTGAATCGGATAACCATTTAGCACAGCCTCTAGTAAAAGTATTGACAGATGTAAGTTAAACTTTTATGATGGAATGGATAGTTTTCTTACTTTGTTGTTGAAAGTAGACATTTTATGCATGTGTATATAACAAGTAAACTTTTCCAATATTTAATACTTTATGTTGCATATGAAGTCAATTTTTTTTAAAGGCTCAACAGGATGTTCCTGCATGGTTGGAAGAAATTGCCTTTAGTACATACATTCCTGGCTTCAGTGGTAGTACAAGAGGAAACGTGTTTGCATCAGTTGATACCAGAAAGGTTAGTAGAAAGGAAAACTTGAGAACTTGTCTTCTAGTTACTCTTTGTAAATGTTGTGCTTAATATTGTGAAGTAACTATAATATTTAATAATCAAGCCATTGTTTTCGTGCCTGGAAGGTAGCTACTTTATTATTTCATTAACATTTTATGTATATACATATTTTTGGTTTTAAAGGTCAGGAATTAACTTTGAGATTTATGCCTAAACAGTCTCCTTTCCCAGATTTTAAATTTTAATTTGGAATCTTTTAAACTTCTGATGGAATTATTTAATTTTTGAATTCTGACAACATTAATTAATATAAAATACAGGACCTGTTGGGGTTACAAGTCTTTTCTTTTTCTTTTCTTTTTTTTTTTTTTTGAGATAGTGTCTGGCTCTGTTGTCCAGGCTGGAGTGCAGTGGCATGATCTTGGCTCACTGCAACCTCCGCCTCCCAGGTTCAAACAATTCTCATGCCTCAGCCTCCAGTGTATCTGGGATTACAGGCATGTGCCACCATCTTAGCTGGTTTTTTTTTTTTTTTTTTTTGTATTTTTAATAGAGACAGGGTTTCACCATGTTGGCCAGGCTGGTCTCAAACTCCTGGCCTCAAGTGATCCACCTGCTTCAACCTCCCAAAGTGCTGAGATTACAGGCGTGAGCCACTGCGCCCAGCCACGAGGCTACAAGTCTTTTCTGGTATGTCAGGTTTTTATAGGCTGAACACCGCCTTTATTCAGAAACAATGAGCATGTTAATTAAATATTTATGCTGATTCATTGAGTGTAGTGCATTAAGTTTTCCCCACTTGTCAAAACTATTGACTTAAAAAATATTTTTCTTGAAACATTTTGTGCAATTTAGATTTCCTCATTTGACAGGAGCCTTTTTTCAGGTGAATCAGATTTAGTGAGAATAAAGTTCTTTGATTATTTGGGGAAGACATGGTAGATACTTTGAGTCCTTGCTCTCAGTCTGAGTGATGTAACTTTAAAGCTGTCATAAAATTAAATGTTTGTTTGTTTCTTTTTTTTTTTTTTTAAATAATTACCAGGGCAAGAGCACTTTGAACACAGCTGGGTTTTCTTCTTCACAAGCTCCCAATCCAGTAGATGATGAGTCATGGGATTAAAGCCAAAACATCCTTCAAGTCTGTGGTTTTGATGCAGAGAAGAAAATAGTTTTGATTTTTGAGTTTTTAACAGAAGTATAAAACTTAACATTCTCATAGCTCCTGTCCTTGTATTCTCACTCCTACACTTAAAAAAAAAATCCTTACTGACTAGTTATGTGAGATGCTAAAACTTACAACATTGCAGTTACTGATACAAATGGTGTTAACTGGGAATATTAAAGCATTCTAAATGTCTTTCTTATTTCTGGTATATTCTTTAGGGGGCTTAGACATGTTTAATGTTTAAATGCCAAGTCTTACTATAGTGTTTATTGATCTTATAAAACAAGCAAATAGGATATGATACACTTTTGGTTAAAAATTACTGGGTCTCATTTTTACTTGAGTCTTTAAAACAGTAGTGTGTCACTATAATGTGATAATCTTTAAGAGAAAGTAGAATACTTAAGCCTTTCAAAGTGATTTTGATTTTTAGATCATCAGATGTATGATGAAAATGGTTAAATGTTTGTGATGGGAGCTCTGTACTCAATGGCATAACAATGTTTATTTTTATAATATACAATCTTTCCTTGAAATAAAGGATGAAACACTTTTCCCTTAAGTTTTCCATCAGCACTTTAAATTTTTCTTTGTTGCATATCCTAGCCCAAACTCCTATATTTTTGAAACTGTTTTTTTGTGTCTTGCGTAACCAGTGCAGTGAACAAAGTCTTACATAAATTAAATATTAATGTATAAACATTACTGCACAGATGTGGCAATGAAAATCAATCTTAGAACTCAAACCCGTTTATCAACAAAAAACAATGCTGCTTACTCTTTCCATAAGTTTTTGATTCATATTTTAAGATTGATGAAAGAACCCTGTCTTTCTTCATTTTCCATTATATATCTTGAACTTACTATGCCTAGAATAATGAAGTTCTTTTTTTTTTTGAGACGGAGTCTTGCTCTTGTTGCTAAGGCTGGAGTGTAATGGCGTGATCTTGGCTCACTGCAACCTCTGCCTCCCGGGTTCAAGCAGTTCTCCTGCCTCAGCCTCTCCCGAGTAGCTGGGATTACAGACACGCGCCACAATGCCCAGCTAATTTTTAGTAGAGACGGGTTTCACTATGTTGGCCAGCCTGGTCTCGAACTCCTGACCTCGTGATCCGCCCGCCTCCACCTCTCAAAGTGCTGGGATTACACGCGTGAGCCACCGCACCCAGCCCGAAGTTATTAATTAATTGTTAAATGAACGAACCCAAATATTTAAGACCCAGTGAGGTGTAAATACTGGGGAGACAAAAATGATTGGTATTAAGTGTTACTGTTCACCTAAACAATCCAAAGTGACATGTCCCTGATGTATATCTTGTTATAGGAATTTAGTTAATAAATGAGGCATCACATATGAAAAAGGAAGGCATATCAACAGATAGTGTTAGAATAACTGGGTAGATGCCTACCTCATGCCATATTTAAAATTAACTTCATGTGAATTATAAAATATTAAAGCTAATAGTTAAATATTAACCCTTTGAAGGGTTGACTTTAAGCTAAGGAACAGAAATCAAAAAAGAAACAACAGATTTGATCACTCAAGGAAAGATTAGTTGCCTACATAAAAAATAGTGAAAAGTAGACAAGGAAAAATATTACTGTGACCACAGTGGTTATCAGTGTTCTTTATATGTGGATATACTAATAGAAGAATACAAAGAACATAGAAACTCAAAAAGGGCACCAGCATGGCACATGTATACATATGTAACAAACCTGCATGTTGTGCACATGTACTCTAGAACTTCGAGTATAATAATAAAAAGAAAAAATGTTGACAACAAGAAAAACTCAAAAAGGGAAGTTCAATTAATAAAAATATGGGACATATTTCACTTTTCTTCTGTTATCTCACTTCTGGGAAAGGCTAAATGAATGAAGGTGTTTGGATTGTTATTTGTAATATCTGTATGTCTTAATTTTCTAGTTTCGTTTAGGAAGAGTATAGGCCAGTCTTGTCTCATTTTTTTCATTGCTTTTTTTTTTTTTAACAGATTGCTCCCTCTGAACTGATTCCTTTTAAGCTTTTGCTTGATTTGTCAGATTACCATAGTAGCATTACTGAATCAAATATAAAAAAGGAAAGGAAATGTATCATACATCTACCACCATTACAGATGAACTGTAAATGTCCCTATGTTTAATTACTCTCCTCATTTCTAGGTATAGGTTTGAATCATCTCTTTAAAAATTATCAAAGTAACATGCATAAATTAGAAAAGAAAATGCCATAGAAGCATTTATAATAGAAAGCAATATTTTTCTGCCCCTCCCCTTCCAAATTGCCATTCCACATCCAACAATCAGCTATTATTAACAATTTCTGTTCACTGCCATCATATACAGGTTGAGTATCCCTTATCTGAAATGCTCGGGACCAGAAATGTTTCAGATATCAGATTTTTTTTTGGATTTTGGAATATTTGCATAATATATAATGAGAGATCTTGGAGATGGGACCCAAGCCTAAACATGAAATTCATTTGTTTCATTATACCTCATATACAACTTGAAGATAAGTTTTGATATTTTAAGTAATTTTGTGCATGAAACAAAGTTTGTGTACCTTGAGCTGTCTGAAAACTAAGGTGTCACTATCTTAGTCACATGTGGACAATCTGAGGCATCACATTGGTGCTCAAGGTTTCAGGTTTAGGAGCATTTGGGATTTTGAATTTTTGGATTAGGGATGCTCAACCTGTATTTTTATGTCACCAACCAGAACGTCTGTTGACTTTGATATATGAAGATTTAACTCACATCTCTGACTCGCCGTAGAAGTATACCTGTGAGATGATTTTAAAGGCACCTTTTCCTTTCCTCTATTTGTATGTCATAACATCTGTAAACTGCACATTTACATTTCCCAAGTTAACATTTGCATTTTCTATAACCATAAAGTCTCCCTTATATACACAGATTCCAGAATTGAAAATCAAAAGCATGTGTTTATATAAATATTGTTCACTGGATGGGCCAATTCACACAGTCTTGATTGCCTCACCTTTACTATCTTCCTAATTTTATGACTTTTGTGTCTGCAGGGAGAATGGGAAGTGTCAGGGTCAAATGAAAACTGCCCAAAGCCATTCCACATACCAGCTTGCTTTGAATTTGGATCACACAATTTTTGAGCAATTTGTTTACCCTGTTTGTAGTGTTTTTTTGTTTTGAAGGAGACAGATCATGCATTTTTCATATTACCTTCCCAGGTTTGATGTTAATTTTCTTAAAAGATCCCAAAAGATATTGGTTGTCTTCACTTTTATGATGAATGCGACTTGTGTGTGATACTCAGGGTGCTTTGAAAATTGTTTTTTTTTTTTTTCTTGGTCCCTAGGAGTGTTTTTTGTATTTGATAATTTTTTTCCCAAGTTTTCTCTGTTCTCTATTTTTGGAGCTTCTATTAGATTCCAGAACTGAATTCTCTATTGTATCTTTCCTGTTTTTTTCATCTTTTATATTCTAGTATATATTTTTTACTTTCAACCGTTTTATTAGCAATTGTTTTTAATTCTCCAGAGCTCGCTTGCTCACTCTATATATGTTTAAATGTTGCTTAATAATAGTGAATTTTCTGCTTTACTAGTGCTTTTTAAATTCCTGGAATTTAACCTAAGAAATCATGTCTTATGTTGATCATTTGTTTTTCTGCTGCTTGGTGTCAGATATCTTAACCCTTGATCATTTTATAAGTTGTAGGTACACATGCTTCTCAATTTACAATGGAATTACATCCCGATAAACCCACTGTAAGTTGAAGATATCAGTAAGCCAAAAATCCATTAAATACACCTAAACCTGCTGAACATCATAGCTTAGCCTAACCTGCCTTAAACGTGCTGACAACACTTACATTAGCCTAAAGTTGGGCAAATTCGTCTATAAAAAGCCGATTTCATAATGTGTTGAATATCTCATCTCATTTATTGAATACTGAAAGTGAAAAACTGGTTGTATATGGGCACTCACCATTAACGTACACAGCTGAAAGCACACTGGGCCAAAGAATGTTTGAAACATCTAGAATTGCTGGATGACAGGGATGCCACGGTGACAGGGCAATCAATTTCTCTTCTGGTGAGGCTCAAGAATAAGCACTTGGGCATCCACACAGAATGCTTTAGCGTTTGGGTGGTTTACACTCGTGGTCTCATGGCTGGCTAAAAGCTGTGTCTGGCTGCTGCTGCCCATCATCACAGTCTCCATCCACCACATACTGCTAGCCTGGGAAAAGAGCAAAATTCACAGTACGATTTCTGCTGAATGCATATCGCTTTTACACCATCATAAAGTCAAAAAGTCATGTAAGTTTAACCACTGTAAGGGTCCGTTAGGTATATTTAATGCAACTCAAGATCAACTTTCATCAGATTCTGCAAGCTCTTCCATTTTTGTACTTTTCCCCTCAGCCCTTAGAATTGAGTGTCCTTTTTCTAATTATTTCAAGGTCTGCTCTCAAGGCAGAGGTTGAGATGTGACTGATAAGGCTTAACTTTTCTTCTTTGAATTCTTTGCATTTTAATAGGAGTGAAAGACTGTGGCCTTAGCTAAAAGGAAGCTCAAAATGTGGAATCACCATTTTGAGCAACATATGCTACGCAAACACCAGCTACGTATGTGAGAGTTGGGGAATAATGGTGATGTAGTGGGGAAGGAACATCAGGGGATACCTGATATCACACAGGATGGGTAACCTACCTGTTCCACCAGTCCCTGGGATCTTGGGGGTGGAGTAGATATGTCTTTTCTGATTTCACTGTTTGCACTTACAACATTTTCCCCTATTTATTTACTAGAGACAGGGTCCTGCTGTGTTGGCCAGGCTGATCTCGAACTCCTGGCCTCCCAAAGTGCTGGATTACAGGTACATGCCACAGTGCCTGGCTTTGATAACATTTTTATTATATAGGACGGCAGCAGTGGTCAGTTTTCCCCTCGCACCTTCCCCATAGCTTCACACTTGTGCTGGTTTGCGTAGATCTCTCTCATTAGTGCCCTAACTTGGGAGCAGCCATTTTTTCATTTTGTTCGGTGTGGCCTTCATCGATTTTTTTAGCGTATTGGAAATAGGGCGGTATTTTGTTTTCTAAAGCATTTTCTAAAAACTTCGACTTGCCAGTATGTGCTTATGCTCACTGTTGGATTTAGATTCCCCGGTCCACACCGAAGCGCGATCCTAGTACCTCCAGCGTGAAACAGTCCAGAAAGGAGTCGTCGATGTCCCGGGGCCCTGGCCGGGAGAACGCCTCGCGGGGCGGGCTGGTGGGTGGCTGTGTGCGGGGAGCCGCGGCGAAGCTGCTTCCGCCCGCGTGTCCCGAGCTCGCGGAGGCGGGCTTCCACGGGCGGCCCTGACCCGGTGGTCCTGACGCTCTCCCAGCCAGCGGCGGGAGGCTTCCCAGGGGCGGAGCGAGAGGTTGGCCCGGTAGGATCGGGGGACTGAGCCGAGAGTCACCGCGGTTCCTGCCCCGGGAGCCCGGGCTGGCCACACCCAGGTGAGTGGCACTGTGGGGCGCGGCGCAGCTAGGCTGGCCCCGCGGGTTTTCCTCGGGCTCTCACTTTAGAATAGCAGTTCTGATCTCTTTGGATCACATAAATTATAGAACCAAGTTTTACATAAAATTGCAGGGGCTTTAACCTTTAACCTCCTTGAAATCCATTAACAGACCCACCCAAGGGAGCCAAGAACTGCACATTGACCCCTGCTCTAGAGACAGATGGTGCCATGAGGGATTCCATGCCAGGAGGGGACAGGGGACCAGGGGTTGGTGTGTGGGGACACTGATGCTGGACACTGAGCAAATGAGATTTGTCCCAGTTCTTTGATCTTTACCTAAGTGATTCATTGTTTTGCTGTAATTTTTAGGATGTTTATCAAATCATCAAAGTAGCTCATCTGGAAGATACTTTTCTGTGGGAGATTTCTTGAAAGATTTTTTTGTCTCCATCAGAGTTTTCTGGATTTAGAGTCTCATATTTCTGTGGGATTCTTTTTCAGAATCAAAAATCTTTTCCCTCTCCTTCTGAACATAGGAACTTACTATCCCACCATCTTGGATATTTTAACTTGGTTTTAGTTTTGGAATGAGGCTTACCGTGTGGGAGATTGAAGAATTCTCAACAGAAATCAAAGCACTTTAAAATAGTTTTAAAAATTATGGATAGCAGGAGAAGCTTCTTCTATATAACAAAGTAAGCCTGATACTAGTTGGAGTAGCCTTAACATTGGCTATATTTGCCGACTTGTGTAGTACCTAGTGTTATCAATGACCTGCTTTAGGCTTTGATTTGCTTATGTGTAAAAGGAAGATAATAACTAGATTTTTTTCCCCACATCTCCATCTGATGAAGTCACACAGTCCATACAGTTACATAAAGTATTTTTAAGAGGCAGCCCTGTGTAAGAAGGCTCAGTATCATAGCTGAATGCTGGTGCACTTGGATTTTAGTGCTCAGGTCTTATTCTGGTATTGCATTAACTGCTTTGTCGATTTTAGAGAGTTGATTCTTAAGAAGTCAGTGATCACTTTGCCAACTCTAGTGGTTGAATCTCTATTACGATACAGTTTGCCCTTGGGATATCATACAGCAAGAGTGATGCCTGTTAATTGACCATTTTGGCATCTTATTATATACCTCCTCTAGCAATTGTTTCATTAATCTTAGATTGTTCCATTACTGGAGATTTATTCATGATAATCCACTGATGCCAATCAGCTAAGCATACTTCCCAATGTGTTCATGCCAGTTAAATGTTGCAATACAAGTTCTGGCAATTTCATCTTAACATGTTTGTTCTTCAGCTGAGGTATTTTATTGGGCTAGCAGTCATCTGGATAGGTGGAAAGTTTGGTTCCAATAATTTACTTCAGTTTTATAAACAGAATTACTGTTGCTATGATGCCACAAAGAAAACACTATCATTTGGAGTAGAATTTAGAATGTATACGTGCCAAAATAAGTTCAGTTTATCATAGTGTGAATACTATAAAATATGTACTGAGAGTAATGCCAATCACTTATTTAAATAGTAACAAACCTGTAGTTTTCTCATCTGTGTATGTAATTCACTAGGAAAATGAACCCTACTCTGGTGAAATGACTCAGATTAACCAAAGTTTGAATCCTATTACTAATTGTGTGATCTTGGGGAAGTTAATTTTTTTAATTTGAAATAAAACTTACCTACAATAAAATGCACAAATCTTAAGTTTACAGCTTAAATGTTTACCTATGTGTGCTCCTTGTAACCATCACCTAAATCAAGATGTGAAACATTTCTATCACCCTAAACAGTTTCCTCTTGCCCCTTTACAGTCAACTCCCTGGCCCAGAGCACTATTCTGATTTTTATCACCATAAATTGGGTTTGCCTGTTATTGAACGTCATATAAATGGAATCATAGAGTATCTCTCTTTTGTATATGGCTTCTTTTGTTCAACATAATAGCTGTGAGATTCATCCATGTTGTTTTGTGTAATAGTTTCTTTTTATTGTATCATGAATAACTACAAATTATTTTTGTAGTCTCCTATTGACAGGCATTTGGATTGTTTTCAGATTTTGAACAAAGCTCCTACAAATATTTTACTACAAGTCTTTTGGTCAACACAAGGACTCATTTTTCTGGGCATATACTCAGAAGTGGAATTGCTGGAACATAGGGTATAACTTTTTATTAGAAACAGCCAAAGAGTTTTCCAGAATGGTTGTACCATTTACTATAGCCACCAGCATCATAAGAATGTTCTGTTTGCTCCACATCCTCACCATCAGTATGTGTTACTGTTGTTTTTAATTCTAGCCATTTACTGTGGTTTTAATTTATATTTCCCTGATGATTAGTGATATTGGGCACCTTTTCATATGCTCATTGGCAGTTTCCTTCTTTCTTCACCTGTTTACGTGTCTGTCCAGTCACATAAAAGGGGGTGGAGAAAAGGTGGTGAAGCGGTGTTGTTTGTCTGAGGTAATGCCTGAGATTCATTGTCTCATGCCAAGGAAATCGAAGATGCGGCCATACAAGGAGTGGATTTAGGAGCAGAAAGTTTAATAGGCAAAAGAGAAAAGAGAATAACTCTCTCTCCTGCAGAGAGAGAGGGATGCCAGAGTGGGTCTTCTGGTCCCATGGTGAAGTGCACAGGGTTTTATAGTCTGGCTTGAGGAGGCAGTGTCTGATTTACATAGGGCCCAAAGATTGGTTGAACCAGGTGTGATGTTTATATAACAGTTGAAGAAGCTGGCCACCCCAATCTAATCTTTTATTATGCAAACAGATTTTCTACCTGGCTGGTGCCATGTTGTCTGCTCCCTACTGTACATATGGCTGACAAAGAAAAGGGAAGTTGGAGCCACCATGTTGAACATGCCTAGCCCCTAGGTAGCCTTTTCCTATTGTCACAGCTGCCAGCTTTCACCCGTGCAAGCTTCTAGCTTGCTTCTCTATGTCTGCGGCTCAATTTTACAGGCTGTTTTTTGTTAGAAAAGAAATGATTTGAAGGCTGCTTTTTATTAAAAGGGAAACCTGATCAAGGACTTCCTTACCCTCACTGTCTGCCTAAATAATTTTTTTGAACTCCTATATCATTGGGATCAAAGGATGAGGTGCTGTCTTGCTATTCAGTGGTGATACCAAGAGTTGTGAAAATAGTTTATCCTTAGGCTAAATTACAGTCCTTTGGGTTGCTCATTATATCTTTAGGGTGACATTTGCTGCTGTTACAACCCCAAAACTTCAGTGGCTTAACAAAATAGAAGTATGTTTTTTGCTTACCTGACTGTCCAAAAAGGGTATTCCTGGTAGGTAGGTGTCCTTCCCAGTAGTTACTTAAGAATCCAGGTTCCTTCCATCCTGTGGCTCTGCAGTCTGGTACAGCTTCCAAGATCTTTATGCTTCTCTTTATCAAGCCAGAGAAAGGGAAAGAGTTGGAGAGGAGAGAGACAAAGTGGACTTGTGGAACATTTTTATGGGTCAGGCAAAGAAATAAGCATATACATCTCAGATTCCACTGTTACAAACTTAGTCACATGTAACTGTAAGAGAGACTGGGAAATGTGGCCTTATCTGTGTGCTCAGAAAGCTGGGAATCAGCTAGCAGTTTTTGCCAATACTGTTGAAATGGGTTGTTCTCCAGGATGGTCAATGGATTTCTGTAGTAAATTGAGTCAGGACAAGACTTCTTGATCTTCACGTATCAAGGAATCTGTGTAAGCTGCTAAGAGTTCTTAAATAAGACACCTTCCCATTCTCTGCTTTCTGCAGCATGAAGGAGAGTGACCATGGAAATATAGATAATGATAACTGAAATCCATTCTGTGATGGTACAGAATGCTTGGCTGAAAGCTGTTCTCCATTCATGATGATTTTTTAAATCTAGTATCTAATATTTATAAAATAAATGCAATTTGGAATAAAGTAATCATATTTCATCTTTCATAAATAATCCAGAACTTAGGATTTTAAAAGTTTAAAAAAGTGATTAAGTAGTTTTAGTGACTTATTAGAAAATGACTTCTAAGACAGTCCGTGGGGAAAAGCAAAGCTGTTTCTTTCACACCTTTTTTTCCATTGGGCTACTAATATACTCCTATATTTGAGTTGCCAAGTCATTATACTGTTCTTTTGTCTTAAAATCCTCTATCAACGAGAGAGAAATTACTGTAAATCATTTAAACCTTGGGTCAGCAATCTTTCTAGCTCTTAAGAGTTCAGTACACATCATTGTTAGAGGAAGGAGAGGAAGAAGAAGGTAAAGGGGGAACAGAAAATGATCATGAGTTGAGGTGCAGTAGAGCTTCTCCAATTCCTATGTCTTGTAATAAAGTGGCCTTGTGTTGTCTAAGCTTTTCTTGGACAAATCATTACTCTAGAACTGTCCTGTAAAAATATAATGTGAGCCATATATGTAGTCGATATATCCCAAATACTGTCATTTCAACATGTAGTCAAATGTAATGATTATTGAGGTATTTTACATTTATGTACTAAATCTTTGAAACCCAGTACTTATTTTGCCTATGCTTACATCTCAATTTGGACACTAAGTTATCATTGGAAATACTTGATCTTTATTTAGAGTGTATGAAATGTGTAGTTATAGAGTAGATTCACACACCCAAGTTGTCCAAACATACTTGAAAGTTTTCCAACAGCTGAATCAAGTCTCAATTTTTAAATTTAAATTTAGACTAAGAAACATTAAATAAAATTAAAATTCAATTTCTTATTGCATTAGCCATGTTTCAAGTGCTCAATAGCCACATGTGGCTAGTGGCTACCACACTGACACTACAACTCTAGAGTCTAGATTGAGTTTAGACTGTAAGCTCAAAAAATGTTTGTGGATTGAAAATATTAATGTAGTTTTAAAATGTCTAAAATAGAATTGAAAGTAGTGCTTAATAAATAAGCTAATTTAATTGAATAGCTGGAGGGAAGCCAGACTTCCAAAGCTAAACCTTTATTTCAAAAACTTATTCCTGGTAAACATGCGAAGTGCAGATACTTAGATCAGAATGGCTATACCTTTTTTTGGAGAATGCCTCTTTCTAGCCCAATGGCTGGCAATTCTAGTCAAATTGCATGTTAATTGCCACATAACGGTTAGCTAACCAATTGTGGAGGAAAATTTTAAGCTGTCATTTCTGTAATCCATTGGTTTGCATTTGGGCATTATAAAGTAAACATGAATGTAGTCAAAACAATTAGGGTTGAGATTCTGAAAATAATTATGTCCCATTCCATATTCCATGTCACTCTGCAGAGGAAACAATTTTATTGTTATAGGGGCATGCACATCTAATTTTGAAAATCTAACCTGCCAAATATCCTGTGTGAAGAAAGCACTCTATTCTTTGAGAATGTGACTCTTCTACCCTAATGCCCAGACATCTTTTGTACTACCCAAATTTTACTAGTTCAATGCTTTACTCGAGTCGACCTTCTTTCACAAAGCTTTCCTTGATTACTGTAGTTCACATTGATCCCTCCCTTCCCTGAATTTATTTCTCACTCATGGTAACAACCAAATATTTTGTCAACCAAATACTATGTATCTACAATGCTGTGAATTGTTTCCCATTTGATTATTGAGTGTCATCACATCTAGCACATCCAACTCAGTGATTGATAAGTGGCAGTTGCTTAACATTTGCTTGAGTACACAGAAAACAAGAACACCATAGAAATCCTGGGTAATAAACATAAGAATCTCTGACTGTTCCATGCTTTGTGCTCAGATTGCTTTACTGCATTCTCTTGTCTTGAGTAGTGTCAGGAGCTCGGCTCAACTGGAGAGAGAGTGCTGAACTGCCAGGTGTTGTTGGAATACTGGATTAAAGGACAATCAAAATAAAAGTGACAGTCAAGCTTTTCATCACTTATTGCAATAGTATAAACAAGAGTCTAAACCAGAGAAAGCACCTGCTCCATTCCATTCCTCTCACAGCCCCCATGGAATGGCCCACTAGTTGAAAGTCAAGTAGACCAGCACAGAGAGAGGAGTTGTCCTCACTGTCTGAGAGCTCCAAACAAAAGGCTTGGGCAGTTTTATGGGCCCAGGGCCTAGCAGGAGGCAGAGGGAAGGGCTAGGAGTGCAAAAGCACTGAGTCAGGGTGGAGCAAATCATCTTCGAGTTTTCCCGATAAGGATACCTCTAAATGGAGGCAGCTGAGCCAGGAATGCAGCCATGTGTAAGGTCATGGTGGACCAGGGGACTGTAATGACTTCCAGAGACTGCAGTGCACTGGCAGTGCCACTAAGTCTGATGTGGAGAGAGCAGCTTTCACCCGTGAGGTCTGTCAGATAAAGTGTTTGTAATTGCCTATGATCAGGCCTGAAAAATCACTCAGGTTTTTTTTTTTGCCAGGAACCAGGCTCCTCAAGTAGGAAATCACTTCTATTGTCAAGGCCCAAAACTACTCTCATCTATTCTAGAAGGCACATTTTCTCACACTTTAACATCTCTGAAAGCAGGATGCATTTTACAATTGATGTCCTACAATTGTAGTGTCAGGTAACAGTTTATGATCTAGTTCTATGAAAAGCTTCTTTTGACACTTGTGTAAAGTCAAGAAAACACTGGCATCAAAAAGTCTTAGGTTTGATGAGATACAGTATTCTTTTACATCATAAACAGTGTCTACATCACATCTAGAGTTTGGCAGGTTTTGTCTTTGGCATCTCCATTTTAGTCCTTCCTAACATGTTCCAGTGAGCTTCCCAAGACTATGTAAATTCTTTGTCTGCCAGCTGAGAAGAATACAGTTTCTTTTCTGTTTTTTCTTTGACCAAAGTCTCTTGTTCTGTAAAGGTCAACATAGTCTTAAAAAAACCCTATCAGATCATATATCCTTTTTTTTCCCTTACTGATGTTTACCTTTTCCAGGGATTTTTGGAATCTTAAATCATGCCAAGCCTTTCTGGGAATAGCTTGAAGAATTTTGAGAAATAAGTGACATGACTAAAAATGAAATTTCACTCATTTGGCTAGCTGATGGGTCTAAAGTGGAAGGAGTTGGGAAGACCCTTCACACATGCAATGGATCCCCTCACTTGACTCTGTTGGGACTGCTGTGAACTGTCTTAAGCTCTGCCAGGGCAGAACAAATGAATTAAACTGTGGAATGTTCTGTGGGCTTCAGCACCCAATTGGAACCATTTTCCCCAAATCCAACTGTTAAACCTGTTTAGGATTAAGGACTGGGGATAAGATTCTGATGACATTCCAGTGGTGAACATCTGCACTGTTATTTGTCTTTAATGCAATTTGGGAACTAAATTCAAATGGTAGATAGGAGGAGGAAACCAAAGGATCCTCAGGGACCACATAAAAAATGTGGCAAGCAAAAGCCCTTTTATAGAAAAAAGATTTGGAGACCAAATTTTGGGATAGTGGTCCTGACAGCCCTCTCTGCCAATGACTGAACAAGAGGCTTAGGCACTGGACTCCCTGAAATGGACTCTACCTTCCTTCTTTTGTGTGACCCTTCTTTACCTTTTCCATATATTCTCTCTTCTAACACTCTCCTTAGCCTTGGGTTATTCTGATGTGCACCCCGCTCAAGAACCACTGGCTAGACTTTAGATATAGACAGCATGTTTAGGTAGATGTATAGTAACACCTTCTGTTCATTTTCTGCCTTCTTGAAATTTGTTTTAGTTACCCATCGCTGCATAATAAGTTACCCCAAAGCTAAGTGGCAGAAAAACTACATGTATTATCTCACTCTTTCTGTGCATTAGGAGCCTGGGCATGGCTTAGCTGGGTACTCTGGTTCTAGGTCTCTCACAGGATACAATCAAGGTGTTGGCTAGGATGCACCCATCTCAGGGATTAACTGGGAAATGATCTGCTTCCAAGCTCACTTGGGGTTGTTAGCAAGGTTCAGTTCCTTTGGGTTGTTGGACTAAAGGTCTCAGTTTCTTATGAGCTGTTGACCAAGGGCTGCCCTGAGTTCCTTACGATAAGTGCCTCTCCCTAGTGCAGTTTACAGCAAGGTAGCTGACTTCATCAGAGCAGGCGAGTGAGAGGGCTGGAGGGAGTGTGAGAAAGACAGAAGTTCCAGTCTCCTAACCTGATCTCAGAAGTGACATTCCGTTACTTTTACTGTACTCTGTTTGTTAGAAATGACTCACTCACTAGTTTCAACCTACACTCAAGAGAACATTATATAAGAGTGTGAATTGGGAGACATTTTAGAAGCTGTCTACCACAGAATGCAAATTATTGCATGAATGATATACCATTTAGAACAAGGGTATGGGTTTGAATTCTATTCCACATGTCTTGAATGTAATAATGTCACAGCGTTAAAAATTCAACTTGAATCTGACAGTCCCCATCCTACTGGAATAGCTGGAAGTTTTATCTCAGTCATTAGCGGGGAACCCCTCACCTTGTCACACACACTCATGCTTGTGCTGAGGTTCCAGGGTCATGAGCACCACCAAAGCCCTCGGGAAACTCTTCAGTTATCAATTGCCTGTCCACACTGCTTACTTCCAAGTTAGTTGTGGTGCTCTCAGCTCCATAGGCAGTGCTTTCGGGGCCAGTAGCCTTGCTGCTGCTGTGCCATCCTGGGGCAGGGAGTCTTTGTCAAGGCTGAGAGCTCCTGTTCCCAAGACCTGGCCACCCTCAATGTACCCTGTAGTCACCCTCTTTGGAGCATGACTACTAAGAGGAACACAGGCCACCAAACTATATGTGTACGTAATCTGGCTTTTGTTGTTAGTGTAGAAGTGACATACATTCTCTTGCAGTTTTCTACATTCTAAGCCAAAGTCTGAACTCAGCGTTCTATGACCTAGAATAAGCAAGACATTTTCCACAAATATAACTATAAGTAATCTTCAACGTAAAATCTATATTACAAAAGCAGAACACAAAACGTCCTTGTTGTAGTTAATGTAGAATCTTACAGAATTGTTCTCACAAAACAACAGCAGCAACAACAACAACAATACACACACACACAATGATAACAAAATGAAGAGTACACATAATCTTCCAAGAAAGAAAGCTTCATCCCAACTTGGTTAATGGGATGTTTATATTCTTAGTGTCTTCAGGATACCTTCTGTGTGCATACATATCTTTTGGTTTTTTAGTTTATCCATATAGCAAGATGTAATGGCCATCTGTGTCAACTGTCTTTTGATTTTTTCAAAATTCTTTGACAAATTGCAATATGAGTCCTGTGCTCTCTGGCTTTAGCTCTACTTGGCCAAGACTGATTTCCATTCATGCATTATAATAAGCACCCCAATAATAGTGCAGGTTGTGTTTGGATCTGGTGGTTCCATACCACGTAGCCCTAGACCTTGATTTATTTTTATCTGCTCCTTTGGACCCTTAGGATAAATACAGAGTACATGTATGTTTTAAATCAGCTCTCATATTCCACCTTATGACAGGCTTTACTTTGTAACAGATTAACTCACTCTTCCCTTTCACCTTACATATCCTGCAGACTTCCAAGGAATGAAGGAAAAGATTGCAGTTACCAGTGTGGGATTGATATGGTTTGGCTCTGTGTCCCCACCCAAATCTCATCTCGAATTGTAATCCCCACATGTCAGAGGAGGGGCCTGGTGGGAGATGATTGGATCACGGGGGCAGATTTCTCCTCTGCTGTTCTTGTGATAGTGAGTGAGTTCTCATGACAGCTGATGGTTTTAAAGTGAGGCACTTCCCCGCCTCCCTCTAGCACGCTCGCTAATGCCGCCATGTAACGTGTGCCTTTGCTTCCCCTTCACCTTCCACCATGATTATAAGTTTCCTGAGGCCTCCCCAGCCATGTGGAACTGTGAATCAATTAAATTATTTTCTTTATAAATTACCCACTCTCAGGTTGTATCTATAGCAATGTGAAAACAGACTAACAGTGATGTATCCCTTGTCCCAGCTTTGGGGCAGATCTGTGTCAGAGGCAGTGGTTAGTCTCAGGGACAAAACCCCTTTCTGGTAGGGGTTTTGATTTTTGTAAACCTTGGCTTTGATTCTGTCATCCTCTCCTGAGAAGGTAGGTAGGTGGCTTCTGTGCTCTGTGTTGTTCAGGGAAACGGATGCTTTGATTCTCATGTGGTGATATAGTTTGGATATTTGTCCCTGCCCAAATCTCATTTTGAAATTTAATCCCCAGTGTTGGAGGCAGAGGTGGGGCCTGGTGGGAGGTGTTTGGGTCATGGGGGTGGATCCATCATGGCTTTGTGCTGTCTTCCTAATAGTGAGTTCTCATGAGACCTAGTTGCTTGTGTGGCACCTCCCCCTCACTATCCCTCTCTCTTGCTCCTCCTTTCACCATGTGATGTGCCTGCTTTCCCTTTGTCTTCTGCCATGATTGGAAGCCTCCTGAGGCCCACCCAGAAGCAGATGCTGCTATACTTCCTGTACAGCCTGCAGAACTATGAGCCAATCAAACCTCTTTTCTTTACCCAGCCTCGGGCATTTCTTTATCGTAATGCAAGAATGGACTAACACAGGCCTGGAAAATGGCTGGTCGCGAGAGGGGCGGCCGGTTGCTGGGGAGGGAGTCGGGGCTGTGTGGGGGCATTGGTTCAGCCCCAGCGGAGTCCGAGTCGGGGTTTGCAGCATGTTTTGTGGTGATGTTTCCAATCTCTTTCCCAACCAATGGATCAGGACGGCGATCAGTAGCTTGGACGGTCGCGGATCCTGGCTCCGCAAACGTTAAAGGAAATTGATGATGTCTATGAAAAATATAAGAAAGCAATGATTCATTCCATGTTCATTAAGTGAGGGAGTGTCACAAGAAGATGAATTTCAAGAACTATTTGAAGAAAGAGAAAGAGAATGGTGAGTTCTTCTTCTAGGGTACCATTTGGAAAATGGCTATTCCCAGTGAATTATCCTTCCCAAATAGCATTTTGATGCTGTTGTTCCTTTCTTTGAGGTTCACAATGGTTCTTAATTTTCATCTAATTTATGAGACCCAGTTATCCAGCACATGAGCTATGGGAGGGCCTTTCCAACATAGCTCACAATAAGCTTACTGCTCTGGCTTGGCAAAAACACTCCTCTGCTCCTCAAACACTCCTTCTCCACTGTGCTCTGGGATGTAGCACCTGTCAGTCCTTTACTCAGAATGCTCTCACTCTGTTGAGCTACATGTTTTTCCTCTTCTGAAATTCTGTTTGAGACCCATCACTCTAGGAAGGCTTCCCTACTGGCTCACTTTGATTTGATGGTAAGTATGTTTCACATTCTGCTGAGACTGTGAGCCTTTCATGAGAAGGGACTGTGTGGCACTAGCATGTTAATATGTGGGTGCCCAATAAGTGGTAGCTGGCTGGTTGTGCCAGGATCCCCTTGGTACTTATGCTACATTCCACTCACTGCTGTGGGCTCAACTTCCATCCTTTGTGCCAGGAAAGAAAGCCATGGGAGAGATAGGATGTGACCAGAGAAGAAAGCCTAGGAATCACAGAAAATGTGTGTGACAGTAGAGACAAAGTAATGCAAACTGCAATGATGAATTTTAGTTATGGTTGCCATGTGTATTTGGGAAAGGAATTAGATGATTCTGATTAGCACCCCTCATTAAGAACCAGACCTGGCCGGGCACGGTGGCTCATGCCTGTAATCCCAGCACTTTGGGAGGCTGAGGCGGGCAGATCACGAGGTCAGGAGATCGAGACTCATGCTGGCTAACACGGTGAAACCCCATCTCTACTAAAAATACAAAAAAATTAGCCGGGCGTGGTGGCAGGTGCCTGTAGGGAGGCTGAGGCAGGAGAATGGTGTGAACCCAGGAGGCGGAGCTTGCAGTGAGCCCAGATCGGGCTACTGCACTCCAGCCTGGGTGACAGTGAGACTCCATCTCAAAAAAACAAAACAAAACAAAACAAAACAAAAACCCAGACCTGTGGACAGGACTGGCTATATACGTATATACGTTGTGGAGCTTAGTGCAAAATGAAAATATGGGGCTTGGGCTCAGAAACTTAAGAATTTCAAGACAGCAATAGCAAGGCATTAAACCAAATTCAGGGACCTTCTCACTGTAAGGCCCTGAGTGACCCAATTGTGCAGCTTGCGCATCTTGTCTATAAAAGATTAACAAGTAAGAGACAGAAGGTTGAATGTGACTCACCGAAAATAGAGATTTCTTTATTTAAAATCAAAACCAAAAAAGCCTATTACATTCCCAATAAAAATTATAGAGTCATGTTAGACTAAATCTTCTTGGTCTCATGGGATACAAAGAGAACTGACTCTATCTTCAATAAGTCAGAGATTTTCAAGTAGAGAAAGTCACCGACTATGTGCTATCTCTGAGAGTAGGAGTGAGTCAGATTTTTATGTTGATAAGAAGAGTGGGCCAGGCACGGTGGCTCACGCTTATAATCGTAGCACTTTGGGAGGCCGAGGTGGGGGGATGCAACATGGAGAAACCCCATCTCTACTAAAAATACAAAATTAGCCGGGTATGGTGGCACATGCCTATAATCCCAGCTACTCAGGAGGCCGAAGCAGGAGGATCACTTGACCATGAAGGTGGAGGTTGCAGTGGGCTGAGATCATGCCATTGCACTCCAGCCTGGGCAACAAGAGCGAAGCTCCGTCTAAAAAAAAAAAAAAAAAAAAAAGTGAACTTTTTATGTTGAAAAACATGGCTCTAGAAGAGACATAAATTTGGATATGAAAGATTGCTGTGAGATTTGCAAGAGACAGTGATTGGTCTGTCTATACCTTCATTCAATAAATATTCATGGCCTAATATATTGCCAAAAGCCAAGCTGCATGGCCAACTTCCTCTTGTATTGTGGAAATTTCCTGTGCTTGCTTTACTTTGGGGCTTTTGGGACATAGGGTGTTTATCAATGCCTGTGAATGGGAAGGGGCAGGAGCAGGCTTGGGCAGAGGGAGAACTCTGAATTGAGTTGCAGGTCCAACAAAGCCTGGGGATCTGCATTTCTTTTTTGTTTATTCTTCTTTTAGAGACAGGGTCTCACACTGTTGCCCAGACTGGAGTGCAGGGGCACAATCATAGCCTCAAACCCCTGGTCTCAAGTGATCCTTCCTCCTCAGCCTCCTGAGTAGCTGGGACTATAGATGCATGTCACCAGTACCAGCTAACTTTTTTTTTTTTTGAGACAGAGTCTCACTCTGTCACCCAGACTGGAGTGCAGTGGTATGATCTCCGCTCACTGCAACCTCCACCTCCCAGGTTCAAGCAATTCTTGTGCCTCAGCCTCCTGAGTAGCTGAGATTACAGGCATGCACCACCATGCTCAGCTAATTTTTGTATTTTTAGTAAAGACGGGGTTTCATCATGTTTACCAGGCTGGTCTCAAACTCCTGACTTCAACTGATCTGCCTGCCTCGGCCTCCCAAAGTTCTGCGATTATAGGCATGAACCACTGCACTTGACCCAATTTTTTATTTTATTTTTATTTTTATTTTATTTTTTTTGTAGAGATGGGGGTCTCACCATGCTGCCAGGGTGATCTGAAACTCTTGGCACTAAGCAATACTCTCACCTCAGCCTCCCAAAGTGCTGGGATTACAGGCATGAGCCACCACGTCTGGCCAGAATCTGCATTTCTACACAAGTTTCCAGTTAATGCCCATGTGACTGATCATGGCCACAGTTTGAATAGCAAAGTTCTGTAGCAAACTGACTGGTTTTCAGCTGATAATAAAACAATGAAGGAAGAAATGAACAACTGCTAACTGTGTCTATGGGTTCTTCATGGTTTCTTTTTTAATTATAATGATGTGGAAAAACTGTGAGCTATGCTTAATTATGTGATGAAAATGCAAATAATACTTTCCCTTCATGGTCTTAAAGAAATATTTTTGAAGATTAATGAGGTGAATGATTGAAAGGCTGGTAGAGTTTCCAGAAAGCATGGTACTGCTTTAGTGCTTGGCATGAATATGTAGTGGAGTCCACAGGTGAGTATTTCCTCGGAAAGTTGTTATGTGATTCTATTATATTTCAGAAAAGGAGACTTCAGAAACTGCATTTGAAAGTTTCTTATTCACATCACTGTTCTTAGGGACAGTGGGCACAGAGGTTTGGGCATTTTACTGCAGCTTTCCCTGCTGAGTTAGTGTAACCACAACCATATTCCGTGATTAGCCTATTAAGCTCCCAAGCCCTGGGAATGGGATTGTTTCTTCCTGAAGGTATAGAGTTGGAGGTGAGCACTGCAGAAGGCATAACTATACAGTCTAGAGATTTATTTTTTGAAAACAAACCAGAATTTAGTAATCTGAAAGAGTGTTATCCATCAGGGTGTCTGCTTATAAGACCACAAATGTATTTCAAGGATATTGCAGTTGCTCAACACTCAGTAATTCCATCTGCCCTTTTGGATATCCACGTCAACTGGCCTTTCTCAGCCAGGGCTCTGTGCAAGAATTAAGCCTGATTCCCTAAAGGTATCCATTGTATATAGTACATATTGTATGTGATAGGAATTAACTTCTCTTCTGTACATTTAGATTGGTACTAATTATGTTCCATTCTTGGTAAAATAAGAGTCACTTAAATTCTTTTCTGTGTTTTGTGGTTCAGATAAGGAACCTGGATGGAAAGGCTGCCAGTGATTCTTATTGTTTTCATAGAGCTATAATTATTAACTGGCAGATTGCTGTGTAATTAGTTCCTGCTATAATTATTAATTACAATAATTTAATAATTATTAAATTGAAGGAAGAAGGAGGGAGTCAGAAGTTTAAAGAAACAGTAACATATTTGCAACCTCCATTTGAGCTGGGCCAGGAAAATAGTCTTTGACTTAACACCAAAAAGTAGTATAGTGCAGCTGAAGATTTTCAGAGGCGGAGTAGAGGAGGAGAGAGGTAGAGGCAAGTCTGGAGTAAAGATCTCGAGCAGCACTGTCCAATAGAAATACAATGTGAGGCCGGGAGTGGTGGCTCAAGCCTGTAATCCCAGCACTTTGGGAGGCTGAGGCTGGTGGATCATGTGAGGTCAGGAGTTCAAGACCAGTCTGGCCAACATGGTGAAACCCTTTCTCTGCTAAAAATACAAAAATCAGCCAGGGGTGTTGTCGGGTAGCTGTAATCCCAGCTACTCGGGATGCTGAGGCAGGAGAATCGCTTGGGAGGCGGAGGTTGCGGTGAGCCAAGATCACACCACTGCACTCCAGCTAGGGTGACAGAGCAAGACTCCATATTAAAAAAAAAAAAAAAATCACAATGTGAACCTCATTTTAAAAAGTAAAAAAGATAAAATTAACTATAATAATATATATCATTTAACCCAAAGTGTTTTTAAATTATGATCAATATAATTATTTTTAATGAGAATTTTACATTCTTTTTTTGTATTCACCTTCAAAACCTTGTATGTATTGGATTTCCAGCACCACATCTCAGATTGGAATTGTCACACTTCAGTTGCTCAGTAGTCACCTGTAGCTAGTGCTACTGCATTGGACAGCACAGCTCTAGATGCCATATCACTACAAAGATTATGTAATTTATAATTAAACAGTAAAGTTGTATTTTTCAAAATGTCATAAAATACAAATATGCTAAAAGTAAAAATAAGTCATTTGTAGATTTTCTCTTTTTTTCCTCTCTCTCTTCCATCTTTCCTTCTCCCTCCATTCCTTCTGTCTAAGCCTTGGGGCACTCTACAATAGAGAGGTCAGGGAGAACAGGAGGCCTAGGTAAAGGGACTGAAAAAAGACCGGTGAGGCAGGAGGAGAGCCAGGAGAGTGTGGTGCTCCAGAAGCCATGGTATCCTGGAACCAGCTTCTGTCAGTTCACGAGGGCTGATTGGTAAATTTTCTGGAATTTAGTAAACAGGTTGAAGTATGGTCATTAGTAAAAATTATATAATTTAAATAAATTGTACTTTTAAAAAGTAGTACTCAAAACTCATTTCTTCTTATTTTTTTTTTAAAAATGAGGATTTATTTGACAAGTTTTACTTAGCTCAATATACGTAAAAGGAAATCACAGTACAATGGAAGACTTAAATCAAGGCCTCAGAATCTCATACAAACATCAAGACCAAAATCCTAAAGTATTGGTATTGCATCTCAAATTTTTCCCATTAACTTAAAAAAAAACAAAACTTAAACTTATGTGCCTTACAGGTTATTAAATAAAACTAGAATTAACAAAGAAGCCAAAATGTTTCACTTTAATTGTAGACAGACACAGCTCCTATATTGAGTTTTACAACAAAAAAACCCATGTCTTTCAGCATGCATCTACACAGTGTTCAATGTAATGTAGCAAAGGGCAACAGTGAACATAATTCAACTCCTTTTACCTCAATACACTTACTGCTTAAGAACATCCTATAATATAACTAACTTGAGCAAAGCTGGAACTTGTTTAACAGTTATAGTTTACTCAACTTCAGTGTTACATCCTAGATGAGTATTGTGTTAAAAAATACTGAGCCTTAAGTCTTCATAACAATCCTGATTTCTACTTAGAGAGTAAGCATAAATCATAAGTTTGTATTGCAGAAACTGTTAAACTGAAGTTTTGGGTTTTTCTTAAAAAAAAAATTGAGCAAGGGTCAGTGATCAATTATATTCCCCATCCACCACTCATACTGGACATGGTAGACATCCCTCCCATTCCATTCACACCTATAGATGCACAGCTTCCATTACTGTAGTAGCTGCTGTTCATTGCTCCTTGGCTACCTATGCAATGTCTGATTGAAAATCACATGAGTTTTCCTGTAAAACTTGGTCAAATCCACTCATGCTGCTGTGGCCACCATAGCCACCTCCATAACCACCACTCAGCTGCGGGCTGGCTGGGCCACCATAACTGGACTGGATTGACAAGCCCATGCCCCCCATCATTTGGCTACCGTAAGCAGTACCGCTGGCTCCTGCTGCACAATTCAAGAAGGGTTCTACATAGCTGTGTTGCATATTTGCTTTGTCTTTTGACATAGCTGCCACAGCATCTTCATGAGTTGCAAACTCAACATCTGCTTCACCAGTTACTCTGCCATCAGGACCAATTTCAATGTGTACCCTCACAGCATTGAGCAGTCAAAAAAATTACAAATGTCATTCTCAGTAGCTCTGTAAGGTAATCCACACGTATATACAGTGTCCTGTTGTGCTCTGGAAGGTAGAGCCACCATCCCCATATTTGTGATCAGACATTCCTGAAAAACAATAATTGAGGTCTCTTCCAAATCTATCTGACCCAAATCCATAGCCATAGCCATTATAATTGTCACAGGCTCCATATCCTCCACCATAAGCACCATGCCTCATCCTCTGAAAGCCAGCTCCTCTGCCAATGCTGTTAAAACCTCTGCCAGAACCAGGTCTGTCATGGGACCTGGCCGCCGCATGGCCATAAGCTTTTATGGTGGATTGTAGTGAGTTCCAACTTCAGCCCTGCTGCTTTTAAAGATTTCAATATACCTGTGCCCTATTCTTTCCTTGTGTTTCTTTAGAGCCTTTTCGGTTATTTTCTGCGAAGCAAACTGCACGAAGACCTCCCCTATACTCCTCCCCTGGAGTCCACTGGCAATGTTATCCGATTTGGCACGATTTCCAACCCTGAGAAGAACTGAACAATTTCTTCCTTGCTGCATTCAAAGGGAAGTCCTCTAAGCTGTACAAAGCCATCATTGGCCGTGTCAGGACTATTTCGACCGGTATGCTTCAACACCCAATCCATTTCAACGTTGTTTGACTTGAATGCTTCAACAAAACTGTGTCCCATAGTTTCTCTGTCCTTTTTCAGGGCCAATTTGACTTCATTTTCTGATTCAAGTTCAACAAAAGCCTTGTCACCCAGCCTGCCTTCTCTGTTGTAGATGAAACGAATACCTTGAGCCTTATTTTGAATTTTGCAGTCAGAAGAAACGCTGCACTTCATCGGCCAAGCAAGACCAGGGCAAGCCGTGGACCTTCAACATAAACCCCTCGCCACCTTTGGTGCCCAACATCATTGTCTCTTACCTGGTCTGGTGTCAAAACAGACCAGACACCTGACTTCGGCAGGGCTAAAAAGAAATGGCCCACTTCTTAATTATTTTGGTAGACTTTACTAGTATCTATGCTCCTGAGATTATGGCTGTTGCATCTGTGTGGTGGAAATACTACATAATGGAGTGTACTACTGTTCATCTCTTTCTAACTCAGCAGTCACGCTGGTAGACTGAAATTGGCCATAGTGGAAGTACTTACATCACAGAAATCAGCAAAGGCAACAAATTGGAACTTTTGAAAATTTTTCTGGAGAACCTGTTGTTAAACATTTACCAGCACACTACTGCCTGGAAGCCAAGAGAAGATGGAGTATCAAGGGGAGAGGAATCAGTTGTATCAAGTGCTGCTAAGATGAGGTTAGTAACGTAAGGTTTGGAAATTGAACATTGGATTAAGCTCCATGGATTTCACAAGGACTAAAAAAGACAAAATCGCTGCCTTTGTGGAACTTACATTCTGATGATTGACTTGGAAATTTAATAGCAAATAGAACAGAAAAAAATGTCCTGCCTTCATGGGTTGGGATGTAGTAGGCATTTTGAAGGACCTGCTGTTCTTGGAATAGTAAATTTCATTCTCTCCACCTTCTAAGCTTTGTATGTTCTCTGTGTTTAGACTGCCCTTTGCTGTCTTATTCTGCTGGTGTACATCTGTCTATTCATTTCTTTAGGATTCAGCTCAAATGTGTATTCCTTTGGGCAGCTGTCTCTGAACTTTGCAGGCAAAATTAAATGCTTGCCCTGAATATTCCTGTGTTTTTCTTATGCCTGTATTTTTCTCATTGCTGTAATGATGGCCCATTTCTACATCTTTCCTTGATGAGCCCACTGACTGATAATGGCTGCGATCTTCATCTTTGTATCTCAGGGCCTGCCACCATCCTTGGCACATAGTAGATCCTATGTTTCTCTACATCTTTAGAGACTGAAGGAATCAAGTAATTAACCTGGGATTAAGATATTGAGATCTGATCCAAGGCAGAGGGACCACAAGACCTACTCCATGGGGGGATGTAAATGGTTGTCAGTAGAACTGTGCTTATTTCTGTCTCTGGACCATTTGACACTCTGTCTTTATCATTCTCTCTCCTGATTTGAATATCTAATCTGGGGCCTGAAACAATCAATGTGCTATATTATAAAATAAAACTTGTTTGCTTTTCTATTCAGAGACCTTTTATTGCTAAAATTTTCCACTTGTTACCTTTTCTTTCTCAATCAATTTACACTTTGAATTTATTCATTTGTTTAGCAATTTCCATTTTATTTTCATCTCCTCATGTTTTCTTAAAACTAAGTTACTTCTTAGCATCATGGTTACATCAGGGATCATTTGGTTGCAAGGAACAAAAACATGTTCAATCTACTTTAATAAGCAGCAGTTTATTGCATTGATATAATAGGCAATGTCATGGGCATCCACAGGCAGGGACTTAATACAACAGGGTCTCTTGTGTTCCACATGAGCACTTGTACTGAACTGTCAGTCATCACATGGACTCTCACCCTTGCTTCTCTCTTTGCTTTTATTCACTCTCTCCTTAGCCATCTTTCTTTTCTCGCATGTCTAAAACAGGGCTGCCAGAACCCATCACCTGATAGCTCCACTCAGCTGACTTTGTTTCACATTCCCATGTGAGAGGATCCGGTGAGTTAGCCAGGTCTATGAACCACATGTAACCTGGGATCCTATCTCGATGAAAGGGTGTGTTCTTCATTTCCTAGGGATGTTGTAGCAAATTACCACAAACTTGGTGGCTAAAAAACCACAGAAATGTATTCTCTCACAGTTCTGGAGACCAAAAGTCCAAAATCAAGATGTCAGCAGTGTTCCTTCTGGAGTCTCTGAGGGAGAATCTGTTCCATGTTTTTCTTTAAAAAAAAAAAAAAAATTTTTTTAAGAGATGGTCTTGCTATGTTGCCCAAGCTGGTGTTGAACTCCTGGCCTCAAGCAATCCTCCCACATCAGCCTCCTAAAATGCTGGGATTACAGGCATGAGCCACTGCCCCTGGTCTTATTTCATGCCTCTCCTTCTCCTAGCTTGTTGTGGCTCCAGCAATCCTTGGTGCTTCTTGATTTGTAGACACATCATGCCAATCTCTACTTAGTCACGTGGTTTTTCCTTGTGTCCCTCTGTGTCTGTCTCTTCTGTTTCTTACAAGGGCACTGATTATTAGATTAAGGGCCACCCTAATCCAGGATGATCACATTTCGAGATCTTTACCTTAATTATATCAGCAAAGACTCAATTCCAAGTAAGGTCATATTAGGGTACCAGGTAGACATATCTTCTGTGGGCCACTATTGGACCCACTATGGGAGGTGTATGGGAGTATATGAGAGGTATAGTCAAAGGCTACCAGCATGGCTTTGAGGCCCCATTGCAGGTGCCAGTAAATGCCTAGTTGTTCCACACCTCTACCAGGAATACTTGTCACTTTATCATTTTGAACACTTACTTTCAATTAACATGTTCTGCTGAAATGTCCCTTTCTCTAAATAACTTTCAGGGACTCACATCCCTTAGGGCGGAATTAATGACTTGCCTTTCCCATTTCCCATAGCATTTTATACACACCTCTGACAACACTTGCCATTTTCATTTATAGCACTTTGTTTACGTGTCCATTTTCCCACTTAAGTTGTGGACTTTTCCTGGGTGGGGCCTGTTCTTTACTCAGTTTTGCTTCCGCAGTGTCAAGCACAGGATCCAACTTTGAGTTATGTTTGTGGAATTGCGTTGAAAGTCTGGGCTTCATGGATTGAATTTCTTCCCTTCCAGCCTTAGTGTTACTTGATTCAATTGTGTTAATTGTCCATTCCAGCCAGTTTCGTCTGGGATTGTACTCTGTTGTGTTCTCTGTTACATGCTCAGCTCTGCCCCGTCTTTCCTGCTGCCACAACCTATGTTAGCCCTCATCAGCATACTTCTGCTGCCCAAATTCTTTAGGCCCTGCATTCTCAAGTTGTCCCCACCACCCCTTCTGTTCAGGTTAATCTTCCCTTTTGCATGCATGTGCCCACACATGGGGATCCACTTTACATGTTTATCTTAGCCATGGTCGATGCAGTTAGGATTTCCAAATTACATTATCAGTACCAAATTAGGTTTGAAAAAGGAGAGGGAGCATTTCTTTCTTTTGCAATCTTGTCACAGTGTTTCCTGTGGTCCCAGAAATCATGGTGGAAAGAAAATTGGGATTTCAGGAAACATTGCTTGATTCTGCAGGAAGTGAACAACGTTTTCTAATGATTTCCAGAAAAAGAAATGTCATATTTTTCTGGAGTACTTTAGGAGGAAGTAGTGCAGTCAGTGGTGGGAAATATGTCCTCCACTCCCTGTTAAGTTCTCTGTGGCAGATCTTACATATTGCCAGTGAGTTCCTGCTCTTATTTAAAGAATGAAGATAATGATATTCTGCAGCTATGAATTTTGAGTTCAACTATGTAGTTGCTGATTTTCTGCCTACTGGGTTTGTCCATTTCCAATACAGGGGTGTCAATATCTTCACTATCATAGTGGATTCTTCTATTTCCCATTGTAGTTCTGTCAGTTTTTGCCTTATGTATTTTGATGCTCTGTTGGTAGATGCATACAAATTAAGGACTGTTATGTCTTCTTGGAGAATTGGCCCCTTTACCATTATATAATGTCCCTCTTTATCCCTGATAACTTTTCTTGCTCTGAAGTCTGCTGTTTCTGAAATTAAGGCAGCTACTTCAACTTTCTTTTGATTAGTGTTAGCATGATATCTCTTTCTCTATCCATTTATATTTAATCTATATGTGTCTTTATATTTAAAGTTGGTTTCTTTTGTTTCCTTTTGTTTGTGTATGTAAAATGCAATCTTCCTTCTGCAGCTTTCTTTATTGAAGTGTTTGGTATATATTTGGTGCTAGCATGGCCATTGCTAATTCATGAATTTTTTTTTACTTTATTTATTTGTAATTTCAACTTTTATTTTAGAATCATGGGGTACATGTGCCAGTTTGTTACATGGTATATTGTGTGATGTTGGGGAGCCAGAGGGGAAAATAAACCACCTTTCCTATAAAGGCACAAAAGAATTACATCCAATGTCTCCTCAGAAATCATATAAGGAAGATGAAAGTAGAATGAAATATTTAAAGTGTTAAGAGAAAAAAACCCCCACCAACCTAGAATTGTTTATCCTATAAAATTATCCTTCAAAGTGAGGGAGGAATAAAAACTCTCGGACAAAAATTGAGATAATTTGTTGCCGGTAGACCTGCCTTGCAAGAAATGTTAAAAGTTCTTCCAAGAGAAGTAAATAATATGAGTCAGAAACTCAGATCTACATAAGGAAAGGAAGAGATCACAGAAGAAATAAGTGAAGGTAAAAGAAACACTTCTATTTTTCTTATTGTGAGTTGACCTAACAGATAAGTTTGTTCAAAGTAATAATAATTATAACAATGTATCTGATTAATATAGTTTATGTGTAAGTGAAAAACAGTCATTTTACTTTTCATTTTCTACAGTTTTAATGATATACCTAGGTGTAGTTTTTCTGGAATTTATCTCACTTGGTGTTCTCTGAGTTTATTGGATCCTTGGTTTGTTTTCTGATGTTAATTTGGGAAAGTCTCTGTTTTTACTGCTTTAAATATTGTGTCTGTTCTTTTTTCCTTCTTCCCTTTCTGGTATTCCCATTATGAGTATGTTACACCTTTGCAGTTGTCCTGAAATTCTTAGATACTATTGTTTATTTATTTTTAGTTTTTTTCTCTTTGCTTTTCCACTTTGCAAGTTTCCATTGTCAAATCCTCAAGCTCAGAAATTATTTCTTCAGCTATGTCCAGTCTACCTGTGACCCCAATAAAGGCATTCTTCATTTTTGTTAGTGTTTTTAACCTCTAGCATCTCTTTTTTATGCTTCCTTAGAATTTCCATTCTGTGCTTAAGATATCCATCTGTTCTTGCAAATTGTCTACTTTTTCCACTCACCCTTAGCATATTAATCATAGTTATTTTATATTTATAGTCTGATAATTTTAACATCCATACCATATCAGGGTCTGGTTGTGATGCTTGCTTTGTCTCTTTAAACTGTGTTTTTTGCCTTTTAGTATGCCTTATAACATTTTGTTGAAAGGTGAACATGATGTACCAGGTAAAAGGAACTGGGGTAAACAGACCTTTAGTGAGGTCATGACAAGATGTGAAGGGAGAGGAAGTGTTTGACAGCCCTATGATTAGGTCTCAGTCTTTTAGTGAGCCTGTGCCTCTGGACTGTGAACTTCACAAATTGTGTTAATTGTGGTACAGGTGGATTTCACTTAGGTGGTACAGGATGGCAAGAGAGGGCTGTAGTGGGGTATTTTCTTTCCCATTAGGTTAGGCTCTTGAGGGCAGGTGATATGGTTTGGCTGTGTCCCCACCCAAAATCTCGTCTTGAATTGTAATCCTTGTAATCCCCACGTCAAGGGCAGGACCAGATGGAGGTAATTGGAACATGGGGGCTATTTCCCCCACGCTGTTCTCATGATAATGAGTGAGTCACATGGGATCTCACGGTTTTTTAAGTGTCTGGCATTTCTCCTACTTGCACCCATTCCATCCTGTTGCCCTGTGAAGAAGGTGCCTACTTCTCCTTTTCCTTCCGCCATGATTGTAAGTTTCCTGAGACCTCCCTGAGCCATGTGGAATTTATAAAGGAAACCTCTTTCCATTATAAATTACCCAGTCTCGGGTGTTTCTTCATAGCAGTGTGAGAACGGACTAATACAGCAGGCCTTGTTAAGAAGAACGAAATGCTCTAGTATATTTCAAAATGGTTACTCCCCTCTGTCCCTCTGCTACCTGCTATTTTTCTCTAATCTTTGCTATGAGAATTTGGTGGTTCTTATACGAGCTCCTGTAGGTAAAACTCACAAAGTATGAGGGCCTCTTTATGACTCGGGCTCCCTGGAGTTTTTGACTCTTATACTTGTCCACACTGAGCCTTGAGTGATTTAACAATGATAATTCAGGTTTTCCTACCCTGGTACTGGTTCCTGTGGAAATGAGTTTGTGTTCTGGGGAGCTGTGATTCTCTGTATATCCACCTGTCTGTCTCTCCAATTTTGGGGACAGTGGTTTGTCCTGTGACCTCACTTCTCTGATGGATCTAAGAAGAATTGTTGATTTTCAGTTTGTTTAGCTTTTTACTTGTTGTTAGGACAGATTTATGCCATTTAAGCTCCTTACATGGGGAACCAGAACCTGGAAGTCCCAGCTGTAAATATTGAAGGCATAATGATTTCTTAACTTTTATATTCTGATGCGTATTGTTTGGTTCTCTGCCTTTCCAAAATAGGAATTGACCCCATAATATTTCTGTACATTTTAACTGGGAATGTTAAGACCTGGATAAATTCTAATCTTGGCTCTGCTGCTAATGATGTTACCTTGGGCAAATCAGAGACTGAGTTTTCTCATCTATAAAAGTGAAGGGTGCAGACTCATTTCTAAGTCTCCTTCTAGCTTTAAAATTCTGAGGTGGGCGGATCACGAGGTCAGGAGTTCGAGACCAGCCTGGCCAACATGGTGAAACTCCGTCTCTACTAAAAATACAAAAATTAGCCAAGCTTGGTGTCGTGCGCCTGTAATCTCAGCTACTTGGGAGGCTGAAACAGGAGACTCGCTTGAACCCGGGCAAAGTTCAGTGAGCCAAGATCATGCCACTGCACTCCAGCCTGGGTGACAGAGCAAGACTCCATCTTGGAAAAAAGAATCTATATTTTATGATGTTACAAAATATTCTCTGATTTTGAACACTAATACCAGTACTCTGGGTAAACCTGTGTGCTCAAGCAGGTGCCCTATTATACTTTCTGGAATTTAAAAATAAACTTTTTATTTTGGAATAAATTTAGATTTATAGAAAAGTTGTTAGCCAGACATGGTGGCTCACACCTGTAATCCCAGCACTTTGGGAGGCTGAGGCAGGTGGATCATGAGGTCAGGAGTTTGAGACCAGCCTGGCCAACATAGTGAAATCCCATCTCTACTAAAAATACAAAAATTAGCTGGGCATGGTGGTGTGCACCTGTAGTCCCAGCTACTTGAGAGGCTGAGGCAGGAGAATCACTTGAACCCGGGAGGTGGAGGTTGTGGTGAGCCGAGATCATGCCACTGCACTCCAGCCTGGGCAACAGAAAAAAAAAAAAAAATAAAAATAAATAAATAAATAAATAAATAAATAAATAAATAAATAAAAAGAAAAGAAAAGTTGCAAAGATAGGGCTGGGCGCAGTGGCTCACACCTGTAATCCCAGCACTTTGGGAAGCCAAGGCCGATGGATTACTTGAAGACCAGCCTGGCCACCATGGTGAAACCCTGTCTCTACTAAAAATACAAAAATTAGGTGGGCGTGGTGGTGCACTCCTGTAATCCCAGCTATTCTGGAGGCTGAGACAGGAGAATCACTTGAACCCAGGAGGCGGAAGTTGCAGTGAGCCAAGATCGCACCACTACACTCCAGCCTGGGTGACACAGCAAGACTCTGTCCCCCGCCAAAAAAAGTTGCAAAGATAATGCAGAGTTCCTGAATACCCCTTACTGTTTTCCCCATTGGCAACATTTTATATTATTATGGTACATTTGTCAAAACTAAAAACCAGATCATGAATGGTACATTACTATTAGCCAAACTCTAGGCTTCTATTTGGATTTCACCAGTTTTTCCATTAATGTCCTTTTTCTGTTCCAGGATCCAATGCAAGCTACCATATTACATTGAGTCATCATATCTTTCCAATCTCCTCTGGTCTGTGACAGTTTCTCAGTCTTTCCTTGGTTTTCATGACCCTGATGGTTTTGAAGAGTGTTGACTAGATATTCTGTAAAATGTCCTCAAACTTGGGTTTTTCTGATGTTTTCCTCATTACTAGACTGGGCTTGTGGGTTTTTGGAAAGAAACCACAAAGATGAAATACCTTTCTTGTCACATTATATCAGGGATTGGTTATATCTATATAACATCACTGGTGATGCTAACTTTCATTAATTGGTTAAGGTAGTGTTTGCCAGGTTTCTCCACTGTAAAATACGCTTTTTGTCTTTCCCAACTCTGTTCTTTGGAAGTGAGTCATCAAGTCTAGCATACCCTGAAGGTGGGAGAAGAGAGGGAATTAAACTTCATTCACTTCTTAAAGATAGCAGTATCTACAGATCACTTAGAATTTTTCTATAAGGAAAATTAGTCTCTTCTTCCACATTTATTTATGCAATCATTTATTAATATTAATATGAAGTAATGTATATTTATTTTATACTTTGAATTATAATCCAGTATACATTATTCACTTTTTTGCTCAAATTGTTCTGGCTTTGGCTGGAAGTTCTTTCAGATTGGTTCCTGTGTCCCTTTGACATGCTCTATCCTTTTGCTTTTTCAACATTTCCTTACTATCTGGTACTACAAGATACTCCAGGCACATTTTGTATTTTCGTTGCCCAAGTCCTGAAATCAACCTTTTCTCCAAAAAGCTCTGGGTTTTAAAACAAATTACAATTTATCTGTTTTGGTTTTTATAAGCATTGCCATGATGACCATCCTTGATGTTATATCTCTGGAAAACTCCATGATTATTTCTTTTAGATAAATATCTAAAAGTGGAATTCCCGGATTAAAGGCATCTAAAATGCTTTTACTATGTTTTCCACTAACAAGGTGTGAGATGGGGGGGCTGCCTCAGGGGCTGCAACTCAAAGCCCACTTCAAATGGGAAACACTATCCATCCGTCAATCCATTTATCTATCTTAGAACTCTCTTTCTATGACTTTCTTATTTTCAAAACAAACAAGGAATAAAGAAAGAAAAAAATGAAACAAGTAAACAAAAGACCTCTCATCTAGACTCTCTAACCACCCAACAAATCACATTGCTCCTCCTAGGAGGAAATGGTTGAGGTGTCAGACTGAGAATGACATCTATTTCCCTTCATGGGGAGAGCACTTGTTAATTCACCTATTAATTCACTTTTAAAATATAATTTTACATTTTATCAAAGTAATACATATACATAGTTTAAACATTCAAGTGGCACTCTAAGACTTACCACGAATAACAGCAATACAGTGCTATATCCCTTCCCATTGCCAAACTTTCTTCACAGAAAAAATCACTTTCATTTCTTTTAGCTTTTTTTTTTTCTGGGGTTTATTTCCATATCTATAAAGAACATGTTTATACTGCAATTTAATTTTTTTTTCAATTTTAGACATTATCTATTGACTTCTTACTAACTATGGAAGATAAAGACTGAAGTCTCTTACCAATTCTATACACAAACACACACATATGTGCATCCTTTCCTAACCCCATTCTTTCAATATAGTTATAACTTTTGTTAAATCCATTAATGTTTTCATTGTTGTGACTCTATAGTTATTCATAGCTGAGCCACATATTGGACTTTAAATATATTTTCTTATATAACATTTTCTTTTTCCTGGAATTAATAATTATGCCATTTTTTGGTTTCCTTAACTTACTGAGCCGATTACTCATCCTTCTCCAAACTTTCTAAGAGTGCTGCAAAACTTTTCAAGTTTCAACATCTGTCAGATCCATTGGGTCCCCTCCATGTATTTTTTCATTGGAAATATCCCTCCTTGAGCCTGGCGTCTGCCACTCACTTGGGCTAGTTGCTCTCCAAGCCTGTTGTACTCTTATCATCTTGGGATCTCCCTTGGCCACCATTCTTGGAATTCTCTCTCTTCTATTTGAAATTTGCTGTTTTTGGGAGCCCATTTTTCCTTTTTGTTTTGGCTTATGCTCTTGTTTTTGTAGTCACTTTTTTCAATAACATCTCGAAAATGGTCACATGGGAGATAAAGTTCTTGAAACTTGGCATGTTGGAAAATGCAGTTTCAAGAACGTTGTTTTACCTTTCTTTCTGATGGATCATTTGGATGGGTAGAGCATCCTAGGTGAGAAATAATTTTCCAATAGAGTTATAAAGGAATTGATCCATTGCTTTCTAACTTCTGGTTTTGTTATTAAGTCTAAAGCCATTCTCATCCTTGATCCTTTGTATGTGACTTATTTTTTTCCTATCTGGAAACATTTTTTTTCTGTTTATTCTTGATATTCTGAAACTTCACTGTTTTGTACTTCAGTGTAGATTTATTTTCATTTATTATGCTGTTTACAGTGGGCCCTTTCAATCTGGAAACAAATGTTCCTCAATTCTTGGGAATTTTATTGTATCACTTCTCTCATTATTTCTTTCCCTCCATTCCTCTGTTCTGTGCTTCTGTACTGCTGGTAGTCAGATGTTGGCTATTCTTCATCTCTTTGTCTTTTCTTCTATCTTCTGGAAGATTTCCTCAACTTTATTTTCTAGTCTTTAGACTTCAGCTCTCATATTTTGAATCTCCAAGAGTTCTTGTTCTCTAATTATGCCTTTATCATAGCATCCTATTCATATTTTGTGGGTACAACATTTTTTCTTATTTTCTATGAAGGTTTAACTAATATTTCTTTTAAAAAATATTCTGCTTTCTGCATTGCCTTTCTTTCAAGTTTTTTCCCCCCATCTGCTGTTGGGATGGGAGAAATTTAATGAATTTGGCTTTGTGGGGTTAGGATTAGGTAGTCTATTTCTTTTTCAGATTTTCAACCAATCTTATGATTTTTGTTTCAGAGGTATAGTCAATTCTCATTATTCCTTCATTATTCCTGGCAATTATGTTCAATAAAATCGCCACAAACACTGAATTAGAAAATACTGCTGAGCGTGGTGGCTCATGCCTGTAATCCCAGCACTTTGGGAGGCCGAGGCAGGTGGATCACCTGAGGTCAGGAGTTTGAGACCAGCCTGAACAACATGGAGAAACCCCGTCTCTACTAAAAATACAAAATCAGCTGGGCTTGGTGGCGCATGCCTGTAATCCCAGCTACATGGGAGGCTGGCCTGAGGCAGGAGAATCACTTCAACCCGGGAGGTGGAGGTTGCGGTGAGCTGAGATGGCGCAATTGCACTCCAGCCTAAGCAACAAGAGCGAAACTCTGTCTCAGAAGAAAAAAAAAAAGAAAAAAAGAAAATACTGAATTATTCTCTGTGGGGGAAATATAGAGTTAGGTGCCTGTGAGCCTCTGGTCACAACATTTTTGTCAGCTAATCAATACATAACCTTGTTTTGTGTGTGTTTCTGTTTAAAGACACCTTATTTAATATACATTGTTGATTCATCAACATTGAACTCATGGCTAATAACAGTACTATGACTCATGCCTGAATAGAGCTTATTTAACACACATATTTTCTCCATGAGGCACAGCCTCCTTCTGCTTAGGAACACCAGACAGCACTCCAGCACTCTGCTTGGGGGGCATTCGAAACAGCAAAATCACTCATAAAAGGCAAAAAATTGCAAAAAAAAATAGTAATAACCAGCATGGCACTAAATAGACCATGAAAAGACATGTGTGTGCAGTATGAAAATTGAGACAGGAAGGCAGAGTGTCAGCTTGTTCCACCTCAGCTGGGAATGTGCATCAGGCAACTCAAGTTTTTCACCACGGCATGTGTCTGTGAATGTCCGCAAAACATTGTGAGTATTGATTTGGGGGGTTACAAATAATTCCTAGCAAGTAGGTGAATTCACAAATAAGGAAGCTGTGAGTAATGAGGGTTGATTTTACCTACCTAGTGTCTCAAATCCTGAGCCGTATGAGATTCCGTGGCATAATTATGTTTGCTTATTGTTGGCAACCTTATTAGGCATTTCTAGGTTTCTGCTTTCTCATCTTTACCAGTTCAGTTATGGCTTGATTCATTTCTCTTTTTCCAAAGATTTGTTGACATCTCTTATTTGCTGTTGCCTCTTCCCATTTGTTTTGTCTTGTGGTTCTATATCTTTGCCATAATTTTTGTGGAGTTTCCTGAGAGAGTAGAGATAAATGTATATGCTCAATTGGTCTTGTCTTAACCAGAATTCTATTTAATACACAACACCTTTAGTGAGCTGTTATGCATGTAATAGGTGTTTACTAAGTATTGGTTGAATAAATTCAAGAAATGCTTGCTATTTTTGTGCTAGCATTTAGCTTTTCTCTATAGTATATTATAATGGAATTTTATTTTATTTTATTTTATTTATTTTTTGAGACAGAGTTTCACTCTTGTCGCCAGGTTGGAGTACAATGGCACGATCTTGGCTCACTGCAACCTCTGCCTCCCGGGTTCAAGCGATTCTCCTGCCTCAGCCTCCCGAGTAGCTGGGATTACAGGTGCCTGCCACCATGCCTGACTAATTTTTTTGTATTTTTAGTAGAGATGGGGTTTTGCCATGTTGGTCAGGCTGGTCTCAAACTCCTGACATCAGGTGATCCACCTGCCTCAGCCTCCCAAAGTGCTGGGATTACAGGCGTGAGCCACCACGCCTGGCTGGAATTTTAAATATCTCATAATTATAATCTTCTAGGTAAAAGACTAGCTCTCTTTCTCACCCTTATTCCTCCTACTTAGTGGAACATTGCCTAAGGAAGATGGGGAATGGGTTAAAAATTAAAATGTGGGGCTGGAAAGCATAGCTTGTTTTAAAACTTAGTTTTCTTTCCTTTTGCATCATAATCTCTTCCCCGGTCTATTTATTTCTCGTGGTTTTGTCAGTCCATTACAAACGGTTGCAAAATTGTGGTACTAGAAGGGATCCTAGAAATAATCTAATTTGAACCTTTGATTGCTAGGAAACTGAGAGTCAGGCTGCCTTGGTTCAAGTCTTGGCTCCACCACCCATGTAGGACATGTTGCTTACTGTTTTGACCTCAGTTTCCTTGCCTATAAAGTGGGAATAAAAATACTCCTGATGTTATAGGATTGTTGTGAAGATTAAAAGAGATAATTAATGTGAAGTTCTTAGTACTATGCCTGACACACAGTAAGAGCTCCACAAATTATTAATGATGATTATTACTAGTGGCTAAACTGAAGCTCTGGTTTCTCAGTTCAGTATGTTTTCCTTTAGACGTAAATAAGAATTTGTAAGCCTCTTTTTGGAGTCAGCTACCATTATTTTCTTTCCTTCATCTCCTTCATTGTCTAAAGACAGTTAACATGATTGCGTATTTCTCATTTCAAGCTAAAGATACTCTCACTGTTTCAGCTATTACCACATTTGTAAGGACTTCCTGAAGAGAAAATTTAAAAGTTAGTCACTTCTTTTAGTTGTTTCTGGTCTTTCAGATGATCCTTTTTTTTTGTAGAGTTGAGTGTTTTTGTTTTTGCTTTTGTTTTTAGTTAACAATAATGCAATCCATTTCCCAGCATAAGTGGGTAAGTGCCACTTTGACTTGGGCTGGGCTTAAAAGCACAAGAAAAGCTCGCAGACAATCAGAGTGGAAACACTCCCACATCTTAGTGTGGATAAATTAAAGTCCAGATTGTTCTTCCTGTCCTGACTTGTGCTGTGGGAGGTGGAGTTGCCTTTGATGCAAATCCTTTGAGCCAGCAGAACATCTGTGGAACATCCCCTGATACATGAAGGTGAGTGCTAATTCATTTAGAAGAGTGATAGTTTGATCATCTTTTTCTACTTTATAAAAGTCTTTTTCTGTTTTCTTCAGTGAAATTATGGGTCAGACCCACCACGTGAATTTCTCCTTGAACTGGTTGTTGATAGTTAAGGGAATCTAATCTTTTGGCAGGCAATATTTTAAAATGCTGAGATCAGAATGGAGAATCATGAGTGTTAGAGGTGAAGGATTGGGGAAAATATCTGAAATAATGGATTTATCTTTCAGGAAACTCTAGGCTAGAGAAAATTAGACCTAGAGGATTCAGAGGAAAATCCTTGTGTGTACTGGTATTTCATGGCAGGAGAGCTGAGAGAGAGTAAATCACTAATAGCTACCACATGATTTTAGTGGAAAGAGTCCAGGTTTGGAATAAGACAGTCGTGAGTTTGAATCTCATTTATGCTGCTTACAAACTATTATTTTTGGACAATTTACATGATATCTCTTGGCCTCAGATTCCATATCCGTAAACTAGAGATGAGTAATACAAACCCTACACGGATTTTTAGAAGTACAGGATGTAATTTGTATAGTGTAGTTAGCACTTTGCAGGCTGTCACTGTTCCAACATGATAGTGCTTTTGCCAGTCTCACTACTGGCTGTCTCAGAATGTTCTTTAAATGAAGGCAGCCCACAACCCAAATGGATTTATAGACTTTGAAACTGGAGGTAGTCATCTGACAGCTCGCAATCTCATCTTGGGCAATGTATATATAATCAATATCCTCATCCAAAAAGTAAGGATGTCATTATTTTATTAGGCTGAAATTGCCAAGATTTAACTGTTTTTGACTTAATAAAAATAGCAATTTCATTTGATTTAACCTAAAACATAATATAGAAATAAAATTTAAAATATGCAGGCCGGGCAAAGTGGCTCACACCTGTAATCCCACCACTTTGGGAGGTCGAGGCAGGTGGATCACCTGAGGTCAGAAGTTTGAGACCAGCCTGGCCAACATGGCGAAACTCTGTCTCTACTAAAAATACAAAAATTACCTGGGCCTGTTGGCAGGCACCTGTAGTCCCAGCTACTTGGGAGGCTGAGGCAGGAGAATCACTTGAACCCGCGAGGCAGAGGTTGCAGTGAACCGAGACTGCACCACTGCACTCCAGTCTGGGTCACAGAGTGAGACCCCGTCTCCAGAAAAAAAAAAAGAAATAAAATATAAAATATGCAACTATAAATATAAAATATATAAATAGAAAATATAAAAATATCTGTCTCATTTACCTGAAGGGTGACAAGAATCTAAGGAGATAGTATACATGAAAGTGCTTGTAAATCTAAGGCCATTATTACTGCGACTATTATCATTACTGCAAGCTCCAAATAAACATTTAAAAGAGACTGAGAACAGGGCACCCTTCTACTTGATCAGTGAAAGTATAAACCAAGTCCTGTGGGTCTTGAGGAATTCTGAGGCACTGAGAGAGGCTGAGCAGTGCATCGCTTGACTACCTCCCTCTCAGTGTTATGAGTCTGCAGGTGCTTGAACTTATGGCCATAGTGCTGGCCCTAGAAGTTACTCCCTCTTCTTTGCCATTTTTTATTTTTTTATTTGAGACAGTCTCACTCTGCTGCCCAGGCTGGAGTGCAGTGGTGTGATCATAGCTCATTGCAGCTTCAAACTCCTGGGCCCAAGCATTGTCCCACCTCAACCTCCTGTGTAGCTAGGACTACAGGTGTGCACCATGACACTCAGATAATTTAAAATATATATATATATATATTTTTAGAGACAGAGTCTTGCTATGTTGCCCAGACTAGTCTTGAACTCCTGGTTTGCCATTCTTTAAAAACCCAGTTCTATACTGCAGGAGATAGTGTTTGGCACAGAATGAGAATCAACAAATAGTAGCTGAGTGAATGTATGAATGAATGAACCAAAGGAAGGCAAGCCCTGGGAAAATCACGTAGTGGTACATTCTTGTACAAGTGAAATGAGATGAAGCTCAGCACCCAGGACACAGCCTTGAGTGGGAGCTGAATGGCCAAAGAGCACCCTGTGAAGTATCCATTTTATGGGGGATTGCGTGGGAGTAAAACAGCCACACTCTATTTCCTTTGCTTTGGTCCTGTGAGACAGGATGTGGGGAGGCAGGGATAATTTAACATGCTGAAATGTGTAGCGTTTCCCAGCAGAGGCAGTAGCTTCCATCTTTGCTTTCTTCTCGCTGTGTTCCCAGCCACTGCTGGTAGTCAGTAATAAGTGCTTAGATTTGTTTGCAGTCGTTCTACTCCAAACAGTAGCTGCTACTAGGTTTACATCTCTTTTGTTGTTGGTTTTGTTGTTGTTTGTTTGTTTGTTTTAAGATGGAGCCTTGGTCTGTAACCCAGGCTGGGGTGCAGTGGCACAACCTCTGCTCACTGTAACCTCTGCCTTTTGAGTTCAAGCAATTCTCCTGCCTTAGCCTCCTGAGTAGCTAGGATTACAAGTTTGGGCTACCTTGCCCAGCTAATTTTTGTATTTTTCGTTCAGATGGGGTTTTGCCATACTGGCCAGGCTGGTCTCAAACTTCTGACCTCAAGTGATCTGCCTGCCTTGGCCTCCCAAAGTGCTGGGATTACAGGCATGAGCCACCACGCCTGGCCAACATCTTTAAGCATAGGACACCACTAGTTACTTAAGTGGCATCACTGTATATTCTAAGAGTCTTTTAGTTCAATATGGCATATTTGTAGTGTTGTTGGAAGATTTTATAGAGCTCTGCTAAATGCTGTACTCAAATGAGATCCCACCAATGTGAGATTGTTTCTAGGAAATGACCCCTTTTTGAAGACCAGTTATTCAAAACTGCTGCATTTCAAAGTTAAGGCTGATGACCCAGGGATGCAGGAAATGATTGATGGCTCTCCTCAAGAGCACAGCAGAATCTTTGGGAATTTCTTATGGCCCAGATTTGGGGAGGCTGATTCACCTCATTTAAGTCTTCAAGAGACTGATATATTGAAACCAATAAGAAATAGTCTTTCTAATGCCTGGAAGGCTCATATTCTTTGTTCAGGGCCTTCTTCCGTTAAATTAGTAATCAGAGAGGGCATCAGAGAATCAGAGCAATCAGAAAGGGAGATTCGGGGTTTTGAAGTATCTTTCATCAGGTTCATGGTGAGGTCTTGTGGCTGCCCTGTCAGAGTCTTTCGCTCCAGTGACAGGAAATTTCATAATTTCCTTTCGTAGATAGTACTGGATAAAAACTGCCAACTTCTGTCTTTTTTAACCATCAATATTTTACATTCTAAGGTGACCTCTCCTTTCTTTCCTCAAAGTCTTCTGTTTAGGATACAATTAGTTGAGTAGATTCCCGCAACTAAATGATAATGAAGGTTTTCCAAATCCAACTCTTTGAGATTATACACAGGTTTCTTTGGCTGGAGTCCTGAATGAACTCAAGCTTATCAACTGCACATCTACCCACCACAGATAACCAGGATCACCTTGAACTCTCTACTGGACTTATTTCTAAGCCCCTGGGAGGCATCTCACCTTTTTGCATTTTTTTTTTTTCTTTTTTGAGACAGCATCTGGCTCTGTCACCCAGGCTGAAGTGCAGTCATGAGATCACAGTTCACTGCAGCCTCAACCTCCCAGGCTCAAGCCAGCCTCCCATCTTAGCCTCCCAAATAGCTGAGACTACAGGCACATGCCACCATACCCGGCTGATTTTATTGTGTGTTTTGTAGAGATGGGGTATCACCATGTTGCTCAGGCTGGTCTTGAACTCCTGACCTCAAGTGATCCGCCCACCTCAGCCTCCCAAAGTCTTGGGATTACATGTTGTGAGCCACTGCGCCCAGCCTTTGTTCACATTTTTTACCAGCAAGCAGTCCTTTTTGTGGTGAGAGGAGAATGTGGGAAAGGCTGTGGAGGACAAGCAAGTATTAGAATGAGAGATTTCATCCTAATGGCAAGGCTTGTTGACTTCCCACAGTCATTAGCTCATTTCTCTTTTTAGATGCTCTTTGCGCTCATTTCACTATTGTAACTATACTTACTATGTGATATATGAGACTACTATCCAGGCTTCTGTCTCTGCAAGTGGACCAGTGGTTCTTAACCCATTTCTGTTCAAACCTACTGCAGAAATATGACATGAGAGTCCTCAGTAACAGCAGTTCACTCTGAAATTGGTAGTTTCCAAAAATATTCCTGCTATCCTCTCCATCCTTTTCTCCCTTCCCTTTGTTAAAAATCACTGAACTAGAATATGAGCTCTTTGAGGTCAGAGATGTGCTCTTCTTTGATTCCAACCACCTAACACATGGCTGGGACAGTGCTGAACACATAGAAGAATGCCTGAGGTCACCAGTTTGTTTGTGAGAGGGCCAGGACCACAACTCAGGCAGTCTCAATTTCTAGAATGCTACACTTTTCAACTACTGTAACTTTTCCAGTTTTGTCTCTGGGATGATTTAGTACTGCTGATTTTTTTCTAAGGTTTTTTTTTTAAATTTCACAAATAATAGCTGAGTATTTTTATTGTAAAGGAGTCAAGCAATAATTACCATTAACTTAAAAATATTTTAATATTTTATTCAACATTTAATATTGATAGGATTTTAAATGCAAAACCGCTTGTCAGAATAGCAATTTTAGTTTTAGCATCTATTATTATTCATTGATTCACTTATTAAGACTGCCAGCATCTTGGCTTTCATAGCCTTCCTTTTTAATGTGCTTTTAGGACTTGTAAATAATGTGAGCTAGGACTAAAGGCGTGTCTTCTTCTTAACAGATGGAGAAGATTAAGACAACATTCTGAATAATTAGACACAAAAAGAATGTTCTTAGTGTTATAGTTATTTTTAAAGACACCTTTTTTCTTCATTGAAAAATTGAAATGTTTCCCTTTGAGTTATATACCCATTTAAATCAAAATGGCTATCTTTATTATCTTAGGCAGTTCCAATTCGCTAAGGATTTCAGTTGGTTCATATGTGAGAAAATGTTATCCCTCTAATTTTCTCCAGAAATCCTGCATGCACATTTTTCTAAAGTAACTTATTTTGTAAAGAACCCTTTTCTTTTTTTTTTCTATAATGATCTGGCAGATGAAAATGTAACATCATTTATTTCTTCCTGAAATGAATTACTGGTTTTACATTTGCTTTATTCTTAGACTATCCCACCATTTCATCTTAGATGAGATGAAGAGCCAGCATTCTTTTTGTTCCAATAAACAAGTAAATGCCACAAACAGTATTGTCTACCAGGTACCAGGCACTGCCTTAGATACCAAGGCTTCAAAGAGGAAGAAGAGAGGTTCCACTCTTAAGAAGGTCCCTGTATGTAGGGAAGCCGTCAGGTAAATTGCTGACCACCATTCTTGTGGCAGATGCTGTAGGACACATGATATAGTGGGGCATGGGGCACAAAGGAGGGACCAACTGGCATCTCCATGCGGGAATTCAGAGAGGGCGTCTTAGGGAAGGAGAGCCTTGAAATGAGTCTGGAAAGGTGATTAATTTGTCAGAAATAAGGGGAAAGGAGCACTGTGGGCATGCATAGAGCATGGAGATGTGAGATAGCGTGGTGCTTGGCAAAACTGTGAGTTGTTCCATTTGGCTGGAGGGCCTAGGCACTGAGGCAAGGGCCAGAGGATGGCCTCATAGCTGCACATACTCATTTTTTTTTCTGGAGCACATTCTTGGTAGTTGGTATACTTTTCATAAGACATAGTGGAGTAGACGATGGACGAAAGGAAAACGTGTTGTAATTGCAAATCTTTAAAATGTTGACTGGGGTTGATGGAGTAATTATGAAGGATCTAGGTGATGATAGTCAACAAATAAAATAAAATAGGATCCTTCCTCCTTCCAAAATCCCCAGAATCTATTTGCCATTGGAAATAGAGCTTTTGAAAAGAGATATGAAGCAAACCAACTCTTGACTGATGTCATTTTCAGCTCTCTCCCCAGCCTTCATGTGTTAACCTGGGGATGATGTGGACCTGGGCACTGTGGATGCTCCCCTCACTCTGCAAATTCAGCCTGGCAGGTAGGTTGACCTGGGCCCTTTTACAGATCATGTGATTATTATTGCCTTCTTTGGACAAGAGTTGTTAACTTTAAAGCGACACCTGGATTATGGACATCCACAGATAGAAAAGGGGACTTGTGAACACCCTGAATTTGTGTGTGTGTCTGTGTGTGCACACATGCATGCAATTTCACATATACTCATGCATGTGCAAATGTGGCAAGATGGCTTACCATATTTTCAAAGGGAGATACAACCCCCAAAATGCTGAGATCTACTGTTTTAGAATATAGTAGTCTCTCCTTATCTGTGGGGGAATATGTTCCAAGATCCTCAGTGGATGCCTGAAACTGTGGATAGTACCAAACCCTATATATAGTACATTTTTCCTTCACATATATACCTATGATGAAGTTTAGGTACATTTAGGCATGAAGAGATTAAAACAATAACTAATAATAAAATGGAGCCATTAAAACAATTTACTATAATAAAAGTTAGGTGAGGTCTGGCACAGTGGCTCATGCCTGTAATCCCAGCACTTTGGGAGGCTGAGGCGGGCAGATTTTTTGAGGTCAGGAGTTCGAGAGCAGCCTGACCAACATGGTAAAACCCCGTCTCTACTAAAAATACAAAAATTAACCGAGTATGGTGGCTCACGCTTGTAATCCCAGCTACTTGGGAGGCTGAGGTGGGAAGATCACTTGAACCTGGGAGGCGGAGGTTGCAGTGAGCCTAGATTGTGCCACGGCACTCCAGCCTGGGCCAGAGCAAGACCTTGTCTCAAAAAAAAAAAAAATGTTATGTGAATGTGGTCTCTCTCTCTCTAAATATCTCATTGTACTGCACTCACCCATTTTCAGATGGCGTTGATCACTAGTAACTGAAACTACAGAAAGTAAAACCATAGATAAGAGGGAACTACTATAATAGGAAGTGCTTATCTCCATAGTTTTTGTGTTGTTGTTATGGCTTCATATAATACACATACATAAATACAAAAATAAGCAGTTTTCATACTATTTGCCATAAAGGGAAATAATGAAACAACATTTCTATAGTGTTCCAACTCAAGACTACAGGCCTGATATCCATACAATAGCTTGTAGATCTAAGATCCATTTGTTTGATTATATCTTAAGTTTAAAACAATATTAAGAGCAGAGACACTGGTCTGGTAGTGGGAAGGTGGGGAAGGCGTCATGTAGCGTATTCGTGTGCTTGGGCTGCCATAACAAAATACCTCAGACTGGGTGGCTTAAGCAACAGAAATTTATTTTCTCACGGTTCTGGAGGCTGGAAGTCCAGTGTCAAGGTGGCAGCAGGGCTGGTTTGCAGGTGGCCTTCCTTTTGCTGCCTCTTCACATGGTCATCCCTCTGTGCCCACACAACCCTGGTGTCTCTCCTCCTCCTAAGGATGCCAGTCAGATTGGATTAGGGCCCATCATAATGGTCCCATTTTAACTTAATTACCTCTTCAAGTGCTCTATCTCCAAATATAATCACATTTTGAGGTACTGGGGGTTAGGACTTCATTATGTGAATTTTGGAGAGACATAATTTAGCCTATAACATGTACTAATTGGGGTCACCAAGAGGGCAGTCATGACCCAGAGATAATGAGAATGCCTTCAGACTTCTGTCCTGGCATGGCCTGCCTTAGCCCCTTGGGGTTACACCTGTGGCACTCAGGAGCTTGATAGACCAGGGGTCCCCAACCCCCAGGCTGCAGACCATGTTAGGAACTGGGCCACACAGCAGGAGATGAGCTGCTGGTGAGCCAGAGTTACTGCCTGAGCTCCGCCTCCTGTCAAATCAGCAGCGGCATGAGATTCTCATGGGAGCACGAACCCTATTGTGAACTGTGCATATGAGGGATCTATTAATAGGTTGTGTGCTCCTTATGATAATCTAATGCCTGATGATCTGAGGTGAAACAGTTTCATCCCGAAACCATCCGTACCCCAGGTCCATGGAAAAATTATCTTCCACAAAACTGGTCCCTGGTGCCAAAATGTAGGGGACTGCTGTGATAGAAAATAGATGATACAGGCAGGCAGGACTATTGCTCTCCCTCTCATCAGCAATTGCTCCCAGTTATCTAATCTAAACTTCTAATTACAGACACTGTGGCTCCTATCAAGTCACCCTTTCCCTCCACTTGTCTTTTTCTGTCTTCTATCTCTGTTTTCCACTCTTCCTATGTTGTACATATACCAGCTCCTACAAAACTGGCTCCAATATCCACCATTCTTTTCATCTAGAATATCCTTCCCTTGGTCCTGCTCAGCCTTGCTCTTCTATGTCAAGATATTTTTCAAAACACTGACTTTGCAACAGCACCAAAGTGATATGAGTATAGAGGGAAGGAGGGAGATGGAGAACATCTCTATAATTTTGGAAAATGTTCCTCTTGCGTATGGGAAATTCTCTGATAAGCAAGAACATTCTCCCAATTTTTCTTAGAGGAAGTGATGAATGTTTTTCCCCTTATTTCTAGAAATAGGGGAATATTGCTATGGTTCGTATTTTGAGGGAATAGGGAAAGAAAGATGGGAGTGACCAGCAAGCCTAACCTTCAGTTGTTTGTATTTATAAAATAAAAATTCTATTTTGACTAATTTTAGATTTATAGAAAAACTGTGAAAATAGCATAGAGAGTTCCTTTCTACCCTCATCCAGTTTATCCATTGTTACTATCTTATAATACAATAAAAATTTGCCAAAACTAAGAAATTGATTTTGGCACATTACTATTGACTAAATTCCAAATTTTATTTGGATTTCACTAGTTTTTCCATGAATGACTTCTTTCTACTTTATTTTTAATTTTTTTTTCTGAGACGGAGTCTCGCTCTGTCGCCCTGGCTGGAGTGGAGTTCAGTGGTGCAATCTCAGCTCACTGCAACCTCTGCCTCCTGGGTTCAAGCAATTCTCCTGCCTCAGCTTCCTGAGTAGATAGGATTATAGGCGTGTGCCACCATGCCTGGCTAATTTTTGTATTTTTAGTAGAGATGGGGTTTCACCATGTTGGCCCGGCTGGTCTCCAACTCCTGAACTCGTGATCCGCCCATCTTGGCCTCCCAAAGTGCTGGGATTACAGGTGTGAGCCACTATGCTCAGCCTGAATGACTTCTTCCTATTCCAGGATCCAATTTAGGGTACCACATTGCGTTGAATTGTCATGTCTCCTTGGTCTCTGCCGGTCTGTTACAGGTCCTTAGTCTTTCCTTACTATTCATGACCGTGGCAGTCTTAAGGAGTACTGACAAGTATTTCTGGGTTTAGGGGGAAAAAGGCAACAGAGGTGAAGTGTTCTTCATTGTGCATCACAATTTTACCCATGTTTGTGACAATCTTCTGAGGGAGAATTGAATAAGACTTAAAATAGGCACACTGATTGCCAACAAGGAGGAAGGCAGGACAACAGATGTGTAGGCTCTGCCAGCCAAGGCAGTTCTAGTACATACAGCCAAGGTCGTTCAGCTATGTGGAATCACTCCAGATAACTGAAACTGGAAAAGGTAAAGAAAATCTAGAAAGTAGAAGTGAAGTCTAACATTGTTGATTTGGTTCAATTTTATTCCAGTTTCCCTCAACCCCCTAATCTGTGATAAAATGAATCTAAAATCCTCATATGCAGAATTAAAATGTCATGAGGACACAAAACTAGGGAAAGCTATTGTTAAATTCCTCCTCCAAGTCTGAGAATACTGGAGAGAACAGGCTATTTAGGTATTAGTCAGGGAGAGTTGTTTATGCTGTAATAATAAACAAGCCTAAAATATTAGTATTTAAAACAGCAAACTACATGTCCATCACAGGTAAGCAGGGGCTCAGGCTGGTGGGGCTCTGCTATCCTCACACACACCATGTCAGCATCCGTTTTCAAGGCGTGCAGTAACAGGAGGAGGAGAGAAAAGAGAGTCATGCGCCATCACTTGGACGCTTCCTCTCACATGGCAAAGGCCAAGGCAAATCCCATGGCCACCCTATTGATGAGCACTGGAAATATTGGTGAGCATTCATTTTATCTACCACAAATCTCTTCTGTAACACCAATATCAAGAGAGCCTTTGTAAGACTATTGTTCTCTCTTACCATGTGCCAACCAGTAAGGGAAAAACAAATGTAGTCTCATAAGAACAGCCTGGGTTGAGCGGAAAATCATTTTTGGAACCACTTACTCTTCTCCTGGTGGCTCCAAAAATCATTGACACCTGGTGACACTTAACGGTTCTGAAAAACAGATATTTAACTCTCTTTTTAGCTTATGGCTTCTCATATATGTTAACCAAAGCTTTTGAAGAAGCTTAGGAGAGGTATTTAAGGAAGAACAGGAAAGAGCAGGATTCACTTAGGTTTGACTGGAGTGTATTTAGATCCACAAGGATCTATTCCTCCATTGATATCTTGGTGGCTGGCTTTGGATTCAACCAACGCAAGGGAGAGCAAGAATGAAAAGGAAATAAAATAAAATATGACTGCAGGAGGCCGTAATGAGAATAATATAAGACTAAGACTATTCTGGGGAAATGGGGAAAGGCTTCTTGTTTCCTTGTTCTCTGGCCAAGAATCAACTTTGAAATCCTCCGGCGAGTTAGTGTGACGAGTATGAGCGAAATGGGGGTGCGGCAGCCTACCCTTTTGTGAATATTTGTAAGAAACTTGGCCAGAGACTGAGGATAGATCCACATATATACACACAGACACACACACACACACACACACCACACATATACATCACACACACCACACTACACACACACACACACCACACACACTACACACACACCACACATATACATCACACACACCACGCACACACCACAAACATACCACACACCCCACACTACACACACACACCACACATACTGCACATATACATCATACACACCATGCACACATCATAATCATACTACACACACCACACTACACACACACTATAAACACATCACACACACTACACACACCACACATATGTCACACATACCACACAAACACATCACACACACCATAAACATACCATACACACCACACACACACAGACCACACGCACACACCAACACGCTCCAGCGGACACACACTATATATGCATTATAAACACATCACACATACTACACACATACCACACATACACCACACATACCCTGCACACACTACACACACACCACGTACACATACACACTACACACATACCACACACACTCTACACACACACCATTCACACATATACTATGCACACATACTACACATACCACACACATCACACACATACCCCACACACATTTTACACATGACATACACACCGCACACTACACACACACCCCATACACACACATGCACTGTACACGCACTGCCCTTATCTCTGAGCCATGGAGACAGGGAGTGAGTGGGACAGTGTGTGAGTTATTCCTCCTGGGTGTTGCAAGCTAACCCTTGGTTCACCTCTTGTAGGACTTTGCACTTCCTCCTGACAGTTGGGAGGCATGAGGTTTGTTAACATTCTGTTTGCTGACCCCAAAAGTCCTCAGGGAGGGTTCCAAGCTGCGTGGGCTCTTTGAGAAATGTGTTAATGGTGTAGCTTTCAATCTCTATGTAACATGCAGTATTATTTGATTCAGATCCAGTTAACTTTGGTCTTTTTAAGCATTTGGATCTGGAGATCACTGGCTTCCTCATGGTTTTCAGCATGCAAGTAGCAAAGATAGAAAGCCTTTGAACTGCTTGTTGGATGCGTGCTGTGGGTGCCTGGCTCATGTGCAGGACTAGGAGGAAGGCAGCTTCTCTGGAGAGAGCGAGAAAAGTTGACACAACAGGAAGCCATCTAGCTCTCCCTCACCCTCATTTGTCATTCTCAGTGGCTCCTTTACCCATGTAGACAATGCTCAGTTCATAGACCAAATACATGAATGTATATACAAACACACACATTTACAACCCTTTTAAAATCCCAAACCTAAACAAAACAAAACAATGAATGCTACCCATTCTGGAACCCCTTTACACCACCTTCTTGTTATAGGGTAATACCTCTGACAGAGTTGAAATATATATAATATTATTCAGATGTGCAGAGAAATGGAACATCCCTATTTTCTATGATCAAACGAGTCATTTTCTAAAGTCCCCTTACCACTGGAAAGTCAGGCAAGGGTGAGAAAGAGGAGGGTGTGGGTAGCACTTAAATTTGTTAACGTTGTGTCATTTCTTCTGGTTTAAGATGTCTTTGGCTAGCTCAGTCTCTTTGGGGTTCCTGCCTTGCCCTCTGCTCCTCCTTAAGATTGTGTCTGAATATATGAGCAAGGCTTATGTGACTGCAGACTTGGATGCGTGGGAATAAGTCCTTGTGTTGCCCTCTGTCTTCCCTGAACTGTCTGGTGTGGTCTGATCCCCCTCTGCCATCTGCCATGGGGCAGCTGGCTTTGCCTGTGCTTTGGGCCACAGCTTATGCTCCAGTTGTTTGTCCATGGTCCTGAAGTTCCTCTGTGAATGGAAGCTGCTTCATCCTCATCCCAGGCCTGGTCCCGTCTCACAGCTGTATCCTCGCCCCTGACTTTGAGGGCACAGGGAAATTTCTGGATCCCTGTGTGCTACATTCACCTGCATAGAGCTCACATGAGGAGCTGCACCAGGCCACCCTCTGCCAGCACATTGTTAGGACTTCCATGCCACCATAGAGTTGGTGCTTAGTGGAACATGAGGCTTCCCCTAGACTAGTGGTCCCTAGCCTTTTTGGCACCAGGGACCGGTTTCATGGAAGACAATTTTTCCATGGACAGGGGGTGGGGTTGGGAGTTGGGGGATGGTTTCAGGATGAAACCGTTCTACCTCATATCATCAGGCATTAGTTAGATTCTCATAAGGAGTGAGCAACCTAGATCCCTCACAAGCACAGTTCACAGTAGGGTTCAGCTCCTATGAGAATCTAATGCTGCTGCTGTTCTGAGGCAGGGGTAGGGGTGGGGGCGGGGAGCTCAGGCGGTAATGCTCGCTCACCTGCTGCTCACCTCCTGCTGTGTGGCCCAGTTCCTAACAGGCCATGGACCCGTACCTTGCCCAGCGGTTGAGGAATCCTGCTAGACTACAGCCTGGCAACCTCCCCCGGACTTGCTGTACCTGGTGAAATAGGCTACCAGCCAGATGACCTTGGTGCATGGGACCCATCCGCATGTTTGTACCGCTCTATCAAGAACACTGACATCAGAATTCTTTGCTTTACCTTCCTTTCATTCCCTCCCCATCCCTGCCCCCATATTTACTTGTTAGAAGTGATCAGCTTTTTCCTACTTCTTGTCTGGTAGAGACTGCCTTCCTAGGAAGCGCTAGACCTTCCTTTGATATATAAAGGTAATTTAAGAAGTTGCCCTCCTCTCACAAAAATGCCTGCTTCTTAAGACTATGATCTTTCCAGAGGCTCAACAAAGAAGTTAGTATAAGCCTCAGAGCTGAACATGGCCCTTAGTCTAAAATTGCTCTTAGTTCTTAGTTGTGCATGTGTGTTTGTGTGTGTGTGTTTGTGTGTGTGTGCATGTGTGTGTTTGTGTGTGTGTGCATGTGTGTGTGCATGTGTGTTTGTGTGTGTGCATGTGTGTGTGCATGTGTGTTTGTGTGTGTTTGTGTGTGTGCGCATGTGTGTTTGTGTGTGTGTTTGTGTGTGTGTTTGTGTGTGCGTGTGTTTGTGTGCGTGTGTGTGCATGTGTGTGTGCATGTGTGTGTGTGCGTGTGTGTGTGTGCGTGTGTGTGTGTGTGTGTATGTTTAGGATCAACCCCTTGGTCATCTAGTGAAGTCTATGGGCTGATTCTCAAAACAATGTTTGTAAATGCACAAATAAAATAAATAGCATTACAAAGATACCAAAATATACTGAAATGAAATCATCAAAATATTAATGAAATCATCAAAATATTAAAGAAACAAATTTGTGATCTGGTAATATGTGGTCTTCTTTATTAACACATTAAATAAGAAGACCTAATAATTGCCTTAATTTAGGTCTAATATTAATAATTACCTTAATTCAGAAATAGTGATAATAGTATTTCATATTTGTATTAGTCCATTTTCACGCTGCTGATAAAGACATACGCGAGACTGGGAAGAAAAAGAGGTTTAATTAGACTTACAGTTCCAATGGCTGGGGAGGCCTCAGAATCATGGTGGGAGGCAAAAGGCACTTCCTACATGGCTGCAGCAAGAGAAAATGAGAAAGAAGTAAAAGCGCAAACCCCTGATAAACCCGTCAGATCTCGTGGGTTATTTACTTATTTACTATCATGAGAATAGCACAGGAAAAACCAGCTTCCATGATTCAATTACCTCCCCCTGGGTCCTCCCACAACACATGGGAATTCTGGGAGATACAATTCAAGTTAAGATTTGGGTGGGGGCACAACCAAACCATATAAATATTTTAAGGTACCTGCAGCAACGAAAATATAATATGAAAATATTTGTGATTTATAATGGTGACAAAGTCACAGGCAATGATGCTATTACTGTAGTTTGTTGATTACACTTATGATGGAAGGAAATCCTAAATTTCAACAGTAGGTTAGTGAAAATTAAAGATGTAAATTTTCCCCATTTAAGTTCATGGACCCCTGAATTCTACCCATGGACCCCTTAAAGATCTAGGTCCCTGTTCTAGATGGTAGTATCTGGTTTCCCTATGAAAGTGTGGATGCTATGGGGTGGGGAGCTCTCAGGAGCAAGATTTCTAAGATATGAAGATACAGTTGAAGATATTTCATAAATTTCTCTATTGTACAATCTTCTGGAAAAGAAAATTGTTGATACATATGGTTGAAGTGTGGCATGGTTGTATTCTTGCTTATGCCCACATCATCTGTTACCCATGAATTATCCAGAGTGATTCTACCATTTGATGCTTTACTGAGTATATCACAAATACTTTGTATGTATTTCTTGGTGTTTTAAAAATGCTTGCTGCTCAAATGTTACATTTAAGTAAGAATGTAAAAAGGGATTTCTTAAAAAGTAGAAATCTAGCTCTTGAAAGGGAATAATTAAAGAGATGAAGTTAGATTCTTTCCATTGAACCTGATTGCTAGGTTACACCTAGCAACTAACCAAAAAAATCTAGCTTTTGATCAGCATATTTTCCATTAAAAATGTTCAATGCTGGCAATATTTATTGTGTACTGAAATTTTTGTGTTTGTGTGTGTGTGTGTTTAATTTATTTAGCTCTGCCAGCTAAGCCTGAGAACATTTCCTGTGTCTACTACTATAGGAAAAATTTAACCTGCACTTGGAGTCCAGGAAAGGAAACCAGTTATACCCAGTACACAGTTAAGAGAACTTAGTAAGTACAGGAGCTTGTGTTTTATCAGTCAGGGCATGGGGGAGGCAGAGGCTTCTGATTCATTCATGATTCACATCCCATATGAAGCAAAAAGTTTCCTCAATGACAGCTTCTGGGTGATTACTGTGTGCAGCCAGTGGCTTGTGGACGGGATCTGGAGCTGCAGAGGGAGGGGAGGCATAGCCAGTGTTGACCTCCTCCTGGATTCCCCATTGGCTGAGATGAGTCACCAGTTATAAGCACAGTGGAAAAATCTGTTTATTTACTACACTCAACTATACCCTGCCTCTTTCCAGAATGTGTTATATAAAACTGTTCATTCTTTCTGGATCCAGATATAGTAAGTAAGGTTGTAAACCCAGAACTAACAGGCAATTGACCATGGTCTGCCACTAATTTGCTGTGTGACCTCTGTCAAACACTATTCCACAGGACAATGATTCCCCAATTTTTTTTACTACCTCAAGCATCCCTCTTTATTCCAATTCTGTAGAATGAAAATTTTATAATTTTTAATTATTATTCTAGCCAAAAGCTAGATGTTTTAAGTAAATATTTGCAGGTTAAAAAAAAACTTTTTTTTGAGACAGAATCTCACTCTGTCCCCCAGGCTGGAGTGCAGTGGTGTGATCTCAGCTCACTACAACCTCCATCTCCCAGGTTCAAGCGATTCTCCTGCCTCAGCCTCCCAAGTAGCTGGAATTATGGGTGCACACCACCATACCTGGCCAACTTTTGTATTTTTAGTAGAGACAGGGTTTCACCATGTTGGCCAGGCTGGTCTCGAACTCCGGACTTCAAGTGATCCGCCCACCTCAGCTCCCAAAAGTGCTGGGATTACAGGCATGAGCCACCGTGCCTGTCCTTTTTAACAAAAATTTTTAACATAGCTCATTACTTCCTTCTTGTGAATAATGAATAAGGGGGCCCATGTTGGGAAGCATTGTAAGATGACCTTTAGTCTTTTTCATTTCAAAACAGTCTGTGATTCCAAATTCTTTATTTTTAAGCTAAATCTCACATTGCAAGGGAAGTCCACTTTATGTTTTCAGTGGAAGAAATGAAAAAAACAAGCAGTATTCTCAGCAGCACTGATATAGCTACGAGAACCTATGTCAGAGAGATGCTTTAAAACAGGAGTCAGCAAATTTCTCTTCTAAAGGGCCAGATGGTAAATATAGTAATATTAAGAAGGAGATCGGTCTCTGTCAGAACTTTTCAACACTACTGTTATAGCACTCATACAGCTATAGGCAATATATAAACCAATGGGTGCGGCTGCTTTCCAACGAAACTTTATCCATGGACACTGAAATGTGAATATTATATAATTTTCACACGCCCCAAAGTATTTTTGTTCGTTTTATTTATTTTTCAACCATTAACAGCATGTAAATAGTCTTAAGCCTACAGGCTGTGCAAGATCAAGAGATGGGCTATATTTGACCTACAGGCTGTCGTTTGCTTATCCCTGTTTTAGAAAATAAGCATGATAAAGGCCCAATAACCCATGATCCAAATGACTTTTCTTCCAGATTTGTCAGTTCTAGTCCCAGTGTTGAATATCAATTGCTAGTAGAATGAGAATCTGGGCACCTTTATAGGTTTACTGCTATTTTTCTGTCTTATAGAGACATTTCCCCTCTTCCTCCATCTTTCCCTTTGGGTTGTTATTATTATCACCAGTTGGACATGGAGAAATAGAAAACACCTGGGAATCCCCAGGCCTATACCCAGCTCCCCTTGATGGCCTCAGGCCAGCTAGGCTGTCTAGAACTCCTAGGCCACTTGCATTTTTGTGAATTTATCACCAAGAGGATCTCTTCCAAGCAAAGTGGAAGGGTTTCCCTGTGGATGGCCTACCTGGGAGCACTTTTCAGTAGGTCATGGAATAAGCCAAAAACCTTCTGATGTCCAGAAACAATAGGAAAGAATTTTTCCTGGGGAGTTGGGGATGCCTTCATGGAGATAATGATTTTTGAACTGAGGCTGAAAGGAGGTCTAGAGGTGTGGAAAAGGAGAGAAAGTTTATTTCTCAAAGGTCACAGCATGAATAAATGCAGAAATATTCAACTACAATTATAGTAATAACAGCTCACATTTATTGACTCTGTGCTGGACATTTTAAAAGTGCCTTATGTGTATTAGCTCATTTCATCCTCATAACCCTATGCTACAGATATATTACTGTCTTCATTTTACAGATGAGAAAACTAAGGCACAGAGAGGTTAAAGAACTTGCCCAAGTCACACAGTTAATAGGGGCAAAGCCACGATTCAAACCTGGTCTGATTCTAGAACCTGTGCTTATAACCACGACACATTGCCCTGGAGGCCATTTTTGTGCTGTAAAATAACCATCAACCACTCTTGAGGTCCTTTCTAGTTTCAAAATTCCATGATTCTATGTGTCTATGTCTCCCTGTATGTATTCCATGTGTATATGTCTTCCCACACACCAGCAAACACTGGTACCTTGCAAGGTGGGCCTTCTTTTCTGTTCTCAGCCTGCTTTATCTCCTCCACAACCCCCAGAACCATGTGGACTATAGCTAGAACCACCCATCTGATTCCCACTAATATGTGTATTTGTTTTCATTAAGTTACAGCTTGGTAGTATATATCTAATCTATCATCTATCTATCTGTTTTAAAGATTTTTCTGAAAACAATATATACCAATGTTCAAAAATTCAACCTGAAAAATTATAAAGAATGTAAAAAGTTACCCAGAATCCCACTGCCAAGGGTAACAGCTTGAACATTTTGATGATCTCTCTAGATATCTCCACAAAGTTATGTAAATATCTTTATGTTTATGTAACTGTGATCATTCTATACATGATATGCATCCTACTTTTTTTCACCAGCAGTAGATGCATCTTTCCATATCAATAAATACAGTATGTTAAAAACCATCACTTACATTCTATTTATGTATCTACCATAATGTATTTAACAAATCCTTACATATATGAATATATTTTTACATATATATGTAAAAGAATAAATTTTTAAGGCTAGAATCTGGAGTTTTCAGGGACCTACTCATGATTTCTTGCAACTATAGCTTTTCATGCTATATAGGACATGCATTGCAACTATAGCTTTTCATGACTTACAGGGATCCAAAGAGGTTTTCATGGCTCCTAAAGCATCTCAGGCAGCAGAAAGCAGGTAACCTTTACCTTTCCTTGGAGGTGAGGAAGGAATTTGGAAAGAGGATAACCAAATATCCTGGACTATACAGTTCTCAAGAAAACCCAGAGAAAAACTAACAAATTACTGCTTAATACATTAAATATGGTTATGTTTCCAAACCATTGTACTAAACTCATGTTGAATCACTTTTTCTTTCAAAGCGCTTTTGGAGAAAAACATGATAATTGTACAACCAATAGTTCTACAAGTGAAAATCGTGCTTCGTGCTCTTTTTTCCTTCCAAGAATAACGATCCCAGATAATTATACCATTGAGGTGGAAGCTGAAAATGGAGATGGTGTAATTAAATCTCATATGACATACTGGAGATTAGAGAACATAGGTAAGTGTTATTTGATACTCTTATATACTCTTTATTAAATGTTTACCTCCTTCTCTGTTCAAGAGGTATCTGTGGACTCAAAAGTAGGCTCATCAAGTTCAAGGATATGTGTTGTGGGTATACAGAAAATTCATCTTCTAATTAAAGAAGAAAGGAAGTGGGGGAAGGAGGGAAGGAAGGAAGGGAGGGAGGGAGGGAGGGATTCACCAAATGGGAAAAAAGGAATGAGAAACAAAAGCTATTTTGTGGGCCACTGGTTTCCTCTTGTAGTTTGTAATTGCACTCAAAGAAACAAAAAGGTCTCTCCCCACCACCCCACCCTGCCAATGTCATTGCTCATAAACGAAAAGAGCATAAAATTATTATTTTTTAAAATGCCTCACCACTTCTGACTTAAAAAAAAATCTTTTTCAAAGACTAATTTTCACCATATACTTTTAAAATTATAACTGTATTGAGATATAATTCACATTATATAAATTTCACCTTTTTAAAATGTACAGTTCAGTGATTTTTATTGTATTCACAAAGTTGTACATATGTTACCACTGTCTAATTTCAGAACATTTTTATTGCCCTCAAAAGAAAATTCATACCCATTAGCAGTCAGTCCTCAATCCTTTGTTTTCTCTTTCCTCCATTCTCTGGCAACCACTAATCTATTTTCTGCCTGTATGGATTTGCCTATACATTTTATAAAAATATAATATGTGGTCTTTTTATCTAATTTCTTTCACTTAGCATAATGTTTTCAAGGTTCATCAATGTTGTAGCATGTATTAGTGCTTTAATTCTTTTTATAGCTAAATAATATTCCACTGGATGTATATACCACATTTTGTTTACCCATACATCAGTTTATGGACATTTGGCTTGTTGCTACCTTTTGATTATTATGAATAATGTTGCTGTGAATATTTGTATACAATTTTTTGTGTGGACATGTTTCAATTCTCTTAGATATATACCTAGTGAAATTGCTGAGTCACATGGTAACTCAATGTTTAACTTTTGGTAGAACTGCTAAACTTTATCAAAGTGACTGCACCATTTAACATTCCCACTGGCAATTTATAAAGGTTACAATTTCTGCATACCCTCACCAACACTTGTTATTGTCCATCTTTTTTTAATTATAGCCATCCTAGTGGGTGTGAAGTGATACCTTGTTATGGTTCTGATTTGCATTTATCCAATGTCTAATGATATTGAACATTTTTCATGTGTTTATTGGCCATTTGTATATCTTCTCTGGAGAAATGCTTATTCAAATCCTTTGCCTATTTATAATTGAGTTGTCTTTATTGTTGAGTTTTAAGAATTGTTTATATATTCTTGGCACAAGTTCCTTATCAGATATGTAATTTGCAAATATTTCCTCCCTGTTTGTGGGTTTTCTTTTACTTTTTAAATGGTTAAGGTAGAAAAATATTTATATGAAGTCAAAAATGTATATATTTTTTATTTGATTGTTTGTACTTTAGGTGTCATATCTAAGAAACCATTGCCTAACCTGAGGTCAGAAAGATTTACTGCTGTAGTTTTTTCTAAGAGTTTTGAAGTCTTAGTTCCTACATTTGAATTATTGATCCATTTTGAGTTAATTTTTGTATATGGTGTTAAATAGGGGTCTAACTTTATTCTTTTGCATGTGGATATCCAGTTATCTCAGAATCATTTGTTGAAAAGATGATTTCTGACCCCATGGCCCCATCCCACGTTGTTGAATTGTCTTGGCACCTTTGTAAAAATCAATTATTTCACCATAAATGTAAGGTATTTTTCAGGGTCTTCAATTCTATTCCATTGAACTATATTTTTGTAATTAGGCCAATACCACACTGTCTTGATTACTGTAGCCTTATAATAAGTTTTGAAATTGGGAAAGTGAGTCCTCCAACTGTGTTCTTTTTCAAGATTGTTTTAGCTGTTGGGTCCCTTGCATTTCCATATAATATTTTAGTATTAGCTTGTCAATTTCTGCAGAGAAGTCAGCTGTGATTTCAATACGGATATTGTCATCTTCATAATAAACAATCTTCCAATCCATGAACATGGAATATCTTTCCATTTATTTAGGCTGCCTTCAGTTTCTTTCATTAATTTGTTACAGTTTCCAGTGCAGAAGTTGTACATTTCTTTGGTTCAGTTTATTCCAAAGTATTTTATTCTTTTAAATGCTATTGTAAATGGAATTGCTTTCTTAATTTTATTTTCAGATTGTTCATTGTTAGTGTATATAAATACAATTGATTTTTGTATATCGATTTGGTAATTGGCAACCTTGTTGAACTTGTTTATTGGTTCTAATAGGTTTTTTAGGTGGATTCCTTAGGATTGTCTGTATACAAGGTCATGTCATCTGCAAACATAATCTTATTTCTTCCTTTATGATCTGGATACGTTTTATTTTTCTTGACTAGTTGCCTTGTCTAGAACTTTTAGTATAGTGTTGAATAGAAGTGTTGAAAGCAGACATCCTTTTCTTGTTCCTGATCTTAGGGGGAAAGCATCTAGTCTTTCACCATTTAAGTTTGATGTTAGTTTAGCTATGGGTTTGGTAGATACCCATTGCACATTGAGAAAATTTCCTTCCACTCATAGTTTGTTGAGCATTTCCTTATTGTGAATAGGTGTGGGATCTTGTCACATGCCTTTTCTTTATCTGGTGGGATGATCATATGGTTTTGTCTTTTATTAAAATGGTGTCTTACATTGACTGGTTTTCATAAGTTAAACAAACCTTGTATTTCTGTAATAAATTCCACTTGGTTGTGGTGTATAATTCTTTTTATATGTCGCTGAATTTGGATTCCTGGTTTTTTATTGAGGATTTTTGCTCCTATATTCAACATGGATATGGTCTGTAGCTTTCTTGTGATATCTTTGTTTTTGGTATCAGGGTAATATTGGCCTCATAGAATGAGCTGGTAAGTGTTTCCTCATCTTCTATTTTTTGGAAAAGTCTGTGAAAGACTAGTGTTAATTATTTTTAAACCTGTCAATAGATTTCCTCAGTGAAGCCATCTGGGCCTGGGCTTTCTTTGTGGGAAGTTTTTGACTTGGTTTCTTTATAAAACTTTTTTTTTAAGACCTCCCTTTGGAAGACTTACTCCACACTGTAAACATTGGTGTTAATTCATGATGATAGACCTGGAAGGGGACAAGATTATTCACTTTTTCTCAAAAACCTTCATTATTACTATTTTTACTTTCTTAAAATAAATGTATTATTACTTTAGCAATTAAAATATTAAAAAGCAAATTCAGTTACAAAGAAAACTCAAAACAAAACAAAGCAAACTTTCTAGTCCTTCTTTCAACTAGATTTAGTATCTATTTAAATATTCTGTAATTGCCACTGCTTAAAACTTTGAGGAGGAATTTTGGCCTAAATTGATACAATACTGGAATTATAAAATTAAACTCTGAAGAAACTCTGTTTTTATAATATGTTTCTAGGACCTGGTAAAGTGTTGCTAAGTACTAAGATTTTTTTTAATCCTTTAATGAAAGCATTTAATATCAGAATAATAAGCATAATAATTTTATAATAATTAGGTTAGTACAAAAGTAATTGTGGTTTTTGCCATTACTTTCAATAGAACTTTTCTTATTTAAATTCAAGTGGATAGAACTATGACAGTGCTTTTAAGAGCAATTAAAAATATTTTGGGCTGGCGCGGTGGCTCATGCCTGTAATCCCAGCACTTTGGGAGGCTGAGGCGGGCAAATCATGAGGTCAAGAGATTGAGACCATCCTGGCCAACATGGTGAAACCCCGTCTCTACTAAAAATACAAAAATTAGCTGGGCATGGTGGTGCGCACCTGTAGTCCCAGCTACTCGGGAGGCTGAGGCAGGAAAATCACTTGCACTCGGGAAGCAGAGGTTGCAGTGAGCCGAGATCATGCCACTACACTCCAGCCTGGTAACAGAGCAAGATTCCATCTCAAAAAATATATATATTTTGATCTCTAATTGAGATACGTCCTTCCTACCCCCAGTTTACAGTGATAATTTGCTTAAACCTTTTTCACAGATAATGCCGGAGTTTACTTTGGTCCAGCCTCTGACATAAATTATTACAGTTAGTGGTATCTAAATAAATAAACTTTAGCTATGTTTGATATGCATCAGTTTTTGACTTAAAATGTATTCTGTCTGATTTTAGTATGCCCACCCTGCTCTCTTTTGTTTACTATTTGCATGGAACATCTTTTTTCATCCTTTCACTTTCAATCTATTTGTATTTTCAGATCTAAAGTTAGTCTTTGTAGATAGCATATAGTTAGATCTTTTTTTAATTTAAATTTTTTATTTTATTTTTTATAGAGACTTGCTATGTTACTCAGGCTGGTCTTGAACTTCTGGCCTCAAATGAACCCTCTGCTTTGGCCTCCCAAAATGTTGAGATTACCAGCATAAGCCCTTGTGCCCAGCCAGTTGGATTTTTTTTTCTTTAATTATCTGCTGATCTGTGTATTTGGGTTGGAGAGTTTAACCTATTTACATTTAAAGTAATTGTTGATAAGGAAGGACTTACTTTTGACATTTAAAATTTTTTCTTTTATATTTTATAGCTTTTTTATCCCTCTTTTTTTCATTATTGTCTTCTTTTGTGTTTAGTTGATTTCTTTGTGGTGACGTGTTTTGATTTCCTTTGGTGTATTTTCTATAGATACTTTCTTTGAGATTACCATGGGGACTACAAATAGCATCTAAAGTTATAACAATCTAATTTGAAATGATATCAACTTAACTTCAATTGCATATAAAACTCTACTCCTACACAGCTTCATTCCCCATCCCCATTTTATGTCATTGATGTCACAAATTACATCTGTATCCACTGTATACCATAAAGCTATAATTGTTTTTCATACATTAGTCTTTTAAATTCTTTGGAAAATAAAAAGAGGAATTATAAACCATAATTACAATAATACTAGCTTTTATATTTGCTTGTGTATTTATACTAGAGATCTTTATATCTTCATCTGGCTCCAAGTTAATGTCTAGTGTCCTTTCATTTCAACCTGAAGGACTCCTTTTAGCATTTCTTATAGGGCAGGCCTATTGGTAATGAACTCTCTCAACTTTTATTTATTTTGGAATGTCTTAATTTCTCCCTCATTTTTGAAGAATAGTTTTGCCAGGTATGTAATTCTCAGTTGACAATTTTTTTTCTCTTTCAGCACTTTAAATGTATTATCCCACTGCCTTCTGGGCTCTAAGGTTTTTGCTGATCTTAGTTGAAGATCCATTGTATGTGATGAGTTGTATCTCTCTTGCTGCTTCCAAGATACTGTCTTTGTCTTTCTGGGGTTTGGTTGTAATGTGTCTTAGTGTGGGTCTCTTTGGGTTTATCCTACTTGGTATTCACTGGGATTCTTGGATTTGTAGATTTGTGTATTTCATCACATTTGGGGACTTTTTAGCTACTATTTCTTCAAATAATCTCTCCACCACTTCCTCTCTCTCTTCTCTTTCAGAAACTCCCAAAATGTGTTTATTGGTTGGCTTGATCCTGTTCCACAGCTCCCTTAGACTCTGTTTATTTTTCCTTATATTTTTTCTTTCTGTTCCTCAGACTCAATACTTTCAGTTGTTCTATCTTCACATTTACTGATTGTTTCTTATGCCTGCTTAAGTTTACTGCTGAACCCCTGTAGTGAATTTGTATTTCAGGTACTGTGATTTTCAACTTCAGAGTTTCTGTTTGCTTCTTTTAAAAAAATAATTTATATATTTTTGTTGATATTCTCATTTTGTTCATGTATTATTTTCCTGATTTCCTTTAGTTATTTGTCCATGTTTAACTTTAGCTCTTTGAACATATTTAAGGTGATCATTTTAGGGTCTTGGTCTAGAAATTCTGATGGCTGGGCTTCCTCAAGGACAGTTTCTGTGGATTTGTTTTGTTTACTTAAATGGGCCATGTTTTCCTGTTTCTTTGTATGCCTTGCAATTTTTGTTGTTGTTGTTAAAAATTGGGCATTGGAAAAAACAGCTACCTCTCCACGTCTTTGCAGACTGACTCTGTGCTGGGGCTGTTCTTCATAGATTAGCTGGGCTTACTCTGAGCCTAGGGATCAGCCCAAGGTGAAAACTTAAAGTCTTCTCAGTTCTTTTCTGAGTATACATCTTGTGTAGGCCTGGCTGGTGCTTTCTCAGTTACACTGTATATACACACAGCTGCTTTTTTTTCTTCTTTTTTTGAGACAGGGTCTGGCTCTGTTGCCCAGGCTGGAGTTCAGTGATGCCATCATAGCTCATGGCAACCTCCCCTTCCTGGTCTCAAGCCATTCTCCCACCTCAGCCTCCCAAGTGGCTGGGACTACAGGCACACACCACACCTGGCTACTTTTTATATTTTTTTGTAGAGGTGGCATTTCACCATGCTGCCCAGGCCAGTTTCAAACTTCTGAGCTCAAGTGATCTGCTTGCCTCAGCCTTTCAAAGTGTTGGGATTACAGGTGTGAGCCACTATGCCCGGCCACAGCTGCTTTTGAATGTCTTAATTTCCCAAAGAGTCTTACCCAGTTTCTCCTTATGATTTTATATAATTTATTGTATGTCTGCATACATAATCTCTTGCCCCAGGCTTCCATGTGTCTGTAGTCTCCCTGTAGCTTTTATGAGCAGTGCCTGGCTCTTTTCCTGCCTGAGATTAAAGTTAGGCAAAACAGAGACCAGTCGTTTAGTCTGCCCTCAGACAGGCTGGAATATAAGTAAGTGTGCTCTGTTCTCTTTAGTTGGTAGAAGGGAAATAGGACCTGAGATGCCACCTTCTTCAAACCAAGACCACTGATGTTTCAGGGAGAGGGTGGGGCAAGGGCAAGTAAGACAGCCACAAAACTATTTTCCTGCCACTTTGAAGGTGACTTTGTCTTGATTTGGTGTTTATAATGGTTATAAACCTTGGGTTGATTTCCAGAGCTCCTACAAGTTTAGTTCAGCCAGTTTCTGTCCTTTTTTTTTTTTTTTTTTTTTTTTTGAGATGGAGTGTTGCTCTATCACCCAGGCTGGAGTGCTGTGGCGCGATCTTGGCTCAATGCAACCTCCGCCTCCCAGGTTCAAGCGATTCTCCTGCCTCAGCCTCCCAGGCAGCTGGGACTACAGGCACGCACCACCATACCCAGCTATTTTTGTATTTTTAGTAGAGACAGGGTTTCACCATGTTGGCCAGGATGGTCTTGATCTCCTCACTTTGTGATCCACCTGCCTCAGCCTCCCAAAGTGCTGGGATTACAGGCATGAGCCTCCAAGCCCAGTCCAGTCTTTTTTTTTTTTTTTTCAATGTTTTCATGGGAGAACAAGAACTTAGAGCTACCTAGTCTGCCATTTTGCTGATGTCACTTGATATAAATCAGTTCTTAATGAGATATTCTGAGAGCTATTTTTATTCAGAGGAATAACTAATACTTTCTATCTCCTTGGTTATAGAGTATTAGAGTTAAGTGGAACTACAGTAGGTATTTGTGTTTATTCTGACTGGAGGTGGTTAGTGTAATGAACAAGGGCAGAAACTTTGGTGTGGATACAAATGAGTCTTAGATTGGCTTCTTATTAGAAAGTTATTTTCCCTTTTCCAATACCAGTTTTATCTTCTGTAGAATGGATATAATAAATGTTAGGTGGTTGAGAGGATTCAACAAAATGATTCACCTAAAAAAATACTTATCAAGTGCTCAATACATATAAATAATTTTATGGAAATACTTAATATGTCTATTGTATACAGCTCTACTTACTAGTGGCCACACGGATTGATGACCACCCTTTAGTCCAGGCATCAGTACAAATTATTTTTTGAGTAGCTACCAAGAGTTTTCTGAATATTTTTACCCAGTTAATGTTTTAAAGTCCATGTCTCTAAGTAGGGATTTTGCTTTCTAAAACTCTTCAAGAATTACAAAGACCCCATTCTCCATGATGTGATTATTTTACATTGCATGCCTGTATCAAAACAGCTCATATGTCCCATAAATATACACACCAACTATGTACTCAAAAAATTAAAAATTTTAAAAATTAAAAAAAGAATTACAAAGACTAAAAAGATAATACTATTCAATTCTAGCTAGCAAGAGTCTGGTGAGATGGGTATTCATACAATGTTGATGGAAACTGAAATTGGTATAACCTTTCTGGAAAGCTAAATGGCACTGTGTGACAGCAGCCCTAAACATGGTCATGCCCTTTTACCCAGTCAGCCTCTGCTAAGGGGTCTAGGGAAACCACCAGAGATGTAAAGGAAAATTCAACCATCATCCATTTACTCATTCACTTAACAAATATTTGATACCTGCTAAATGTCAGGTGTTAATTCTAGACTCTGTGATCAAGACCAGCCTTTGTCCTCAAGGAGTTTTAAATGAAAAATTAGAAACACTATTGTTAGCGGTGGAAGTTATCTGAGTTACCAGCAGCAAATCCGTATGGGTCTGCAGCAACCTCAGTTCTTGCCTCCTCGGAAGAAAGAATTCAACTGAGGGGCATACGACAGAAGAAGAAACTGAGGCACGTTTTAGAGCAGGAGTGGAAGTTTATTAAAAAGCTTTAGAGGCCGGGCGCGGTGGCTCATGCCTGTAATCTCAGCACTTTGGGAGCCTGAGGCGGGCGGATCACGAGGTCAGGAGCTTGAGACCGTCTTGGCTAACATGGTGAAACCTTGTCTCTACTAAAAATACAAAAAATTAGCTGGGCGTGGTGGCAGATGCCTGTAGTCCCAGCTACTAGGGGGGCTGAGGCAGGAGAATGGCGTGAACCCGGAAGGCGGAGCTTGCAGTGAGCCGAGATCGCGCCACTGCACTCCAGCGTGGGTGACAGAGCAAGGCTCCATCTCAAAAAAAAAAAGAAAAAGATAAAGAAAAAGAAAAAAAAGCTTTAGAGCAGGAATGGAAAGAAGGAAGAAGGTAAAGAACACTTGGAAGAGGGCCAAGTGGGCATCCTGGAGGTCAAGTGCCCCGTTTGACCTTGGACTTTTCTGCGCCTTGGGTTTTCTACGCCGGCCTACTTCCGGCACCTTGCGTCCCATTTCCCTTGATTCTTCCCTTACGGTGAGCTGCCCACTTGCACGGCGGCCTGCTAGAACTTAGGAGGTGAGCATGCGCAGTGTATTTACTGGAGTCGTACGCATGCTCAACTGAGGCGTTCTTCCCTTTTCCATTGGAATGCCCCCAGAAGCTCATATACCAGTTAAACTCTGCCATTTTGCCTCTTAATGGCCATGCTTGAGCCCACTCGCCCAGTTCCTGAGATTTTTTTTTTTTTTTTTTTTTTTTTTTTTGAGACAGAGTCTCACTGTGTCGCCCAGGCTGGAGTGTGGTGGTGCAATCTGCCACCTCTGCCTACTGGGTTCAAGTGATTTTCCTGCCTCCTGAGTAGCTGGGATTATTGGCGCCCGCCACCATGCCCGGCTAATTTTTGTATTTTTAGTAGAGATGGGGTTTCACTATGTTGGCCAGGCTGGTCTTGAACCCCTGACCTCCTGATCTGCCTGCCTCAGCCTCCCAAAGTGCTGGGATTACAGATGTGAGCCACTGCGTCCAGCCCAATTCCTGAGATCTTACTGGGGAGCTGCCAATCACCAGTTACAGGTGTTTTTATATATTGGGAAACTGCCTTTCCCTGGTGCTGGCTACAGCCAATTATTAGGTTTGCAAGGCAGCGTGACAATGGTCTGAGCATCACCTGATGGTCACCTGACTTTCCTGGTGGGGTGTAGGGGGAGCCCTCTCCTGTCCTTCTCATGCCTGATTAGCTACCTACTGTAATACCATGAATGTGCGATAATAGAACATAAGTCAAAAAATTATGTTCATTCATAAAGTAGAATATTATGAACCTTAAAAATCATGTTTTGAAGAATTATTAATACAAAGGGATATATGCTGATTGCATAATGTTATTTTTAAAAAACAAAAGCTTTATTTAGCGTAATACCAATTTTGTTAGAAGATAATGCAAATAATTATACGGAAAACGGCTGAAAGGAAATATAACAAAATGGTAATAAGGGTTATCTCTGGTTGATGGGATAATGGATGATTTTTAGTTTTTCTTTGTATTTTTCTACACTTAAAAAATGTTGTATAATAAGCATATGCTACATTTATAACTAGAAAAATGCATATTTTCAAAGAGAGAAATTTAAGGCTAAAATGTTTGCAGTGTGCAAGGAAAATGAGAGTTATTTTCTAGTGTTTATAGTGGGTATTCCATCATCCTAGGGGTCAAGGAAGGAGAGGCCTAGGGGAGGTGAGAGTAAATAAGAGAGACAGCCTATTTTCTGGTTGTGTGGTCTCTTTTTACCTCCCTTCTGCTTGGCATAGCATATGACCAATCAATAAGAGGCTGATTTGCTGAAAAATCACAGGAATGCATCCTTCTCTCACTGGGTATTCCTTTTTCAGAGGTGTTGGGGTTGGGGGGGTGACATTCCTTTTGTACTGCCTTGCAAATGCCATCTTCGTTCCATATAGCAGACCACAATGCACGTATCATTTTTTTTCAATTTTGGGTGGATGCTATTAGCAAATTCTTATCTTTTTGCAGATATGAGAGTTGTATGATTTTTATTTTCAGCGAAAACTGAACCACCTAAGATTTTCCGTGTGAAACCAGTTTTGGGCATCAAACGAATGATTCAAATTGAATGGATAAAGCCTGAGTTGGCGCCTGTTTCATCTGATTTAAAATACACACTTCGATTCAGGACAGTCAACAGTACCAGCTGGGTAAGTTATGCCATTATAATAATATTCCAATTAGAGGCCCAGAGGAAAAGAATCATTGACAACTATTGTTGACCTGGAATCATTATTTCACTTTTTACATTAAAAATAGAAGAGAGACATTGCTAAGTACTTCTCCTTCCAGTTTTCCATTTTTCCATCTGGACCTTTTAGATTGGAAGGGTGTTCTACAATAGGCATTTTTGCCTTCTGAGCACAGGGACATAATAAAGAGTGAGAAATTTACTTCTGCATTATATCCAAGTTTGTGTCTGGCTATGTTGGCTACCAGAGAGTCTATGGTTTGGCCATTTTATTTTTTATTTTTCTGACCTTTTATAAAATCATGAGGTATAACATACATTTGGAAAGGTGAACAAAACGTAATATTACATTTAACAAATTATTATTAAGTCAGTGCTCATGTAGAAACCACTGCGGCCAAGAATAGAACTTCTCCAGGATGCCAGAGCCCCCTGCTTACCCTTTGCTCATGACCTCTGTTAGAGCTGTTACCCTGATTTTCATGGTAATCTTCTTTGCTTTCATTTTTTACCATTTAAGGCTGCATCACTGAAGAACATAGTTTAAGAGACTATGCCCTGTTTCCTTGAGTCCCAGGATGAAGAAGCGCCCAGTAGAAATAGAGGAGGAGCATATAAAGGGAATCCATATATTTTGTATTTTCTAATGTTTGGCTTCTATCTCTCAATATTGTGCTTTTAAGACTTATTCATGCTATATAATGCTGTAGTTTATACATTTTCATTGCTGTGTAGTATCTCATAGTATGAACATGATGGAATGGTGGCTTTAATTTGCATTTACCTGACCTTTAATGAAGTTACACACCTTTTCACATGTTTATTGGCCCTTTGGATTCCTTCTTCTGGAAGCGCTGATTTAAGCCTTTTGCATGTTTTTTCTATTGGCTGGTCTGCCTGATTTTTCAATTGATTTGTAGGCATTCCTTACATATTCTATTTATGAGTCTTTTATTTGTTACGTGTATTGCAAACATCTTTCACTATGTGGCATGACGTTTCACTCTCTTAATGGTGACTTTTGAGGAATAGTCACTTAATTTTAATATGGTTAGAGTTTTATCAGTCTTTACCTTTATGCTTAATGCCTTTTGTGTCTTAGGAAATGTTTTCTTACCTCAAAGTCAAGAAAATATTCTGCAGTTTCCATCAATGCAGCCTGAAATTGTATCACCTTTTTGTAATCATCTCATATTTATTGCCTTTTTATAAATTTTAGACAGGGTCTCACTCTGTTACCCAGGCTGGAGTGCAGTGGTGTGATTGCAGCTCATTGCAGCCTTGAACTCTTGGGCTCAAACGATCCTCCTGCCTCAGCCTCTCGAGCAGCTAGGACTACAGGCATATGCCACCATGCCTGGCTGATTTTTAAATTTTTTTTGTAGTGTTGCCCAGGTTGGTCTGGAACTCCTGGTCTTAAGTGATCCTCCTCTCTCAGCCTCCCAAAGTTCTGAGATTACAGGTGTGAGCCATCATGAGCAGACACATTATTGACTTTTAATCAACTATTAGCCAATTAAATCTTTAAGACTTTTTACCTCCTGAAGACTTGCCAGTAAAACATACCTCTACTATCTTATCATTTGTTGGTTTTTAACCTAAGTTCAGGTGTTTTATTTATTCTTATTGAATGTCTTCATGTTGGTCTTATCTATCATTCCAGCCTATTTAGAATCCTGTTTGGTCACCCAAAACTTATGATTAACTTTTTACTTTTTAACTTTTCAGTATCCCCAGATTTGATAACACTTCCTTCTATACCTTTATCTAATTATTAATAAAAATGGTGACTACATCAGAGCCCTGTGGTAAACCAGTAGAAACCATCCAGAGGATCAACCCCTCCTTTGGATATGGTCATTTATTCAGGTTTCTATGAATATACCTAATTACCACTATCATCATTCAGCCTACTTTTTTTTATCTTGTCCAGGAGGCTATCATGCGACCCTTTCCCTTGTGGAAACCCATAGACACCCTGTTTACTGCAGCATGCTCTCCTTGTCTGGAACTCTTTCAGAAAAGCATTATTTGTCCTATTGTTGCAGAATTTTTGCTCCTTAGTTCAGCTAAATCCGGGTTCTTGTGTCAACAGGAAAAATTAGGCACGTGGACACATTGAAGGGTGAGGAGAGAGGAATTTATTGGGCGAAAAGGAAAAAAGAGAAAAAAATTCTCAGCAAAGCGAGATGGGCTCCTGCTAACAGGCTACCACCTCACAGACTGAATACCAGGCCACCACACAGGAGCTAAAGAGGCCAGGCTCCTTCCCCCTGCACAAAGCGTGAACTTCCCGTGGCTCCACCCCATTCTCCCAGTGCACAGGCGGGTCCCCAGTCTGTTGTCGACATGCGCGGACAAGACCCTGGGCAGGTTTCCTCATCTACACAAAAGCATCTGATGTAAACACTTGGGCGGGTCAGAGATTCTCTGGGAACCCCCCTTATCTGCCTTCTGCCTCTATCACTGTGTTCAGAGAGATGATAATGGCCACTTCTCCCCCCAGCTTCCTTTCTAAGCCAGCTCTGGAACCATTCTCTTTGAACCTGCCTACATGGAACATTAGATTCATTAATTGTAGTTTGGGGAACCCCTAAGCAGAGCAGTCCCCGGTATAGCACAAGCTCCTCTTCATACCACATGTCATGGTCTCCGTGAACCTGAGAAACTTCTGGGATAGTCTACTGGCTATAAACCCTTAATTCCTTCTATTTGGCTGAGTGCAGAGTTACTACAGCTGCTGGGGGATAGGATTCAACAAGAAAAATAAACCAGGACCAGAGTCCCTCTGGAAAATTACTATACCGCATATAACACTAAGTGAGGGCAACGGGTATAAACTACCCAACCCTTGGCATCCTGTACCCCGTATCTTTAACAAACTCACCCACATCTGTACTCATCTTTGCTTCCTGCCAGTCCCAGAGGTAAAATGTCCTGCCTCCTGTTTTCCTGGAGGATGCAGGAAGGAAGGTGGAAGTCTGTACTACTCTTTCTCTCTCCTTAGCTAGCTTGCTTGCTTGCTTGCTTGCTTTTTTTTTTTTTTTTTTTTTTTGAGGTGGAGTTTCACTCTTGTTGCCCAGGCTGGAGTGAATGGCATGATCTTGGCTCACTGCAACCTCCACCTCCGGGGTTCAAGTGATTCTCCTGCCTCAGCCTCCCAAGTAGCTGCGATTACAGGCTTGTGCCACCACACCTGGCTAATTTTTTGTATTTTTAGTAGAGATGGGGTTTCACATGTTGGTCAGGCTGGTCTCGAACCCCTGACCTCAGGTGATCCACCTGCCTCAGCCTCCCAAAGTGTTGGGATTATGGGCATAAGCCACCATGCCTGGCCTTCTCCTTAGCTTTCAAATACAAGCAGTTATCCTCAGTTGCAATCCCAGCTAAACCCAACTCTGCTCTTCCCAACCTTCTATCAAAGATTTCCATTGTTGATGGAAAAGGGTCCAAATTATTAACTCTGTGAGACCTGGCATCTACCGATCCCTTCACGCTCTTGCTCTTGCCTCTCTGGTCATTCTGAATTGCTTGTTTCCCTTGCATCATGTTCTCTCACTCTTTCTGTGCCTTTCCTAGAACACCCTCTGCTTTTGCACCTCTCCTGCCCCAATCTCCACCTTTCAGAACTCAGGCCTGACATATTTCCTTCTGAGGGCCTGGGCCTGGTCCCTCCTCTGCATGCTTCTGTCATTGCACTTAACAGCAATGCATTTCAACTTTCTCTTCCAGTTACACTGTAAATTCTTCAAATGCAGGGACCTTAGTTTTCATCTGTTTTCCCTTTGCCTGGTGCATGCCTGTGCTCAATAAATATTTGTTTAAATGTAGCCATGTAAAACTAATGCTAAAATTCCAACATGTCCGTTTAACAAGACCCATATTTGTATGATATTATGAGTAACAAAGAGCTTCCTTATACTCCAAATTATTTAATCCTTGCAAATATCCTGTAATTGAGGCCTTGCTATCCCCATTTTTGCAGATTAGGAAATCAAGATGTTGAAAGCTTAAATCATCTATTCAAGATCACAGGGCTTGTCAGTTGCAAACCTAAGCTCAGGTTTTCTGTCTCCCAGGTTTGCCATCCATGTGACCTTACCTCAACACCCTCCAGATTCTTTTGTGGCCCTAGTCTAAAGGGTTTGCACCTTTGTATAATAAAGCCATGTGAGCCTCTTAGAAAGGGATCTCAAAAGTATTTTAAGAATTTGATTTATGGACTGGGTGCAGTGGCTCACGCCTGTAATCCCAGCACTTTGGGAGGCCGAGGTGGGTGGATCACCTGAGATCAGGAGTTAGGGACCAGCCTGGCCAACATAGTGAAACCCTGTCTCTACGAAAAATACAAAAAAATTAGCCGGGAATGGCCGGGCACGGTGGCTCACGCCTGTAATCTCAGCACTTTGGGAGGCTGAGGCGGGTGGATCACAAGGTTAGGAGATCGAGACCATCCTGGCCAACACGGTGAAACCCCGTCCCTCTAAAAATACAAAAAATTAGCCGGGCGTGTTGGCAGGCACCTGTAGTCCCAGCTACTCGGGAGGCTGAGGCAGGAGAATGGCATGAACCCAGGAGGTGGAGCTTGCAGTGAGCCGAGATCGCCACCGTACTCCAGCCTGGGTGACAGAGCAAGACTCTGTCTCAAAAAAAAAAAGAAAAAATTAGCCCGGCGTGGTGGTGCGGACCTGTAGCCCCAGCTACTGGGGAGGCTGAGGCAGGAGAATCGCTTGAACCCGGGAGGCAGAGGTTGCAGTGAGCCAAGATCGTGCCACTGCACTCCAGCCTGGGCAACAGAGTCAGGGAAAAAAAAAAAAACAAAAAACCACACACACAGAATTTGATTTAGGTTTTGTATCAGAACTTCTGACTCATCTATTAAGACAAACACTTTGGGTGAGTTAGGATTTGGCACAAAGCATAGATTGTTAACAGTGAACATGATGAAGCTAATTAATGTTTTAGTAGGGTTCCATTGCCTGTGCAGAGTTGGGGAAGTTTTGGATCTAAGCCTGTATATAAAGGATCAATTGATCCTGGATCCTGTCGGAGCCAGAGGCACCTTGGCTGGACAAAATAACAAAGTAAAGGAGCCTTACAGGCACCTTGATTAAAAGACTGAGCAGCCGTTTCATCTTCTCTGAGGCCGGGGCTGGGAGGAAGAGGCTTCCGTGGCTACATTAGGCAGAACTTTCTGTGTAATGTACGTGATGAGAACCACTACACAGGCTGAGCATGTGCTAAGGGTACAACAAAGCAGGAGGAAAAATTGAAAGGTTAAAAAGAAGAATATTATATATTTTTTAAAGCATGACAAGTAAAATAGAGGTTTATTAGACTTCCTTACACTTGCTGTATGGATTAGTATTTTTATTTTAAATCACATATGGAGGGCACCATGTGGTTGGGCCTTTCCTGGCAGTCTTAATCCTGTTCTAGTTGGATCCCTAACTAACAACAGGCTGTCTCAAGTTACTCTCTCCACAACCCTAGTCTGCCATCACAGCATCTCCGGGGCCTGTTTGAAGAGGATGCTCAGGGAACCTGGGATTTAGCCCCCAAAGTGTCATTGCCTCTTCTTGTTCCACCTCCATCTCACCAGGCTGGGAGTTCCAAAGTCCATCTGCGGCTGTCAGCTTTCTGCCATAGACACATATCCTCCTTCTGCCCAATTTCCTTAAAGCACAGGAGCTGCAATTAGGTACTAATTTTCACAGCTGGGACATAGATGCAAGTAGTATCAGGACTTCCTTCTCTTGCAGGATCCATGGGACGATGCTGTGTGCATACTAGTTAAATAGACATGCCTATTAGTGCAGTTTATTTTTTTATTAATCAGCTCAAAATAAGCTTTATAAACCTTTAGGCTTTGGGTTTTATAAACTTTAGGTTTATAAAGCTAATATTGAGCTAAATGTTTATATTGAACTAAAGGTTTATATTGCAGCAACAATGACTGTGCTCAGAAAAGGAATAGCTAAATGTTTAGTTTCTCTTGGAGAGCTGAGTCCCAGAAATTATATAAAGCAACACCTTCACTTTACCAATGAGAAGCTGACATCTAGAGAAAATAACTGATTTTATTTACCTCTTTCCTCCCCAAGAGAGTATCAAAATTAATTTATACATTCAGGCCATTGAGACTTTCAGCAGCTTGACTGGTCACCCAAAGACCAGTGCTTTGAAGTGAAAGATTTGGGTAAAACGAAAAAGCCGAGGAGTGAAGAAATCTGTGTTCTGATCCTATTCTGTAGATCTTCTAACTTTCATTTAAATGGTTATTTAACTTTCCTGGGTCTCGTGGATGACGTGAGGATTGCATTTGATGCAGCTAAGGTCTCTGTTTCTGCTGTTCCATGAGGCAGTATCTCTAGGTGTTGGAGTCACCTCCTAGGCCCAGGTTGCCCTGGGTCATGAGGCTTGCGTCTTCTAGAACAGCAAGCAGCAGAGCTCTGCTCACCCAGACCAGGCCAGAGGCAGGAATCTCTGCCCCATAAGCTTAGATACAGGAAATGGGAAGGGAGTTGGTGGTTCATGGGGATGTTCATATCTGTGTAGGTACCAATTGTTCCCAGGCACATATGGAAGTCTGTTAATAAAAATGATATATTTTAAAATTTGATTTAGAGTGTTACTAGTTCTAAAAATGTAAAAGTACACTAGGTAGTGAAGAGGAAAATGGGAGGATAACGTGTGGTCTCCATTTCAGTTTAGGATTGTCTCTGTCTTGTAGATGGAAGTCAACTTCGCTAAGAACCGTAAGGATAAAAACCAAACGTACAACCTCACGGGGCTGCAGCCTTTTACAGAATATGTCATAGCTCTGCGATGTGCGGTCAAGGAGTCAAAGTTCTGGAGTGACTGGAGCCAAGAAAAAATGGGAATGACTGAGGAAGAAGGCAAGCTACTCCCTGCGATTCCCGTCCTGTCTGCTCTGGTGTAGGGCTGCTTTGGGCTAGACTTGGTGGGGTTTGTCACCACCTGGTTGGGAATCATGGAATCTCATGACCCCAGGGGCCCCCTGTACCATCGAGAGTGAGCCTGCACAACTTTGTGCCCCAAAGGCAAAGGATCACATTTTAATACTCATGAGGTTCTTATACTATACATGAAAGGGTATCATATCATTTGTTTTGTTTTGTTTTGTTTTTGAGATGGAGTCTTACTCTGTCACCCAGGATGGAGTGCAGTGATGTGATCTCGGCTCACTGCCACCACCACCTCCCGAGTTCAAGCAATTCTTGTGCCTCAGCCTCCCAAGTAGCTGGGATTACAGGGGCCCACGACCATGCCCGGTTGATTTTTGTATTTTTAGTAGAGAAGGGATATCACCATGTTGGCTAGGCTAGTCTTGAACTCCTGACCTCAGGTAATCTGCCCACCTTGACCTCCCAAAGTGTTGGGATTACAGGCGTGAGCCACTGTGCCCCGCCAGTATCATATCATCTGAAGGTATCCTGTGATAAATTAAAGATACATATTGTGAATCCTGGAGCTACTACTCAAAAAATAAATAAAGGTGTAACTAATACAATTTAAAAAATCACATTTTTAATGACAGTGAGGAAAGGAAAGAGGCATGGATTGCAGGTTGATGGAGTGCTTACTAAGTGTCAGTATGGTCATTAAGAGCAACGCTTCCAGTCAGTGGCCTTGGCTTAAATCCCAAGCCAGGTGTCTTTGGGCAAGATACCTAAACTCTCAGTTCATTCTCAGCAGTTTCCTCGCATTTATTCCCCTTTTCTATATTGAAATAGAATATGTAAGTTGAGTTTATAGTAGTACCTATTTTTTAGTATTATTTTAAAGATTAAATGAAATAATGTGTTTAGCCCATAGTAGATATTCACTAACTGCTAGACTTCCTATTCTTATTATTTATCCTCCTACTATTATTTTTAATCCTCCTTAAAGCACTATAAAATATGTAGAGTCACTCCCATTTTGGAAATGAGGAAACTGAGTTTCAGAGATGCTAATAAACAGCTCAGGGTCACTCAGCATGTGTTACTTTTCTCAAGAGCCTTGCCCAGAGTCTGACCCTCAGTGGACGATCAATAAATGTGTGATGAATGTATCAGTTTTCTATTGCTGCTGTAACAATACAAATTTAGTGGCTTAATGCAACACTAATGTATTCTTTCATAGCTCTGGAAGTCAGATGTCCAAAATCAGTTTCACTGGGCTAAAGTCAAGATGTCAGCAGGGCCATTTCCTTCTGAGACTCTGAGTGGAGAATCTGTTTCCTTGCCTTCTCCAGCTTCTAGTGGCTGCCTGCATTCTTTGGCTTGTGGTCCTTCTTCCATCTACAATACTTATCCCCCCATCATCACATCACCTTTCCCCACTCTTGTGTGTCAAACCTCTCTGCCTCCCTCTTATAAGGACTTTTGTGATCACAGTTAGGACCCACCTGGCTAATCCAAGATAATGTTCCCATCTCAAGATCATTAACTTAATCACATCTGCAAAGTCCCTTTTACCATATAAGGAAACATTTACAGGTTCCAGGGATTTGGACAAGATTTTTTTTTTTTTTTTTTTTTTTTTTTTTTTTGAGATGGAGTCTCGCTTTGTCGCCCAGGCTGGAGTGCATTGGTGTGATCTCCGCTCACCGCAAGCTCCGCCTCCCAGGTTCACACCATTCTCCTGCCTCAGCCTCCCGAGTTGCTGGGACTACAGGTGCCCACCACCACGCCTGGCTAATTTTTTGTATTTTTACTAGAGATGGAGTTTCACCGTGTTAGCCAGGATAGTCTTGATCTCCTGACCTCATGATCTGCCCGCCTCAGCCTCCCAAAGTGCTGGGATTACAGGCATGAGCCACTGTGCCCGGCCTGGACAAGATATTTTGAGGGCCATTTTTCAGCCTAACAGTAAATGAATGACTAATTGGATGAATACTTGGTGATGGCCACACATCTTCTTCTGAATGATGGACAAGAAATTTTAAAATGCCCACCCTTCTAACCTTCCTCTGAGGCTTTAACCTTATTTATTTATAAGGGATGTGAGTTTTAGAATATGAACTCCCCCCATGGCCATGATTTCAGGCCTCATGATTTCAGGTGGTTTAGGGATACCCATATTGTAATAGAAAATTAGATTTCAGTCTCATACCCAAGTTGCAGACTGGTCTCAGATAACATCTGGGGTCAACTTCTGTGCTACCTCATCCACACAATAATGATTTATTCCTTTGGATCCTGGTTGAGTTTCCAGTATTAACACTAGTATTAACAGATGTTTGGTGCATTCACCACTATGGTCAGATGCCTGGAACCAATTTGATGCCTTCTGAATTTTGTGTTCCCCACTGGAGATGTTCATGCAGTATCATTTAGCAAATAGTTCTCTTCCTTTGCCTCACTTTTCAGCAGGCAAGCTGATGATTAAGTGCTCCCTTGGGTGCCATTGTGTTTTGCCTAGCTCTTCCCCTGCCATGGCTGTCACTCTTCTTTCTAGTGACCTCCTGGTGCCATCGTGGCTCAGAGTCTCAAGCTTATCACAGACCAGCCAGTCCCTCGTGTCAGTTTTCTCAGCTTGTTTTGCTGCCAGAAAAAAGATTTGCTATTTCATCTGATTTATTAGTTCAGCTAGCTTGATTTAATTAGCAAACACTTATTTATCAAAGTCACCACTAGAGAACTTTTGCTTTTGTCCTTCTTCATTTTTTCAGGATCCCAGAAGAAACTGATTAAAATGCACCCCCCAGCCAATCCTCATTTCTTGTTTTCAAATTTATAAAGCGTGTGTTTTCCTATTTCAATGAAATGCCATTTGTTTAATGCGTACCACTTCAAACCTCTCTAATTGTTTCAAAACATGTATTCTAAGTTGAATGTGAAGCACTGCCTATTTTATTTTGGATTTCAATATATTGATTATTAGAGTTACTTACCTATATTTAGGCATTTAAATATCTACTCACTACATGATACAGAAATAATTTGATTCAAATCCTGGCTTTATTTCTTAAACGCTTATGATATTGAATACCTGCTTAATTTCTCTGTGCTTCAGAAATGATGATTAGTAACATTATTGCTGTATCTGATTACAGGGCTGTGGGCATTAAATGAGAAAATTCAGAGAAACTGACACTTGCTAAGAGCTAGCTTGTATTATTGTTGGTCTCTAGCAGGGGCACCTGCACATGTCTAACTGCTGCTGGTTGTGGGGATGCCCATACTGTCATAGAAATGGTATAGCATCAATTGTTGCTGCATCAGTCCAGACAATTGATGCCTTTGAATATGTAGACATTTTGGTTGATTTGGAAAATTTTAATTTTTTTTTCAGAGTCCTTACATTTCCCCCTTTGATTAAACTGAAAATCCATGATCAATTTACGGTTAATGGAAAGCTGGCTATAATAACTATAGAAGACTTACATGGTAGTGAGGCAGCAGTTTCACTAACAGCTGCATCTGTGGGAAGTCTATACTGAGAAGACTGTCTCTCTTTGGACCATATTTGCAGGAAATAGTGGCCTCAATGAAAGAAGAAAATATCAATTTAAACTCATTTATTATTACCATCTACAAAAACAAAATGGCTGCCTATGAGATAATTTTTTTTTTTTTTTTTTTTGAGACGGGGTCTCACTCTGTCACCCAGACTGAAATGTAGTGGTGAGATCTCAGCTCACTGCAGCCTCCGCCTCCCAGGCTCAAGTGATCCTCCCACCTCAGCCTCCCGAATAGCTGGGACTACAGGTGTGTGCCACCATGCCTGGCTGCCTATGGGCTAAATCCAAGAAGAATTTCACTCATATTTCTAGTCAAGTGCCTGGAATGATTATTTAATAATCAGTTTAGCTTTGCCTGTATCTATCCTTGAGATGAATATTTAGGACTGGGTAGTAATGAACACCTTGTCTTTAGATTTTTTTTTTTTTCTTACTCTCAATATTACTGGCCTTAAGTTTGACTCTCCACATGATTGGAACAGAGAGATTCTGCACGTGAGAGATGGAGTAAAGGTCCCTCTAATCCTGCGGGTTTCCTTGGAAGGTCTAATGACTTTGTAGTCCTGTACAAAGGCTGTCTTCTGGGAGGAACTTGGCCACTGCTTACATCTCACTGGCTTGTAGACAGGGTGAAACCAGCCTGTTGCTTCCTGTCTGAGAAATTTGAGTACCGGCTGTCCTGTCTTATGATTCAATAAAAGCCTTTGAGAAATCAGAAAACTCATGGCAGAGCTTTTGAGACAACACCTCAGTGGGATTCAGATGAAATAATATGTAAAGTCAACACAGTTCAATATCCTTATAAGCAATTCTAATGGAATTGCATTTATCTCATTGGGAGATCCTGGGCCTAACAGCTAGACTGTGTTAACTAGACTTTGGCTTCTGCAAGAGTAGTTGTAGAAGTGTGACTCTCCATTAAAGGCAAAACAAGTTATTAACTCAATTGTACTTGGTACATTTTCCTCATTATAAGGTTGTCTTTAGCTGGAGTTCAGTTATTTTACTTTTTTAAAAACAATTCTTTTGAGACACGACTCGCTCTGTTTCCCAGGCTGGAATGCAATGGCGCGATCTCAGCTCACCACAATCTCCGCTTCCCGGGTTCAAGCGATTCTCCTGCCTCAGCCTCCCGTGTAGCTGGGATTACAGGCACACACCACCACACCCAGCTAATTTTTTATATGTTTTGGTAGAGACAGGGTTTCACCATTGGCCAGGCTGGTCTCGAACTCCTGACCTCAAGTGATCCACCTGCCTCGGCCTCCCAAAGTGCTGGGATTACAGGCATGAGCCACCGTGCCCAGCCAGTAATTTTACTTTAAGATATCCAATCACCTACAGTTTAAAAGATCCCTGAAGACAATCTCTTACTTCTAAAAAATAGTTTAGATATTGGTCTGAGTGGTAGACTCATTCTTTGTGGACCTAATTACATTATCTCCAGCCATGCTACTTCCTCAAGAAAAAATTCAGAGTGCAACTACTGCAGCTTTGACTAGGGACATTTACTCTCTTCTCCAAATCGTGGGCCGCTAGCCGTCTCGACATTTGTTTAGAACTCTCTGCTTTCCTCTCATGGCTAAGGTGGGTGGGTCGTTCTCTAATCAGTAGCTCAGCATTTTGATATTTCAGGTGCATGTCAGGGCATTCAACTATAAATTGCCAGTGAGCCATCTCCTGACAAAACTTGCTTGAGACAGGATATTTGAGAGATACAGTCCAGAAATCAAGTGAAATGTAAATTCCTTGTTTTTTGTTTCATCCCTATATGGTTAGATCATCAGAAGCCTGTACACTTGGACTATTGTCTCAGACTGTGTTGTTTACTGGAAAAAGGCATGTGTCAGGATTTATGCCCTGGCTATTTATAGAAAACAGCTATGAAAAATGCACATATATGATATTTCTGTGCTTTTGCTCTATTGGGATTACAGATATTGGCTTTTACGTTACTCTCTGTCCTTTTTGAAAAGATCCACGTGATAAATTCCATTTATGATTTCAGTGTTCGTAACCAGAAAATAGTTTCCCTTCATATGAATTTCTAGGTTTCCTTTTTATTGGGCCATGGGAAATAGGCACCTCAATGTGATTCTTTTTTATTTTGGGAAAACCAGCGTTAAATTTAGAGCTCAAGGAGGGACCTAGTGAAGCTTATTGTCTTATTCCTTTGTCATTTAATTTTTTCTTTTATTTTATAACATCTCAAGTATGTGGTTTTATTTTTTTGGAAGTAGACTTGGTATAAATTGTATATACATATATCTCCTTGTGAGTTATCTGTGTCATTCCCAGCTATAATATATATGTTAGATCTAGAGGACATTAGATAGTCACATTTTGATCTAGATTTGGGTGACAAATTATATTACAATGGGGCCTATTATACTTTTCCTTTATCTTACATTAAATCATCAGACTCAAGAGCAGTTTTATTTTTTTATCTTTGGTTGATTCCAGTTCCTTGACCACAAAATGAAGACATCTTTGGTCATTGCAAAGCTGCCATCCCTCCACTCCTCACCTTATTCCCAATGGCTCCCTCAAGCAAATCCTTCCCAACTGCCCAGCTAACCTTTCCTGTCTCCTCTGCAACTCCCTTATCTCTGGGTTGAGTACCTCATTCTTGTTCCTTACAGCTCCATGTGGCCTGGAACTGTGGAGAGTCCTGAAACCAGCTGAGGCGGATGGAAGAAGGCCAGTGCGGTTGTTATGGAAGGTGACCTCCCTCTGGATTCTTTTTCTCTCTCTTTCTTCCCCTTCCCTCCTTTCCCTCCCTTCCCTCCCTTCCCTCCCTTCCATCCCTTCCATCCTCCTTCCCTTCCCTTCCCTTCCCTTCCCTCCCCTCCCCTCCCCTCCCCTCCCTTCCCCCCACCTTCCCCCTCCCCTCCCTTCCCCCACCTTCCCCCTGCCCACTCCCTCCCTCCCCTCCCCGCCTCACCTTTCCCCTCCCCACTCCCTCCCCTCCCCTCTCCACTCCCCTTCCCCCTCCCCAGTCCCTCCCCTCCCCTCCCCTTCCCTCTCCTTCCCTTCCCTTGCCTTGCCTTGCCTTCCCTTCCCTTCCCTTCCTTTCTCTATCTCTCTCTCTCTTTCCCTCCCTCCCCACCGCCGCCTTTCTTTCTTTTTGGCAGAGTCTTGCTCAATCACCCAGGCTGGAGTGCAGTAGTGAAATCATAACTCACTGCAGCCTTTAACTCCTGGGCTCAAGTGATCCTCCCACTTCACCTTCCCAAGTAGCTGGGACTACAGAAGTGTGCCAGTACACCCAGCTAATTAAAAAAAAAAAAAAAATATATATATATATATTTTTTTTTTTTTTGGTTGAGGCTGGGTCTTGCTGTGTTGTCCAGGCTGGTCTTGAACTCCTGGGCTCGAGAGATCCTCCCACCTTAGCCTCCCAAAGCATTGGGATTATAAGCATGAGCCACCATGCCCAGCCTGTTTCTTTATACTGTTTAAAAGCCCTTGATCTCTTACCCTTCTAAAAACTGTGATTCTTGAAATTTTACCCCCAGAATTTCCTTCCCTAGAGGGCTTTATGATGCCCCAAATCTCACATTGGTTGGCCAGCTCAAAAAAGCCCTATAGGTCATCTTGCAGATGGCCCAAACATGCATGACAGACGCTGGTCCCCCTCCTCTTTGGTCTGAAACATTAACATTCGGGGTGGGTAGAAAGTGAAAGTGCAGGAGGCACCATGACCTTCTGGAGGAAACGATCACTGACCAGCCTCTGCTGGAAGGCAGCGTAAGTCTCCGGAACCCCCCTCCCCACCCAGCTGTCTCAGAAGAGCTCTGATCAGGGTCAGCTTGCTGGTGTGTCCTCGAGTCATTGGCAACATATATGGCACATGTGTGTTGAAATAGTGGGGCACAAAAACAGAAGAGGGACCACATGGTCCTTCCTAGGGCGGAGGCCTGGGAGTGAGGAACAGGAGAAGTCAGGTGGGGAATGCAGAGAAGAAGAAGAGGGAAGAGGACCTGAGAGAGGGAAGTGAGAGAAGGAGTAGAAAATGGGGGGACAAGGGAATAAACAGAAAAGGAAAAGGGCAGATGGAGAAAAAAAGAGTGAAAAGATGGGGAAGAAGAAGGAAGAGAGGAGTGAGATGCCAGAATTCCTTCGTGTGCCTCCAGAATTCCCAGGAAATGCTCATGATGTTAGCTCATATTTGCTGAAGTCCAGGCAAGTTCAAAATCCTGTTGAAAATGGAGCAAGTGTCCTGCTTTGCCAGATGACATTCCAATTACCTCAGGGTTGGAGGCTCCCGCACCATCGCCCACTCCCTCCACACCCGCAGGGCTATGGGACTCCCTGGGTTGCGGAGGCGGTGCTGCCGCCGCATGGGACAACAGCCAGAGATGGCGGGGAATCCTAGAGAATCAATCCCAGATGCTGTGCTGTCTTTCTCAGCCATCAAGTATGAAAACAAATGATTGTGGCAACACATTTTTGGGGGAGGAAAGCCAACAACCTCACACGCCCACATGTGGTCTTAGCTACATAGCAGTGGCGAAGGGCCAAGTAGGGCAGCTTGCGAAGTAGAGAAGATGGATTTCAGTGCCCGCCTCCTCCCCGTCGCCTGTTGGGTCTGGTCTTTTTCTCCACACCACCCCCCCGCCCCCCCGCACCTTCAAAAGGAAAGAGCTCTCTAAGAATTTGAGTTGGTTAAAAAAGAATGTACTAAAATGCTCTAAAATTAAATAATAGTGATAGTTGCATGACTGAACATACTATTAATAAAAGCCATTGAACTCACATTAAAACAGTGAATTTTATGGAATGTGAATTGTATCTCAATTTTTATTATTTTAAAAAGAATGTTATTTAAAAAAGTTATTTAAAATGTTAATATGTTATTTTAAAAAGATTTTAAATAACATATTAATATGTTATTTTAAAAAGATTTTAAATAACATATTAATGTTATTTTAAAAAGATTTTAAATAACATATTAATATGTTTTTTAAAAAGATTTTAAATAACATATTAATATGTTATTTAAAAAGAATATGTGTTATTTAAAAAAGAAAATGGGGCTGGGCGTGGACTGGGCCGGTAATCCCAGCACTTTGGGAGGCCAAGGCATGGGGATCACTTGAGGTCAGAAGTTCAAGACCAGCTTGGACAACACAGCAAAACCCTGTCTCTACTAAAAATACAAAAATTAGTCGGGCATGGTGGTGCACACCTGTAATCCCAGCTACTCGGGAGGCTGAGGCAGGAGAATTGCTGGAATCCAAGAGGCGGAGGTTGCAGTGAGCCAAGATCAGGCCACTGCACTCCAGCCTGGGCGACAGAGAGAGACTCTGTCTCAAAATAAATAAATAAATACAATAAAATAGAAAATGGGTCGTCTTGAGAGATAAAAGGCTCCTGGTCATTAGGAAGATTCTAGCTGACCTTTTATGCCTAGACATAAAAGTAAAGGAAATTCCTGAACTGGGAAGGCAGTGGGACGAAGTGCCTGCTAAAGTCCCACTTATAAGTCCTGGACTTATATTCAGGCATTACGCTCCATCTATGTGTATAATCAGTAACAGAAGGGGAAGCCCTATAAATTCTGGGAAATACTGTCTCCTAGGCAAATGTCTGGTGAGTGGGCCCAAGTTCAAGGCTGAAAATAAGAGTTTAGCTTAAAGTCCTCAGGATTCCACCTTAAACTTCTCGCCAAGGGTTTGGGACTGGCAGTGCGGCCCTCTTAGCTAGGACGCCTGGCTGGGGCGCCTGGTCCAGGGAAGCTGGCTCCCTTCTCAGAGGGAGAGGCATGGAAATAAAAGACTAGGGCATAGGGTACTCTCCAACCTTTGGATACTCCAGGCAAGAGATGACTCAGAGCCAGACCAGACTTTGGATGGGCTGAGAGGGAATGTGTCAGCTTTTTAGCCCTTACTCCTTTACACGAGTGGGATGGAGCGAAAGATACAGGCAGAAGGAAATAAGGGTGGCTTGTTTACATTGTTTTGGGCATTCTTCTAGTTTAGCCTCATGGAATTAGATGAAATTTAGTAAATCCCCTCTTCTGGCACTTGAAGTGTTACTATCACAGCCCAGGATCTTATTCATCCCTGGAGGGTAATTACCTGATTGTAGTTTAGTATCTAATAGTTAGCCTTATTCCCCACCCTCACCCCCACCGCTTCTCACTGTCTCAATGCCTTTCTTTTTCTTTGTTATTGGCAATAAATTTTGTTTTCTTTGGGTTCAGAAGGCAAGAGGAGCCCCAGTCCTAGAGAAAACACTTGGCTACAACATATGGTACTATCCAGAAAGCAACACTAACCTCACAGAAACAATGAACACTACTAACCAGCAGCTTGAACTGCATCTGGGAGGCGAGAGCTTTTGGGTGTCTATGATTTCTTATAATTCTCTTGGGAAGTCTCCAGTGGCCACCCTGAGGATTCCAGCTATTCAAGAAAAATGTAAGTAGAGCATCAACTTCTTCCTTAGGTGCCTGGTCCCATCAATTGGCCAAGGAGCAGTCCCTGTGCTCTCAAGGGTGGCTGTTTCTCTTGAGTCAAAATGAAAATGGAGTGGGAACCTTTTAGGTTGTGGTGAAGCAATGAGAATTTGCTGGTAATTAATGAATCACTTGAAGTCATGTTCCTTTGGAACAAAGCCTGCGTTAAAAATCAGAGACTTTATAAATTACAGAATACAAAGCCATACACCTAGAAGTTCTGTGTGCAGCTTTGATTTGTTCTGGTCTGGGTGAATGTAAGCTGGGTCAAGTCCTATGAAACTGTCCTATTTCTCACATTTGTCCTCCGTGACCGAAGCTGCCCTTGAACTCTTCTCCCCACAAATGGGTACTCACCACATCCCCATCCTTGGTTTAATGCTTGCTGTCCTGTTTTCTTCCTTTTCCCCTTCCATTTGTCACTATGGAAAAATTCTAGTGTTTATACTTGCCAATAAATTGTTCATTACACTTTTGGTTAAGTAGTTTTTGACATATTACTGCTCCCAGGCAAACTCATATTTATCCTGTTTTGGAATAAAAAACTTTCATTCAAAGAATTGCAGACAATAGATTTCCTCTTTTCTCTCTTATTTTTCTCTTTCAAACTTAGTACTATCCCTTATTCTATAAATTATCTTATTTATTTTACTACCTTTTTCTTCCTCAATAGGATGTAAATGCCATGAAGGCAGTGATTTTTTGTCTGTTTTCCTTTCTTTTTTTTAACCTAATTCCCAACACTTAAAATAGCATAGAGCAGTTGGCATAGAGCAGGTGTGCAGTAACTATTTGTGGAAACATATCATAGTCAGGAATGTTCTCTCCAATTCACCACCTTTCTCTATTTGCTTACACCTAGACTGGTTCAGACATTTACACAACCAGTTCTAGAATTCTCTGCCTGTGCTGCCTTCCATCTCTTCTCCTTAAACCCTCATTTTATAATTCCTAGATATTTATATTTTTGTATTTTGAGCTACACTTGATATTATTTTAGTTAGCATTTAATAGTACTCCCTGTAGTCCTCATTTCCTGACATCCTAGTTCCCGCCTGTCCAACACCCTAGTGATGAAGTTCCTGACAAATGCACGTGTCATTGGGGCACACATTCTTTATTAATAGAGGTGCTGTTAAATAGTAACCTCAGTTTCCCAGTGTGGCCCCAGGATGGGAGGTGGTAAAGAATAGGGTATAAAAGCATGGGCTTTGGAGTCCAGCAGCCCCGGGTTCAAATCTTTGCTCTTCCACAAGATACCATTAACCTTGGGCAAGTTACCTAACTTCTCTGAAGATTAGCTACTCGTAAAATGGAGCTATTATATAATAATACCTACCTCACAGAGCTGTAGTGAAGATTAAATGAGATCATGTATGTAAAATGCTTTGTCTGGTGCTAATTATTACTATTGTCATTATTATTATTATTATTATTATTATTATTATTATTATTAATTTTTGAGATGGAGTTTCGCTCTTGTTGCCCAGGCTGGAGTGCAATGGTGTGATCTCAGCTCACCACAACCTCCACCTCCTAGGTTCAAGCAATTATCCTGCCTCAGCCTCCTGAGTAGCTGGGATTACAGGCATGTGCCACCACACCAGGCTCATTTTGTATTTTTAGTAGCGACGGGGTTTCTCCATGTTGGTCAGGCTGGTCTCGAACTCCTGACCTCAGGTGATCCACCTGCCTCAGCCTCCCTAAGTGCTGGGATTACAGGCGTGAGCCACTGCTCCTGGCTTATTGTCATTCTTAATAAAATTTCTGATTGATCAAATTTCTGTTAGACACAGATTATCGACTTTAAAAATATTATAAAATACACTTTAAAGTTATGCTAAATTCACTTAGGTTTTTTTTGGCTTTGTGTCAGATACGACTGTGTGATCATCAATTATAAGGGTCCTAGATCAGGTATTGGCACACTGCAGCTTGCAGGTTAAATCTGGTTGGACACTTGTTATTGTAAATGAAGTTTCACTCTAACACAACCACACATATTTGCTCACATATTATTTATGGCTTCTTTTGTGCAACGGTGGCTAAGTTGAATAGTTATGACAGAGACGACCTAGCCCACAAAACCTAAAATCTAAAATATTTGCTATCTGGCTCTTTACAGAGAAACTTTACAGATGCTAGTCCCAGACATAAAAGAAAATAATGTTCTGGATGTGCACGATGGCTCACGCCTGTAATCCCAGCACTTTGAGGCCAAGACGGGTGGATCGCTGAGTTCAGGAGTTCAAGACAAGTCCAGGCAACATAGTGAAACCTTGTTTCTACAAAAAAAAAAAAAAAAAAAATACAAAAATTAGCCAGGCCTGGTGGCATGTGCCTGTAGTCCCAGCTACTTGAGAGGCTGAGGGGGAAGAATCGCTTGAGCCAAAGAGGTTGAGGCTGCAGTGAGCCGAGATTGTACCACTGCACTCCAGCCTGAGTGACAGAGCGAGACCCTGTCTCAAAAACAAACAAAAGAAAGTAATATTCTACAGAATTTTGCTTACTAAAGTGGAGGCAACTGGAGAATGAGAATAATAACTAGAGAATAATAAGATAATTTTTGTAAGTATAACTATCATTAAGTAATAGTTATCATACATTGTCTACTAGTATGTGTCAGGAATTGTGCTAAGATAACATAGGTTTTCCCATTTTAGCCTTGACATGACTCATGATGTAGATGCTGTGAGATCTATTTTATAGACGGCAAAGGGATTCAGGCAAGCTTAGTAATGTGCCCAAGGTCTCTGGAGTGGGATGATTCCAGCTCGGATCTGCAGGATTCCCAACTTGTACCATATCCCACAACCTTAGATGTGTTATTCATAAAGTGACTTGAATTCCGGTCACAGATGCTGTGTGACACTGAACTGGTTATTGACCTGTGCGGGCCTCCACGTTCCCCTCTTGGAATAAGGGCTTGGAATGAGGTTCCTTCTGCTCAGCACGCCCTGGGTTTTGTGAGACCCGAGACAGCAGGCAGCGGTGGCGTGGTCCCAGGCAGGGCATCGGAAAGCCCGGCCACTGTGTCATAAGGCCAGAGGAGGAAGATGGGCCCAAGTTGGGGCAGAGCTCAGGATGGGCCAGGACGGTTGGCAAAGGAGAAGCAGCACCAGCACGTGAGCCCCGGGTGACTGTCTTCATGCAGATCACAAGAAATCAATGGCTTTCACAGTCAAAGCCCCTCCCTGCTTCTTCAAGGAAGGATCTGTGTTTCCCACCACACCTGGGGATGTTTGGAGTAATTGCTCAGAAAGCTCTTGTTGAATGATGGAAGGACCCGGCGATTCGTTTATATTGAGTAGAGTGATGACTTGGAAATTCCCCTTTTGGCGCCCCTTGGTGTGGCCAGGCTTTCCCCTTTCAAGGTTGACTCATGGTTTCCTGGGGCCGGCGCCACGCCCCTGTGGTCTCCGCAGTCTCTGCAGTGCACTTGGCGCTTTAGACCCGGATCTCCCTGCTCCTCAGAGCTCCAGTGTTGGTGAGAAGGAGTGTGGGTTTAGACACCAACACTGGCTTCTTCAGGCCAGGATTTGTGGGCAATCATTTTTTAAAAAAGTGCCTCCAGGGAGATGAGGAAGCTGCAGAAGCAGGCCAGGACAGGGCAGAGGCTGAGATGAAGGTGGGCTTTCAGGGCTGCCAAAACGAAGCACTGCAGACTGGGGGGCTTCAAACAACAGAACTTTATTGTCTCATGGTCCTGGAGGCCAGAAGTCCCACATCAAGGTGCTGGTTGGCCATGCTCCCTAAAGTCTCTAGGGGAGAATCCTTCCTTACCCCTTCCAGCTTGTAGTGGCCCCAGGTATTCCTTGGCTTGTGGTAGCTCCAGTAACTCCCATAAATCCAATCTCTGCTTCAGTCTTCACATGGCTAGCTTCTTGTGTGTCTCTGTTTCCATGCCCAGATTCCTCTTTTCTTATAAAGGGCCCACTGTCTTAACTAATTACATCTGCAATGGCCTATTTCCAAATACAGTCACATTGTGTGGCACTGGGTATATACTTTGGGGGGATACAATTCAACCTGTAACAGGTACAATCTGAGATAAAAGCCCCAGGGAGGGGGGTTCCCACTGGATCTTGCAGGGGACTCTATCTAGAGTGTGAGTGACATCTCATAGTCATCCCAGCCAAGCAAAACACAAGCACACAGTAAGAAGGAAGCTGAGTGGGTCTGGGTGGAGCGCCAACATTGGCTGCTAGAAGAGTCTAGTTACATCTCCAAGGCTCCAGCAGGGACTTTCAGCCAGGACTGGCTGGGTATGCTTCCAGGCGGTGAGCAGGGGAAGGCTGGAAGGAGAAACTCAGAGCCCTAGGGTTAGGTGGGGTCAATCTCCAGGCTCTGTGCTTCTTGCCCCGGCCTCTGCTCCTTCTGTGGCTTCACATTTCCTCCATGCCTCAGTTGTCCTTCTCAGAGTTACCTTTTCAGGTTGACAACTTACCTGGCCTTGCTGCTAGGACTAGCCCCTGGAGTGTCTCATAAGGACCCTGTTTGGGAAAAGGATCCGTCAACTGTGGCTTACAAGAACAAGACTCCTAAATATACACACAGCCTGCTGGGGTTTGTTGCCAAGGAATAGCAGGATGCAGGACCCCTGGTCCCCACCCCAGATTCCTACATGTGGCCTAGGCTTCCAGCTTCAAAAGACTTTTGGGTTTCTTTTTTTTTTTTTTTTTGCAGGACACTTTTGTGCCTGTATCCAGGATCATCTCTGACATTCATTGAAACACTCTTCCTGGCTGGGCGTGGTGGCTCGTGCCTGTAATCCCAGCACTTTGGGAGACCGACTGAGCTGGGCAGATCACTTGAGGTCAGAAGTTTGAGACCAGCCTGGCCAACATGGTGAAACCCCATCTCTACTAAAAATACAAAAAATTAGCCAGGTGTGTTAGCATGTACCTATAGTCCCAGCTACTCGGGAGGCTGAGGCACAAGAATCACTTGAACCCAGGAGGTGGAGGTTGCAGTGAGCCAAGATCATGCCACTGCACTCCAGCCTGGGTGACAGGGCGAGACTCTGCCTCAAAAAAAAAAAAAAAAGAAAGAAAGAAAGAAAAAGAAAAAGAAACGCTTTTCCCATGGATTCGAGTTTTGCAGGTTGAGGAGTGCAACGCTGGTGAGGATTGGGTGAGGGGAGAGCATGCCCTGGAATTTCTGAGCCCCGCCCAGTTTGTACCTTCCACCTCTGCCTTGCTGCACCTCCAAGAGTTCTCTTCTGTGTGTTCGAATATTTTCAGTAAGATCTCTGTCTGATTCTGATTAAGTTCCAGATGTTGGATTGCAAGCCACACACTCAACTTTTCTATTAAATAAATCCTTGTGACCTGTTTCCAGATTATTTTGGCCAGTCCTGCAGAAAATGTTGCCATTTATGTATTGATCCATACTAGGTAATTTGGATGGCAATGTCTTTATCTTTCTGGTAGAAATGCAATATTTGCTGCCTTGAGGATAGGAATTCATATCCAGTTTGTGCAGAGCCAGACTATATAGTGAAAGCGTAAAGCCATCTCCCTGGTATGATTTTAAGGTCACCATCTCCCAGCTTCCCAGCCACACAATTCCCCAGAGCCTGAAATTCTACCTTTGGAGATTCTCTGTTTCAGGTTTCCTTTCCATTTCACTTGCAGAGACACCTGTGGAAGGTAAGTCTTTTTAGTCATCAACTGTCTAGTGAGATCCTTTTCTGGAAACAGGTCAATTTGGGGTTAGGTAAAGGAAGATTAAGAAGCCACTTACTCCTCAAGGTGTTGTGTAAGGAAAAAGGATGCAATAAGGGGAGTGAAAAGAGCCCCATCCGGGGAGGCTGCAGTGGAGATCCTGAACTTTGGCCTTGTTTTACAGCTGAGGCAATGAGGATGCCAGTGTGGTTGTTGCATTTGGGGAATGAGTTGGGTAGCTGTGAAGCAGTCCTTTTCTCTCCTTTCAGCATTTCAGTGCATTGAGGTCATGCAGGCCTGCGTTGCTGAGGACCAGCTAGTGGTGAAGTGGCAAAGCTCTGCTCTAGACGTGAACACTTGGATGATTGAATGGTTTCCGGATGTGGACTCAGAGCCCACCACCCTTTCCTGGGAATCTGTGTCTCAGGCCACGAACTGGACGATCCAGCAAGGTAGCCAGGGCGGAACTCACAGGTTCCCTCAGTGCAGGGTTTGGTTTCATTTTCATCCATTTTTAGATCTTTAACTTTGGCTTCAAAGCTGTTAGTGTGGTTAATAGCATTTGTCAAGCTTGTGCAAGCTTAATGAAGTGACACGCTTCTTGGTATTTCCAAGGCAAGGCTGGCACAGAAAGCTGTGGGTGTCAAGCAGACCAGGTATCTGATCGATCTCCAGGTGGAAAACACCATCTTAACACCCACCATCAGAGAGTCCTTCCCGGATAGCTGGGTCATCCCATGGATAACTCCAGAATGTGGATCCCAGCTGGCCTACCTAGGATATTTTCTTCAGTTCTGATTGCCTGTTTAAGAGTTAGGCCCCCTTCCCAGGTGATTGTTATAGGAATAGCCTTCTTTTCAGGAAAGTCCCTGCCCTACGTAAGATATGCGAGTGAGGCTTTACTCTTTATTTTTAATTTTGTTTAAATTTTTATTTTCTAGAGACAGGGTCTTGCTTGATTGCCAAGGATGGAGTGCAGTGGCACGATCATAGCTCACTGTAACCTCAAACTCCTGGGCTCAAGTGATCCTCCTGCCTCAGCCTCCCTAATGAGGCTTTACCCTTTTAATCCTGTCACCACAATCATTTCTTAATGCTTCAAACATCCATATTAAGAATAATACACAGGCAGGGATGCAGGCAAGTAGAGGAGATAGAAGTCACAGTGTTTGAGATCCACAGGGTGATGATATGTTGTTCTAGAACTTAATTAGGCAGCGTGTTCAGCGATCCTATGGATCTCTCTGCTGCAATAGTATTTGGTCAGAACAGACCTGGGGATTCCCTGCCTCCAAAAAATAAAAAGCTAAAAAGCTAAATTTAAAAATAAGAATTAGTTAGAAAATCTGAGAAAAGCAATAGATATTAGAGACCATTCAACCTAACCTGTTTATTTTCCAGAGGTGGAAACTGTAGAGAAATGGAATATCTTCTATAAGTGTTTGGCCATAACTCTTAGTCTAGTATTCCCCCCACTCTGCCGTGCTCTGCACTTACACTTTTTTTTCTTTCTTTTTCACAGATAAATTAAAACCTTTCTGGTGCTATAACATCTCTGTGTATCCAATGTTGCATGACAAAGTTGGCGAGCCATATTCCATCCAGGCTTATGCCAAAGAAGGCGGTATGAATGGACAAGACCCTGTGGGGAAAAGGAAACAGTGTGACCTGTCCCACATGCCGATAAGGCTGCAAGTGCCTGTAGCTCATTCCCAGCCATCTTAGGGCTCATTTGTGCTTCATCTTGTAGTGAGCTCTGTATGTTATGAATTTGCTGAATTCTGAAGCTGGGGTAGACATTAGAGATCATTGAGTCCAATCCCCTCATTTCACAAATGGAAAATTAAAACTCAGAGAGGTGAAATAACTTGCCCAAAGTCACAAATAAACAGTGCAAATAGAGCTGCTACCAGCAATAACACTGAATTAAGACCACATCAGGGAGCCTAGAGTTCATCCTAAGCTAGGGATGTTAAAAAATTATTTTTAATTATGTAGCAATAAGCAAAGGCTTTACTGGTGAATTGCTCAAGCTTTACTTTTATCTTTTTGGAAGTTCATGTCTTCCAGATTCAACACTGGAAAACATCTTCTGCCACTCAAAGGTAGCCTATGGAGCCATATTCTTCAACTATTTGATAATAACTACACTTTACAGATATGAATGAAAAAGCTGGGTACCAAATTGGAGACATCTATGAGAAAGGACTTTTTCAAGTGGTCTTGTTGCCACTTCTCTTCTTGCTTAAGAGAGATGGTTCTAGAAAACAATTTTCCCAAACAAGCTGATTCATCAATTCCCTACTCAACCCTCACCCGTCGCCTCCAGCACTATGGTTTGGTCTGAGTACTGGCCAGGGCCTTTGTGGGGGAACGATCTCCTGGAGTGCGGTTCAGTGATTATCATTTATCCCTCTGTCCTTTCCAGTTCCATCAGAAGGTCCTGAGACCAAGGTGGAGAACATTGGCGTGAAGACGGTCACGATCACATGGAAAGAGATTCCCAAGAGTGAGAGAAAGGGTATCATCTGCAACTACACCATCTTTTACCAAGCTGAAGGTGGAAAAGGATTCTGTAAGCACGCCCATAGCGAAGTGGAAAAAAACCCCAAGCCCCAGATAGATGCTATGGATAGACCTGTTGTAGGCATGGCTCCCCCATCTCATTGTGACTTGCAACCTGGCATGAATCACTTAGCTTCTTTAAATCTCTCTGAAAATGGGGCCAAGAGCACCCACCTTTTGGGGTTTTGGGGGTTAAATGAGAGTGAAGTGACAGTACCTGAGAGGAGAGTCCTGAGGAAATGGAAGGAGTTGTTATAATTTGTCCTGGTTAGGCCCTGAATTGACCTCCCGGGAGCTCCCCGACCATCATTCCCAGGAATGGCGTGCCTGGCTTAAAGAGTGAGGAGGAACAGACCCTGTCACCATGACTTCTACTGCCCCTGCCAAATCATGCTTTTGTTTTTCAGTCCACCTTATCTCCTGACATCTTAAATACTGGGCAAGGCTTGGATTCTTGCTTAGGCTAAATAATTTTTTCTTATGGTAAAATACACGTAAAATATTTTTCCAGTTTAAACATTTGAAAGTGTACAATTTAGTGGCATTAGAAGCATTCACAATATTGTGCAACCATCACCACTATTTCCAGAACTCTTCTATTTCTGCCCAAATAGAAGCCCTATACCCATTCATTAGTCACTCCCCATTCCTCTCCTCCCACAGCCCCTGGCAACTACCAAACTGCTTTGTGTCTCTATGGATTGCCTATTTTGGATATTTCATATACATAGAATCATAAAATATGTGGTCTTTGTGTCTGGCTTCTTTCATGTAGCATGTTTTCAAAGTTCACCCATGTTATAGCATGATTTTGTACTTATTCATTTTTATGGCTGAATAATATTCCATTGTGTGGATATTCCATATTTTGTTTATCCATTCATCAGTTGATGAACATTTAGGGTGTTTCAACCTTTAGGCTATTGTGAATAGGGCTGCTATGAACAGATGTCTGCTACGAACATATGCTGCTGTGTACAAATATGTGTTTGAGTTTGTGTTTTTCGTTCTTTGGGGCATATACCTAGAAGTTGAATTGCTGGATCATACTGTAACTCTAGTTTAACTTATTGAGGAGCCACCAAACAGTTTTCCACAGTGACTACTCCACACTATACATTTTTTACTAGCAATGTATGAGAGTTTTCATTTCCCTGCATCCTTGTCAATACGTGTTATTTTTCATTAAAAAAAATTATTATGGCTGTCCTGGTAGGTATGTAGTGGTTATCTCATTGACTTGCATTTCCCTACTGACTAATAATGTTGGGCATCTTTTCATGTAGTTTTTGCCCATTTGTATATCTTTTTTTTTTTTTTGAGACGGAGTTTTGCTGTTGTTGCCCAGACTGGAGTGCAATGGCACGATCTTGGCTCGCTGCAACCTCCACCTCCCAGGTTCAAGCGATTCTCCTGCCTCAGCCTCCCAAGTAGCTGGGATTGCAGGTGTGCACCACCACGTCCAGCTAATTTTGTATTTTTAGTAGAGATGGAGTTTCTCCATGTTGGTCAGGCTGGTCTCGAACTCCCGACCTCGGGTGATCTGCCTGCCCCAGCTTCCCAAAGTGCTGGGATGACAGGCATGAGCCACTGCGCCCGGCCAGCCCGTTTGTATATCTTCTTTGGAGAAGTGTATTTTTCATCTTTTTTCTTATGTTTAAATTGGGTTATCTTTTCGTTATTGAATTTATAAGAGTTCTTTATATATTCTGGATATAAGTTATTTATCAGATATATGATTTGTAAATATTTTCTCCCATTCTTTGGATTATCTTTTCATTCTTGATATTATCTTTTGATGCACAAAAACTTTGAATTTTAGTGAAGTCCAGCTTGATCTATTTTTTTCTTTTGATGTTTGTGTTTTTAGTGTCATATCAAAGAAACCATTGTGAAATTCAAGGTTGTGAAGATTTATCCTATGCTGTCTTCTAAGAATTTTTATAGTTCTAGTTCTTATATTGAGGTCCTTAATCCATCTTGATATTTAAGCAGGACATGAATAGGGGTCAGAATATGAGACAGCTGAGCTTGGAAGCACAGGTTCCAATGCTCTTATTTTGGTGCTACTGGGACACAATTTTCAGTCTGGTTTGGCTGTGGTGTTTGACCTTTGTATTTTTCCTTTAGCCAAGACAGTCAATTCCAGCATCTTGCAGTACGGCCTGGAGTCCCTGAAACGAAAGACCTCTTACATTGTTCAGGTCATGGCCAGCACCAGTGCTGGGGGAACCAACGGGACCAGCATAAATTTCAAGACATTGTCATTCAGTGAGTATTTCCTTCAAGCCTTAGGTACCTCTCCCTCACGTTTACCTTACATCAGAGAGAAATGACATCTGCCAAAAGCTGGAGGAAGCCAAATGAAAGGGCAGTGCCTAGTGCCCTGCCATCCTGCTCTCTGTTCACCAACCTTCCTGGAAAGCATATAGGTGAGGAGATGGGAGGGAAGAGCAGGCAAGTTGAGAGCCGAATTTGGAAATGCTGGTCATTTTGGTCGTTCCTCATGGGCAGCCACAAATCATCTGGAGGAGGAGGTGTCAAATTAATGCCAACTTCAGTCTTAGCACCAAACCAGCTCCCATCTCAAGGCTGTCTCCCCGTTCATAGTCACCAGTTTCTGCATGTTATAGGTTACGGTATGTATTAGTCTGTTTTCACGCTGCTGATAAAGACATACCCGGGACTGGGTAATTTATAAAGAAAAAGAGGTTTAATGGACTCACAGTTCCACGTGGCTGGGGAAGCCTCACAGTCATGGTGGAAGGTGAAATGCACATCTTACATGGTGGCAGTCAAGAGAGAATGAGGACCAAGTGAAAGTGATTTCCCCCTATAAAACCATCAGATCTCATGAGATTTATTCACTACTATGAGAACAGTATGGGGGAAATTGCCCCCATGATTCAATTATCTCCCCCTGGGTCCCTCCCACAACATGTAGGAATTATGGGAGCTACAATTCAAGATGTGATTTGGGTGGGGACACAGCCAAACCATATCACTGTACAACAGGGCCTTCAAGGGAAAACCTTGGTTAACTCAGGACTACTGACCCATAGGAAGGGGCTTAACCTCATCATTTGTGGAGGTTTTTTTTGAGCAAAAAGACATATGATATATTTAACTTACCCACTTTTACATTAAAAAATAGCAAGAAAAATTTACTAGAGACAACAAATAATGTAAAATAAAATGTAGCTTCATATGATGGCTGGTTAAGGGAGATATTTAGAGGCAGGCAGATGGAATGAGGAGGGGGATGAAGCAGAAAGAAGGAAGGAGAATGGGAGAAACAGATATATATTAATTTTGCTAAGTCCTTGAGTGACAGAGATTTGATTTTTAAGTACGTACTAAAACTGTCTTAAAGAATGAACAACGCTTTTTAGATTAAAAATGAAGGAACACTGCCAAGTTTTTGCAATAACTGAGGCAAGCTAAAAATTGCTTGAAATATTCTTGAAAGCCTCTTATGCATCACATTTTTCAAGAATAAAATGCTTTATCACTCTGGAAAATGTGAGTATGACATGTTTTTTTTACAGAGAAAACATATTCTGTTTTGATGGACTAACATTGCCCTCTAGGAACTCTTTTTGATATGCTGTTTAAATTTTTTTAAAGCTGTATTGAATTTTTGCAACACTGGGCACAAATTTCATCAGCTCAAGGAGTTTTCTCCAAGGGTTAAATGAAGGCAAGATCCAGCCCTGGAACCTAGAAGTTTCCTACCCTGGTCTATAGATTATAAATCACCCTGCTTCCATTTTTGATCCTCTATAATCCATTTTCCACACAGCAGCCAGAGTTTCAAACCCTGAATTCTCTGCTTAAAAGCCACAGTGACTTTTATTATATTTTAAAGAAAATCCAAACTCCTTCCTATAACTTTCAAGGTCTTTCATCATCTGTCCCTTACTGACCACATTTTTCCTACTGCTTTCTGCCTCTATTTATCTTCCTTACCTTGTTGCTGCTTCAAAGCTTTTGCATCCACTGTTTCTTCTGCCTGGAATGCTTTTCTCCATGGTTTTGCATGGCTGGATCCTTCTCACTATTAAGATCAGCTTGAATTTCACTCCTTCCTTGGACACCTTAGCTAAAGTTGCTGTCTGGACGCAGTGGCTCATGCCTGTAACTCCAGCACTTTGGGAGGCCAAGGCAGGAGGATCACTCAAGGCCAGGAGTTCAAGACCAGCCTGGCCAACATGGTGAAACCCAGTCTCTGCCTAAAATACAAAAATTAGCCGGGCTTGGTGGCACGTGCCTGTAATCCCAGCTACCAGGGTGGCTGGGGCAGGAGAATCACTTGAACCCAGGAGGCGGAGGTTGCAGTGAGCCAAGATGCACCACTGCACTCCAGCCTGGGCAACAGAGCGAGACTCCATCTCAAAAAGAAAAAAAGTCTAAAAATTAGCTGGGCATGATGGCTTGCACCTGTAAGTCCTAGGTACTTGGGAGGCTGAGGCAGGAGGTTGCTTGAGCCCAGGAGTTCGAGGCTACAGTGAGCTATGATCATGCCAGTGCACTCCAGCCTGGGCGACAGAGCAAGACCCATCTCAAAAAAAATTTATAAAAATTAAAAAGTAAGTGCTCAATAAGTATTCACTGAATGAATGCTGTTGGAATGAATGCTGCCAGGAAGACACCTAGATGGGGAGGCACAAAATTCTGTTTTTTGTTTTTGTTTTTGTTTTTGTTTTTGAGATGAAGTTTAGCCCTGTCGCCTAGGCTGGAGTGCAACAGCATGATCAGCGCTCACTGCAACCTCCGCCTCCCAGGTTCAAGCGATTCTTCTGCCTCAGCCTCCTGAGTAGCTGGGATTATAGGTGCACACTATCACACCCGGCTAATTTTTTGTATCTTTAGTAGAGACGGGGTTTCACTATGTTGGCCAGGCAGGTCTCAAACTCCTGACCTGGGGTTTTTTTAGTGGAAAGAAATTGAATTTAACTGAAAGAAAACTAATAAGACATTGTGTTGCTGAAGCTACTAGAAGAAAAAGTTAATCATTGATTTTTGTCAAGAAGGTGAGGAACTCACTACTGACTTTTGTTCTTTGTTTTTCAAAGGTGTCTTTGAGATTATCCTCATAACTTCTCTGATTGGTGGAGGCCTTCTTATTCTCATTATCCTGACAGTGGCATATGGTCTCAAAAAACCCAAGTGAGTCTGCAGACAACAGTGGGTGCCTTAAAAATCAGGGACAAAAAGGGGTTGAAGTCATCATAGGTGCTTCGTAGGAGAGGGCACTCTACCATTAAGGGGTGTTCATTCATTTATTAACTTGGTGCGTATTTATTGAGGTTATTAAAGGCCACGCTCAGTGGCTCACCGGAATTCTGACCAAGCAAGAGCACTTTCGTTTCCCAGAGCTCCATGCCCAGGTCTAGGCCTTTTTGAGGCCAGGAGAGTGCCAGCTGCCCCACAGGCTCTGTCTGCTCCATTTGCCATCTGAGACTGGAGTTGGAGAGCAGACCCTTTCTCTCAGTGTCTAGCAGGGCCCCTGGCTGCAGCAAGAGGCCTTCTTGCGAGCTCTGTCTCAGGCAGAGCGGGGAGCAGTGTCTCCACGGTGTTGGAGTGCTGGCCAGTCGTCTGTGGGTGCAAGCTTATTGCTTGCTTGTGGTGCAGTGTTGAGGGTCTGGCTGCAGGGGCCTTTAACCTGCTTGCCCTGGCCACTGTGGGGAAGAAAGCATGTCTTCAGGGTCTTAGACTTTCTCTCTGCAGTGAGCCTTATGGCACCCTAATGGTCCTCCCCTGGTTGAGCTGTCTCTCCAAATTAGACAGTTGTGAGTCATCTCTGTCAAGCAGCTGCACTTAGTTAATGGTCAAGCTAATATCAACCTCCGTTACCAACTGTAGGTAATAACCAAGCCACCAGCATAGATTCTTGTACATTATGCACTTAAGTAATCATTTTGATCTTAGCATGCATCAGAATCAGGCCTCACCCCCAAAGTTTCTGATTCAGTGGTTCTAGGGTAAAGCCCCAAAATGTTCATTTCTAACAAGTTCCCAGGTGATCCCAATGCTGCTGGTTGGGACCACACTTGGAGAACCATTGCAGGAAAGTATGGGTAGCTTATAAGGTTTATAAAATGTTGTCTTTCCCAGAGGATAAGCCTCAAAGGAATGACTCTGTGATGGTGCAATTTACAGCATTGGGACCAGGTATGGAGATGCTGGGATGGGAGAGAGGGGAAGATAGGCTTTGTATGGGGAGAGTCTCCTTTGATCACATCCCACAGAGAACTTGCAATGTCACCCCCCAACACACACCGCAAAACAACTCCACTTTCCCAGGTTCTATTAGGCAGACATGCCCTTATTTAGGAGGGAAACTTACAATTCCCTTTAGCACAGCCTCACTCTTTTGACTCAGCCATATGGTGCTAATGCTTCTTGGATTCAATTCCCATCTTAAAATCTTCTCTCTCATTAGCAAATTGACTCATCTGTGTTGGCCCACCGTTCCCAACCCTGCTGAAAGTAGTATAGCCACATGGCATGGAGATGATTTCAAGGTAAACTCTCCTGTTTTTATTAAGGAAATCATTGCCGTGGGAGGTAGACGAGGTGAATGGAGATGGGGAAAGAGTCCTAGGCTGAGCTTTTTTCAAGGTTCACATCAAGAGAACTGGAGTTGAAAAGTCTCAGGGAATGGCAGGCAGGGCAGATGGACTCAGCCTTCCTGGAATGACTTTGACTTCATGCTTTGACAAGGGGAAAGGGCTTCACCAGGCTCATGAGGACCCAGTGCGTTCCCAGGTGGAACTGGTCCCATAAAGGATGCTGCAGAATAAAGACACTGGCCCTACCCTTCCTGACCTGATGGGCTAATTAGAGAGAGAGGAGCCTTGGCTATAGGATTTGAAGCCATTTACAAAGCAGCCAAGAGCACATTAATCTAAAGACTGTCTAAATATCACCAGGGAATGTTGATGGGCATGGCAGTCTGAGGCTGCCTCAGGTTGTTTTTCTCAGGCTGGGGACGTCAGAGTCAGGCTTTATTTAACTGGCATTGGGGTTTTCTAGTGAGTATTCCTTAACTAGAAACCCTCCATTTGCATAAATTTTTAAGTGGAAAACCGTTAGGGAAATTTTAAGGTTTAATTTCTTGCTTACGTAGAAACAAGCCCAATCAAATATAACCTTTAAATCCTTGTTACTGAAAGGCTGTTTCCAGTTTTTCCTTGATGCACAAATTTTAAATATTAGTCCTCGTTCCCACTCAGAAGTCTTTTTTGAGCATGGGCCTTTTGTTATAATGGGCTTTCTTTCTGTTTCCTCCTCTTATCAGTCCGGTATACTGGACTGATTTATACCCCCATTTACTTTCCTGCTTATTAAATGTCATTTAGAGAGTAAATGGATTCATAGGCAGTGCTCTCTGATAACTAACATGCTTTTTGAATAATCCGTAGGTTGGACCTCTAGAGCCGGCACTTATTAATCACTCACTACATGCCAGGTGCTGGGCTAGGCCCTAGGGATACAAATGACAAAGTCACTGTCCCTGCCATGAGGCCACTTCTGATTTTCTGGTGAGGTTGAACAAGTCTGTCTCTATGATGTGGTTTTTCCATCCCTAAGAGTTCTAATTTTAGTTCTTCCATCTTAACTGGGGTTTTGTGAACATGGGATTGTGTGGAAAATAGCCTTGCACACTCTAGCAGAAGAAATTGTTTGAATTGGCTGGGTACAGCGGCTCATGCCTATAATCCCAGCATTTTGGGAGGCCAAGGCAGGGGGGATTGCTTGAGCTCAGGAGTTTAAGACCAGCCTGGGTAACATGACAAAACCCCATCTCTACAAAAAATTAAAAAGTAGCCAGGTATGGTGGTGTGCATCTGTAGCCCCTGCTACTCAGGAAGCTGAGGGGGAAGAATTACCTGAGGCTGAGAAGTTGAGGCTGCAGTGAGTGGTGATCATGCTACTGTACTCCAGCCTGGGCAACGGGAGTGAGACCCTGTCTCAAAAAAAAAAAAATTATATACATATAAATAAATAAATTTTAAAAATTGTTTGAATCCAGGGCACTGTTTCTCAGGAAATGTGCCACTCCTTCCAAGCTCTGTGGAAGGGCATGCAGAGAGGGTTGGCTACCACTTCTGGGCCTGGGAGGAAGGTGGGGGCTGTTCCAGAGATGGGCATTTGCTGTCCCAAGCCTAACGAGTTTTTGGCTATGTCATATGTGACTCCTAAATGACCACTTGGGATGTCCCTTTTTCTTTTCCAGGATAAGCTAAACCTGAAGGAGTCTGATGACTCTGTGAACACAGAAGACAGGATCTTAAAACCATGTTCCACCCCCAGTGACAAGTTGGTGATTGACAAGTTGGTGGTGAACTTTGGGAATGTTCTGCAAGAAATTTTCACAGATGAAGCCAGAACGGGTCAGGAAAACAATTTAGGAGGGGAAAAGAATGGGTATGTGACCTGCCCCTTCAGGCCTGATTGTCCCCTGGGGAAAAGTTTTGAGGAGCTCCCAGTTTCACCTGAGATTCCGCCCAGAAAATCCCAATACCTACGTTCGAGGATGCCAGAGGGGACCCGCCCAGAAGCCAAAGAGCAGCTTCTCTTTTCTGGTCAAAGTTTAGTACCAGATCATCTGTGTGAGGAAGGAGCCCCAAATCCATATTTGAAAAATTCAGTGACAGCCAGGGAATTTCTTGTGTCTGAAAAACTTCCAGAGCACACCAAGGGAGAAGTCTAAATGCGACCATAGCATGAGACCCTCGGGGCCTCAGTGTGGATGGCCCTTGCCAGAGAAGATGTCAAGACTCGGCACGCAGCGCTTGCTTGGCCCTGCCACATCCTGCCTAGGTTAAAGTTTCCCCTGCCCCTTGAGCTGCCAGTTGAACTTGGTCGGCAAAGATGCGACCTTGTACTGGGAAGAAGGGATGGTGATAAGCCCGAGTTTTGTAAAGGAACAGCAGTCTCTTTTCGTTTGTTCAGATACCAAGCTCTCACCGAGGCCTCCTGACAGATTGACTTTGAAGGAAGGGCCCAGGTTCTGAGCCCAAAGGACCCCCAGGGTGGACATATCTGGCCTCCCAGGAATTGGGTCATGGTCCCAGCCTTTGCTGGGGCTGAGCCTCAGAGTTCCAGAAGGCCTTTCCCTGCTGCCAGAGGACAGTTGTTTTGTTGGCTCTTGGGTGGTCTGGTGGGAGCCTGGGCTCTGGTCTTCCCCTACAAGGTAGCCCTGAAGCCTTCCTCTCTCCCCATAGTTGGGGCTGGAGGTGGAGTGGACCTTCCTAAGGGGTTGTCTGAGGCTCCTCACATCCTCTTAGATCTCAAGTGCCTGTAGCAACACCGCACCTGAGAATCCTCACCCCCAATTTAGACTGCATTGACTACTAAAAAATCAAGGAATGGGGAGGGCCCTGGGGAATGTATGCTGCCGGGCGCAGCTCTGTCCAGTCTCCAGGGGGCCACTTCCCAGCTGCTGCTGCCCTTCTATTCAGCACCCAGCCTGGGAGCAGAAAGGCACCTGACATTGCAGTGGTTGTCATATAGGGACGCTGGCCCCTCACACTGGTTCAGAGCCCAGGAATGCTTACTTAAAAGGCCTCTTCCCGGAAGCAGCAGGGCAGGGCCTGGGAACATGCAATGCCTAGCAAATTTGCAGCCCCAACAGGAGGACTTCTGCTCCTTTTCTCTAGCTGAGCACAGAGCTTGTGACAGTTAGTGGAGCCTTTCACGAAAGTGTGGATTGCTGGCTTCAGCACTGAGATAGTACTGGGCTCCTCCTGTAACTATAGTGACAGAGTCAGCTGTGACTCCCTTGACCTTTGTGGGAGGCCACTAGGAGGCTGGTGAGATCAGGGCAGGCGAGGCAATGAGTGAGTGGCCCAAGGTGCAGTGAACCCAGCACTTGCCAGCCAGGAAGGCTGATGGTATTTTTTCTAGGAGAGTTTGAGGAATCAGTACTAGGATTGCAGGCATGAACTTCGCAAGCCACCCACTCAGGTGTGCAAAACATCACTTTACTTTCCTAAAACTAAAATTAATTGCCAGCCTGAGACCTGACACTTCAAAGTAACCTCAGCCCAGTATGATGATTTCTGAGTTGCCGTAGGTTTGTGACTCAGTCACATTTGGGGTTTTGCCCTCCCCTGTCCTGCCTGGGACTGGCTCTGAGTGCCGAGGATGTTCAATGGCGCAGCGTGCATGGGGCAGAGTTGGTCACTCAGTGGCATCCTCTGGGTCATGTATTTGTCCGGCCGTGTTTTTGTCTCTGGCCTCGTGTGTTTACTATGGTCCCTCCTGTCCCTGTTGGGTCACCTACCACTTACCTTAGCCAATTGCTGCCTCGTTACTGTGGGCACAGGAAGGTGTGGCTGCTCTCTCAAAGCTCTGTCCTCCTAACATCTCCAGCGGCTGCAGCCACCCCCCCACCACCCACCCAGGACTCAGTACTCCTGGTTTACGGAACAGTGACTTCTGGTACACCAAGGAATGAGGGAGGCCCGAGGCAGGGCACTGGGGAATAAGACTCTAGGGCAATGCCCCTGTCCCGTTGTCCTGCACTCAAGTCCAGGTGTAGGAAGGGACCAAACAAAAGAGATGCGTCCAATTCTCATGCCGCCCCTGATGTCTGCTCTCCCTGCTCTCCCTGTTCTCCACCCCTTCTATGGTGTGGGCTCTTCTGTGAGCCCACTGTCCCCAGAGTTCCAGATGGGGCCTTTGGCAACCCCACCTTCAGATTCATGAACATATGGGGAGATTCTAGCCTTGCCTCCTGTCTTGGCCCGAGGATGGGGGAGGGCACGGGTACCCCCACAGCTGTTCTTTCAACCCTCCTGCCCACCTGTAGTTGGGGGAATTTTCTCAAATTCTGTGGGAGGTGGGTGAGAGGAGAGCCTGGAACAAGTTCTCCCAAACTTGTCTGTCTCACACCTGGATGTAGATGAAGCTTCTGAACCTAAAATCTAAGAATTTGATGGGAGAGAAAATGGATCCCCAATGGCTCCTGTGAGTGGATTCCAGAGATAAGGATGTTGCCCTCTGGCCCCTGCTCCTTCATCATCAAAGCTGGAAGCGTCTTTTGCTGGACAATTTGCAAATCCCCACCCAGCCCTTCCTGTTTCATTTCTTCTTTCCTTTCTCTCCTCTTGCCCCTATCTTGTGCTTTGTTTTCCCCCACTGCCAGAGCTTCTCATCTTTTAACACTTGCTATTGTTTTCTTGTTTCTTTTCATTCCTTTCTCCCCTTCCATCAGCCTCCTTTGATCATTTTCCATGGTTTTATTACCTTTGAGGGGTGGGAAGATGGTGGCTCTGTTTCTTTCTAGGTGAGAGGAGCTGTTTCTATGAGTCCCCAAAAGGCACTGGTGGGCCACACCTTAGCTCTCCTGAGCAGGTTCACAGGATGTGAGCCTCAGAGTTCAGGGCGCAGGTGACTTCCTCTCCTGGATCGAGTCACCAACTGTCCCCGCTCTGGGCACCAGGGACTGCCTCTGTGGCTGGAGAAGGCCATCTGTGTTTTCCCTGTTTACTGTCAGAGACATTGTGAGGACACAAACAGGAAGACTTGTGTTTTAGCAAGGTTATTAAAAATGGATAAACCAGTTTTCTGAGACCCTGGGATCCATGCAGACAGCTAGGTTAGTGGCCTTTCTTTAACAGTAAGAGCAGAAAATTTTTAAAGAATGACAGAGAAACCAGTCTGTGGCTTAAATAAAAAGACCACAAGTTCCTTCTGGTGTCTTGGGAGGCAGCGGTGTGAAAACACCACGCAAGGGTCTGGAGGAGGCAGGAGATGGGGAGAGATGAAAAAGGAGAGGCCCACAGTATGGATGCCTCCGGCTGCTCTGCTGATGCTCTGTGTGCGAGGAAAGCCTGTGCTGGCCTGTCCACCCCAGTCTGATTCTGTCCCCATTTCCAGCACGCCCCTAGTTACTCCTGCTGCAGCAGGCACCCTGCCACCCAGGGCAGTGGCCCACGGGCCAAATCCAGGCCCTGTTTTTGTAGGTTCATGAACTAAAAGCTATAATGACCTATTTAATGGTTGAAAACAAAAAGAATAACATTTTGTGACAAGAAAAGTCCAAGAAATTCACGTAGTGTTGACAAAGTGTAATTGGAACACAGCCATGCCCATCGTTGACCTATTCCCTATGGCGGCTTGCCCCTACAAAGGCAGAGTTGAGTAGTTTCAACACAGAGTTTTTCCCACAAAGCAGAAAACGTTTACTCTCTGACCCTTTGCAGAAAAAATTTGTGGACGCCTACCATAACCCACAGACATGAAACTCAGACTGCCACTATGTTTCAACTTTGAATTAGCTGCAAATTAAAAAGAAATCAGGATATGTCATTCTGAATTTCTGACCAAATAAGGACTGCCCTCTTTGAAGGGTGCACACACACTTACTGGTTCCCCACCAGCCCTCCTAAATTCCTGTCCCCTTCCCATAGCTAAGGTCGAGAGTTGGTGGCTTACACCAGTGGTCTTTCAACAGGAGTGATTTTGACCCCCAGCCTCCAAACCTCAGACATTTGGTGATGCCTGGAGATATTTTTGATTGTCACGACTGGGAAGGTGCTACTGGCATCTAGTGGGTAGAGGCCGGCAATGCTGGAAATTATCTTATAATGCGCAGAACAGCCCTCACAACAAAGAATTATCTGGCAGAAAATGTCAGCAGTGCTGAGGCTGAGAAGTCGTGGCCTGAACTACCCTCTGCCTTCTAGATCCACACACAGTGTTCACATGGGTGAGACTCCCCTCTAGGTGTCCCCTCTTTTTTCTAATTTAAAATTTGTTTTAAATTCAACTTTACAGCAGTAATCCCAAGAGTTTTAAATAGCAATTATTTGTCATGCTTAATTAACTCCTAACATGATCTGTGTGCACCTGTACACATTTTTCAGCTAATTGCAAATCATACTGAATACATTATGTTCTCCCATATATAAAAATTCATGCATGAGCAAAGCATTTTGAACATCCATGAAAAACCCCATGGCGGGCCTGCATGGTGTGGTTTGCTAAGGCATCCCTTGGTTGATAGGATTCGTTTAAAGGTCCTCCTAGTATAGAGTGCAATGCGATAAACATTTATCTTTTCTTACCTTTGTCCTGTCTCTTTGGGGCTGTTTTCAAAAGTGGAATTGCTGGTCAGAATTTTATGGTTGTCACATTTTGCGTGACTGTGTCCCATCAAAGGTTATGCTGATTTACAGTATCACCAGACATGTCTGACGGATCCTTTGTCCTTTTCCACTGAGAATCAGCTGTCTACCACTGTGAGCTTGATTTTGTCAATTTATCGGGAATAGTTAATGAAACTTTATAGTTATTTGTGTTGCTTTAATCCTTGTGAAGCCAAACTTTTCTTTTTTTATTGTTGCCATGTCCCTGTGTTGACATTACAGAATGTTCTCTGCCTCCGTGCTCCTGGGGACATTGACAGACCAGCTGAGTTGCTAGAAATAAGAGGGACTCAGTAGGCCCTTAGCACAGCGGGTGGACTTTGCCATTTGGTTGACTATTTAAAATACTTGTTTTTGTAGGGCATCTGAAAAAGAAATTTCACACTGGTGTATTTTGTTAATTGTTTCTACGTAAATGTTGATTATTGACAAGCCTACTTGTAATCAAAATGTGTAGTGTGGTCAGTGTCTTGCACTCTTATGTTGTGGCGGGGGGGGGGGGCGGTTCCTGAAGAGTGGAGTGTGACTAAGGATAACAGCAGTCCTCATTTCCTTTGGACACTGGGGTCAGTGGGGAGAGAGTTTGCTCCGAAGCACAAACAGCTCCAATCCATGCTGGAAGAGACCCCAGGCCACAATAGCCCTTGACACAGAGCTCTATGCAGGGCTGTGCTGCCCAAGACGCTTGTCGTGTGCTGATGAAAAGGGCTGGGGAGAAGCAAGGGGCAGGGGAGGGGCAGAACTCCACAAGAGGGCAAAACCTGCTGTCAGCAATGCTCTCGTGGCTGTTCAAGGGAAGTGAGATACTTGTACTATGCATTTCATTTTTAGGACTAGAATTCTGTCTTCCTGCCCAACTTCAATATAAGTGTGGACTAAAATGCGAGAAAGGTGTCCTGTGGTCTATGCAAATTAGAAAGGACATGCAGAGTTTTCCAACTAGGAAGACTGAATCTGTGGCCCCAAGAGAACCATCTCTGAAGACTGGGTATGTGGTCTTTTCCACACATGGACCACCTACGGATGCAATCTGTAATGCATGTGCATGAGAAGTCTGTTATTAAGTAGAGTGTGAAAACATGGTTATGGTAATAGGAACAGCTTTTAAAATGCTTTTGTATTTGGGCCTTTCATACAAAAAAGCCATAATACCATTTTCATGTAATGCTATACTTCTATACTATTTTCATGTAATACTATACTTCTATACTATTTTCATGTAATACTATACTTCTATACTATTTTCATGTAATACTATACTTCTATATTAAAGTTTTACCCACTCAGCCAGGTGCAGTGACTCACACCTTTAATCCCAGCACCTTGGGAGGCTGAGGTGGGCAGATCACTTGAGGTCAGGAGTTTGAGACCAGCCTGGGCAACATGCTGAAACCCTGTCTCTACAAAAAATACAAAAATTAGCCAGGCGTGGTGGTGCGCACCTGTAATCTCAGCTACACGGGAGTCTGAGGCAGGAGAATCACTTGAACCCGCGAGGCAGAGATTGCAGTGAGCCAAGATCGTGCCTCTGCTCTCCAGCCTGGGCAACAGAGCAAGACCCTGTCTTAAAGTTTTACCTACTCAGCTATCTAAACTGAGGCTCCACAATGTAAATACGTGAGAGATCAGGGAAGCCTGGTGGCTGTGGGAAAGGGCTCCAGTTGACCAGGACTCGGCAGCTCATTACACTCTTTGCTGCAGGAAATGACTCCTGCCTGCATTTCCTGTGGAGGATCCGAGACCCACGCCCGGGCTCTCATTGTCTTCCTATTCCAGGCTCCTTCCCGCTCCTGGAGCTGCCGCTGGGTCTCAGCTCTCTGCTCTGAGGCTACGCCGCAGCTACAGCTCCCTGACCTGTTCCTGTTCAGGCTCCCAGGAAACCTCAGAGTGGCAGGTGCCTGCTGTTTCCTCTGTCTCCCGCCCATCCCACCACGGCCTCTCCTGTACTTTCAATTTGTTTTTCTTTAGCCATTCCTTCCCTTCAGCTTCTAAACACAGTTGGGTCACTTCCATTAAAGAAAGAAAGAGCCCCTGGATCTTCCTCTCCCTCTGGCTGCCCACAGACTCTTGTCACAACGCAGGCCGTGGTTTAAAGGGAACGTGGTCTACAGCCCGTCTGGCAGCTTCTCCAGGCAGCTGAACTTGTTTCCGTTTTTGGTAGTGAGAAAATTGCACCGCTAGAACTTTCTAGAGGTGTAGAAAGCAGGGAGTCACTCAACCCATTCTGGTTCGGGGGACTGCCAGATTTTTTTTAAAAAAAAGGGGGTGTAGAAAGCAAGTGAGACCAAACAATTTTGGGACAAGGAATACGGACACAGAACAGACTGGTAAGTACCCAAGTGTATGACAAACATCCACCATGGATCTAGGAGAAGCCCTGGGGCAGGGTGATATTCACCCGCAGAGACCCCTGTTCATCACTAAGCTTATGAAGAACCATTGACTGGCATTTAACACCAGGTGCTGTGCTCAAGGTGTGGCACGCAGTACCCAGTAAGCCTCACAACTGCATTGTGAGTAGGTAGCTCTGGCCAGTGGCAGATGAGGAGGCTGTGCTCAGAGAGGCTAGATGACTTGGCGGAGGCTCTCTGAGGCTCTAAGCGGGAAGTGGGGGGTTGGAGCCCAGCCCTTTGACTTTCCTTGTGCTTTTCTACCTCGGGTGAGTAAGATGACCAAGGGACTGGGGAGATCAAGAGGAGTGGAGACTCCAAGGGGACCCCTTTTTGGTGAGACGTGTAGACCATTCCCCTCTCCCCTGGGTGCCTGCAGAGAGCTCTTGAGACTGGTTTTAGAGCCAGTGAGGTCTAAGAGAAATGCTGACGGCAGGTGTGGGGATGGAGAGGGGAACCATGTCCATGTTCACAGCCCTGGTGACAAGAAGACAGAAGCCCCCAGGGACCCAGAGCTTCAGAAGGGTTTACGATGGCTACAGAAGCAGGTAGTCCCATGACGGTGTAGAATCTGTAAGCACCCCCAGGAGCTGGGCAGGGCAAAAGCAGGTCTGCTGGAAGAGTGGATGTCCCATGACTGTTGGAATAAGGTACCACGTGGGTGCCTCCTCCCACCCCTCCTTCCCCCTCCCCCACCCCCACGCGCCCTTGGGGCAAAGCGAGACTCGTATCAAAATAAAAATAAGTTATTGGCTCACGAGTTACACTTTCAGAGTCCACAGACTTAGCAAGGATTCGTGTCCTCTTGCCGCTGTAACACATTTCCATAAGCTCAATGCCTTAAACAACAGGAATTGATGATTTCACAGTTCTGCAGGTTGGAAGTCACACTGGGCTACAGTCCAGGTGCTGGCAGGGCTGTGTTCCTCTCTGGAGGCCATAGGGAAGAGTCTTCCTTGCCTCCTCCAGCTCCTAGGCGATGCCTTTATTCCTTGGCTTGCGGCTCCTTCCTCCGTCTGCGGAGCCAGCGGTGTTGCGTCTCTCAGTTCTGCAGTCACACTCGCTCTGTGTGCAGGACCTGGGCTGCACAGCATGAAGGCCCCAACTAAAGCCTCCGTCTCCATGTAGGGACTTTCTCCCGAGATGCCAGGTTTGTCCTTTTAGGAGTTCCTGGCCCATAGAAGACTGTGGCTATATAGTCTTATGTGAGATCAGAACCCAATGGGAGCTTGATGGGAACTGAGCCCAGAAACCCATCAAAATCTCATCTTATTGTTGTCAAAGCTATAGGGCCAAAGGATCTAGGGCCTAGAAAACCTAGCCCTAGATCCATGGCCCAGGGGGCTCACTAACAGTGCCCCTAGAATTAGACATCCCAGGTCCCTGGCCCAGCTGGATTCCCACAGGCCTTGCTCTGCAGGGACAAGATCCTGAGAGAGCAGGAGGGGCAGACTCTGGGGGTAGAACCAGGGGCTGTCTTGGCCTCGGCCCATCAGAACCACAAGCGCAGGCCCATGGAAGGGCGAATAAGGGGAAGTCCAATAACAATAAGGTCCAAATGAACTTCCATCTGAATTCAGAATTCTTAAGGATTAGCAAGTGCTGGAGTTTGTGCAGGGCTCAGGGGTCCAGGAAGGTGCACCCCAGTTAGTGAAAAGCCTAGGGTGCTGGTTCAGTCAAAACCACGACTGCATATGTGCACCTCACACATCTCCCAGGGGCTTGATTTCAAACCTTCCTTCATAGGAAACAAGCCACAGGACACAAAACACATCCAGTTGGCCTTTTGAAAGAAATAATATGTATTTACTTAGAAACAAAATTGCACTTTTCCCTATAAGTCAACAAATGCTAAGGATTCTGGACGTCAAATACCTCCCAAGACGTTTTATCAGCCAGACTTTGTTGTCCTTCAGGAAAAAATATGAGTTCCAGGAAAAATGACAGGCATGCAGGATGCTGATTTCCTTCCTGATGGTAAGACAGCAGCCTCCTAGACTGACGATTTCGTGACTTCTCAGGGGCTGGGTCCGGAGAACACCTTACTTTAAACAAAGGGAGAATGCTCTGTCCAAAGGCATCTTCTCTTGAACCCAAAGCAATGTTTTCCCATCATATATCAGAATTTTCACTCTTTTCTAGATCCTTATCCCCTCACTACCCCTTCCCCATCAAAAATATAAAACAAGAAATTTTAAAAAAATCTTTTTTTTCTTAGAAACACAGTCTAACTTTGTTGCCCAGGTCAGAGTGCAGTGGTGTGATCATGGCTCACTGTAGCCTCCATCTCCTGGGCTCAAGGAATCCTCCCACTTCAGTCTCCCACATGGCTGGGATTGTGCCACTACACCCGGCTGATTGTTTTGTTTTTTTGTAGAGATGGGGGTCTTGCTTTGTTACTCAGACCAGACTGGTCTTGAACTCCTGGCCTCAAGCAATCCTGCTGCTTCAGCCTCCCAAAGTGCTGAAATTACAGGCATGAGCCACTGTGCCCGGCACAAAATCTTCCAAAAAACAAAACAAAATGAAAACCCCAGGAGTCCTGAATATCATCCTTTGAGTCCTCCTGACCTCCTTGTCTGAGAGAGCCTTGAGTGAAGGAGCTCAGGACGGTACCCCTGAGGCCTGCACTCCAGCCTAGGTGACTGAGCATGGGTGACCCGTCACTGTGCTGCCGACAGCAGAATGGACTGACAGGGCTTCCAGATGGACACCGTCCCTGTAAGAGCATCTTAATGCCTCAGGCTAAGTCCCATGTCAGAGTCAGGGCTTAGCTAACTTAACAGGTGGGAAGCTAACTTAACTCACGGCATGTTTACAAGTGTGATAACATTTATAAATTCTAAAATAATAAAGCTAATTGTATTAGTCTGTTCTCACACTTCTAATAAAGACATACTTGAGACTGGGTAATTAATAAAGGAAAGAGGTTTAATGGACTCACAATTCCACATGGCTGGGGAAGCTTCACAATCATGGTGGAAGGCAAAAGGCACGTCTTACTTGGCAGCAGGCAAGAGAGAAGGAGAACCAAGTGAAAGGGGAAACCCCTTATAAAACCATCAGATCGGCCAGGTATGGTGGCTCCTGCCTGTAATCCCAGCACTTTGGGAGGCCGAGGCAGGCGGATCACCTGAGGTCAGGAGTTCGAGACCAACCTGACCAACATGGAGAAACCCTGTCTCTACTAAAAATACAAAATTAGCCTGGCGTGGTGGCACGTGCCTGTAATCCCACCTACTCAGGAGGCTGAGGCAGGAGAATCACTTGAACCTGGAAGGTGGAGGTTGCGGTGAGCTGAGATCGCGCCATTGCACTCCAGCCTGGGTAACAAGAGTGAAACTCCATCGCAAAAAACAAACAAACAAAAAACAAAAAAACACCATCAGATTGCGTGAGACTTATTCATTACCACGAGAACAGTTTGGGGGAATTGCCCCCATGATTCAATTATCTCCCACTAAGTCCTTCCCACAACACGTGGGAATTATGAGAATATAATTCAAGATGAGGTTTGGGTGGGGACACAGCCAAATCATATCACTAATGAACCCACTTAATTAAATATTCTTCAATTTTGTGATTTTCTTTTCTTGGTTATTTGCCATCAATTGTTTTCTTCAGGTCAAGCATATTTTTGTAGGTCCCCAAAAAAACTCACTGGCCTGGGAGCCTGCCTCTCTGTTGCCAGGTGGATAGAATATCTCTGGCTAAGTGTTGTAATGAAAATGCCCTGCTGGCGTCTAATTGGAGACCATTGCCGGGTGGTCCCAGGTGGAGGGCATAGGGTTGGGGTCAGCTTGGGCTGTGGGTGGAGAGGCAGGAGGTCACCTGCAGGCTGACAGGACCCAGCCATCGTTTCCCCTCGTCCCAGACTAGGTGTTAAACGTGAAGCATTAACAGGTAGTCCTGATGGGCCTTTCTGGAGTTTGCTAAACTGAGGTCTGGTGAGTGAGTCTGACGCTTTGGGTGGTTCTGTGTGCAACTATCACCTGGACCCTCCTGTGAACACTGTCACCGCAGATAAGGACCACGCCCAAAGTGTCCCAATTCTGAATGCTGTATTTGTACAGGGATGGGGTTAGGAATGGAACCTTAGGTTAAGTCCCCCCAAAGCAAATCCTGAGACAAACATCCAGGTGTAACTAATTCATCCAGGGCACATTCCCAAGAGAAACTGGTGAGCGAGTGAGGGAGGCTTGAGAGGAGGGGAAGACGCCAGGGCAGGGTGGGATTTCAGGCAGAGCCCTGCAGGTCAGCGCCAGTCTCATCCCCAGATGATGCTGGAGGTAAGTGACTCAGTCCTTGGCGCGTGTCCTCCCCAGGCAAGGGGCCTGGGCTATCACACTCCTAAGCTCCTCAGTCTACTAGTAAACAGCTGTCCCCACAGGGTATGAAACCTCCAGGCACATTTGACTGTGTGCTTGGAGGCCAGGAGTCAGGCTCCGGTAGCCTGAGGGAAGCTGTGGAAAGATAACTGCAGGTGCCCGCAGTGGAAAGCAAAGCCCAGGGAAGCTGGTGGAGATGGGGGCAGATCCTGTTGCCAGATTTGGCAATACAAAATGCAGAGCACGTATTTACATAACACACACCAGGTACTGTCCTGTGTGTTTTTCAAAGACTATCTCGTTTAATCCCAGCCTGGCCAGCTCTGGAGTGGGTGCTCCCCTAGTTGTTTTTTTTTGTTTGTTTGTTTTTTGGGTTTTTTTTTTTTTTTTTTTGAGATGGAGTTTTGCTCTTGTTGCCCAGGCTGGAGTGCAGTGGCGCAATCTCGGCTCACCACAACGTCCGCCTCCCAGGTTCAAGTGATTCTCCTGCTTCAGCCTCCCGAGTAGCTGGGATTACAGGCATGCGCCACCACACCTGGCTCATTTTGTATTTTTAGTAGAGACGGGGTTTTTCCATGTTGGTCAGGCTGGTCTCGAACTCCTGACCTCAGGTGATCCGCCCGCCTCAGCCTCCCAAAGTGCTGGGATTACAGGCGTGAGCCACCGTGCCCAGCCCAGTGCGCCCCTATTTTGAAGGTAGAATGTAGTCGTTTGAAGCAGGAGCACTGGGGTCAGACTGAATTTTAAGCCCCAGCGTTGCTCCCTGCTCCTCTGTTGCCTTCCACGAGTTCCTCAACCTCTCTAAGCTTCAGTTGCTTTATCTGTAAAATGGGTGAAATAGTATCACCACAACAATTGGGGCAGTGAAACGAAGCAGTGATTCTACCACTTCATTCTACCACTGTTTGCTGCACATAGTGCTTGGCACATAGTAAGCGCGGGGTGAGTAACAGTGGGGCTTGTTGTCATCATTACAGATGAGGTAACTGAGGTGAGGAAAGCCCATGCTGTTTCTAAAGGGTGGCTTTGCATTGGTTTTCATTTCTGTGTGGGGCCAGGGGAGGGGTGGACTCTGGGGAGGTGTGAACCTGGCTGTGAGTGCATAGGGCAAGAGTCCCCTATTTTCCAGCCCCCTCTCAGGGTCTCCTTCCTGATACTGTCCACAAACAAGAAGGGGTCCGCCCAGTCTGAAGGACCCCAGAACCTCACGGCAGGCCTGGGGAGGCTAGGCGGCGATGCTGAAATAAAGGAGGAGGCAAGGAGGAGAAGCCGGGCAGGGGATTGTCTAGAATTGTCCAAAAAGAGGAAACGAGCTATTTCTCAGCTCTTTGCCTTTAGTGCTTGCCTGGAGATGCCATTGTTAGGGTCCCAGGCCAGTCCCACAATCTAGAAACCCTCCCTCCCCACATTTCATAGACACAGCCATAGTCGTGGCATGGACACTGCATGAGCCCCTGCAAGCAATGCACAGGCCTCCTCAGGAGGGGAGGTGCCACCTGGTTTCTGGAGCCTCAGGCCTCCCTCACCCTCCGCAGGATGCTTCTCCTTGGACATGATGTTCCCAGGCTTGGAAGCAGCTACCCTTCCTTCACCTCACAGGCTCATTGCCCCTCTCTTTCCCTGGAGCCTCCAGCTAACCAGTCGCCACGTCTGGCCGCGCTGCTCCTGAGCTGGCTTTGCTTTCCTATTTTTCTCCTGGCCTCAGCCCCCTTCAGACTTCACCCTGATGAGAAAAGTGCTCCTGAGTAGTGTCCTGTCTCAGGCTTACCCTCTCTTGTCCATTCCTCAAGTAGGTGTTACAATAATCTCAAAGACAAGAAAGAACTAGAATAGTCCCCATCTCATGGGATGAATGACGGAAAGCCCAGCTCCCCAGCTGGTGACATCATCACCAAGCAGGGCCTGGACTGGGGCAAGTCTAGGGCTCCCAACAGAAGGAGGTGCTCACTTTCGGGGTCACGCAAGGGCACCAAGTACCTCCCATGACTGTGTGCCCTGGGTACCTCTCTTATCTCACCCACTGTGTTTCTTACTCTTCTCTCTGCTACGGGAGGCCCTTTGACATCACCAGATTGTGACCTTTCATTTAGCATGGAATCAGTAGAAAATCTGACACCTGCAGAATTATCTGCACGAAGAAAGCCTCCTTGTTTGGAAATGGGGCTGGCTTACATTCACACATGACTCTATTGGAGAAGACAGAAACCTGTTTGATGTTGCCTTAAATGTAGTAAAAATGTTGTGGTTGGACTGGCACAGTGGCTCACAACTGTAATCTCAGCACTTTGGGAGGCCAAGGCAGGAGCATCACTTGAGGCCAGGATGTTGAGGCTAGCCTGGGCAACATAGTGACACTCCATCCCTACAAAACTTTTTTTAAAAAATTAGCCAGGTCTGGTGGCACACGTCTGTCATCCCAGTTGCTTTGGGGGCTGAGGCAGGAGGATTGCTCCAGCCCATGAATTCGAGGTTGCAGTTACCTAAGAGCGCATAACTGCACTCCAGCCTGGGCCACAGCATGAGATTGTGTTTCAAAAACACGGTGGTGATTAGACGTCTCTTTTGAACCTGCCTCAAGGTCAGAGGTGTATGATTAGGTGCCACCTTGGGCATTCCTTTCTGTCCTGGGAGTAGAAAAAGTGTAAGATTACCTCCCCACGAGCACTTGAGCATGGGTTGTAGATAAATCCATCTGTGTCCCTGCTGGGGCTGATGGAGATATGAGGACTGAGGGGTCCTCCTTGCTTGAAGTCACATCTTTGGCAAAGGGCTGGAAAGAGGGCAGGGAATATCTAGATGTTGCTCAGAGGGGTCAACAAAAATTCTTCCGGCCAGTCCTGAAATACAAGTCTCATTGTAACAATAAGAATTATAGTTTAGTCTGACCCAGAGAACTGAGGCAACATTGATTTGAAAACAGTTTGTGCACACTGCTGGCTCTCCTGGTCACCAGCTCATGCCTGCACGACAAAATTCTACAGAAGATGCTTTTCCTCCAGGAAGGCATCCCGATGAGCACAGCTTTTTGCCCGAACATAAAATGTTTTCTGAAAAATCTTTCCCCAAAAAAGAGGGAGTGCTTTAGTAAAGTACTTACAAAGTTTCTCATATCACAGTTTCTCTCTTCTTATTTATTTATTTATTATTTTTCTGAGACAGATTCTCGCCCTGTCACCCAGGCTGGAGTGCAGTGGCATGACCTTGGCTCACTGCAGCCTCCGCCTCCCGGGTTCAAGTGATTCTCCTGCCTCAGGCACCCAAGTAGCTGGGATTACAGGTGCCGCACCACCACGCCAGGCTAATTCTTGTATTTTTAGTAGAGACGGGGTTTCACCATGTTGGCCAGGCTGGTCTCAAATTCCTGACCTCAAGTGATCTGCCCACTTTGGCCTCCGAAAGTGCTGGGATTACAGGCGTGAGCCTCTGTGCTTGGCCTCTCTTCGTTATTTAAACACAAAAGTTCTGTTTGCGAAAGACCCATTCACTAAAATGACCTCATCCAATGTTAATTTTTAATTTTGAGAATCACACGGAGATCACCAGAAGGAACTGGCATAAAAGGAGACAAGGGATTTAGTCATTATTCCTGGGATATGATCTCAATATTAACTAGGTTAGATTTCAGTGTAAAGTTTTTTAAAGACCATTTTAAAAAGCAAAATGGTAACAGGTTACATTACTGGGATGGGGGGAAAGTCTCTTAAGATAAAAGTGGATACTTAAGGCTTGAATACTGTTTTCCACGACAGCATTGTCTGCTGTCTCTCACACAACTAGATGGAAATGTTAGGAACGAGCTCCCAAAACCTGTGCCTATGATTCACAAAGGGGATCTGGTAATGACGAGGAAGGACCTCAGTGTCCAATTGCAAGTGAAGAGTTGCATGGAACTATCTTCATAAAGTACGAGTGAACAAAATCAATTCTATATTTCTGCATTGTTCCACATCATCTTATTTAAAATATGGATCATAGGCAGACATCTGACTATTTAATCAACATCTGTAAAGCTCACACAGTTAAGCTGTCCAAAAACTTTTCTTGGGATCTTCTCGTTGAGGAATTGGGGGATTGTTTTATACTGGGAGCTGCCTGGTGTTTGGCCAGGGGTTGGTCGTAGCCTGGTTTGTAGGGCCTGAGCCTACTTGCACTTTCTGATGTGTTCTTAAGGCGGAGCCTGATCCTGGTTCACTCCGTCTTCCTCACTAGACAGTAACTTCCCAAAGGGCAGGGCCGTCCTTTTATAACCCACAAACCCAGCGTTTTCTCCTGTGCTGTTGGAAAGTTTGCTGGCCCCTCTTCTCTGGACCTCATTTTCCTCGTCCAGGATGAGGAGTTTGGATAAAATGATTTAATAAGGATCCATCTGACTTTAATTTTCTCTAAATTTTTGCTTTTGGATTGAGTATATATTTTGCTTCAAATGAAAGCTCTTGCCAAGGCACGGTGGTTCAGAGATGTAATCACAGCACTTTGGAAGGCCAAGGATGGAAGATAGCTTGAAGCCAGGCATTTGAGACCAGCCTGGCCAACAAAGTGAGCCCGTGTCTACAAAAAAGAAAAAAGAAAAATTAGCCGGGCATGGCAGTGCTGCCTGTAGTCTGAGCTACTTGAGAGGCTGAGGTGGGAGGATTGCTTGAGCCTGGGCAACAGAGCAAGACTCTCTCTCTCTTGGTTGGGGGAAGCTCTTGCCTGTAGCCAGGGTGGGATGGGAATCAGGAAATGATCCCAGGTTTGAGATGCGAAGGAGGCAGATTCCTGACTGCCTATGGCACTGTGCAACTCTGGATTAGAAGAAACCTGAGACACATTTTAAACATTTTTTAAAATTAAAAATAACTTGTTTATTCACCCACTTACCTGTTCATATAAGCAAGCTCTGCCAAACACCGAGCACTATGCTGGGCCAGGAGAGGACTGAGCTGGGGCCCTCTCTCCAGAGGCCCAGCAGTAGGTGCCAGGATATAGAAGGCCCTTAACTCAGGGGGAAGGAGAGAGAAGAATGGAAGATTTCCCTCAAGAGGGTATCTATTTGAGTTGATTTTTGGTGAACCAGTAAGAATTTCCCAGCTTAACAGGGACTGGGGACTGGAGAACATTCTAGGGGAGGAAATCATGTGCATGGGCTAGGTTAGAAGAAACTCAGTATGTTCTGGAAACTATAAAGTGTGCAGCTGGGGGGTTGGAAAGGTCCAGCGAGGCCCCAAAAGGACAGAAAGCAAATGTGGGGAATGAGGTCAGCACAGCGGGGCAGCAGCAGGCAGCCCCTCTGGGAGTGGCAGGAGATGGAGAGGAGTGGCTGGCGGCACCGTGAAGGTGAGGCAGGCTGGAACGGGTGCTCGCGCTAGGCAGCGGGCCCGGGGAAGTCTGTGGACAGAACCACCTGGGGTAGGACCGTGGTCTGAGCACCCAGGAAAAGCCCCTGCCGGAGATCCTCCTGTCACTAGTTGCCATGGGCTAGATTCCACCATTAGAGGAGTCTTTCTTTGGCCAAAAGAATGAGACTCCAGGGGTCGTGTGAGGGTGCATTCTCAGGAAAGTGGGACACATTGACCTCTTTTGCAGGGGTTGCTCTATAGGGTCAGAGCAAATGTATGTGCTAGTAGGGGTGGGGAGCCAGCCTCGGAGTAAACCTTGAGGGCATAAGGAGAAGTACTGCTCTGGGCTCGAGGCTCAGTTAGGACACTTCAAGGTAGGCAATTGCAGGGGGCTGCTTGAGGGCACAAGGTGCCCCATATTCACAAATAAGGGTGGTGGGGAGGGAGATGAGGGGAAGAGAAACTCAGAAGAGTTTGAAGGGCCTGGGAAGCAGGTGTGCATTCTCCTTAAGCTAGCCTGGGCATGACGTCATCAAGAATTTTGCTTAAGTGGTTGGGTACAATTGGTGTACACATCAAAGAATGCGGACTTTGGATCAGGTTGGAGTTGGAACTCCACTGTTTGTCAACCACATGACCCCGGGCAAGTTATTCAACCTCTTGGAGGCTGCATTTGTAAATGGTGCTGGTATTTACCTCATAAGTTTCTAGGATTTCATAACCCACAGTAAACACTTCATAGATGGCATATATTTGCTCACCTTTGGACACCCTGCTCCGGCATGTGGCCCCCAGCAGGTGATCAGAAAGGTCTGCCGGTTCATTTGAAGAGGAGCGGCCCCTCACCCCCAGCAGCAATGTCTAGTCTCGATTCTGACCGTGGCAGTTAAAAGTTTCTTGGAGGTCCTTTCCTAGGCACTGATGCTGGCTGGGTAGCCCTGGTGTTCGTATGTCTAGATTGAACAACTGGCAAAATCCACACTGACTTTGACCTGAAGAGTGGCTGACTTTTCATTCTCAGAACGCTTATGCAGAATTATGGTTTCTATTGTCAGAATCTCAGTGCCTTTTTATTTAAATATTCCCCTTCATGCCATTCCTTTAAAAGCATTATCCCTCTCATAAAGCTTATAGAGCCTATTTCCAAGAATTTTCTATAAATTCATTTAAAAGCTATCATTAGTCAACAGGCTGCTTCTGACTACAGGCAAGACTGCAGGGAAAACCTTTTCCTACGGGGAAGGGACCCAGATGTATACTTAATAGTTGTGTCTTGGACCTGTTACTAAGTGAAGATTGTTCTAGGAAAGTAGGCCTGGACTGAGGTATTAGATTTCTAATCAACAGGCTGGTCTCATTCAGAGTTTGAACCAGCACTCTGGGGGAGAAACCACTTGTGGCCGTTGAATTACTCTGGCTAGCCTGTCTCAGAAAGACCATCCACAGCCAGGGCTAATGAGACAGTTGAAGAAAGAGAAATACTTTACCTGAGGGTTTTGGTTTTTTTTTGGCTTTTATTTTTGTGTGTGTGGATTACCACCATATAGCTCACCATGTTATCCCAGAAAGACTACAATTTCATACAGAATGCACAGATGTTTAAATAAAAAGCCATTTAAGTGAGGGGATAATTCTCACTAAAAAAAGCTCAAAAATAAGAAATGACAATTCTAGATACACTTTTTTGACATGTAAAATGACATAACCATAGTCACAGGGAATAAAGAATCAGGTTTGAATGTCCACAGGTTTCTAAAACTAAGCTCTGGCTTCGTATCTGTTGAAAATCTTTAGCGGTTGGGGAAAATAGCTATATTTAAAAACAAATATTGAATTTTGAGTTGAAAGGTACATTTTCCTCCCTTGATGGAGACAGAACTTTTCTATGGAGAACCCAAGCAGCCTTTCCATGATCTTACTAAGTTGTCCAAGAGCCAACCCCGATCAGCAGCAACAGGACTCAAGCTGTTCACCCTGCTTTCGAGTTGGCTGAGCTTCCTGCTGCTTTCACACATTCTTCTTTTTCTACCTCAGTTCCTCTTTGCTTGTAGTCTTTCACTCCATTAACTTGCCCAAGCACTGGACTTAAGTATGGAAGAGCCTATACGCAGTTGTAATATATTTCGTATTTTGAAAGTGTAGAAGTTTGTATTAATTTAAAAAGAAAAAGCTTAAATGGAAAGTTAAGCAATCCTGAACAAGAAAACTCTCTCACTGCCTTTGGGCTAGAGAAAGAGTATGCTCTCAAGGAGTTACATAATCTTTTCCAAAGCAGGATGGACTGTATCTATCATACACATTAGGATAAGATGAGCCACCACACCTTAAAGAAATCAGGCTTGAGCCTATACAAGCCATAACCAAATAGAAGATTTTAAACAAAGGAGCACATAGCCCAAAGCTGACATGTTATTTCTATAAACTCTGGTATATATGTGAAGGAGTTACTGTTGGCTGGCTTGTGGGTTTTTTGACTCACTACATTTTTTTAGACAAAATCACAATGTGAAGGCACATTAATAGTTGAGATTTTCTTTTCCTTCCAGGTGGACTTGCTGACTGATTAGTTTCATATACTACTTAGTAACCTCAAGAAGTAGCAGGAGGATGCCATGTATCAATCTTGAACTTCAAGTCTCACTGCAACAAGGATGGAGACTCCAGCAGAGTGCAGGGTGGGCACAGACAGGCCACAAGATGGCGCAGCACCTCCATACTTGGGCTCTTGACAACCAAGTAGGTTTTTTTTTTTTTTTTTTTTTTTAATGTCCACTAGGAGGGAGGATGCTACGATTTCAGACCTCAGCTATTAAATAGTAAATCTGGAAAACTAGTGGATAAATTTGCCATCTCCATTCTATGTTATTAAGACCAAGATAGTGTACTGGTTTTCTTTTAAATCACATTCCATTATGTCATTTAAAATGTCACAAAACCCACACGAAGCATCTCATTTACACTAAGATGCTTATTTAGCTAACACCACTAATGATAAATGCTGTTACAAATATGCATAGTCAGATGATAGTAACCACATACAGAAAAAAAATTTGAACAAGTATTTATTTCTTAAAATTTACTTAAGGGATTAGAGCTAATATATAATAGAACATTTAATATAACATTTGGAGTTATGTCAACATAAAAATAGCTGTGGTTACAATTAGCACATGCAATTCACTGCAAAGGTAAAAATACATGCTATACTCTAGACAAGCCTTCCAAATGAAGTTAGAGTAGATGGGGTAAAACAGCAAGTGAACATGAAAGGATTGCACTTAGAAGAAAGTGGGACATAGCTAGGATATAAAAGAAACATACCTAATGCTAGTCAGTCACTGCATTGTCCTACTAGCAAATTGCACATTTATTTTTAGAGTATATTCAATACACATACATATTGAGACTAGAGAATTTTCAAATATCTACCTTTGAAATATCCCTTTGTTTCTAACACATCACATTATGGTATTAATGTAACAGCACTTAAAACCTGTAGTTATCATTCAAAGCTTGTGTTCAAGAGATAAAAGAACATCATTCAGACAAAGCCTGTGTTCAAGAAATAAAAAAAACATCTATCACTATCGGCCTTAAATGCATCTCATCACACGACCCATCAACTTTAATGAAATGGGTAATGAAGTTAAACTAACCAGTTTGTACAAACTATTGACTGAGAAAAAGCCCTTAAAAATTTAGGAACAAATGAGCAACAGAAGAGCTCACCCTGAGCTGCCACCTTTTAATTTTTAATGCAATGTATATGAGAATATCATGCTAATGCACATACTAGTAGCATGTATGATGGAAAAAAATAGGTTAATGCAAAAGATAATACGCTTGGCTTTGTAAAGTTTTGTTTTGACTTACATCATCTGAATTCTGTTTATCGAGTCTGAAAAGGAACTGCTGCCAAGGACCAGTCCAAAGAAGAATTAGGCTGTAAGACTGCTAGTTCATACCTTCTTTGAAATCAATGACAATGTCCAATTTTAGGCTAATCCTAAAACACTTGCCATTTTATGACTCCATATTCTTTTAATTTACAGAAAAGTACAAATTTTTTAGAAAGTAATCTTATCAGCACAATATAATCTAACAATACCTGTAATAGAAAGCTATCCCAGTAAATTTTTTTTGAACAATTGAACTTTTGTCTTATGCAGCTTATAACTTTGTTATTTTATTCATCTCAACAAAATAAAACTTTATTGAAACAAAAGTGTATGGTTTAGGAATATGCTCTTAATAACAACTGAGCAAAATTAGAATGATGTGGACTATAACAGAATGAAGGAAGATCTCTCCTGCTTGATGTACTTGGTCAATATATGTTAGTAAACAGAAATATTTTAGGGAATTCTATGATTATTCTACTTCTACATTTACATGTCATGGTTTTAACTAGTTAAATGGGTAGAAAAAAGACATCTTTAATAATTGATTTCTATTTCTCAAACTAGATGCTCTACTTTAAATATGAGCTTTAATGAATGTTTTGTAACATTTTAAAGTTGTAACATTTCTAAGTATACTCCACTAACTTCACAATAAGAGCTAGGGTCACTGGATGACTTCATGTGGTAAAATCCCTTATCAAGGAATAAGGCTGAAATTTAAATGAACAATTAGGTAGAGAAGAGGTATGAACACAGAACATGTGAATGAAATTTGCTTTTTTTCCTTGCTGCTGTTCCCGAGTGCCGACTGATCCATAGTAAAAAAGGACAAGATTAAAATTTTAGGTTTTAATGGTACAAAGTGTGAAGTTTTATAGTTTTCTAATAATTATTCAGTATTATCCCTTTCAGAGATGAGGGTAGGATACCACAGACATCAGTAACTGACAAGTTATAATATCAACACATGTAACATTTGGGTCATTATTTTATAACCCTAAAGGGAGCAACTGCAGGTGCAGAAGCAGTGAGTGAACTAGTTTTGTCCAGACAAGGTTTTCTGATGTGCTATTACTTTAAACACCACTTTTGGACACTAAAGATTTAAAGTGATAAAGCCACTAACTAACTTTATTAGACTAGTTTTTACATAAATAACCAGATTTCTTTGCCTACCTAAAGTACAATTTACATGCATCAACACATAGATTATTCTAAGACATGCTTGGGAAAGTAATTTTGAATGTAAAAAGTTTTATAATTTATTTTCTCCTTAGGGCAGGTGTACATTACATATTAGTGCTCAAATATATGTTCATTTCCAGAATGAATTTTTGCACAGTAATCATATATCCATTTAATATGTATAAAGTGTTCTTGGGGATGGGGGTATATTCACTCACTGTACCATGTTTTATACAGGCTTCAACATGCAAATTTGTTTATATCATGGCCTTCAATGATCCTCCATTCTCATTCCTGTAGATTAAGAGTTCATATTGTATATCTGACCCTGAAATGTACAAACTTCACACTACAACATTCTTCATGACACTATTTGTTATGAGGAAAGTTGCAGCTAAATATTAGTCATGTGACTTAAATTTTGAGAAAATGGAAAATGTAATAGGTATAAATTTCCTGACACATACAGCAAGACAAATCCAGCCCAGCCTTTGATGATCAACTTAAAAGCTGGAGATGTCATTATCTTGTTGTGTAAATTTGGGTCTATCCCTACCTTTACTTCTCTGTGCCTGATTTTCCTCATCTACTTTGAATTCGTCATTCTATTAATCTACTTTTGCCTAAAGTGGGAAACTGAATATATCAGAATGAAACATCTATTTTTTTCATAAAGAAGATCATATAATATGTGAAAGAACTTTGAAAGGATGAGGCATTATATAAATGCAAGAATATAAAAGATAAACAGGAAGTCTAATGTGAACAATATTCTGAGAGTAAAAAGTGTAATTATATTTCCATTGTAAATGTATACCAAGTTTTCTTAGCTTTCTATTCTCCAATAACCTCTAGAAACTATTCTAAGCATGCCTGGTTTCTGTAACTTAAATATGGCATAAAAACCTGTTTCCTTTGAATTCACTTGATAGCAGTAGTCAATCACTAATAACGCTTGCTAATTTCCTCTTACTTTCTAAGAAAACCCCTATATTTAGCATCTGCTTCCATATCGCACGTGGTGGTTAGGGGACAGCATAAGTACACTAGCGGCTTTAGCACTAAACTCGAGGCCTGGGTCACTTCTCCCTTGAAGAAAAAAGGTTTTAAAAATTCCTAAATCACAATGTAGAACTAAGTTCCACCCTACCTCAGAACTGCAGACATTAAAATACCATCTCTTTATTAAGTGTCTCTACAATAATGATATTTGCTAAGAACAAGATGTACATTTTTTGGGGTTCTGTTTTGTTTTGGCAAATATTGCCCAAGTTGTCTTAGTGTGCCTCAAACATTTACTAAAAATAAAAAAATTTAAATCTTTGCCTACTTATTTAAAAATAAAAAAAATACTCAAAACAAATTTAAGCTGAAGATATATACTGTATAAAGTGTTCATCTACCCAGTACTCTGAAGTCTTAAGAAAAGTCAATGATATGTGTGTGTATATATATATATATATATACACACATTAGCAATTTAAGCCTTTTAACATGCCAATTTTTTAGATGCTTTATTGGTTTTTTTTCCCCTTTACTACTACTTCCTGTTTTCCCCTTTACTACTACAATTTAAGCCTTTAAAAATGGCAATTTTTTAGATGCTTGAGATAGTTTGGGGGATCCCTAGCTCTTATCATGGCACTCTGTTGAGTTTGTGAAATGCATCTTCAAAGAGGTTGTCAATAATATGCAAATTTTTGAAAACTAGTGAGATTACTAATTATTGATGAATAAAAAATGAGTACTTTTAATCTGCCAAGTTAAAGCTCTAGAATTCCTTTTCTCCAGTAATAACTCGCAGCATCACTACCAATGGAAGGGACCTAAGGAATACCGTGTACACTGATATACACGAAGCTGCTCCTCATTTTTTTGTCAGATTACAAAAGCTGGGCTCATGTAGTTATGGCCTATGGACCTCTTTTTAAGTTATTTTAGCAGAAGTAGATGATGGTCTACACCTTGCTCCTCTTTTATATTAACTGTCCCTAAGCCACTCTGATGACTATTCTAATCAAAATCAGTATAGCTGTGCTCACTAAGCATATCACTGCTTATTATTCAAATACCTTCTGTTTTCTATGTAGCAAAACAAAAAGTTTTATAAATTTCAGATAAGCTTTCTGTTTTTCTTCAGTGCAAACATCCTGAAACAGCACAAAATCATTCAGCTAGTCTGAGGATAAAGTCAGTTTATGTAGTGCTTAAAGTAGAATCCCAGATATTCTGGAATGGAAATAGCTCATGTGAAACTTCAGTTCATTTTTGTCCTTAAGGGCAAATGATCATCTTCAGAGAGTGAAGACTTTTTAAAATCTGAATTCACAGATAAAATCATTTTAGCTTTACTTTATAGGTACTGCTGAAGTTGTAGCAGGAACTACTAGTCCTTCACTGAGGCATGTAGCCGCCTTGCCGTACAGTCTGTGGTAAGTAACTTTTAGGCATGCCTTCATCAGTCGCAGCCTCCATGCCAACTGTTTCAAATCTTTCTACTTGTCCCTCAGTACCTGGACCAAAAGCATCTGCTGCAGAAACTTCCTGAAACATTTTCATTTGCCCAGATCCACAGGATTGTGAAATATGATCTGAAATCTGCTGTTTAAGTCTAACAAAATCTTCCTCATTGACTGATGAAACTTGCTTTGACCTTTCAAAATGTGAAATATCTGGACTGGATTCATGCTGACTGCAGTTCTGTTTGAAGTACTGTTGCCTGGGCAAAATACCATCACCGCCATCTACATGATCTACTAATTGTAGATCTTCTGGCCGCTCCTCTGAATCTAACAAGGGCTGGGTAGACTCGGATCTTGAGAAGACTTGGACTGACGGAACTTGGTGTCTGTAGCCACTGTGTACCACGGTAGAATACTGGACAGTGCTCGAAGTGTTTTGTGAAGATTCATTTTCATCACTGCTAGAAATGCTTGGCCTAGAAGATGACATGCATGAAGACCCCCCAATACCACTGCTGTGTCCTTCAGTATTAATTTTTTCCTTTTTGAACAGGTCCAATGATTTCAGATCTTCTGGAAAAGGCTTTTTGTCATTTGCTTCTATTTCCACAACACTTACATCAGTGAAATTGCCATCTGAATACATTTGATCTTTTGAATTAAAATTGTGCTAAGGAAGAGAAAAAATTGTATATGGCAAGTATTAGTTAAAGCCACAGAGCTAATGCATCTCTGAAACTTCCCAGTAACTCTCAGTGGTACAGAAATAACCTGTATTATGTCACTAAGTCACTGTCAACTACCCAAAATGCAGATACTATAAAATGAGTCTAAGTAGTCTAAATCAATATTGTTGGTGTTACATTTTGATAAGCTAATGGTCTACAAGTAGTATTTAATATTTCATGCCTAGACTAGGCAGCCTAGGATTAACTGGACAGAAAACTAGAAAACATTAAGGAAAATCAAACCTGAATGACAGAGATTTTGTAGAATATAAAAATACATAATACATTTTAATCTGTTAATATAAAATTTAAGGACTACCGGAGGATAATAAATATAAATGAGTTCCCCTTTGGGGCATATTTAAAATTCAGAGTTTAGAGTAGGTTCCCAGAGATCATTTCATCAGTGCTAAAATGATAAACTGTTGAACTTGGTTTTAATACTCAACCCAAAATGCTTGAGGTAGTTACCATCACATAGCAGTTTCAGCACCTCAAGTTTTCAGTTTGCAAGTTCAACCAAACATCTGTAATGTGTACTAAACAATTTAAAATATCAGAACAAATATACTATGATGGTGATAAAACCCCTAAAATATGTCATACATATTAAATTTTGATTAAAATTTTCAGTTATGTACTGTTTTATCTTCATTTACTTTTTGATTCAGCTTGAATATCTTATCTTTTGGTACATTTGTAGATACTCAATATACCTACTAACTGTAGATACTCAATATACCTACTAACATGTCTGTATATTATAAACAACTCAGAAGCATTTTCTCTTACCCTTGGAGGAGTGTGAGGTGACCACTGGGCAATATGACTCTTTGAAGGATCTGGAACATTAGGCCAGATGTGTTTTTTAATTCTGAAGAGAAAAGAAAAATGGCCTATGTAAAACCACACATAATAAACAATAAATAGTCCCTATTTCTAAACATGTTCATCAAAGACTCTTACAAACCAAACCAATTACCTAAATGAACAAAAAATACCTACTCTACCCCAAACAAAAATTATTTTTCTTATAACCAATAGAAAAATACTGTTGAAAATGCATAAGGATTATAATGTATTCATAATGAATTAACAAAGCTAAATCTAATCAGTGTTCAAATTTTTTTTTAAACTCTCAAAATTCTGCAATTAAAACCACTTAAAATCTTTACCCAGGCCACATGTTGTGGTATTCCAATTAAAAGAATCCAGATAACAAATTAATGTTCCCACTGATACCAAAAAAGTTCAAATATAAAAATCAAATTTAAAAAAGTGACTGAGAATGGTGCTTCAAAGAGTGAGAGCCTACCAGACTGACTCTCCTGTAGGAAATACCTATAACATTTGGAAGTAATATAAAAAGTAGTAAAGCTGACAACCTAGACAAACCAATGAATGAATCCTTGAAAGACACAAATTACCAAAACAGATTGAAGAAAAAGAAAGCTATATTTATAAAGAAATTGAATTTTTAATTAAAAACCTTCCCACAAAACTCTGGGCAAAAGGAAACAATTGTATTAATACTATACAAACTCTTTCAGAAAACAGAGGAGGTAACATGTTCCCATTCATTTTATGAGGCCAGTATTATCCTGATTTTAAAACCAGACAGATAAGGCACATAAAGACAGACTAACTTCACTCATGAACACAGATGCAAACAGTATTAAACTGAATGCAGCAAAATCCAAGGAATGCAAAGATGTTATATGAAAAATCAATAAAATGCACCATATTCATGGAAGGAAGGAGAAAAACCATATGATCATCTCAATAGATTCAGAAAAAGCATTTGACCAAATTGTGACACCCATTCATGATAAAAATTGCTAGCAAGGCAAAACAGAAATAAGAACTTCCCCCCTGCAAGTAGTAGTAAAGGGGAAAAAAAAACACAAAGCGGCTGGGCGCGGTGGCTCACACCTGTAATCCCAACACTTTGGGAGGCTGAGGTGGGTGGATTACCTGAGGTCAGGAGTTCAAGACCAGCCTGGCCAACATGGTGAAACCCCCATCTCTACTAAACTAAAAATACAAAAAAATTAGCCAGGCATGGTGGTGCATGCCTGTAATCCCAGCTACTCGGGTGGCTGAGGCAGGAGAATTGCTTGAACCCAGAAGGTGGGGGTTGCAGTGAGCCAAGATTGTGCCACTGCACTCCAGCCTGGGCAACAAGAGTAGAACTCAGTCTCAAAACAAAAAAACCCCACAAAGCAAAAACTTCAACCTACAGCTAACATCACATGTGATGGTGAAAGACTAAATACTTTCACCTCTAAAATTAGGAACAAAGCAATGCTCTTATATGGTCTAGATGTACTATATGTACTAGAGGTCTTAGCCAGTGCATTAAGACAATAAAAAGAACTAAAAGCATAAAGATTAGAACAACTATAATTACTCCCAAGAAGCATGATTGTGTATCTAGAAAATCCTAAGGATCCAAAAAGCTACTAATAAATGAATTTATCAAAGTCTCAGTATACATGATGAATATATTTTAAAAAATCAATTGCATTTCTATATACTAAGAATTAGAAAATATTTTTAAACATTTCATTTATAATAACAAAAAATACTTTTGTCATGAATTCAAAAAAAGTTATGCAAGGCCTGTCTACTGAAAACTACAAAACACTGCAAAAGTAAATTAAACAAAACCCAAATAAATAAAGAAATAAACCAGGTTCACGGATTGAAAGACTCAGTAGCGTTAAGACTGCAGTTCTCTCTCGGCCTTAGCGCCATTTTTTTGGAAACCTCGGCGCCATGAGAGCCAAGTGGAGGAAGAAGCGAATGCGCAGGCTGAAGCGCAAAAGAAGAAAGATGAGGCAGAGGTCCAAGTAAACCGCTAGCTTGTTGCACCGTGGAGGCCACAGGAGCAGAAACATGGAATGCCAGACGCTGGGGATGCTGGTACAAGTTGTGGGACTGCATGCTACTGTCTAGAGCTTGTCTCAATGGATCTAGAACTTCATCGCCCTCTGATCGCCGATCACCTCTGAGACCCACCTTGCTCAAAAACAAAATGCCCATGTTGGTCCTCTGCCCTGGACCTGTGACATTCTGGACTATTTCTGTGTTTATTTGTGGCCGAGTGTAACAACCATATAATAAATCACCTCTTCCGCTGTTTTAGCTGAGGAATTAAATCAAAAAAAAAAAAAAAAAAAGACTGCAGTTCTCTCCTATAGATTCAATTAAATCTGACCTATAGATTCAATAAAATCCCAATCAAAACTATAGTTTTAAAAAAGTTGACAAGCTGAATTAAAATGTATATGAAAAGGCAAAGAACCTAGCCAAAATAACTTCTTTAAAAAAAGAACACACTGGAAGAATTCTACCTATTTTCAAAATTTACTATAGAGCTATACTCATCAAGGCAATGTGGTATTGGCATAAGAACGGACATATATACATTTATGAAACAGAAGTGAGAGTATGGAAATAGATACAGACTTATAAAGACAATTGCTTTTGGCAAAGGTACCAAAGCAATTCAATGGGGAAAAGACACTCTTTTCAAAATAAATGACAATGGAATTAGACATCTGAAGGAACAAAATGAACCTTGACCCTGACCTCACACCATGCACAAAAATAACCTGAAATGGATCATAGACTAAGAGCTGAAACTATTGAACTTATGGAAGAAAACATGAGAAAATATTTTGATACTGTGTTTGGCAGGACACAAAACTCAGGAACCACAGAAAAAAAACTGATAAAATGAACTTCATCAAAATAAAAAACTTATGCTTTTTTTTTTTTTTTTTTTTTTTTTTTTCAGACACTCTGTCACCCAGGTTGGAGTGCAGTGATGTGATCTTGGCTCACTGCAACCCATGCCTCCTGGGTTCAAGCAATTCTCCTGCCTCAGCCTCCCGAGTAGCTGGGATTACTGACGTGTGCCACCATGCCCGGCTAAGTTTTTGTATTTTTAGTAGAGATGTTAGCCACTGTGTTAGCCAGGATGGCCTCAATCTCCTGACCTTGTGAGCCGCCCGCCTTGACCTCCCAAAGTGGTGGGATTACAGGCGTAAAACTTCTGCTTTTCTAAAGCCACAGTTAAGACAAAAAAACAAAGCACAGACTGGGACAAAAGTTTGCAAAACGTATTTAACAATGTTGTAACCAGAACATATAAAGCACTCTTATAGCTCAATTATAAACAAAATAACCCAATTTGAAAATGGGTAAAAGATTTCAATAGACACATCACAAAAGAAAATATGTAAGTGACACATGAAAAGATCCATTACTAGTCATCGGAGAAATGAAAATTAAAACGATATAGTACTACACACCCACTAGAATGAAAGAAGTCTGACAGCACTAAGTGTTGGTGATAATATGGAACACTGCTGGAGGCAATCCAAGATGGTGTAGCCACTCTGAAAAAGTTTGGCAGTTTCTTATAAAGTTGAACATATACTTACCATATGACCCAGCACTCTCACTCCTATTATTTGTTCAAGATAAAGGAAAACATATGCTCGCACAGTTTTGTATGTGAATATTCATAGCAACATTATTTATAATAGCTAAAAATTAGAAACAACCTAAACTTCCATAACAGATCAGTCTAAGTTTTGATATATCCATACTACAGAATACTGTTCAGCAATAAAAAGGAAAAAGGTAGGCCAGGTGTGGTGACTCATGCCTGTAATCCCAGCACTTTTGGGAAGCCAAGGTGGGTGGATCACTTGAGGTCCGGAGTTCGAGACCAGCCTGGCCAACATGATGAAACTCCGTCTCAACTGTAAATACAAAAATTAGCTGGGCATGGTGGCAAGTGCCTGTAATCCCAGTTACTCAAGAGGCTGAGGCAGGAGAATCACCTGAACTCAGGAGGTAGAGGTTGCAGTGAGCCAAGATCATGCCACTGTACTCCAGTAAGGGAACAGAGTGAGACTCCATCTCAAAAAAAAAAAAAGGGAGAAGTATATGCAACATCATGGATGAATCTCAAAAATATTATGTAAAAGACATACGCAAAAGACTACACGCTATGTGATTCTATTTATATAAAATTCTTGGCCGTGGCTCACACCTGTAATCCCAGCACTTTGGGAGGCTGAGGGTGGATCCCCTGAGGTCAGGAGTTCGAGACCAGCCTGGCCAACATGGTGATACCCCATCTCTACTAAAAATACAAAAAATTAGCTGGGTGTGGTGGTGGGCGCCTGTAATCCTAGCTACTTTGAAGGCTGAGGCAGGAGTCTGAACCAGGGAGGCAGAGGTTGTAGTGAACTGAGATCGCACCACTGCACTCCATCCTGGGCAACAAGAGTGAAACTCTGTCTCAAAATAGATAGATAAATAAAAATTCTAGAAAAGGCAAAACTACAGTTACAGAAAAGCAGATCAATGACTGCCTGGGGTTGGGCTGAGAAGAAGACAGATTACAAAGGAGAACAAGGAAGCTTTATAAAAGTGATGAAAATGTTCTATATTGTGATTATGGTGGTAGTTATACATCTGTATGTAATTACAAAAATTCATCAAACTGTACACTTAAAATGGATAAATTTTATTGCATGTAAATTCAGCTCAATAAAGCTGGGGGAAAATGCAAAAATATGAATAAAGTTACTTACAGGTCTCGCTTATTAAAGCAGAACAGCACTCCCAGAAGAGTTGTCAATAGGAATGCTAAGCAAACAGGCACGACTATGGCTTCAATTTCTCCTTGAGCTTAAAAAAAAAAAAAAAAAAAAAAAAAGAGGTGTGATGGGAAATAATGTTGACATATGAACTAAGAAGACATAATACAACTTCCCAACCAGACTTACTGTTGAAAAGATAAAATACAATCCTAATTATTTTTCAAGGTCTCTTCAGACTTGATGATTTTTACCCTCTTCTCTCTTTGGTAAATCACATCCCAACCATTTATGTCTTATACATTAACCTGGCCGCATAGCATAAAATATATGTTGGTTGGGGGATAAAAATGATCAGTGTATCGGGTAATCTACTGGGTTAGAGCTTTCAAACATAACCATTTGTAACATTTATGATCTGCATTTGGTAGAATCTTAGTAAAAGTTTATCTCTGAGTTCTAATACTGTATAACAGAGAAATTATGTCAGAACAAATATAAATACTGGGTAAAATGGAAAAGCTATAAAAACATAATTGAACTACACATTTAACCTTCTAAAAAATAAAAATGCAACTCTCAGAAGTTTTAAGAGTTATTTACCATTTTTCAAAAGGAGGATATAGCTGGTACAGGGCTAAGAACTTTAGGAGCTGCTCAATGGGCATGAGGAGTGGCACGAGTAGGAATAAACTAAAAAGTAAACAAGCCTAAGATCCCTAAATACCACACAAATCCTCATCTGCATTTAAAAGAGGACTTGTTCATCAAATTAATCACTAATTGGGATAATTAACATTGGAGATTTTTTAAATGACTGTCCTGATTAATTTTGAATTTTACTTAGTCTTTTACAGTAAAAAATGTATGAAAGTAATATTGCAGCCATATACTATTCACTTAATTTTATCCTTCCACCACACATATCCCTTTGTAAGTAACTAACATCCTATGAAGCTCAGTAGAAATCAAGAAATCAGTTAAATGCTTGAGAATAAACTATGGGTTGGCAAATATTAACTCTTAAATGCTAAGCATCATATATATATATATATGGGTGTATGTATATATATTTATGTGTGTATATATTGATATATGTGTGTATATATATATTGATATGGGTATGTATGTGTGTATATATATATAAAATGCCAAATCTAATTTAGGCAGAAACTTTGCTTTATTAAACATCTGCTTTTATGTTTTCAAGCCTGTGCCTTTGCTCATGCTGCTCTCTAAGATGCCACCTTCTTCCTATTTGTCCACATACTAACTCAAGGCTCAAGTATTTTCTTCTTCATAAAACCTTTGAAGGTAAAATTATCCACTACTGGTATATTTAAATTCCTACTCTATTTACTGTCTACATAGTCCACAGGTTCTCCTTTTTCTGATTTACTTATGCAAAATTTCTTCAACTAAGCTGTAAGGTCCTCGTTGGCAAGACTCAAGCCATGTGAAGAAGCCATAATGGATCCATGAGACTACAGATAGAGAATTGAAAAAAGGTAGGTTATAAAATAATACTAAGTATAATTTAATTTTAGGAAAAAAATATATACAAAGAAGACACTAAAAGGATACACAAATATGTTATTTTGGGGTAAGGGACTAGGACTAATTTTTCTTCCTCTCTACATTTTACTGTACAGTCTAAATTCCCTATAATGAACACCTATGTAATAAAAAAATTTTAGGCTGAGCATGGTGGCTCATACCTGTAATCCGGCACTCTGGGAGGCTAAGGCAGGAGGACTGAGGCCAGGAGTTCAAAACCAGCCTGGGCAACACAGCGAGATCCCATCTCTACCAAAAAAATTGTTTTAACTAGCCAGGCATGGTGGTGCCTACCAGCAGTCTTAGTTACTTGGGAGGCTGAGGCAGGAGGATTGCTTGAGCCCAGGAATTTGAGGTTGCAGTGAGCTATGACTGCACCACTGCACTCCAGCCTGGGAGACAGAGCAAGACTCTGTCTCAAAAACAAACAAACAAAAAATATACATATGGGCTTTTATGTGTGTGTGTACACACACACATACATATATACAAAGCTCTGTAGAGATGGCTGGTCTCCACAGAAATACATAAAATATACATTTTTAAGTTTATTTTTTAATTTTTCTCAAGATTATGGTATAAAGTTTTATTTTAAATAACATACCTATTAACATACCACCACATGGGACCAACCTTATCCCAGAAACTATATTCATTACTGACCCTAACAGCAAAGCTCAGGAACTTTTATCATTTATTTTATGTAGTCACTCATTCATTTATTCCCTCATTCAGCAAGCATTCAACCAACAAGGCACATGGAATTTACTACTTATCATTAACTAGGCTGGCACTTGGGGGTGGGGGTTACAATTATGGTAAAATAAGGTAATTTTCTATAATGATTCAAAATGTAGGGGGAGCAAGAAAGAATGTTGGTTAAGTTTGCTTTAGGGAAGATACAGAAGAGCCAGATGATGAGGTGAAGACCTCACTGGGGGCAATGCACTAAGAAAAGAGAAGTTAGCATGAGGAGCTTGCAGTTGAAGAAAATGATGATGAAAGGGTACGCACAATCAACAGGACTTGACACTCAGCTTATGTGAGAGAAAAATATACAAATACATTTATTGTAATCACATTTAAATTTATGGCTTTGGCATAGAACGAGGGAGGGAAAATGTATTTGGGAAGGAAAGAGAAGATGGCTAAAGCCATGGACAGAGTTTGAATAGGCAAGTAAGAAAACAGGGTCAAGAGGCCGGGTGCGGTGGCTCATGCCTGTAATCCCAGCACTTTGGGAGGCCGAGGCAGGTGGATCACCTGAGGTCAGGAGGTCGAGACCATCCCAGCCAACATGGTGAAACCCCGTCTCTACAAAAATACAAAAAATTAGCCAGGCATGGTAGTGGGCACCTCTACCCCAGCTACGTGGGAGGCTGAGGTAGGAGAATCACTTGAACCTGGGAGGTGGAGGTTGCAGTGAGCTGAGATCGCACCACTGCACTCCAGCCTGGGTGACAGAGCGAGACTCTGTCTCAAAAAAAAAAAAAAAAAAAAAAAAAGCAAAAAAAGGAGAAGAAGAAGAAAACACCAAAGAACAAGGAGACTCAGGAGACTGTGCTAGCAGAAAAAGTATGGTTAGAAAACCCAAGGGAGGAGGGAGTTTCAAGGATGGAAGGCCAACAGAGTCAAATGCAGAAAAGGCTGGAGGCAGTGGCTTATGTCTATAATCCCAGCACTTTAGGAGGCCAAGGCAGAAGGATCACTTGAGCCCAGGAGTTTGAGACCAGCCATCTCTATAAAAAAAATTAGCTGGATGTGGTGGCACTGGTCCCAGCTACTTGAGAAACTGAGGTAGGAGGATCACTTGAGCCCAGGAGGTCAAGGCTGCAGTGTGCCATGTTCATGCCATTGCACTCCACTGTAGCCTGGGCAACAGAGTAAGACCCTGCCTCCAAAAAAAAAAAGTAGAAAAAAGATGAAAACTAAAAAGCATGCAGTACATATGATGATCAAGAGGTCTTCTGAGTGACACCAGAGAGGTTTCAGTGCAGGGGTGGGGTAGGACCCCTAATTTCAGTATGTTAAATACTGAGTGGGAGGTACGGAAGTGAAGACTGTAAAGTGGACTAGTCCTTCAAGTAATCTCTCAATAAAAGAAAGAAATGAGGATAGAGAAGGAAAGAACACACCCAAACCAGTGAAAAAAATGAACCCACATGGAAAGATACACAAATTCTTTTAGGATTTTTAGTACAGCTGAATATAGTCAGAAGCAGTTAATAAAATACCAAAAAGGTGAGGAATAACACTTTCTATAAAGAAACCACCAACCAAAGCCAGATAATATAAAAATCATCATGAATCCAAAGATGTACTTTTTAACACAATTTTAGCACATAAACTAAGTTCATTTCTAACCTAAGTTTGAGAAAGAAAAAAAACCAAACTTCATTATTTCTTACCAAACTTTGGGGTAGTAAAAGTGAATTCTGGACCATCCTTCCCACCTTCATCTGTGTATGCTGCCATTCGTACCATGTACAATGTGTCACTAGTCAAAGAGGACAATGTATATTCTGTGTGGGAAGAATCCACATTCACAGCTGGAAGAAATAAGAACTGTGCTTCATTCAACTATTCAATGCTTTTGCTTATTTGGCCTATATTTGGCATTGTGAAAGTGTTAAAAAAGAAGCGAAGTATTTTTGTTGGAAAACAACTTTTATAATGTTCTGACATAATTTTATGTTCTAAAGCACAACACAATACTTTTTCAATAAATCCATGAAAGTAACCATAAGGCAAATTCTCAGGTGTCTCCTGAGGCCAATATACTATAAGATGTATAAGAAGAACAGACTTAAATTAGTACTTAAAAGCTTAAGGAAAAAATAACTGATTCTTAATAACTGATACAGTTTTATTACCAGTTTCATTTCCAATGATGGTTCTATAAAATATAGTATAATTTCTGATAAATCCATTCTGAACATCAACAGGAAGTTGGTCCCACTCTAAGACAGCTTCGTTTTTCCCTACTTTTTTTGTCCGAACAGTAGGTCCTTTGGAAGGTGCTGTAACAGAGTGAACACATTTGCTAACTGAAAATCATTTACAATCTAGTAAAATTTCCTTGTCATAAAATCATTTGAACATAATGAGATACATCTTTATTTAAAAGCGATAAAATGTTTCTGTTAATACAAAGCCCTAAACTTTTTTTTTCAAAGAAGTGAGTTTGGACTTACGAGCTTGTTTAAGGTATGCCTTTATGGATTCAGGGCTTCCTGGTCCATCAGCATATACTGGAGTAACTGTTATCAAATAGCATTTGCTCTCTGCTAAGTTCCCTAAAGCAAGAATAGCAGATTAAGCATGTTTTTCCATAATGAAAAAGTCAAGTTAATACCGTAATTTATTTTTACATTATAATTTCATGACCACTTAATTTTCTTTTAAAACTGCAGTTTTCTAAGTAAGCATTGTCTTTTGTGTACTGGATTCAAGCTTAATCAGGTAAAACTGTCTGTAAAAGTATTGCCAATGCAGTGGATAAAAAATACATTGTTAAGAACAATGATGGTATTTACATTTAGAATTTATAAAACAATGATCTCAAATTACTCTGGATTTTATAGAGTCTGACAATTTTTGTATGTCTTACCTACAAGAGAGAACAGCCTAAGGAGCAAGACGACTAAAGCAGTAAGACCTAGGGGAAAGCACTAACGGTCCTAGTTTGCGAGTTGGAAAAAAGGGTATCTTAAAAAATTTCCTCGGCCAGGCGCTGTGGCTCACGTCTGTAATCCCAGCACTTTGGGAGGTTAAGGTGGGAGGATCACTTGAGGTTAGGAGTTTGAGACCAGCATGGCCAACATGGTGAAACCCCCCTTTACTGAAAATACAAAAATTAGCTGGGCATGGTGGTGGGCACCTGTAGTCCCAGATGCTTGGGAGGCTGTGGCAGGAGAATCACTTGAACCCAGGAGGCGGAGCTTGCAGTGAGCCGAGATCGCACCACTGCACTCCAGCCTGGGCGACAGAGTGAGACTCTGTCTCAAAAAAACAAAAACCAAAACAAACTTCCTTTATTTTTATCTTTTTTAGCATGCACCACTAAAATTTTTCTTATTTATACAGTATATTATCTGTACATATTAGAAAATGTTTTATTGAAATTTATACCTTCAATAAGAATGTATATTCCTTAACTATTACTCATGAAGTTACATGCTCCTTTACCTTCTTAAACAGATTTTACCTTTTCTTAATGATTCAATATTACCAAAAAATGAACAATTTTTATATTCTACTCTAATGTGATGCTTTCAGGGTTACTGAGCAACATACGACTACCTACCCAAACTTAATGTCTCCACAACTTATGCTAGCTTCTATTTTTTTTGAGATGGAGTTTCGTTCTTGTTGTTCAGGCTGGAGTGCAATGGCATGATCTTGGCTCACTGCAACCTCCGCCTCCCGGGTTCAAGAGATTCTCCAGCCTCAGCCTCCCAAATGGCTGGGATTACAGGCATGTGCCACCACGCCTAGCTGATTTTGTTTTAGTAGAGACGGAGTTTATCCACATTGGTCAGGCTGGTCTCGAACTCCCGACCTCAGGTGATTTGCCCGCCTCAGCCTCCCAAAGTGCTGGAATTACAGGCGTGAGCCACCGCATCGGCTGCTGCTTTAAAAAGTTTCTATTGGCTCTGAGCAGTGGTTCACGCCTGTAATACCAGCACTTTGGGAGTTTGAGGTAAAAGAATCGCTTGAGGCCAGGTGTTGGAGATCAGCCTTTGCAACACAGTGAGATTCCCTCTCTACAAAAAAATAAAATTAGCTGAGTGTGGCAGCATGTGCCTGTAGTCCCAGATACTCCAGAGGATGAGGCAGAAGGGTCACTTCAGCCTGGGAGTTGAAGGCTGCAGTCAGCCATGATCATGCCACCATACTCTAGCCTAGGCAACAGAGTGAGACCCTGTATTTATTTTTTTTTAAGAAGTTTCTATAGTTATTTCCAGCCTGTTTCAGGACTTCCTAAGCTCCACCATGTTTTTAATTTGATAAAGTCAGTAAACTAGATAACCAAGCTTATTAAAACTGTACACTAATAACATGTAAGTCCAAACAGCCTGTATTATGACTAAAGCTCAAAAACTTTATGGCAGGAATCTCTCTGCTTAGGGCTTTTCTCTAATTAACCATATTATTCACAGCTGAATTCTAATTATTAATTATCAACAAAAGACTATAAACTGAGTTTTTTTCTCTTCAAAGTTGTTGTATCACTTTATAACCACTTAAGCAGCACCATAACACACAGACTGGAGCGCTACGATTCATTACTTCTGTCCTTTGTTACTACTTCCAATTGAAAGACATAAGGAAATCTGAGTTCTAGTTCTGCTTCCTCTATCTGATGGTTCTAAGACATTACACAAGTCATCCAGATGCTCTAGGAAACTATTTTCTCATGTGAAGGATGAGGTACAGAGAACATATAACTAATCAGCAGCAAAGGTTGGACTCTTATATTTCTCTATACTCTATAGTTTTAGGAGTTTTCCCTTGACGATAAAATCATATTGGGGTACAAAAAGAAGAAAGTATTAACCCCACTCTGTTCATAAAGAGACTGTAATTCAGAGAGGTTAAGTATGACTTGCTGAAAGTCACACATCTAGTAAGTAGTGAGGCTATGATAAATTGGAAGTCGTTTCAACGGACCAAAACACTATAAGCAAAAGAAAAAGCTGCCTAAAGAGTTAGAAAAAGGATATCAATTTAGATGTTTCTAGCCAGGTATACCTCTTAAATAGGTGCGATGCACGGTACCATCTTCTTGTTGCCAGTCTGTGATACAGGGTGCTTTATCTGATAACACACACCACTCAAGTATATATTTCTTTACAGATTCCCTTGGAGTAGTCCATTCCACCCAAAGCATGTTATCTTTGGGGAATGCTTTAAGATCCATTACAGGGTGAGTAGCTTTAAAACAAAGTTTGAATATTGAAATAATAAATATTAACAAATTTGAAATTTCCATATTTTACAGTCATTTCCAAAACATGTGATTTATCAATTTTTGTAGCATATACTTCCTTGCCTAAAAGCACTTTATTATAACTTACAGGTAAAGTAGTCAATTTTTAAACTTAGATTTTGCTTCCCCGCTGGGCACTGTGGCTCATTCCTGTAATTCCAACATTTTACGAGGCCAAGGCAGGTGGATCACTTGACATCAGGAGTTCGAAACCAGCCTGGCCAACACGGTGAAACCCCGTCTCTACTAAAAATACAAAATTAGCCAGGCATTGTGGTGCGTGCCTTTAATTCCAGCTACTTGGGAGGCTGGTGCACAAGAATCGCTTGAAGCCAGGAGGCAGAGGCTGAGATCGTGCCATTGCACTCCAGCCTAGGCGACAGAGCAAGACTGTCTCAAAAAGAAAAAAAAAAATTTGCTTTCCCTAAATTCTTCAAATGCTTTCGGTTTGTAATTGCAATTTTTCTTCTTTGAAAGCTACGAATAAAGCTACAGATAAACGTTTCAGTCATATGTATACAAAGTTCTCAAAATCTTGAAATAATATTTTAAAAACCAGGTAAGTAATCAGAATATGCTTAAATGAATGAAGTAGCTTACTGTGAAGTTTAAGTGAGCATGTAGTGATGGAAATGTTCTTGCATCCTGATGAAATTTGTCTGCTGACTGATTCCTAAAAATGCGATCACTAGCTGGGTTTGGTGGCATATGCCTGTTAATCCCAGCACTTTGGGAGGCCAGGGGAGATCGCTTGAGCTCAGGAGTTCGAGACCAGCCTGAGCAACCTGGCGAGACCCAGTCTCTGAAAAAAAGAAAATCATTATTTATAAAATTTAAAAAATTAAAAAATAAACAAGTGATTATCCCTGATACTGAGGAGACAGTCTTAGATAACTTGTGTTTTTTATGGGAGCCCTGTCCATACCTAACCACCATTTTTCCACCCAAGAGTCAGGCTCCATCTCACAGATACAAACCTTGAAAGTCACAGGCAGGGATAGTTAAAACAGCTGCATCTGATTTGCCAACAAGATTTCTTACTGTTAGGGTTGCTAGATAGCGATCATTTGTGAGATTTACTGTCAGTTTTGTGGCATTAACTGTGTAATTTTGTAAATGTGATTTCCATCTTGTGAGAGTCACTTCATAATCCAAGATTTTTCCATTGGCTTCAAAAGGAGGCAATGTCTGTAATAAAATAGTTTATTTTTAAAAATAATCTCATAAATCTTGAATAAAAAATCAGTTTTTCTTCATATTCACAAATCATGCCATTATGTCAAATCTCTAAATATTTAACTGGAAAGGATTCACAATCTCCATTTTAAATTTGGTTCTAAAATAAAACTAGTACATACTAAATGAAGAGTAAAAGCATGACCTCAACTAAAAAAGGGTAAGTAGCATCATTCCGTTAGCTTTTGGTTCTGTATCAATTCTGCACTGTGGCTATGTAGGTCTAAATTATTTATTTTATGCTTGAGTATTTTTCTACCTTCTTTTTTAGTATGATCTACTCATGCACTTACCAGCATACATTTTGATTATCACAAACTTTTATTATTTTCTGAGTTACTCTGGAAAATTCCAAAGTACAAAAACAACATTCCTCTTCTTATAGAACTTATACTTTCACAGAACTGTACTTAAATACCTATAAGGTATTATTTGTAGTTTATGAACCTGACTTCTATATAATATTAATACATATAAAGCATTACCTTTCTATTTAGTAAAAATAGTAATCAAATGCTTTGCTATTAAAATGAATAAAAATTTATCTATTTAAAAGACCTCCATTCATAATACCATACAAAATGTATTTATAAGGGCTGGGCGCGGTGGCTCATGCCTGTAATCCCAGTACTTTGGGAGGCCGAGGCAGGCAGAACATGAGGTCAAGAGATCAAGATCATCCTGGCCACCGTGGTGAAACCCTGTCTCTGCTAAAAATACAAAAATTAGCGGGGCGTGGTGGCGCACACCTGTAGTCCCAGCTACTCAGGAGGCTGAGGCAGGAGAATCACTTGAACCTGGGAGGCAGAGGTTGCAGTGAGCCAAGATCACGCCACTACACTCCTGCCTGGCAATGGAGCGAGACTCGGTTTCAAAAAAAAAAAAAAAGATTTATAAGAGATAAAATATAAATGTGATTTTTTACCTTCCACACGAGTTGTACAGTTCTGTAGCCTTGAGTATGGGATGGATCTATTTTATACCAGAAACTTGGTGCTTTAGATGGTCCTAAAGAAAAGACATAAACTCCTTAAAATAAAAAGGTTTTAACAGTAAAATAAAATTCTGCAAATTATTCTTTTACTTTGTTCTTAATACTCTTGCCCTCCAATTGCATGGTGTCTCTACCTCTTTATACCAGCATTTTCCCAACCCAGCACAAAACACCTGGCTCTTCCTTTAGTCAGGGTGATAGCCTGATCAATTATACTGGAACTCTTTTCTAACCTCAAAATTGTAAAGGTAAAAATGTATTCTGAGCAACAACTAAAGAGGCATCACTCTTTCTTATAACTTCATGTTCTTTATTCTGTTTGTGTGCTGGCACTGTATTTATCTACTTGAATCTCCTGTACCAGCAGCCTTTTCCCAGCCTTCCTGGTCTGCCTGTCCTCACTTCTGTTTTGTCATCTGTAATTGCCTCTTCATGATCAACACATCACTGCTTAGATTTTATTCAACTCCTCTCTTATTCTATTAAATACCAGGTCTTCTAATTATATTTATAAAAATTTTGAAAAATTAGTTAATATGATTTTTTAAAGAAAAAAACTTTTTAAAATAAAGTTTTTAACAGTAAAAAATAAAAATGAAATAAACATAAGTTGATACTACTTATCGCTGAAAATCAAACTGGAAAATCTATTTAAACACATTGCTTACTCCTAAATATTCACAAGAATAATAAAACAAATTAAGATAAATGTACTAAAATAAGTTTATTACTTTATATAAGGATGATTGAGAGTGATGGGATGTAATAAAAACAAATTCACAGTATTGTTGTGATAATCACTAACCATCTGAAAAAGCAATCCATAAAACATAGTGGTTTTTTTCCAGAGACAGTGTCTCGCTCTGTTGCCCAGGCTGGAGTGCAGTGGATGACTATAGTGCACTATAACCTTCAGCTCCTAGGCTCAGGTGATCCTCCCACCTCAGCAACCCAAGTAGCTGGGGTTTGGCCACCATACCCAGCCAAAACATAAATTGTTAAATACCAGTAATTAAATTCGGTTTTAAAAATACCTGTAGTATTAATTTTTCAAAACTTATAATAGCCATTAAATGTAGCATATAATTTTTAATTTTTTAGCAATAAGTAATATCAACTGACATTTCATTTTTACTTATCATTGTTAAGCTTTTTGTAAAAAGTTTGTCTTAAAAAAATCAATGGCATTAACTGATTTCTCAAAATTTTTATGAATATAATAACAAGATATGGTAGTCAGTAGAATAAGACAGGAGTTGAATAAAATCTAAGCAGTAAGGCTGGGTGTGGTGGCTCGTGCCTGCGATCCCAGCACTTTGGGAGGCCGAGGGATGTGGTTCACTTCAGTTCAGTAGTTCAAGACCAGCCTGGGCACCATGACAAAACCTTGTCTCCACAAAAAAATACAAAAATTTGCTGGGCATGGTGACACGTGCCTATAGTCCCAGCTATGTTGGGGGCTGAGGCATGAGGATCGCTTCAGCCTTGGAGGTAGAGGCTGCAGCGAGCCGTGTTCATGCCACTGCACTCCAGCCTGGGCAATAGAGTGAGGCACTATTTCCAAAAAAAAAAAAAAAAAAATTTAAGTACTGATATGTTAATCATGAAGAGGCAATTACAGACAGCAAAACAGAAAGGATAGGACAGGCAGACCAGGAAGGCTGGGAAAAAGGCTGCTGGTACAGAAGTTAAAATAGATAAATTCACATGAGTACAGTGCAGCACTCAAACAGAATAAAGAACATGAAATTATTAAAAAAAAATTATGAGCTGGAAATATTTCCTAACATAAAGGGAACCCAGAGACTTCATTCACGCATTGATTTGACAAAGATTATGTACACTTGTCCATTAAAAATGCACACAGGCACTAACCACAATATTTTACCTACATTTTAAACTATTTCATGAACTCCTCCCCATGTATCTCATTTTAAGAATTCCTGGTCAAGACAAAGCAATCTGGCTGAGGACTCCCACAGCAGCAATAGCAAAATTGATTTCTTTCTCAGCATTTATGAGAGAAATCTTAGGGCAGAAGGGTACTTTTCTGCCTTTGATGTTCTCAAGTCACATGACCTAAACCTCTAGAAGAGCTGGAAGTAAAGGGATATAGGTGGTAGGGGATTTTTTCAGCCACAGCTACTGCCATTGATAACTAAGAGATGAGTCTGTGATAGGAAGGTCTCAAAATGAAAAATCTATGCCACGGGATTATTTCTTGAACTTAGTAACATCAGATGCTTTGCAGTGAGGATCTTACTTTAGACTGTACACTCTTTTTGTGCCTTTTTTATTCTATATCATATATATTATCTATAGGAGAAAAAAGGAAAATAAAAACTAACCAACCAAAATTCCAGGATCAACCGCTTCCCAGGGGCTTATCAAGTGCTATTAGAAAAAAAATGAATAAAAGGTATAATACAAGTATATTTTTGATAGTGGGGATCTAAGGTGTAGTTTGCTAGACAGTGTGGTTTTAATGATTCAGGATATGATTCTCTAGTTAGGAGTATCTCTGGACAAGTCTCCTTGAATAAAATGTTCTAGACTTATCAACAGTTAACGGTTTTCTGATAGATGTATCTAAGTCACCATTCCATGATGAATTTTTTTTTTTTTTGAGACGGAGTCTCGTTCTGTCACCCAGGCTGAAGTGCAGTGGCGTGACCTTGGCTCACTGCAACCTCCACCTCCTGGGTTCAAGCGATTCTCCTGCCTCAGCCTCCCGAGTAGCTGGGACTACAGGCGCCCACCACCACGCCCGGCTAATTTTTGTATTTTTAATAGAGAAGGGGTTTCACCATATTGGCCAGGCTGGTCTCAAACTCCTGACCTTGTGATCCGCCCACCTCGGCCTCCCAAAGTACTGGGATTACAGGTGTGAGCCACCGCATCTGGCCTCCATGATAATTTAATTAGGTATCAAATAGACTTATACTATCAATGATCCATATTCAATTTTACATCTTAATGTCCTTAAAAATTAAAACGTTAAAATACTGCAGTTTGAATAAAATGATCACAAACTAAGAAGCAATGAGGCTATATTATTAAAACCAGAACCAGTTCACATCTGGAATTCCAATAGCTTTACTTCTTCATATACTTATGTACTTACTATCTTCATAGGTGATCCCACTTGCTTCTTCACTCCAGTCACTCCAGTATCCCTTACCATCTTCCTTCATACAGCGAATCCTAAACACATATTCTGTAAAAGGTTTAAGGTCTTGGACAGTGAATGAAGATCGGGTGGATGCTGTGTCTTCAGGAGGAATCTGAAACAAAGCAAACCAAACAACAGAAAACCTCAATTAGTAAGGTCTTCTAAATTGTGTTAAAATTCAGAAACTTTTTTTTTTGAGGCACAGCCTTGCTCTGTTGCCCAGGTTGGAGTGCAGTGGTGCGATCTTGGCTCAACACAACCTCTACCTCTCCCAGGTTCAAGCGATTCTCCTGCCTCAGCCTCCTGAGTGGCTGGGATTACAGGTGCCCGCCACCACTCTCAGCTAATTTCTGTACTTTTTTAGTATCAACAAGATTCACCATGTTGGCCGGGCTGGTCTGTAACTCCTGACCTCAAGCAATCCACTTGCCTCGGCCTCCCAAAGTGCCAGGATTACAGATGTGAGCCACTGCGCTCAGCCTAGAAACTATTTATTTTTGAGACAGAGTCTCCCTCTGTCGCCCAGGCTGGAGCTCAATGGTGCAATGGCGCGATCTCAGCTCACTGCAACCTCCGCCTCCCAGGTTCAAGTGATTCTATTGCCTCAGCCTCTTGAAACTATTTTATTGACACAAGACTAATACATTAAACTCAACCTCTGGAGAGAAATAAGTGTAAGTTAAAAAGCAGTCCAAATCAGTAAAGTTATTTGGTTTTAGAAGTATGGAAACATCTATTATCTTTCCTTTTTTCCCTTTATTTCTTCCACAGGGCCTGTAATATAACTTAGGATTTCTGCAGGAAACAGATGGCACACTCCATTTAGAATAATTCAAGGAGGGCTTCATAAAGGGACTACATGCAGAGTATATGGAATCCTTAGACAGTGCAGTTAGTACTCTGGGGCTTAGAGCTGTTTCTACCTCTAGGCCCAAAGGGATGAGGGGAAGTACCAGAACCTGAAAGAAGCCGGTCAGCTAGAGAGGGCTGTCTTGACAGGTAGTGACCCTAAGTTGAAAGACAGCCGGCTGGGTGCGGTGGCTCACGCTTGTAATCCCAGCACTTTGGGAGACTGAAGTAGGTGGATCACCTGAGGTCTGGAGTTCGAGACCAACCTGGCCAACATGGTGAAACCCCATCTCTACTAAAAACACAAAAATTAGCTGGGCATGGTGGCACACACCTGTAATCCCAGCTACTCGGGAGTCTGAGGCAGAAGAATCGCTTGAACTAGGGAGGTGGAAGTTGCAGTAAGCCAAGATCATGCCATTACACTCCAGCCTGGGCAACAAGAGCTAAACTCCATCTCAAAAAAAAAAAAAAAGACAGCCAGTTCCTGGAAGGAAGCAGGGAAAATCAACATGCCAATTTCACTTTTCTTCTGTCTTCTCTCCTGCCTAGTCCCTTCCTTCCATTAACCACAGTCACAAGGAAGCTAGAAAGAATGGAAACCCACAGATGAAATCTATACAGGTCAGCATGACACAACAAAGAGAAGGGTAGAGCGTAGATGTGGACAGGCAAAAGGAAGATATCCAGCCCAATCAAGAAAAACAAAAGTTTTCCTGGCTTTTAAACTTGGCTTTCAGAAAAAAAGAGGAGATTAAATACAGATAAATAACTGGTCATATTACTCTGATAATTTAGTATTAGATACAAAATAAACATCAGTCTTTTTTGTAGCACTGAATTAAGATTCTATACTTAATACCACATTTTGAAGAACTTCAGGTATGTATATTCTCTGTACAACATGAAGCATTAATCCAATTTTGTTTTATTGCTTTTTCTGATTGTATTCTGAGCACTTTAGATAAGTGGGGTAAGGAGAGAAGTAGTAAAGTCATTAGCCCAATTCCCTAACAAGCTCACTGTGACCAGAGCAACAAAAGCAAAGACATACTGTTTGTGATAAATGGAATCAAAACAGAGAAGAGTATGGATAGCTGAATGCTATGGTGATAGCCTTTTTAAAAGCTCCAAGTATTTCTTTTGCTGGTAGCATCATCTTTGGGTATACTATCATTTTCAGTCTTACAAGCTCCCTATCAATCCCTTCCTCTACCTCAGTGGTTGGCAAACTTTCTATAAAAAGGTAGATAAAATATTTACTAATATTTTAGGCTTGTGGGCCAGAGACTCTTTTTGCAACTACTCAACTCTTCCACTGTAGAATAGAGACAATATGTAAAGAAATGAGTGTGGCTGTGTTCCAGTAAAACTTTATTTACAAAAACAAGTCACAGGCTGATTTTGGTGGACTGCAGCACACCAATCCCTACACTAGCTACCTTATCCTTATAATCTCTTTATTTTTGCTCCTCTACTTAATTTGCTTTATTACTTGTATTCTTTGTAACACCCATCAAAAATGCCATTTCTAGGCTGGTAGTGGTAGCTCACATCTGTAATCCCAGCATTTTGGGAGGCCAAGGTAGGAGAATCGCTTAAGGCCAGGAGTTTGAGACCATCCTGGGCAACACGGCGAGACTCCATCTCCACAAAAAATAATAATAATTTTAAAAAGCCAGGTGTGGTGGTGCACACCTGTAGTGAGACTAAGGCAGGAGGATCACTTAAGCTCGAGTTCAAAATTGCAGTGAGCCAGCGGCCTGGGCAAATGGAGACCCTGTCTCTAGAAGAAAAAAAAAAAAAAGCCATTTCCTATCACCCTATATCATTTTCATGTTTTACTTAAAGGCTACTGTATTTAGCAAAGCTGTATTTTCTATCTGGATATCTTCCTGATTCCCCTTGTTTGAAATAACAACCCAGAAGAGGTTATCAAGCAAAATATTTCACATAACCAGAAACTTAAAGACATTTAGAAAATGACTGAAACTTTTTAAGATTAGAGGGTTGAAAGAAGGACTATTTGAATAAACGGTAACTTTCAATTTACCTGGCTCCAAGTTGAGGCATCTTTGGTCCTATATTGAATGTTATATTTTAGTATTATAACACTCTTAATACTTGGGTTGGTCCATGTCAATTTTAAGATACTAGACAGTTCCTCTGAGTTGATCACTGATAAATTATGTGGCGGATTGGGCTTCACTGAAAAATAAAATAAATCCTAAGGTTTATTATGTTTTCCAATTTCATATACAAACTCAAATATACTCTTTATATTGTCCTTCCTTTATTTTACAATAATTTATCCTTACCAAATGAACTAATTTCTCTGAAAATTATGCTATGCTATATACCTTATAATGGAAAAAAAAAGATTTCTAAAGAATCTTCAGTTCTCCTTGTTAATTTACATTTGTTAATCTCTTCAGGTTCATATGTCAAAAGACAAATATTTATGATATCAAATTTTTAAAAAAGAATAAAAATGGAACATACATACTGTAATTACAATGGTGTAAGATGTTTGAGAACAGAAAACATTCAAAGTGAAAACAGCTGTTAAGTGTGGTTGGATTATGGATATTTTTCTTTTTCCAAATTCTATTTGATATTATTGATAAAATGACTTCATAAAAATCACTAAGATAAATGCTTGTTTCTACATTAATTAAAATCTAAAATCTACATTAATTAAAATCTAAAAAAGTAAAATCTAAAAACTACATTAATTAAAATCTAAAAATCTACATTAAAATCTTAAAAAATCTAAATATAAAAACTACTTTAATTTGTAAACGACTACAGTGTCAAATAAACTCTCAAATTCAGGTTTATAACTACCTTTATATACAGGATCAAAATTGATATGATCTGATGTAACCTTCCCAAGGGCATTCTCTGCTTCTACCCAGACTTCAATGTTGACAAAATACACAGTAGAATAATCAACAGTGCATGAGGTGGGGGTGTCACGTTTTGCTTTGCAATCAGCAAACTTGTGTGTTGCCCTAAATACAAAAAATTGAAGAATCAGTCATTAAAAACACATCTGAAAAAATTAGAGTGAAAAAAATTACTTGCAAAGAGTTTGATGAGACCTAGATTGTTGTAGCAAACTTTGCAATATAACTGCTGGTCACTAACAAAATTTCTTAAAAATAAACCTTTCTTTAAAATTAACTTTGATCTATATCTTAAAACATAAAATTATTTTCAAATTTGTAGTCTAAAAATATTGTGCTTTAAAATTTTATGCTCCATCCCCACTTACTCCTCTCCAAAAATTATCTATTTCCTTGTGATCCCAGTGCTGTTTTTTCTTTTTCCTAAAACAGAACCCTTACTGTACCACAAATTTCTTTAAGCACAATATGCTAGAAGGTGACAGGAGGTTAGGGGTAAGAATTTCTATTACCCCTTAGCCTTTAGTCTTAGGGCTAAAATCTCTTAGCCTCTTTCTAGTCAAACTTAGGCAACTACTTTCTGATTTCTATCACCATGGAAAGTTTCAAGTAATATTACTATATTTATTTACAATTATATAAATTATGCCTCAATTAAAAATATTCATATACAACACTGTTTTTAAAAATAGGATAAACCAAACCCCAAATTGAACCAAAACAAAAATGGTTAGCCTCTAAGGAGAAGGAAATAAGGTAGAGGATTCAGGAATAGAATATAGACTTTTCTGAACAAGCCTTAATACTATTAATAGATTTGACTTTTTGGATTGTTTTATATAATTATTAAGAAAAATTCCTAAAAATTAAAAGCAAAATGAAACATATGAACTTGTGTACTGAGTATGTAGTATAACCACATAGAAAAGAACTATTCCAAGTAACATTAAAACACAGTAATCTGACTATTACACATCCTTCACAGAGAAAAACAATCTTAAAATCATTCTTGGTAATCATTTTGTTGGTGCTAATACTGTTGTTATTATTCTGCAGCTGCTGTATTAACCGTAGGATAAAGCAAATGAATAATTATGTTAGTGTTGTTGTCAACTATGTTTTTCAGTTCATAAGAAAGAAGATGTAGACGTCAGGTAAATATAATTATGTAAAAACCTATAGCCCTAATTTTAAACTGAAAATATCAGTATGAATTTGTATTTTTAAAAGATAGTATTATATCTCAAACCACAAAACATGTCCTAGCTCTTTCGACTGAAAAAATCTAAAAAATCTAAAAACTATGACAAACCAGTAGTGATGAATTCCTGTAGCACCCAGATTGTAGTCTGTAAATATTATTTCACACTAAATGAAACCAGAGAGTTTTGGGAAAAGGTTGATTCCAGGTCTGGGTGAGGAAATACATGATGACCCTGTAAAAGCATGTTATATCAGAGAGCTATCAAAGGCTAAGGAAGTTGTGTCAAGACGATGAATGAGCCGGGCGGGGTGGTGGGTGCCTATAATCCCAGCCACTCGGGAGGCAGTGAGCCGAGATCACGCCACTTCACTACAGCCTGGTCAAAAGAGCAAAACTCTGTCTCAAAAAAAAAAAAAAAAAAGGATGAATGAGCCAATTTGAGTAAACTGCCACTGATCAAAGATGGGACAATCCATAATGAGTTAAAACATATCAAATATGTTTAAATATAAATTTATAATGAGAAAGAAAAGCCCTCATTATTCTACCTTTGGAGGATACTAGGGAATCAACTAATTATAAAACTGGTAATTAAGGAAAAATATTAAACCTATCTTGCTTCTCCTATCTGAACTGTACTTCAGGGTAAACCACAGTTGATAAAGGCAAGTTTTTCTTTAAGTATTTCAGCTAAAACAAAACACAGAATACCATAGTTTTGTAATTTATATACAAATTATAATCACTGATGACTGCTCAAAGCTGTAAGGGAAATACTAGTGGGAAAACAACATGATTAAATTTCGGAAACATTCTGTTGAGTTATAAAACTTTTCACAGAAGAGTATATACTATATAATCCCATTTATATGAGACATTCTGTAACAGGAAAAAATAATCTATGGTGAAGAATATCAGACAGGTAGTTGCTCATGGGGTGGGGCACTTGCTGGGATTGACTGAAGGAGCAGGAAGGAACTTTTTAGGTGTGTTAGTCATGTTCTATGTCTTGATACTGATTGAGTTACACAGGTGTCTGTACTTGTCAAAACTCACTGAATGATACACTAAGATTTGTGTTTTCACTATATGTAAATTTTATTTAAAAACATAATACTGAACTCTAGTTCATGTAAATACTGAAGTGATTAAGAATGAGGTATATTAATGACTGTAACTCACTATGAAATACTGAAGTGATTAAGGGTGAGGTATATTAATGACTGCAACTCACTATGAAATACATAAAAAAGAGATAGATTGAGAGATGGAGAGAAGGATGCATAGATAAATAGGTGATAAAGCAAAGATAGTAAAATGTTAATTGTAGAATCTAGGGTATGCAAGAGTGTTCACTGTAAAACTCTTTCAACTTTTCTGTTTGGAAAAAACAAATGGGAAACTTAGTAAATAAAGGAATAAGGCTGACAACACCCGAAACCACTGCTCAATCTTAGTATCAGAAAAAAGAAAAACAGTGAAACATTATCTGGTCTTTCCTGACAGAAGTACACATCACTCCTACAAAATATTTTTTTGGGGAAAAAAAAAAAATCAAACCCAAATCTGATGAAATCTGTAGATCTAAAAGCAATTTTTTGGAAAGAAAAAGACAAGGGGGCCAGGCGCGGTGGCCACGTCTATCATCTAAGCACTCTGGGAGGCAGAGGCAGCCAGATCACGAGGTCAGGAGTTCAAGACCAGCCTGACCAACATGGTGAAACCCTCTCTATTAAAAATAGAAAAAAATTAGCTGGGCATGGTGGCACATGCCTGTAATCCCAGCTACTCAGGAGGCTGAGGCAGGAGAATTGCTTGAACCTGGGAAGCGGAGGTTGCAGTGAGCAGAGATCATGCCACTGTACTCCAGCCTAGGTGACAGAGCAAGACTCCATCTCAAAAAAAAAAAAAAAAAAAAAAAAAAAAAAAAAAAGACAAGGGAATATGTTAAACAATGTACAATGTATAACAGTTTAACAACTGAAATGTAAGAAAAAAGAACAAATAGAACCTATAATTTAAGAGACAAGACATAAATTCACAAAGTATGGAGCTTATTCGAATCTTGACTGAAACAAATGTAAAAAAAATTATACATATAGGCATATTCATGAGACATAGGGGAAATCAACACTAACTGAAAATGTAATATTTTATATCTGAGTGTAACAGTGGTATGTTGTTATGCTTTTTTTTAAAATGTCCTCATCTTTTAGAGACGCATACTGAAATATCTTTGGATGAAATATGATGCCCGCGATTCTCTCTTCAAGACAATATAGGCAAAGAGTACCTTTGAAATAAGACTGGTCATGAGCTGACCAGTGTTGAAGCTGAGTGATGGGTATGTATGGGTATTCTACTATTCTTTCTACTTTTATTTTTTATTTATTTATTTTTTTTGAGATGGAGTCTCACTCTGTTACCCAGGCTGGAGTGTAGTGGTGCAATCCGGGCTCACTGCAACCTCCGCCTCCTGGATTTAAGTGATTCTCCTGCCTCAACCTCCGAGTCACTGGGATTACAGGCACCCGCCACCATGCCTGGCTAATTTTTGTAGTTTTGGTAGAGACAGGGTTTTGCTCTGGTTGGCCAGGCTGGTCTCGAACTCCTGACCTCAAGTTATCTGCCCACCTCAGCCTCCGTAAGTGCTGGAGTTACAGGCATGGGCCGCCGCGCCTGGGGGATTACAGGCATGAGCCACCGCGCCTGGCCTCTACTTTTACATATATTTGAAATGTTACAGAATAAAAAATTAAATGTTTTAAAATAGCATTTAATATTATTACTTGGTAAAATAAAAATTCCAGCAAAAATGACTAACTTTAATAAATCTAACATGAAACAAATTTAAAATAACGTACCATTCAGATTTTAAAGTGAAGTTTGTCTCCAAGTGTGTTTCCCTTCCACCATCCCACTCACACCTCATTTTCTTCCCCTCGTTCACAATGCAACTCAAATTTTTAGGTTTTTCTGGAGGCACTAAAAGGGATTAATTAGCATCTTTCAGAAAGCTTTATATCCACAAATATTATGCAATTTATATACTACCCAAGGCATTTGCGATCTAAATTAGATGAAAAAAATCAAACCCAAGCAAAAAGTATGGACACAATGAAAGGCTGATGACAATTTCTTTTCTATCCCAACTCTTACACTTCTTTTCAGGAAGTAATATATATACATCCATCCTAACTGTCATCAACTGGTTTGTTTCACATTAATTTTCTATGTAAAATCAACTTTCATTTATAACTGGAAAAAAATATCAACTGATTTCTCCATTAAGTATATTTTTAAAAGTAATATATACATATGTTTGTAAGAGGCAACTAAGTAGAAGCCAAAATGATTCATTTATATTTCTCTTCTTATTGCTTTCCCAAACTCGTTGGAAGAAAAGCAAATGCCAAAACAGTAAAGTCTGGGTGATCCACAAATTAGATAACCCACTTTTGGATCATAGTAAGTTTATTTTGTTTACTTTGTTACTCCAAGGCCAGGCACAGTGGCTCACGCCTGTAATCCCAGCAGTTTGGGAGCCCGAGGCAAGTGGATCACCTGAGGTCAGGAGTTTGAGACCAGCCTGGCCAACATGGCGAAACCCCATTTCTACTAAAAATATGAAAAATTAGCCGGGCGTGGTGGCTCATGCCTGTAGTCCCAGCTACTTGGGAGGCTGAGGCAGGAGGATTGCTTGAACCCGGGAGGGCAGTGAGCTGAGATGATGCCACTGCACTCCAGCCTGGGTGACAGAGCGAGACTCTGTCACCAAAAAAAAAAAAAGGATTTACTCCAGTATTTGTTCGCTTTCTTCAGGTAGCTGCTTTACACGTGCATTTTCTCAGCAATTAAGGGATACTGAGAATTACCATCATTATGTCAATTCAACAATACTTTCCTGTGGTGGGGGGGGTCTCATGTCAAATATTTCTCTAGTAAAGTGAAACTGCTTGACTTTCAGGAAAGACAGGAGACTTGTGGTTCCTACTTCTAAGCTTATTTTTTAAAAACCAAACATGTCCAAGTCACTAAGTCCACAAGTTACTACATTTTATAAAGATGAAAGGACAACATTAAAAATGCAGTTCAATAGTCATGACAAAGTCTGAAATAAGACAAAAACAAAACTTACAGCCTGAAATTATTGTGATTCCATAAACATTCTGTTCAAGCTGTCCGAATGTAAGAATGTTGCAAGTGAGCTGAATATTTAATGAAGCTATATCTGTAAAGGTGACACTGGATGCTGTTCTGTTTATGATAGTATATTGCTCCTTAGGAATAGTAAAATGGTTTGTTTTCCAGACAATGTAATTAGCATTTACATGAAAATAATCCATACATTTTTCCTTTAGCACACAAACTGCAGTGAAATTAGAATGAAGTTGTACAACTGGAGATTCAGGACTGATATAACCACATGGATCTAGAAGTTCACCTAAAAAGGAACAATAGAAAATATATAAATGGACTGAATTTTTCTGGTACAAAATGATATCTAGCTGGTAGCACTCAATGTAGAGTCCCTCAACCGTCACTAAAATATCCCTAAAGACACAGAAAAAGACAATACACAACTGAAAATTAATATGGTTAGAATTTAATGCCTGAATTTGTAAAGAAATATACAAATTATAAAGATAATAGAGCTGAATTAAGAAAAACCCATTCATGCTTTATAGCCCATGGTATAAACTATTTCTTTAAGAAACACAGACTGCCTGCAGCATGATTCATACTTGCCCCACAACGTATCCTGTCCCTCCATTTAGATCCCAGGTCTAAACTAAACTCTCCAGAAAACAGGCAGTGGTGGTCTCCTCTACAGTCCTGAATGCTGTTGTGGAGTACAGTTGGGGTCACAGACAGTATACATTGTCCACACATCAAAACTCAGACAACAAAGGAAACAGCAAGGGACCAATACAAAACAGGAAGAATAGAACAAGATGGCCAAATAGTTTAGTTTTAAGAATAAATGCATGGCCCTGGGTATGATGGTTTGCGTCTATAATCTCAGCACTTTTGGGAGGCCGAGGCAAGAGGATCGCTCGAGCTCAGGAGTTTGAAACCAGCTTGGGCAACATAGGGAGATGCCATCTGTACTAAAAACAAAAAAAATTAGCCGAGCATGGTGGTGCACGCCTATAGTCCCAGCTATTCGGGAGGCTGAAGTGGGATGATGGCTTGAGCCCAAGGGGTCAAGGATGTAGTAAGCCACTGCACTCCACCCTGGACAACAGAGTGAAAATAAATGCATGGGATAGGATCCCCTATTTAAAAACAAAGAATCAGCCTAACCAACATGCTAAAACCCAGTCTCTACTAAAAATACAAAAATTAGCTGGGTGTCATGGTGGGCACCTGTAATCCCAGCTGCTTGGGAGGCTGAGGCATGAGAATCACCTGAACCCAGGAAGTGGAGGTTGCAGTGAGATCACGCCACTGCACTCCAGCTTGGGAGACAGAGTGAGACAGAGTCTCAAAAAACAAAACAAAACAAAACAAACAAAACAAAACACAAAGAATCAGATTGGGTAAAAGAGAATTAAACACAACTACATGCTTTACCTATCACCTACTCCACATTGATGACATCTCAATCCCTATCTCTAGCACTAAACCCCCATGCTTTCAATAGCCCATTAGACATATATCTACCTGAGATATCCCATAGCTATTTTTAAATGAGCATGTCCAAAACTATTATGTATCATAATCTTTTCAAACTTATTATTTTTTATTCTTATTTCTCTGCCTCTGCTAACAGCACCACTCCCATCCAGACATCCAGGACAGATACTCTGTAGTCATCTTCCAACATCTCCAATTAGCCTCCTCTAACCTCCAACTTAACAATAGTGCACTGTATTGGTTCTATATGCTTAATAAGCATATCAACATCTTCTTTCCAATGCTACTTTGACTGCTGAAGCACAGGATACTATATCAGTCTGACCTCCTTCCAGTTTATCTTACATACTACTGTCAGTTACTGTTCTAAAATAATTAGGACATTTGTCTACTTTAAATTATTTAGTGGCTACCTACTACCAAGATAAAAGTCCCAACTATTTGACATGATTTTATTCTTTTTCTCTAGCTTCAATGTCCACAATTTTAAGGTGGCTTTCCTCAATGAATCCTATTTGCTGTGGGGTTCCTGGGTAGTTACCCATGAAGTGTTTTTGAGATTAAAAATTACTAGCCTGGGCAACATGGCAAAACCCCATCTCTACAAAAAAAATATAAATATTAGCCAGGCATGGTGGCACACGCCTGTAGTCCCAGCTACTTGGGGGTGAGGGTCGTGTGCTGAGGCAGGAGGATTGCTTGAGCCCAAGAGGTCAAGGCTGCAGTGAGCCCAGAAAAAATTAAAAACAGTTTTTGCAGTCAAAATTGTATCCCCAAATGGAATCCCAGGACCTCTCACAAAGCCTGTAAAACCCAGAGCTGGAATGTGTATTTCTTTGTTTCAAACTTATAATGTGGTCTGTTTATATCATCTTGCTGTTATTTATAAATGCCTACTGTAAATCTTAGTGCATATATTACTCTCAATTTCCAATAGCATGGTCCTTCATCCAGTGGAGAATCTCTACTAAGTTACTCTCTGATACTGGGTCAGACCTTACAATTCCCTAGACATCACTTTATTCTTTGGCAAAATCACTTGTTATACTTTCTCTAAAGTAATCATAGGGATGTTAAATATGAAATATACTCTAGAGTTCTAAAAAGATATAATTAGAGACTCAGTATGAATAATTTTTAATCACACAGAATAAGAGAAATATTAAAAATGGGCAAATGGGCTGGGCGCAGTGGCTCACACCTGTAATCCCAGCACTTTGGGAGGCCGAGGTGGGTGGATCACGAGGTCAGGAGATCAAGGCCATCGTGGCTAACATAGTGAAACCCTGTCTCTACTAAAAATACAAAAAATTAGCCGGGCGTGGTGGCGGGCGCCTGTAGTCCCAGCTACTTGGGAGGCTGAGGCAGGAGAATGGTGTGAACCCAGGAGGCGGAGCTTGCAGTGAGCCAAGATCACACCACTGCACTCCAGCCTGAGCGACAGAGTGAGATTCAGTCTCGAAAAAAAAGGGGCAAATGTTCCGTTTTTCAAAGTGAGACACAGCTTCAATAATACCATCCCATGTCAAATTAATCCCATTTTACAGGGCTACCAGGCTGAGATTAAATTGTAAAAAGAAAGTATTTTAATTAAGAAAGGTATCTGATAAAGTTATTTTGAATGTTTATAGGGCAAGATGAAGAAATGTGAATTAGAATACACTATAACTGGGTTGGACGCAGTGACTCACGTCTGTAATCCCAGCACTTTGGGAGGCCGAGGTGGATGGATCACCTGAGATGAGGAGTTCTAGACCAGCCTGACCAACATGGTGAAATCCCGTCTCTACTAAAAATACAAAAATTACCCGGGCGTGGTGACCTGCACCTGTAATTCCAGCTACTCAGGAGGCTGAGGCAGGAGAATTGCTTGAACCTGGGGGGCAGAGGTTGCAGTGAGCTGAGATTGTGCCACTGCACTCCAGCCTAGGCAACGAAACGAGATTCCATCTCAAAAAAAAAGAAAAAAAGCAAAAAAAAAAAGAATATACTATAACCGATATTACAATGAACATTATGAAATTGCTGATATTTTGCTACTTTTATAGGTTCATACTCAAATTTATATTTGATTACCCATATATAAAAAAACTGACTTAAGAAAAAAGTCAATTAGAGGATAGTCTTAAGTAGAATATGCTGAAGTGCATGCCCTCAATCCTTGGAGAAGACTGTATTTTAAGAATGGCCACACCTACATATTTATCCCATCCCACGTTTTTCTTACGATGTCACGCATACTCTTTTCATGAAGAGGTGGGGACTGCATTTCCCCCAACCACATCAGATCTGTATGGGTGCCTTGTGTCCACTCCAGCCAATGGAGTGTGCTATGAGACTTCAGAGGCTAGATCATTAAAAGAATACAGACTCCAATTAGCTTTCTTTCTCTCTCCCGGGATATCTGCCCTTAGAACCCAGCCACACATTGTAAGAAAGCCAGGGCCATAAAAAGAGGCCACGTATGGTGTTTTGGACAATGGCCCCAGCAAAGCCCTCAGCCTGCAGATACCATTAACAACAGACATATAAGCGAAGGAGTCTGAAGATGACTCCAGCCCCCAGTCTGAATATTGCAGCTGAGGCCCCAGACATTGTACAGCAAAGATGAATACGTCTGATTGTGCCTGCCTATCTATAGTCTTGTCCTATACAAATCATGAGAGGTATTATTATCATTTTAAGCCTTGAAGATTTGGAGTATTTGTGAGGCAGCAACAGGTAGCTAATGCAGTCCTGTTATTTTCAACATTTTAATCAACAACTTGGGAAAAGACAGACACACATGCTTATCAAATTAGCAGAGGACAGGACTACAAACAACTGCCAACACTTCGGATGAAAATGTTGGGATTTAAAATTATGCTGAAAGAGTAGAACACCAGGCTAAAACTGATAAAATGAAATTAGCAACAGAGGAAATATATCCTATTTAGGTAATAAGAAATATACATTGGGTGAGGGAGAACTAGTTTAAGAGTAACTCATGTAAAAACCACCTGAGAATTTTCACTGATCACTAGCTCAACATGAAACAAGGGTATATCTCAGCTACCACATAGTTACGTAACTTTATAAAAATGATGTTCAGATCAAAGTAAGTATGAGTGCCACTGTAGTCAGATTGGTTTTGGTATATTACGTTTATTTTTTTCATAAAGAAACTTTTATTCAAAGACAACAATAACCTTTATAATAAATATGCAGTAACTATCATTTTTATAATGCTTACTGTAGGCCAAACACTGTCCAAATATTTCCTCTATATTAACTTATTTTTGGTTGTTTTTTGAGATAGGGTCTCAGTCTGCCACCCTAGGCTGGAGTGCAGTGGCACAATCTCCACACACCGCAACCTTTGCCTCCCGGGTTCAAGTGACTCTCCCACCTCAGCCTCCCAAGTAGCTGAGACTTTCAGGCATGTGCTACCAAGCTCAGATTTTTTTTTTTGGAAACAGGGTTTCACTCTGTCACCCAGACTGGAGTGCAGTGGTGCAATCTTGGCTCACTGCAACCTCCGCCTCCCAGGCTCAAGCGATTCTCCTGCCTCAGCCTCCTGAGTAGTGGGGATTACAGGCGTGCGGCACTACCGCCTGGCTAATTTTTGTATTTTTAGTAGATACGGGGTTTTACCATGTTGGCCAGGCTAGTCTTGAACTCCTAACCTCAAATGATCCACCCATCTCGGCCTCCCAAAGTGCTTGGATTACTGGCATGAGCCACCATGCCTGGCCTCTATATTAACTTCTTTAATCCTCACTAATAACCCTAGGAGGTAGTGGCCTTTATTATCACCATTTCATAGATCAGGAAATTGAGGTACAGAAAATGACTGACCAAGGTCCTACAGCTAGTAAGGGGGACAGCTGGGATAGTATTATTCATACACACACACACACACACATACACACACACACACACACACACACACGTACACATAAATATTTTTACGAGACAGGGTCTTGCTCTGTTACCCAGGATAGAGTGCAATGGCGTGACCATGGCTCACTGTGACCTCGAGGTCCAGGGCTCATGATTCTCCTGGCTCAGCCTCCTGAGTAGTTGGGACTAGAGGCATGATATGGTTTGAATCTGTGTCCCCACCCAAATCTCATGTCGTATCATAATCCCCAGTGTTGGAGGTGGGGCCTGGTGGAGAGGTGATTAAATCATAGGGGTGGATTTCTCACTTGGTACTGCCTCGAGATGGTGGATGAGGAATGAGTTATTGTGAGCTCTGGTCATTTAAAAGTTTGTAGCACCTTCCCTTTCTCTCTCTCTTCCTCCTGTTCTCGCTATGTGAGATGCCTCACTCCCCCTTTGTCTTCTGCCATGACTGGAAACTTCCCAAAGCCTCCCCAGAAGCAGATGCCACCATGCTTCCGCACAGCCTACAGAACTGTGAATCAATTAAACCTTTTCTTTATAAATTACCCAGTCTCAGGTATTTCTTTATAGCAGTGTGAGAATGGACTAATACTTGGCTAATTAAAAAAAAAAATTGTAGAGATGGGGCCTTGCTTTGTTGCCCAGACTGAATTCCTGGACTCAAGTTATTTTCCTGCCTATGCCTCCCAAGGTTCTGGGATTACAGGTGTGAGCCACCATGTCCAGCCAGTATTCTATTTTAAATGTAATACAGGCAACTAAGAGAAGAATCAGTAGGGTAATCAGCATGCACAGGGTTAAAAACCAGATCCTATAGAATGATTAGATATCTGGGTAACTGTAATTTGGGGACAAGGACTTACAGACACAGGAAAGCAGCCCTTCAATACCTGAAGAGCATGTAGTATGAATGACGTAAAATTTAACAAGATTTAACAAATTTTCTCCTATTCATTTACTGAAGAAAAAAAAAAAAACCCACACACTTCTTTCCTTCCCCATTTTAAAGTTATTGTTAGTATTGATATACAGCATTTAAGATTACTGACTTAAATTACTGACTTAGCATGTAAGATGACTGTTACAACTCAAATTATACAAAAACAGATTATCAAGAATATTTTTATTAAAATCAATTTAAGATATTATTCTCTCGATTATCCTAGAAAGAATATATGAACATAATAATTAAACATAAGCTTAATTATATAATAATATAAAAATATATAAACCTAATTTGTGAAGTTAGAAGATAGGGTATTTCATGAACCTTACCTGTAGATTCAGTGGTGAGGAAAATAAACAAGGCTTGCACTAGCCAAGTCTGCAACGTCAACATCTTGCGCGGATATTTCTGCAACAGACACATGTAATATTACTTTTAATATTTTTTCTCTTATATACACATAATTTAAGACACAATCTTGTTTCCATGCTGTAGCTGTGTTTCTAAAAGGTGGTAAAATTCTTATGAGAATGTAGAAAACTTAAGTCTTCACATTATTTTTCTTTATTCCCACTGAAGTTATGGCTATGGAAAACACTGCTAGAAAACATAATTTATACTTTAAGGTTAATTAAAAGAGATATCTTGTTTCTTTCTTATGTGAAGTCTTATATTAGTAAATAACTGTGAGATTAAGAACTTCAGACTGACAAATTTCTACATGGCAAAACTCACCATAATATGTATCCTTAAAAGATACCTGACAAATGGAAAAAAATGTTTGTAATTCATAGCATGGCCAAAAATTTTCCCGATATATAAAGAATGCCTACAAATCACTAAAAAATTCTAACACCTAATAGAACAGGCAAACATATTTGAATAGTTTATAGAAAAGGAAATACAAGTAAATCAAGCATGTGAAAAGATACTTTCAACCTCACTCAAAATGAGAGATATAAATTAGAACTACTCAGATAGGAACGCAAAATGATACAGACACTCTGGTAAACAATTTGATAGTTCGTTACCAAGTTAAAAGCACACCATAAGACTTGGTATTTCCACTCCAAAGAGCGTACTCCCCAAAATAAAAACATATGCCCACAATAAGACTTATACTCAAATGTTCACAGCAGCTTCATTCATAAGTCCCAAACTGGAAACAATCCAAATGTCCACCAACTGCTGAATGTATAAACATACATTCAAACAATGGTAGAGACATATAATAGAATACTACTCAGCAAACAAAAAAAAAAGAGTATGAACTGGTGATACATGCAGTAGTATGAATGAATCTCAAAAGCATTACACTGAATAAACGAAGCCAGACACAACAGGTTATACATTGTATAACTCTATTTACAGGAAATTCTTTTTTTTTTTAAGAGATGGGGGTCTCACTATGTTGCCCAGGCTGTCTCAAACTCCTGGGCTCGAGCAATCCTCCTGCCTCAGCCTCCCAAAGCACTGGGATTACAGGCATGTGCCTCAGAAATTCTTGATACGGCAAAACTAAGGTGACAGAAAGCAGATCCAGGGTTGCCTAGGGCTGAGGTAGAGAAGGCACACGTAAAAGGGCATAAAGGAAATCTGGGGTGATAAAAATACTCTATGACTTGATTGTGGTGGTGACTATAAGACTCTATACATTTGGCAGGACGCGATGGCTCACGCCTGTAATCCCAGCACTTTGGGAGGCCGAGGTGGGCAGATCACTTGAGGTCAGGAGTTCGAGACGAGCCTGGCCAACATGGTGAAACCCCATCTCTATTAAAAATACAAAAAGTAGCTTGGCGTGGTGGCGGGTGTCTGTGATGCCAGCTACTCGGGAGGCTGAGGCAGGAGAACTGTTTGAACCCGTGAAACAGAGGTTGCAGTAAGCCCAGATCATGCCACTGGACTCCAGCATGGGCAACAGAGCGAGACCCCGACACACACAGACACACACACACACACACACGCCAGGTGTGGTGGTGTATGCCTGCAGTCCCAGCTACTCATGAGGCTTGAGGCAGGAGAGCTGTTTGAACCCGGAAGGCAGGGGCTGCAGTGAGCTGAGATGGCACCACTGCACTCCAGCCTGGGCAACAAAGCGAAATTCTATTTAAAAAAAAAAAAAGACTACATTTGTCAAAATTCACTGAATTCTGTGTCAACTGTTTCAAAGGCACTGAGATTTTACCTTACTTTCAAGCTAACAAGTCAGCCTACCACAGTGTCATGGATACTGGCAAAAGGCATGACATTTTTGCGTCAGAAGCAAAGGACTGTATTACTCATAACAGTAGTCAGAGTATCAGCATTTTCTTGCGCCAGCTGCTTGAGTCCCAACTGTCACAGGGCATTGTGAAGTCAGATGACACCTGAACAGGCTGCTTCACAGGAAAGAAAGACAGATCTTAAGTAACCCTAAACTTGAAAAATATGCAGGAAGCATGTCTGCCATTTACTCTAGAGGGAGACATTATCTGTATCTTTGAAGACTGTAAGTAAGCCTGTCCTTTGCTCCACGGCTCTGAGAGTCTACCTTCCAACATTCTTTAAAAGGTAAGTTGGCTGGGCATGGTGGCTCACGCCTATAATCCCAGCACTTTGGGAGGCTGAGGCGAGTGAATCATGAGGTCAGGAGTTCAAGACCAGCCTGACCAACATGGTGAAACCCTGTCCCTAATAAAAATACAAAAATTAGCCAGGCGTGGTGGCGGCCGCCTGTAATCCCAGCTACTCAGGAGGCTGAGGCAGAGAACTGCTTGAACCTGGGAGGCGGAGGCTGCAGTGAGCCGAGGTCACACCACTGCACTCCAGCCTAGGTGACAGAGCGAGACTCCGTCTCAAAACAAAGTTCAGAAAAAAGGCAGCCATCAGGGTTTTTGCTGATAAGAAACGCAGAAATGTTAGACTCATGGGTTTCCTATCAAGTTGTAACTAAAAAATGGTGAATTTTATTGTTTATAAATTAGACCTTAAAACAAACAAAATCTGCCCAGATAAGGTATAACCAAAAGAAACGAGTGCTTAATACCTCCAAAGACATCTACAAGAATGTTTACAGAAGTTTTATTCAAAATAGATGAAAAATAAAATCAACCAAATATCTATTAACACTAGGATAAATTATGGTATATTCAAGTAATTGAATCACAGCAATGAAAAATAACAACAGATACATGCATCATGGATGAATCTCATATATAATACAGAATGAAAGAAATCAGACAGGTTGGGTGCAGTGGCCCACACCTGTCATATCAGCACTTTGGGAGGCTGAGGGGGAAGAATTGCTTGAGGCCAGGAGTTAAGAGGCCAGCCTGCACAAAATAGTGAGACCCTGACTCTACAAAAAAATTTTAAAAGAGAAAAAAGGCAAGAAAGTACGCTCTGCATGATTTATTTTACAGAAGTTCAAAAAGAGGCAAAAGTCTACGGTGTTTGGTGACAGAGGTCAGAGCAGTTGTTTTTTGTGAGGAAGGGTATAAAAGGGGACATTCTGGGTGCTGAGCATGTTCTGTATCTTGATCTGGACAGTGATAAATTCACTGAGCTGTACACTTATGAGTTCTGTTTTGCAGTATGTAACAAAAGGTAAACAAACCAAAAATTATCCCAATACCATTCTTACATATTAGTGTTGGCAAAAATATAAAAACCCAAAAAGTATCAACAGGGTGTTGTGAGACTAAGCAACGAAAGTATCGTCACACACTACAGGTTATAGTGTAAATTGGCATAAGCTTCCCAATACATTGAACACTTTAAAAATGGTCAGTTTTGTTGTTTGTAAATTAGACCTCACTTAAAAACAAAGAAAAAAGCTCTACCCAAACAAGGCAGAGAGCCAGTTCGGCAATATCAATCAAAATTAAAACACACACATTTGATTCTAATGATTCTACTTTATTTTATCCTACAGATATGAATAAAACAACACATGTACAAAGTTATTCACTGCATTGTTTTTAACAGTAAAAGGCTGAAACAACCTGATTATGATGGGACACTAGTTAAATGATGGTATACCAAAACCATGTAAATGTAAATACTTGTAGCCATTTAAAAAAAATGAGGAAGCTCTATATGTACAGAAACATAAAGTTATCTAAAATACATTGTTACATTGTTAAGGTACAGAACAACGCATTTGCTATTATTTGTGGGCAAAACAATATACAAGAAAACAAAACACACATTCGTTTTTTTATATATGCACAGTATCTCTAGGAGGATAAAAGTTCAAATACTGGCTGTGACAGGGTATTTGAGAGATCAGGGTGGTAGGGAGACGCTCCACCATATACTCTGCAGCCTTGCAATGTTGACCATGTGAATCTTTAGTACTTATGCAAAAAATAAATTTAAATTAAAAAATACTTAATGTCAGCTAGGTGCAGTGGCTCACGCCTGTAATCCCAGCACTCAGGGAGGCCGAGGTGGGTGGATCATCTGAGGTCAGGAGTTCCAGACCAGCCTGGCCTACATGGTGAAACCCCGTCCATACTAAAAATACAAAAAGTAGCTGGGCGTGGTGGTGGGCACCTGTAATCCCAGCTACTTGGGAGGCTGAGGCAGGAGAATCACTTGAACCCGGGAGGCGGAGGTTGCAGTGAACGGAGATGGCGCCACTGCACTCCAGGCTGGGCGACAGAGTGAAACTCCGTCTCAAAAAATAAATAAAATAAATAAATACTTAAGGTTCAAACTATTGGGTACTATGCTCACCAACTGGGTGACAGTTCAATCGTACTCCAAACCTCAGCATCACACAATATACTCATGTAACCTGTACATGAACTCCCTGAACCTAAAATAAAAGCTAAAATTATTAAAGACAAAATACTTAATGTGTAATTTTTTTCTTCTAAATAAAACTATTAACTCTTCTTGATGAGAAATGGCTTCCTAGTTCTGCACTTGGAACACAATATTGTTTTATTAAATATACATACTAACTTGATTTTATGCACTCCCTAATCATGTAACAGCTTGCCAGCATGCCCAGCTAATTTTTTAAAAATTTTTCTGTAAAGATGGGGGTCTCACTATGTTGCACAGGCAGGTCCCAAACTCCTGGTCTGAAGCAATCCTCCTTCTTTGGCCACCCAAAGTGCTGGAATTACAGGTGTGAGCCACTGTGCCAAGCCAAATGTACTATATTCTTGCAACAAAGCTGCTCCAGAACAAGAGGTCCATGAAAGAATTTATGATTACTTCAAAGCAATTAGATTTGTTTGAGTAGTACCATGGAACACAAGCAAAGCGAACTAGGCAAAGGTAGATTCCACATTTCACATTTAGAAAGTAATCTTTCCTAATTTTTAAAAGATTGTAATGGAGAGGTGATGAAGAAACATCTATTATGGGACTTGATTTCATAGTCCAAATCTAAGAGATGAAGACACAGTAACACTATATAAAATATTATATGCAATACAGTTAACTTCACTTGGGGCTTGCTTAAAAATTGACAGAATTATGGCCGGGTGCGGTGGCTCATGCCTGTAATCCCAGCACTTTGGGAAGCCAAGGCAGGCGGATGACAAGGTCAGGAGTTCAAGACGAGCCTAACCAATATGATGAAGCCCCGTCTCTAATAAAAATACAAAAATTAGCCGGGCATGGTGGCGCACACCTATAGTCCCAGCTACTCAGGAGGCTGAGGTAGGAGAATCACTTGAACCTGGGAGGCGGAGGTTGCAGCGAGCCAAGATCGTGCCATTGCACTCCAGCCTGGGTGACAGAGCGAGACTCCATCTCAAAAAAATAAAAAAAAAAATTGACAGAATTGACAGTAGTTTGCTTATTTTTTCCCTCCTTTCCTTCTGTTGATACTAATATTTAATTTAAAATTATATTAATAGCACTATTACCTCACCTCTTGCAGAGTTTTCTATGCATATATTATAACCATACATTGCATACACTAACCTTCCTTGAAATTTGCAGGTAACTTGAGAAGCTTCTATGAAGCCAAAACCTAACTAGTAACCATAAATACAGGAAAGATTATTTCTGAAAACCAAAAGCTGTAATCATTCCTCAACTATGGTGATATAACATGGTAGTGTGCCGAAAGGAGCTAGATGATGTATAACAAGTATTGCTACTTTTAATGTTAGAGAAACAAAGTTCATAAATGATTTATTTAAAATAGAATAAATTCAAGATTATCCCTATAGTTGTTCATTCTCATTTACTTTCATTTCCATATGTTTTCTCAAGTGAGAGAAAAAGCAGTAGAGTTACAATGGATAAATATTTAATGGTTAGGCTCTTTATAAATTATTTTTGTCACCTATGGATTGTGATTTTTTTTTCATTTTCTAACTTAACCTAAGGATGAAATAAAAAGCACGAATATATTTAGATTTACATTGCATGTGAAAAAGAATGTCAATATAAACTTTGTTACTATGGTAACATTACTATTACAATTGTAGAACAGTATATGAACTAAAATTGCCAAATAGAAGGCAAAATAATGCTTGTTGAATTAATAAGTTGCGTGGGGATCAAGATGAAGAAAATTTCTATATATCTTTCACAGTACAGTGTTACTGTGAATAAACTGCCAGAAGTTGGTAATACCTACACAAAATTAACTAATTATTAAATTAGTTTTTAAATTATCCACTCTGTTCTCTTCCATTAGTATCAATTATGAGTTCATAACAATTAACACTAGGATATTATTTTACATTACACAAAATGTTGTCACATAAATTATTTCACTTTAGTCTCCTAATATCCTAAAGAATCAGGTGAGTAGGGCAGGGATTATTTATTGGAACTTTGTAAAATAAAAAAACAAAAAATTCAGACAAGATCAATTACTTACCCAAATCACAAAATTAGTAAGTGAAGGAGTAGGGATTTGAAGCTAAGTCTTCTACTTCTAAATGTCATGCTTTTTCCATTGGGTTTCACTGTAAAGAGAGGAGAGTCTTGTTCAGAAGGCTGGCTTTGATAATTTTATTATATGTGTACTTTAAAAATCCCCATCTGCTCTTAGGCTTTTGGGTTTGCAGAAAGTATCCTACTTTAGATATGTTCTGAGCTTCAGAATAAAATAAACCCATAAACACTTGTATAAGAGTATTCAAATATTCTAGTGCTTTTTTTTTTTTTTTTTGAGACAATGTCTCACTCCCATCACCAGGCTGCAGTGCAGTAGCACAATTACAGCTCACTGCAGCTTGAACTTCCCAGGCTCAGGTAATTCTCCCACCTCAGCCTCCCGAGTAGCTGGGACTAGAGATGGCACCATCATGCCTAGCTAATTTTTTTATTTTTAGTACAGATAGTGTTTTGCCATGTTGCCCAGGCTGAGCTCAAAGGGATCTGCCCACCTCAGACTCCCAAAGTGTTGGGATTACAGGCATGAGCCACCGCGCCCAGCCCTAGTGCTATGATTTGATATACGCTTGCAAACATTATTGGCTCACCCACACCTAATGCAAACTTCCCTGACGTCTATGTAATGTCACAGAAACATGACAGGAACATTTATGACAGACGGAGTTCTTTAACAATCACATATTTCTTCTTCTACTAGCACTAAATTAAGCCTGCTAACAACTATTCTATGTAACCAGAGATAAAAATCCATTTTAAGATTTGTTCACTTAAATTCTAGCTTAAGTACTAGTGCTCCTCTTTGAAATACAACAAGTAACTTCAAACTTAGGCAAGGAGTTGAATCTTCCATTATTGTTTCATACACATTAAGCCTTTGATATAACTTAATAACACATAAGGAATTAAATTTATAAAAATATTTTTTAAATGTCTAATGAAAAGAAACTGAAAAAATGCCATGTGAAAGTGCACTATAATCCCACCAAGAGATAACTACCATGAACATTTTGGTGGATATTCTTGCAAAATTTTTTATACATGTATTATATAACTTTACATTGTATAAATATACACACTTTTCTATTTTACAAAGATGGGATCATGTAAGTGAGAAATGTTTTATAACCTTTTTCACTTAACACTACATAGTGGACATCTTCATAAGTTAATATATAGAGAGTAATTCCTTGTAGCCTTTGCTCAAATTCACCTCCTCATAGAGATCTTCCCTAACCACCCTGTGTTTCTTATACCCCTTTACTGATTTTTTTTTTTTCTACAACACTTAACACCTTCTAAAATAGGCTAGCAAACATTTTCTGTAAAGGGCCAGATAATAAATATTTTAGATTTCGTGGGCTTTAAGTTCTCTCTTGCAATTAGTTAACTCCGTTATTAAAGTGCAAAAGCAGCCATACACAATATGTAAATAAGTGGGCATAGGTATATTCCCATGCAACTTTATTTATAAAAATGGCTGCAAGCTGGATTTGGCTTATGGGCTATAGTTTGCCAACCCCTGTTCTAAATACAATATAATTAAATTAATTTTCTTTTTGTTTGTTATGGGCTGAACTGTTCCCCCCAAAAAATATGTTGAAGTCTTAACCCCAGTAGCACAAAATGTTACTCTATGGGCAGATTTAATTGGATGTTATAGTGGAGTATAATAGGCCTTTAGTACAATATGACTGGTGTCTTTAAAGAGACAGAGCCAGGAAGAATACCATGTGAATACACAGGCAGAGATTGGAGTTATGCAGCTGTAAGCTAAGGAATCTCAACGACGATGGCTACCACCAGAAGCTAGGAGAGGCAAAGGAAGATTCTATCCAAAGTCTCAAAAGGACTTCTAGCCTCCAAAACCTTGAGAGAATAAATTTGTTGTTTTGAGCCACCCAATTTGTGGTACAGGTTGAACATCCCAAATCTAAAAACTGAAATGCTCTAATTCCAAAACGTTTTGAGCTCTGGCATTTTGGATTTCAGATTTTAGGATTTGGGATGCTTAACTTTAAGTATATAATGCAAATACAACACAAACTGAAAAAAAAAAATCCAAAATCCAATATACTTCTGTTACTAAGTATTTCAGGTAAGGGATACTGTAACAAAGGGATGCTCTATTACAGTAGCCCCTAGGAAACTAACACATAGTGTGTGTCCCCAAAATAGAAGGTAAGTGAAGAGTGGAATGGCTAGGCCCTACGGCAGGTGTGTGCTTGGCTATATCTTCTTTGATGATGTGTCTGTTCAAACATATTGATCAACTGGGTTTCCTGTTTTCTCATTAAGTTTTGAAAGTTCTAAGAAGATATTCTGGCCTTTATTAGAAAATGGATTTACGCATTATTTTCTTGTATGCTTGTCTTTTCATTCTTTTAACAGTATCTTTTGACGAATAGGAGGTTTAATTTTAATAAAGTTCAATTCATCAATTTGTGTTTTTGATGTATCTAAGAAGTCTTTGCTTAATCTAAAATCATAAAGGGCCCGACGCAGTAGCTCACACTTGTAATCCCATCACTTTGGGAGGCCGAAGTGGGTAGATCACCTGAGTTCAGAAGTTCGAGACCAGCCTGGGTATATGGTGAAACCCTGTCTCTACTAAAATATTTTAAAAATTAGCCGGGTGTGGTGGTGCACATCTGTAATCCCAGCTACACAGGAAGCTGAGGCAAGAGAACTGCTTGAACCCGGGAGGCAGAGGAGGCTGCAAGTGAGCAGAGATAGCACCACTGCACTCCAGCCTGGGTGACAAAATGAGACTCCTTCTCAAAAAAAAAAAAATATAAAAAATAAAAATAAAGTCAAAAAGGTTTTTTCCTACAAGTTTTATAGTTTTAGGGTCATTTAGGTCTCAGTTATTTCAAGTTAATATTTATGTGTGGTGTCAAGCTGAAATTTGAGTTCATTTTGTATATACGGATAATTGTTTCAAAACTATTTGCTGAAAAAATTATCCTTTCTCAAGTGAATTGCCTTTGCGTCTTTCTTAAAAATCAGTTGTTCACAGGTGTGGGTCTATTTGGCTACTCTCAATTCCAGGGTGGGCAAGCTTTTCATGTATGAGGTAGGAGGTAAATATTCTAGGTTTGTGAGCCATAAGGTCTCTATTGGAGCTACCAATCTACTGTTACGACACAAAAGCAACCATAGAAAATACATAAACAAACAGGGGTGGCTGTGTTCTAACAGTACTTTATGAAAACAGAAGGTAGGATGACTCCTACTCTATTTGTTCCACTGATCAATTTGCTTATTTATATGCTACCACCACACTGTCGTGATGACTTTAGCCTTATAAATCTTGAAATCAATATTCTGTGTGCACTTAAAAAGCACTGCTGCTGCTGGTAGAGTGTTACATAAATGGTCATTACGTGAATTTGGTTGATAGTGTTCAAATCTTCCATATCCTTACTGATTTTCTGACTACTACTTCTATCATTGTTCAAAAAGGGATATTGAAATCCCTGAATATAACTGTGGATTTACTTCTCCTTGCAGTTTTTACCCTGTTGTGTTTTGAAACTATGTTATTTGGTAGATCCTTTTGATAAATTGACCCTTTTATCATTAGGAAATGCCCTTCTTTACCACTGGTAACATTCTCTGAAATCTACTTTGATATTACTATAGCCAATTCTGTCTTACTTTGATTAGTGTTATCATGACATATCCTCTCCCATTCTTTTTTGTTTAATCTGTATGTTTCTTCATATTTAAGTGGCATCTTTAGGGGGTAGGCAGCATGTGGTTGTATCCAATCTGATAATCTCTGCTTTCCAATTGGGTGTTCAGACCATTTACATTTAATATAATTTGTGATATGATTAGGTTTAAAGCTATCAGCTTCATATTTGTTTTCTTCTTGACTGTTCTTTGTTCCTGTTTACTTTTCTGCATTTATTTTTCTTAATTATTTTTTATTCTCTTTTCCTTGTTAGCTAATAAGCTATAATTCTTTGTTTTCTTATTGGTTGCTTTAGGTTTATAGTGTACATCTTTAACTTTTCACAATCTATCTTCAAGTAATATTATGTCACCTCAGGCATAGTATATAATAGTATACTTCCATTTCTCCCCCCAGACCTTTGTGCTATTTTAGCATATATTTTACTTTTGCATATATTAAAACTTCACATTGGTAGCTCCCACCTGAAATCCCATCACTCTGGGAGGCCAAGGCAGGAGGATCACTTAAGCCCAGAAGTTTAAGATCAGGTTGGGCAATATAGTAAGACTCTCGCCTCTACAAAAAATAAAAAGTTAGACAGCTGTGGTGGTGCATGCCTGTTGTCCCAGCTACTCAGGAGGCTGAGGTGAGAGGACTGCTTGAGCCTTGGAGGTCGAGGCTGCAGTGAGTTGTGGTTGCACTACTGCATTCCAGCCTGGGTGACAGAGTGAGACTGGCACATATTTACTCGTGTGGTTACCATTTCTAGAGCTTTTAATTCCTTTGTATAGATCCGTATTTCCATCTGGTATCATTTTCCTTGGGCCTGAAAAACTGCCTTTAACATTTTTTTGTAGTATGGTTAGAGAAAAGTCTAAATAGATTTGAAAACAAAACCAAAGTGTGAATGCTAACAAGTATTTAGCCTAAAATAAGCACAGTTCAAAATGAGAAAAGATACTGCTAATTACTATATTAACAGACCAAAGGAAAATGACAGGGTCATTCCAACAGATGTTTGAAAAGCATCTGATAACATTCAACAACTGTTCATCTAAAACTTAAAAATAACAACAAAGTGTCAGAAAACTAAGACTGAAAGAGACCATCCTTACCTTGGTGAAGGATAACAAAGATGATACAGGGACTCTAGAACCAGATTGCTTGTGTTCAAATTTCAGTCCCTATATTTTAACATCTTAGGCAAGTTTTTAAATAGCCTTCACTTTTACTTCCTTTATCTGTAAACATGGGGTACCACCACCACCTACCCATCTAGGAATGTTATGATGATTAAATAACTCATTATACATAAAGTGCTTAGAATCATTTGGCTCATTGTAACTACTCAATAAAAGGTTAACAGCTGTTATTATTAGTGCAGCTCTTGCTGTTGCTGCCACAGGTACTACTATAAGAAACCTACAAGGCCAGGCATGGTGGCTTACGCCTGTAATCCCAGCACTTTGGGAGGCCGAGGCAGGTGGATCACAAGGTCAGGAGTTTGAGACCAGCCTGGCCAATATGGTGAAACGCTGTCTCTACTAAAAATATGAAAATTAGCTGGTCGTGGTGGTGGGCACCTATAGTCCCAGCTACTTGGGAGGCTGAGGCAGAAGAATTGCTCGAACCCGGGAGGCAGAGGTTGCAGTGAGCCGAGAATGCACCACTGCACTCCAGCCTGGGCGACAGAGTGAGGCTCTGCCTCCAAAAAAAAAAAAAAAAGGAAGAAAGAAACCTATAATAAGCATCTATAGGTTTAAAGGTAAAAATTAGAAGCGTTCCTATTAATGTCAAGATTCAGACAAGATGCTTGAAGTCATCAGTTATTCACCACTGCTCTAAAGGGCTTAAGCAAAAATATAATAAATAAGATCTAAAAATGGAAAATAAATTGTGAATGATATGATCATCTATCAAGAAAGAGTGAGAATCACATGACAAACTATTAGGACTATTGAGAATTTAACACAGTAGTCAAACAAAACATCATCAAAAAATAATAGGACTATTTAGAGTTTAACATAACAGTCAAACAAAACATCATCAAAAAATAGCTCTCCAGCTGGCGCGGTGGCTCACGCCTATAATCCCAGCACTTTGGGAGGCCGAGATAGGCAGATCACCTGAGGTTGGGAGTTCGAGACCAGCCTGACCAACATAGAGAAACCCTGTCTCTAATAACAATACAAAATTAGCCGGGAGTGGTGGCGCACACCTGTAATCTCAGCTACTTGGGAGGCTGAGGCAGGAGAATCACTTGAACCCAGTAGGCGGAGGTTGCAGTGAGCCGGGATGTCGCCACTGCACTCCAGCCCAGGCAACAAGAGCAAAACTCCATCTCCAAAAAAAAAAAAAAAAGCTCTCCTACATACCAGTAATAACTAATTAGAAAATGTAACAGAAGGCTGGGTGCAGTGGCTCACGGCTGTAATCCCAGCACTTTGGGAGGCCGAGGTAGGTAGATTGCTTGAGCCCAGGAGTTCAAGACCAGCCTAAGCAACATGGCAAAACCCCATCTCTATAAAAAATAAAAAAAAAATAAAAAAAAAAATCAGCCGGGCATGGTGGACCATGCCTGTAATCCCAGCTACTCAGGAAGCTGAGGTGGGACAACCACTTGAGCCTGGGCTTATAGAGGCTGCAGCAAGCTAAGAAGCCAAGATCTTGCCATTGTACTCCAGCCTGGGTAACAGTGCGAGGCTCTGTCTCAAAAAAAAAAAAAGTCTCGCAGAAAAAAAAAAAAAGGGCAGTCTAAAGGTAAAGTAAACATAGCACTGATTGGCAAATGAATAGACAACTAAATCAATGGTACAAAACAAAACACACTCAAGTGTATATAAGAATTTAGTATCTGATTTTTTAAAAGGTTGCTCATTTGCTGGGAAAATAAAGGACTATTCAATAAATAGTATTGGGACAACTGGCTCCATAAGCAAAAAAGAAAAAAAAGAACCCCATTTCATCAGACAAAAAGACACACACTCATGCACGTGCACATGCATGTATAAGCATACACTCTCTCTCCAGATTAAGGACCTAAATGCAAAAGCAAAATTATAAGCATATTGAAAAACACATAGAATATGCTTATGACCTTAGGGCCTTTTAAAATTAGACTATTTTAGCCAAATGAAAAGGTTTACAGAGCACTTTGATGAACATCCATGTTCTCACCATTGCTTAAGAAATAAAAGCTCAAGCTTTTATTCAATTTTTATTCCGTTACAAACATAATTGAAGCCATATAAATAGTTCTTGCCTTTAAGAAGTCCAAAGTTTAGAGATGCAGAATATGCACAAAGTGCCACAGGAGCACAGAAAATACCCAATTCAGACAGGGGCCAGGAGCGCCCAGTCTTAAAATAAGGGTAGGGGTTCCTAGATAGAGAAAATAGCACACATATGAACTCTACATCATCTTTGACTCTAATTGTCAAGTGAAGATTACCAATGACAAAATCCCAGAGCATGCCAGTCTAACCAGAGCTATGCTATCTGAAACATAGCTCTGATTAACTCACTTTGCACTAGGGGGTGGGGTTGGGGGTAATACATAAAACAGAACATCCAAACAAAAAAAGACTGAGCAGATCAATCAACCTTAGAGCAAAGGGTGAAGCTGATTGCTTAAAAGAAAATGAAACTTTGGAGGCAGAACATTCCAAATGTAACAGGGCAACAGATTTACAGTGCTGAAAGGAATGAATCTCCTGCTCTGGATATGTATACACACAGCTTTAAAACAATCATCTATATACTATAGCCATTTTTCAGCCAATGTAGCTCTCTTATTCACGATCAATCAGCTAATTTCTTATTAAATCTTACTAAGATACACTAGATAGCCGCAAAGTTTAAAAAAAAAAGAAGAAGAAGAGACTGTAGCCATTTTGACTATATATATCACAAGTGTTTCTGAAGCCTTTCACATTGTTGACCATCCCTGGTTCTTGAATTTCTCCTATATCCTGGTTTCTATGTAACCAGATAATGTAGTTGAATTCTTTCCTTTATCCTCTTTCTTGTCTCCTTTACTGAATTCTCTGCTAGCTTTTATCTCCAGGCTATGAAGGTACCCAAAGATAAAGTACTGGGCATCGACTTTTCTTTTTAAATACCAACTTCTTTGAAGACATGACTTCAACTACTACCTTCAAACAAAATAATTTCAAGAATTTTGGCTTGGATCTTTCTTTTAATTCCAGTTACATTTCATCTTCTTAGATATTCTGTCTCTGAGTCTTATCAATTTAAGAGGTCTAAAAACAATACACCATAGGTACATGCTCATGAACACATATACACATAAATGCCCACCCACTTTTTTTGTTTATTATACTTTAAGTTCTAGGGTACATGTGCACAACATGCAGGTTACATATGATACATGTGCCATGTTGGTGTGCTGCACCCGTTAACTAGTCATTTACATTAGGTATATCTCCTAATGCTATCCCTCCCCCCTCCCCCTACCCCATGACAGGCCCTGGTGTGTGATGTTCTCCACCCTGTGTCCAAGCGTTCTCATTGTTCAATTCTCACCTATGAGTGAGAACATGCGGTGTTTGGTTTTCTGTCCTTGCAACAGTTTGCTCAGAATGATGGTTTCTAGCTTCATCCATGTCCCTACAAAGGACATGAACTCATCCTTTTTTACGGCTGCATAGTATTCCATGGTGTATATGTGCCACATTTTCTTAATCCAGTCTATCATTGATGGACATTTGAATTGGTTCCAAGTCTTTGCTATTGTGAATAGTGCTGCAATAAACATACGTGTGCATGTATGTCTTTATAGCAGCATGATTTATAATCCTTTGGGTATATGCCCAGTAATGGGATGAATGCCCACACACTTTTTAAAAAGTCACAAGGACTTACCATTTTTCCCTATCTACAAACAACTCATCCTCTTCAACTGCCTAAGTCAATGGAGTCCATCGTTTCTCTCATCTATGCAGTACATTTTAGCTTTTCTCAGTTACAAATCTTATCCTGTCTTCTCTCCCATAATATCTTTCCCACCCATCTCTTCTTTTTACTCTCTACCACAAACTAACCTAATTTGGACATTGATCACCTCAATAATTTCAACTGTGTTCCTGCTTCCAGTCTCTTTCCTCCCCACCAAGCATTCTGAACATTGTTGGTGGATCACTCTCTCTACAACACAACTTTAAACCTGTCATTCTTCTCCTCAACAGCTTTTTAAAGGGTGAATAATAATGCCAAATATTCTAACTATTTAAGAACCTAAAATTTTGGCTTTGATGTGCCTATCCAATCTATCTTTTCCAATACTCAAGTTTCTCTATTCTAAAAAAAAAAAAAAATCCTTTCCTCAGACTCCTCCCTCAAGCTACCTTACTACTATACTTCTAGAGAGAACTGCTTGCAATTGCAAGCAATCTGGCTTTTTTACTCCAATAATGCTGAAATTATTCTTGTAGTTTCCAAACTGCAAAGCAAATACTTAAGCTCCTCATTTTGCTTGACCACACCATGCCATTTATAATTCGGTCTTATCTTTCATCACTCCCTACTAACCATCCCTGTAGACTCAGCAAACCACTAGACTTCCTCTAACATACCTTGTTCTTTCAGTCTGTGCTTCTACATATATTATTCCAATGTCTTTCCTGACTCTGCTGTGCACTACAAACTGCTTTTGAAGTATCATCTCTTATATGGAATTTCCCCCCACTTCAAACATCTTTGCTGTCAGTGTACTCTTACATCATTCCCTAACAGGACTCAGAACACTGCACAGTAATTGTTTCACATATCTTGATATCCTCAGAATCTACCATAGTTTGAGGCACCTGGTGGACAATTAAGGGTGGGTTTTTATAGACTTTCTGGTATGATCTTATTTTCTATCTACTCGCTGTCGCTCAAGCGTACTGTATGGAGACGCAGGATGTATCATGGTTAAGAGGTCAGATTCTGAAGCCAGGCTGTCTATGTATGACCTTTAGATCTACCACTTAGCTGGGCAAATTAATTAACCTTCTTGTGCCTGGGTTTCCCTATGTGTAAAAAGAGGATTTTATCCTATTATTATTAGACCTACTTCATAATATTATGAAGATTAAATGCCTTAATATGGGCAAAGTGCTCAAAACAGCAACTGGCACAACATAAGCACTAAATATATTGCCTGTTTTAATTAATAGACCTTAGTTACTGCTGATCCTTTCCACAAGCTAGTCCTATATTATGTTCTATATTCTCCATTCTACATTTTGTCCTCCATTCGCTATTATTAATGGGCTGTCTTCATTTTTCCCTTTATCCAAATCCTACCCAGGTTTCAAGGCCAACTTCTGGTAAATCCTTTGCTCATTCCAATCCTTAAATGCTCACTCCAATCCTTAAACGATCATTCCCTAATTTTAATATCTACAGGATTTTCTGCATCACTCTGCATTTAATTAAAACTGCTTTGCATCCTTGTAGTTTTTTTCGTATAAGTTTGTCAATCCAATTATTATAAACTCTTTGAAGGTCCTGATTACATCTCCTGCACCTTTGTGAGTTCGTACAGCAGGTAGTAATTGCTTAGTATTTGCTGTGTAAAATAATAAAGCACAATAGGAACCTCAACTCTGATCATTCTGCCTTTGCAATCAAAGAAACGGAGAAGCTGTGAGAACATTCCATGCTTCTCTAGGAGCCAAGCTGCAAATGTATTAGGGCCAGAGAATTCTGACTCCCATTAAAATGAGCAGCTCTGAAAGGAGGGAGCGGGGAATCCCTCCCTGCCACTGTAGAGGATTTATGGGTTGCCCTTAAGTTCCCAAACCAAATTGTGGCACTGGGGTTTTTATGAGAAACGTGTCAACATGACAAAATGATTCAGAGCACAGGATTTGGAGTCACACAGATCTAGTTTTCAGCGAGACTCCTGTTTCCTTCTCTATAAAGGGGACATTTTAACACCTACTTCACATGTATTTAACTTTCGCCCTAACACTGAACTGAAGTGCAAAGCCTTGGAAACAAATTTAAATAAATTGAAAATACTGCAATTCACAAATAAGAGTGAGAACAACATTTTTAGTTACGTAAGACTATATTATATTAAATTAGGTGGCAGCAGTATTTATAATAATCTAAATTGCCTGTGAGAAAATTAAACTGGTATTGTCAATACATACTTAAAATAAGAAAAAAATCCCACTACAGTCTGTCCTTTTTGACACTTTCTCCTTCCTGTAATTTTTTTCTTTCACTCAAGATTAAAAACAAACGTTCAAGATTATCCCTAAAGAGAAATAGTTGGAAAGCACAATTTAATAGCAAGTTGGTTCTATAAATGTAATATTTCAGTTCATAGTTCAAAAATACTTCCAAATAGGAATTAACATGAATTTAAGAAATTAACATAATGGCACACAGCTAAACTGATGATCTGAGTCCGTAATTTCAAATTAAGAGTTGTTCCAACTTGAAGCTGGCAGTCATACACAGTTTAAAGGGTTTGTTTACAGCACTGTCAAAAGCAAATACCACAATCTTTCAGAAAATTCACCCTGGCATTCTAATAACTAGTTATTTTAAGGCAGTATAATTGTTGAAATACTTCACAAACTAAGCCAAAATGCGTTTCCTTCTGAAGGCAAAAAAAAAAAAAAAAAAAAAAGGTGACGTCTTATTTTTAACCTGTGATTTTTTTTTTTTTTCAGTTTCGGATTATGAAATAAAATGCTGTTCATCCACTGAAGAACAGACCCTTGCTTCCTGCACTATCTTCAAAAGTTTAGGTCGGAGGAGGTAAAATTTTAAAAACTGATTTGTTCTCCTTGGGATACAGTGAGATGTGGAATTCGTTAGGAATGATAATTATTAATAGAAAAGATCAAAAGAAGGAAAGAAACGTTAATAGTGTTTATAAGCATTGTGAACTTTCAACAAAGCTGAAACGTTACGATTTCAAGATGAAAAAACGGCTTTGGGGAAGGGAAATCCACCTCGAGAATGAAGACAAGTGCGGAGCGAATAGAATTTCAGGGGAGATGAAAAGGGGATTGGGAAAAACGTGGGATCTGGTAACAAAAAGGGGGGTTTGTTCTTGAAGGGCGTTCTGCGGGGCGGGCGTTAAGAGGGGTGCGTGCGTGCGCCTGGGTGAAGTTTGTACTCAGGGCTGCGATAATCGAGGTGACAAAGTTGTGGAAGTAGAATTCGGAGGTCCGGGAGCAGGAAGGGGAAGGAATGTGGGGATTTCCAGGCTGGGCTGACAAGTTCCGGGCGCTGCTCTCAGGGGGAAGGGAGGTCTCCTCGAGTGCCAGATAGCCCGTCCGAAACCACCGACACTCTAACTCCAGCTACGCGACCCAGCACCCGGCCCCTCCTCACCTCAGGCCGCGCCGCCTCGACCCTCCGCGTCTCCACAGCGCACGAACCCCTTGGCGCCAGGCTGGGCCAGACCCGTCGGCCTGGCAGGCGCGGCCCCCGGTTCAGCTGCGCCGGGGCGGCCCAGCGCGACTCCGCGGGCCTTTTGGCTGCTCGCCCCGGCTCCGGAACACTGTCAGATCCTTCTCCGCAGAGGTAGCGCGCCACCCCAGTCCCGCGGCGGGGCGGGGCGCTCCCCAATCCCGCCCAGCTGCGCCCCCGGCCGGCCAACGCTGCGCCCCGCCCCCTACCGGGACCTAGGCGCTGATTGGCCCCTGAGAGACCCTTTGCGCCCAGGCATTGGTCCAGTGGCCGCCTGTCGACGAGGGGGCGGGACTCCGAGGGGTAGCGATTCCCGTAACGCGGCTCTTCGCGTCCCGGATTCCGGTGGCTGCGTCCGCGTCGCCTCTCCCAGACTAGATCGAAGGGTTCCCCCCACCTCCCCTCTGTGGGCGGAAAGAGCGGAATGTTCCATTTTTCTGTGGAATAACGGGGTCATGAACTGGAGCCCGGGTGCTGCCCGCCGCCCGCTGCCCCCGCCCTCCCTTCTCGCCAGGGCGCCTGCGGCCTCTCTTCGCGGCCTTCCCCGAGGGACTCAGAGCCGCGAGGGACCGCCTAGCTCCCTTGGGGATGGGGAAGGCGTGGGAGCCTCTTGGGGAAAGTGAAGAGCTCGGTGGCCGTGACTCCGCACGAGACTGCGGCAGATTGTGGCGGCGGCTTCTCTCCAAGACTTACGTAAACGAGCCTTGCCACAGTACTTTTTTAAATTAGTAAATGAGTTTGGGTGCGATTGATCAGTGAGCCCCAGAGGTGGTGGCCCACCAAGCGACTAGTGTTTCTTTGCGGTTTGTACCTCCCCGTTTATGATAAAAAATACCGGGTAAAAACCTATTCATCCCGCCTCCGCCCCCCCCTTTCCCTCAGAAAATGGACCTCAAGGCTCATGATGTTTGTTTCTCCCCAAAGGAAGATGAGAATCTTGAGTTAAAAGATAAGGCATGTGCGTGCGTGCGTGTGGGGTGTGTGCGTGGGTGTCTGTAAAAGTAAACACCCAAAGGTAGAGGTTTTTGTGGAAGAATGAGAGGATATAGGAAGGAAATAATGGTTTAATGAACTTAAATTATATCCATAAATTAACAATTATAAAGTTCTTCATTATATTGAGGATTCAGATAGAGTAAAACATAGATCGAATTTTAATCTCTTAGTTGTTGATCAGATAATTTATAAAAGGGCAAAGTGGGCCTGCTAACGGAGTCGCAGGCAAAGTAGATGGTGCTGCAGCTGATGTGTTCAGCTCTTGCTCCTCCCTGTCATCCTATATCTAACCTATAGATTGTGACCAGATTCTGTTCTAGCTTTGCCATTTAGAGGGGTGTTTATTTTAAAACAAATTTTTATAAAAATTTGTTAAATTGAAAATTTTGTATAGATCCAGGAAACTTGATTTTTTTGTTGTTGTTCACAGTCTCACTCTGTCACCCAGGCTGGAGTGCAGTGGCTGGATCATGCTCACCGCACGTTCAAATTCCTGGGCTCTAGCGATCCTCCCACCTCAACCTCCCAAGTATCTCAGACTACAGGTGCCCCTACAATACCTGGCCAATTTTTAAAATTTTTGGAGAGACAAGATTTTGGTATGCTGACCCGGCTGGTCTTGAACTGCTGGCAACAAACGATCCTCCGGCCTTAGTGGCCTCCCAAAGTGCTGAGATAACAGGTGTGATGCAAAGATGTATTTAGGGGAGATGTATAGTGGTTAAATGTACCCTCTGGTTCTAGATTGCCTAGGTTTAAATGCTGATGCCTCTATTTCTCATCTCTGTGACCTTGGGCAAGTCTTTTCAAATTTCTTCATCTGCAAAATGAGAATAACAATACCAACCTAACAGGATTGTTGCAAGGATTAAATGAGTTAAAATACATACAGTGTTTGGCACATAGTAGGTGCTCTGTAAGTATCAGCTATAATCATTATTGAATGTCTACTCGGTCAACACTTCTGAAATATTTTAGTATCACAACATATATTAAAAATGATGATATTTTGCTGGACGGGGAAGGGCAGGTACACAGAAGTGGATTGATATGTCACAACACACCAGCCTGCCTTGGCACCATTAGGAAAACAAATGACTGAGTTAGTGCTTTTATGGGTGTCTTTTTATTGGCTCAGCTCAGGTCCTGCTCCCAAGAAACTCACATTTTATGGGAGTAGTTAAAGTCTGAGGCCAAAAGGATGAATCAATATTGGAGAAGTATTTTTCAGAGCAACAGGACGGAAGACCTCTGCTGTGCTGGAATTACATGACTTTGCAGATACCTCTGTAGAGTATTGGCCTTGAAATTACGAATTTCAGATTAAGGATTTGTTACTAGAAAGCCTTGTCAAAATGCAAAGGTAAGTAGGGGAAAGTAGTATATTAATGGAGAACTCTCCATTTGTGTCCTGTGACCATTTGAGATTTTAGATATGTCAAGAGCAGGCCGGGTGCAGTGGCTCACACCTGTAATCCCAGCATTTTGGGAGGCTGAGGCAGGCGGATCACTTGAGGCCAGGAATTCAAGACCAGCCTGGTGAAACCCCAACTCTATTAAAAATACAAAGATTAGCCAGGCATGGTGGTGGGTGCCTGTAATCCCAGTTACTTGGGAGGCTGAGGCACGAGAATCACTTGAACCCAGGAGGCAGAGGTTGCAGTGAGCTGAGATCCTGCCACTGCACTCCAGCCTGGGTGACAGAGCAAAACTCCTTCTCAAAAAAAAAAAAAAAAAAAAAAAGAGATTGAGGAAACTGTACAGTGAGAAAGTAACATGAAGGCACCAAAATTACAATTACTTGGGAGTAAGTGAGCAAAGCTTAGGAAATTGTGCCATGGAACAAAGGTGATAAATGTCAAAGACAAACTTTGCCTGCATTTCTAATTCCCTAAATCTGGTGCTGACTAGGATATCCCTTTACTTCCTTGTCTGTGCCCAGTTATGTTTCTGAAATTCTGTGTCAGCCCTGGAATTATCCTCATGTTCTGTATCACCTTAATGATTTCAGCATCCATGTTCATGACTCATTAGCACTCTGACCTCACAATTTCTCATCGTTTTCTTTTCCAATCATCTTCAACTTCACTCTGTATCAGCAACCCACAGATGGAGCCACACCTTCAACCTAGTCATCAATGAAATTACTTCCCCTCCAAAATGCTGGATTGTGAGTTTCCCTCTCTGTACCTACAGCCACCTACCCCCATCTATCTCTATTCTGTGGTCATTCCCATTGAATCTGTAATTTGTCCTCAATGTGACAGCCTGACAGCCAGTCTTTCTTCTCATAGTTTATCAGCTGTTTCCTATCATTTTTTATCTTACTTACCAGTAAGAACCCCCTTTTTTTTTTTGAGACGGAGTTTTGCTGTTGTTGTCCAGGCTGGGGTGCAATGGCACGATCTTGGCTCACCGCAACCTCCGCCTCCCTGGTTCAAGTGATTCTCCTGCCTCAGCCTCCCAAGTAGCTGAGATTACAGGTGCTCACCACCATGCCTGGCTAATTTTTTGTACTTTTAGTACAGACGGGGTTTCACCAAGTTGGCCAGGCTGATCTCAACTCCTAAAAGTGATGGGATTACAGGGGTGAGCCACCGCCCCCCAAGAACCCTTTTATCAACCATTTTAACTGCACTATTCTCTTCAGTTCCCTTGACCTTCAGCTATGTTTACCTTATCAGGCTATTTCCTAACTATTTCCTTTTTCCTTGAGCTATCAGCCCCACCGTAACATTTATTCTTAGTACAGAACCTTGTTTTACTCCCTTAAAATCAAGACCATCATTTGTGAGCATCCTTGACTTTTCTCCAACTTAGGAAGCAAATAGATATTTATCCTCTTTCTCTTTTCCCCACTCAGAGGAAGAAAGGCCCCTTTACTTTTAAAAGGTTAATTTCTCCTCCTCTGTTCTTGGTACTACTTTAAGTCTAGTCCCCTAGTTTTATATTTTTCATTATTAACACTAAATGACTTTGAAATGTTTAAAAATTAGATATTAACTCAGTGGTGAGTTGAGGACAGCCTCTCTGCCTGTGTTAAAACCTTTGTAACCTGATAGCACCTAATTCACCAAAATTAAAAATAATTAAATGTCTAAAAATGAAGAATGTTAAGCTACATTGAAATTCACTTAACAAAATGAGGTGAGAATGAAAAATGAACTTAAATTTCCAAACTAGAAGACAAGAGAAATTCATTTCATAGCAACAAAACTCAAAACCATTATGACTGCTATTTCAAAAAATGTTTTGAAGAATGTATATTCAGAAAAATCAACATACCATAAGAGTACAGCCTGAAAATTTTTGACAAAATGAACACATTCATGTTTATCATCTATATCAAGAAACAGAAGGCCTGGCACGGTGGCTCACACCAGTAATCCCAGCACTTCCGGAGGCCAAGGCGGGCAGATCACGAGGTCAGGAGTTCGAGACCAGCCTGGCCAACGTGGTGAAACCTCATCTCTACTAAAAATACAAAAATTAGCTGGGCTTGGTGGTGCATTCCTGTAATCCCAGCTACTGGGGAGGCTGAGGCAGGAGAATGGCTTGAACCTAGGAGGCGGAGGTTGTAGTGAGCCAAGATTGTAGTGAGCCAAGGTTGTATAGTGAGCCACTACACTCCAGCCTGGGTGACAGAGCAAGACTTGGTCTCAAAAAGAAAAAAAAAAGAAAGAAATAGAAAATAGTCTGGGTGCGGTGGCTCATACCTGTAATCCCAGCACTTTGGGAGGCCAGAGGCTAAAGCGGGTAGGTCACAAGGTCAAAAGTTTGAGACTATCCTGGCCAACGTGGTGAAACCCAGTCTCTACTAAAAATACAAAAATTAGCCAGGCGTGGTGGCACACGCCTGTAGTCTCAGCCACTCGGGAGGTTGAGATATGAGAATCGCTTGAACCCGGGAGGCAGAGGTTGCAGTGAGCTGAGATCACGCCACTGCACTCCAGCCTGGTGACAAAGTGAGACTCTGTCTTAAAAAAAAAAAGAAACAGAAAATGACCAGTACCCCAAAAGGGCCCTCCTCCCATCCAGTTATTGGAAGGTCATAACTGACCACTATTCTAATGTCATAGCGTTGTACCCAAGCGAGTTAGAGAAAACGACACACTTTGAGACGAATTAAGAGTCCTTTATTAGCCAGCGACCGAGAGATAGCTAACGCTCACAATTCTCTCTGCCCCGAAGAAGGGGCTAGATTTTCTTTTATACTTTGGTTTAGAAAGGGGAGGGGGGTCTAGTTAAAACAATTTTACAGAAATAAAGTAGGCAAAAAGTTAAAAGGATAAATGGTTACAGGAAAGTAAACAGTTCCAGGTGCAGGGGCTTTAAGACTATTACAAGATGATAGACTCAGGGCTTTGGGTGTTATCAATCAGACGAATTCCTGGGAATTGCGGATATAGCTTGCCACAGTATCTTATCAGTTAATTGCATTCTTGGATGTGCTGGGAGTCAGCTTGCACAAGTTAAGTCCTTGAGGAAGGGGCTGCCAGTGAAAGAGTCAAGATGGAGTCTGTCTGGCTCTCTTAGCTAAGGGAGAGTCAATTCAGGTGGAAACAAGCCTAAAAACAGGGTTAGTAAAAACAAGGTTGGGCATTACAATAGTTTTATGCTGTCTTTTTAAACTTGAAAAGTGTACAGAAAAATTTTTTCACATCAGATGGGTAATGTGCCAACGTCGTAACAAGGTTTGCGGGAGGCACATCTCACACATGCACATGAAAACCCAATCATCAGGCTTATAAACTACAAAAGAATCTGAAACTTCTTAGGCTTAATATTAGGTTGGTGCAAAAGTAATTTCTGCCATTACTTTTAATGGTGAAAACCACAATTTTACACCAACGTAATATATTTACTTATTTTATTTTAATGAATATACTAAACCAAGAGAGTTTAAAATGAAATAAGTACTGCTCTGTGGCCGGGCGTAGTGGCTCACGCCTGTAATCCCAGCACTTTGGGAGGCCGAGACGGGCGGATCACAAGGTCAGGAGATCGAGACCATCCTGGCTAACACGGTGAAACCCCATCTCTACTAAAAAATACAAAAAATTAGCTGGGCGTGGTGGTGGGCGCCTGTAGTCCCAGCTACTTGGGAGGCTGAAGCAGGAGAATGGTGTGAACCCGGGAGGTGGAGCTTGCAGTGAGCCGAGATTGCACCACTGCACTCCAGCCTGGGTGATAGAGCAAGACTCTGTCTCAAAAAAAAAAAAGAAAGAAATAAGCACTGCTCTGTAAAGGTAAACACAGAGGAAGGGATCTAGCTCAGAGATCTCCATACTGTGGACTTCCAGGGATAACCCTGGTCAAATAGCCATGGGCTGGTCAATGATTTTGAGTTACTCTTTGAGAGGGAAGCTTGGCTTCAGAGAAGGAAAGGCCAGTGCAAGACATGTGAGCAGCAGTTAGGTGCATCCTATTCCTAGACACATACATAGGATAAGGAAGTCAGGTATTGGGACTGTAGCTTTGGAATGGACTATACTTGCTTCAGAATATTATCAGGGGGAGTTTGAGAAGCAAGGGCTTTCCTTCGTTGATTCTCCTTTCACCAGTCTTCCTGGAAAGAATATTCTGCAGTTACAAAATAGGTTCCTTGGCTGCCAGTCTGATACTTGTGCTAAAACCAAATAGATGAAAAAGTATCAACATGAATTTTAAAAAATATATTGTGTGAGCTTGTATAGCTAAGAATTCCCAGCCCCCTACATAGGATCTGAAGAAAGATCTAGTACTAATTGTATTAAATAATGGTTTAGGCAAATGTGTATCTGTCTCCTTAAGAGAGGAAGGCAGTCCCTACTGTAAAGTAAAAATGAAATGGATATACTTCCTGAGAGGGCTGGAATTTTCTGATAATTGTCCCCTCTGATTTTTCACAGGATTTACGGAATGGCCATCTTCCATAATTAACAAATAAATAAATGAAATTTAATGTCAGGGTCAAATGAAACTGGAAACAAAGCTTATCTGGTGATATATCAAATTATGAGAGTCATTATTTGGATGTAAGGATATATGACAGATAGACTCTTAGGAGAAATGCTATGACCTCCTGCTTCTTGGTATTCCTTGTGTGATTTCCTCCTCTTGAGTGTGAAGGCATGTATGTCATTGAGTTATATAAGATAGTGCCCATCTTGCTAGTGTCTCTCTCTCTCTTGTGGCTCTGAAAAATCAAGCTGCCTGCCATGTTTGAGCTTTGATATGGAAAGACCCACATGTTAAGGAACTGAGGGCAGACTCTGCCAACAGCTAGCTTTGAAACTGAATCTCCCGGCCAGGCACAGTGGCTCATGCCTTTAATCCCAGCACTTTGGGAGGCCAAGGTGGGTGGATCACAAGGTCAGGAGTTCAAGACCAGCCTGGCCAAGATGGTGAAACCCCATCTCTACTAAAAATACAAAAATTAGCTGGGTGTGGTGGCAGGCACCTGTAATCCCAGCTACCCAGGAGGCTGAGGGAGAGAATTTCTTGAACCCAGGAGGCAGAGGTTGCAGTGAGCTGAGATCACGCCACTGCACTCCAGCCTGGGTGGCAGAGCGAGACTCCATCTCAAAAAAAAAAAAAAAAGAGAGAAAGAAACCAAATCTCTCAGTCCTACAACCTCAAGGAACTGAATTTTGCCAACAAAAGCAGATCCTTCCCCAGTCAAGCCTCAGATGAGACAGCATCCTCAGCTAACAACTTGTTTGCAGCCTCATGAGAACTGAAGCAGAGAACCCAGCTAAACTGTGCCTAGACTCCTGACCACAGAAACTGAGATAATAAATGTGTGTTGTTTTAAGCTGCCAAGTATGTGATAATTTGTTATGTAGTGGAGAACTAATACAACAGGGAAAAGTTAAAAGCTATTCACATAAATATTTATAATGGATACTATTTCTACACATTTAAATCAAGCTTCTCTTACGTTCATAAGAAGATACGAATCTGGAGAAGGAAATTATATCAAGCAGAACGCTGCTCTGGTGTTGTGAAGACGGGATCCCACCATTCTAATGTATTCAATTTATTTATTCAATAAGTTTTGAGCATCAACTATGTTCCAGGCACTGAGATATTAATCTAAGGAAGACACACGTGTTGTCCTCATTGAGGAGCTCAAAAGTCTAATACATAAACCAACAATCATACAAAAATCATAGCCATGTTACAGTGCTATGAGGAAGATGTTAAGAGAATATTCTGGAAGTACTCATACATAAATACTTCAGAAACTGGGCATTATAAGAAGTCAGTTGCCTCTCTCTACTTTCAGTTCTACATTTTTATACCTTGTAGTGGATTTAAAATGGCCACAAATTCTTCAATACTCTTCTATGGAGAGATTTGAGGGCTATTTCCCTTCATCTTGAATTTAGGCAGGCTTGTTCAGGGTCTGGCTTTTAAGAGGAGCTTTCACCTTGGTCTGTGGAAGTCCTGAGTCACTGTGTACAAAGTCCATCTACCTTATTACACCATCTGGAGAGAGCTGAGACTACAGGGAGAGGGGGAGTGGCCCGGCTGATCCCAGTCTTCCTAGTGACCCTGCCCAGGAACTTGGCATGTGAGTAAAGCCATCTTGGAACCTCCATACCAGACCAGCCACGAGATGAATAATACTAACTGATCCCAGTCAATGCCACATAGAGCAGAAGAACTGCCTAACTGAATTCTTTCCAAACTGCTGACTCAAAAATTTGTATGGTATAATAAAATGTTTGTTTTAAGTCACTGTTTTGTTAGGAGTAATAAGCAACCAGAATAAAATTCTAATCTTTATCATGTACCGTGCTGAAAATCTGACCATCTCACTCTCCTTAAAACTCCGTCAATCCCTTCCCATTACCCAAATCCCTCTTGTATGTCATAGAAGTCCCTCATTACGTGACCTCTACCTACTTCTCTGGTCTTGTCTCCTAACATGGCCTCCAACTCCAGGCTCTCATATTACCTATTTGCTAATGGTTCCTGGGCCAGCATCCAACATACTGTTCCCTCCTTCCATGCCAAGAAGAGACAGCTTATTCTGTTTCCTTGGCCGGTCATTGCCTTCTTCATTTGCTTTGCCTAACTTGCTCACCGTGTAAAAATATTCATCTAAGTAGTTACTTCCTCTCAGAAGTCTGCTCTAGGCCATGAGAAACTCACAGCCAAAAATGCAAATGATTCCAGATGATCATTCACTGTAGAAAAGGAATTGATGGGCCGGGCGTGGTGGCTCATGCCTGTAATCCCAGCACTTTGGGAGGCCGAGGCATTAGGATCACAAGGTCAGGAGATTGAGACCATCCTGGCCAACATGGTGAAGCCCGGTCTCTACTAAAAATACAAAAACTTTGCTGGGCGTGGTGGCGCACACCAGTAGTCCCAGCTACTCAGGAGGCTAAGGCAGGAGAATTGCTTGAACCCAGGAGGCAGAGGTTGCAGTAAGCTGAGATTGCGCCACTGCACGCCAGCCTGGTGACAGAACGAGACTCCATCTCAAAAAAAGAAAGAAAGAAAAAGAAAAGAAAGAAAAGGAATTGAGGAAGAGATTTCTAGACCACAGAGCAAAAAGGGAATGGGGGAACCCAGATAAAATGGCAGACTGAAAAAATTCTTTGCTCTTTAAGTTAGTCTCTCCCAACATATACAATGTCATGGATGCTGTATTAGTCATTTGAACAAAGTGCTATGTTAATTCAGAAAAGAGACAATTAATTTTCCCTGGAGAGACTGGAGATGCTTTCTAGAGGAAGTGTGACATTGAAGCAAGTTCATGAAAGATGAGTAGGAACTCACTAAGGGAGATAATGGAGGGAAGCAGTTCTTGGCAGAGGGAACAGCAAGAGGAAGCAGTGGGAATGCGAAAGGACAAGGTATTACCAAGAGGTCTGGTGAGAGTAGATCAGGGAGTGCGGGGTGAGAAATAAATTGAGACGAGAAGGTGGAGGCCTTCCTTAAAAGCCATGCTACACAGGGGATTTACACTTTATTTTGTAGGGAGATATTAGAATTTTTAAAGCAGGATACTGTTGAGAACAGATTTGTGATTCAGAAAGCAAATTATATTAATACTGTGAAGGATGAATTGGGGGAACAAGAAACTGGAAGAGAGCTTGAACTAGAATAGCTCCTTATTTTGGAAGAGAAGGAAGAGGGTGTTCTGAATAATGCCAGGGAGATAGAATGGCAAGACTTGACAGTGGGATATGGTAAGAAATGTATGGACAGATCTGTGATCAAAGCCTGGGTTAATCATTGCGGATAAGCTGTATATTCTTAAGTAATTTCTTCCCCCTCCCCTCCCCTCCCCTCCCCTTCCCTCCTCTGTCCTCCCCTCCCCTGTTCTCTCCTCTCCTTTTTTTTTTCTTTGAGACAGGGTCTGGCTTTATTGCCCAGGCTGGAGTGCAGTGATGGGATCATAGCTCACTGCAGCCTCAAACTCCTGGGCTCAAGCGACTTTTCCACCTCAGCCTCCTAAGGAGCTGGGACTATAGGCACACACCACCATGTGTGGCTAATTTTTTTGATTTTTTGTAGATACAGGGTCTCACTTTATTGCCCAGACTGATCTCAAACTCCTGGGCTTTCACTCTAGTTGTGTCCTTTGTGGTTCTTGGATGTCATCACCCCCACATTAGGCACCTGCAGGTATGTCCTTGTCCCCACCTGAGCTCTGGATGTACATTCCATGCTACTTTCCACTTTTGTGTCTCATGGTCATGACTGTAAGTCCCCTTGGACCCTTTGTCAGCTAAATTATGTGTCTTTCTTGGGGGCCCGTTAGCTTTTCTGTGCCACTCTCGGGGCTGCAAAAGATTCAGAGGGACTGCCTCAGACTTTCCCTACCTAGGGCACTATATGTGGTCATCTTTACCTTAATTCTGTGACAACATTGTGGTCTAGGAAACATCTGCTAGGCTGCTGCCTCCCAGGATTCCAGATGTTAATAGATTCCCAACATTGTCATGAGCCTCCACCATGTCTCCCCAACTTGGAGCTAACCCCAAGTAAGGGGCATGGTGGAGGACCTTTTCTTAGATCTTTATTACCTGAAGTTATTTTGCTTAACACTCATTTCTCTACTTTTGCGCTCCCCAACTTGGAAAGTCTTTATCTAGCCTAGGGGTGGGGGTGGGGTAGGGGGGTTGATATTAGTGGGAGGGGCAATTAAGATGGGTCAGCAAGTATCTCCCCAAATCTTTCTGTCTTACTACTAAGGCTTTTGAATTTGAGAGTCCAAGAGTTTGGCACCTTCATTCTCTGCTAGTCAGTGGGTTTTTGTTGTTTGTCTTTCTAATGCAATCAGGGAGAGTTGTTAAGTGAAGAGTGTAGAGAGAAAAAAATTCTGGAACAAATACCTTACTTAAATATCTTGATATGCTGAAATAAAGTTTTTGTCTCTTCCAAATATATGCATCCTCTTCTCACATCTGCCAAGACAGTCATAGGTAAGAAACCTCAAATTAGAATAAAGAGTATCCGCTTCCTTAATCTGATTTCTGTGTGCAGATAATGAGAAGAGGCGAAGGATCAACCAGATTCTGAAAACTTGCTTTCAGGTACCAGGGGCCAGAGCATAAAACTAGATATTTTCCCAGGATTGATTGATTTAGGTACTGACCCTCAGGGGTCACATAGAAAATTTCCCAGTGACATTAAAGGAAGCCCATACTCTATTGTGTAAGAAAAGAGAAAAACTAAACAAGCTGCCAGGTGTTGAACTTCTCCTTGTGTCCAGTTCTCGTTCTGCCTTGTGGAGCTGTAGGAGAGGGTCACCAATGCCCAGACATGCCATTACACCTTCCCTTCTTTTGCCCACCTTCTTACCTCTTAACATCATTCTCATGAATTTTTTTTCATATACTTGCTACCTTTTTCTAACTTTATAAAGACAGAAAAATAAATGAAGAATGAATCATCTGTCTTGTGTGTTAGATGTCATGGCAGGAGGTAGAAAGGAAACTGAATATGTCTTTAAACCCCTGGAGCATCTAGCTACAGATGGACTAAATGGTCCAACCCAAATGCAGAAAATCAGTGTAAACCACTTAGACTGTGATTCTGATTTCAATAAAAAGTGAATTTTTTTTCCAAGTAGGAATATGTTAAGCTGTTTTCTCTAATCAGAGACAAATTTTCAATGCCTGGATAACAAGTATTATCCTAAGTGCTACCCCTTTTTGTGTGCCAGCTATGTGACAGAAACTCACTATACCAGACACTTTATATCCCAATTAATCTTTGCAACAAACAGGGCAGGAAATAGCAGTTGTTCACTGTAGTCACACTCTTATGACCTAGAAGTGTTAATTTATATATATGTAAATTGTACATCTTCCTTATATATTATAATTATATAATTAAATTATACAATTATTATATATTATATTATATATTATATATATTATATGATATATGATATATGATATATATTATATTATATATTATTTATATATTTAATATATATCATATATAATATATATTATATATTATACAATATATACATTATATATTATATATTATACAATATATACATTATATATTATATACTATATATTATATATCATATATACTATATATAATATATAATATATGATATACTATATAATATATAATATATGATATAATATACTATGATATATAATATATGATATATGATATATCAAATATATAATATACGATATATAATATATAATATATGATATCATATATTATATATTATATATATTATATATTATATATTATATTTTATATATGATATATGATATATCATATATCATATATAATATATATGATATATCATATATCATATATAATATATATATTTTATATATTATATATGATATAATATATATAATATATGATACATGATATATAATATTATATATTATATAATATATTACATATAATATATAATATAATATATATAATATATACTATATAATATAATATAGGATATATAATATATATAATAATTATATTATATAGTATATATTATATATAATATATACTATATAATATAATTATATAATTATATAATTAAATTATATAATTAAATTATGATTTATATAATTATATATTCCTTATATATTATAAATGTATATATTATATATTTATTGTATATAAATATTATATATATAAAGAAACACAGTCTCTCTGTCATGCAGTGGCTCTATCATAGCTCACTGCAGCCTCAAACTCTTAAGCTCAAGTGATCCTCCGGCCTCAGCCTCCTAAGTAGCTGGGACTACAGGTGTGTGCCATTACGCCCAGCTAATTAAAAAAAATTTTTGTAGAGATGAGGTCTCCCTATGTTGCCCAAGCTGGTGTCAAACTCCTGGCCTCAAGCAATCCTCTTGCCTTGGCCTCCTAAATTGCTGGAACTACAAGCATGAGCCACTACACACAGCTATTTTGGTGTATTTCTAATATCTTTTAGATGCATATAATTTTTTATTTGTTTTGTCAATTACCACCATGGCCTAAACAATTTCCTATGTTGTTAAAAGCTTATTTTACTGACTACACTCATGACGTTTTTAATAGTGCATTGAAATTTTCCAATAAATTTCACAGATATATTGGGAGTAGACATAGCAGAGGGTATGGTAGCCTCAGATTAGCCTGGGTGTAATCTTGGAAGGAGGCAACTGCCTTGCTGCTCCCTCTACTTTTGCCTCTCCTGTAGCCAAGCCTCAGGAGAGGCTTTTCTGCATGGTTTCCAGGGTTTGGTTTGTGAGGGAAGAAGATGAGGGTAAAGTCAACTCAAACTTCATCATAGCATTGTGCCCACTTTGCCCTGTCACTGCCATTCTCCAGCAGAAACACTTTGGACACCAACACATGCTCCCTCTTGGAGAAACTTTCTAGTTTGGGTAAAAAGACCAAAAAGTGGGAAAAAATTAATTAGAAATATGGAGATCATGGGTGGAAGGAGCTACCATGGCATGACCCTGAAAGCCCTCAGCATATTCTGGCATGGATCTCTGAGGAAATACAAGATGACCTCTGTGTGAGGTGTTTTTCATGTTGGTTGGAATTTTCACTGGTAAGAACACAAGTACCTTTAAGCTTTGGCCAGAAGGTTTCAGATCTTGAATAAACCCAAACTCATTTGTGCTTTTTCTAAGTAGAATAGTCAGGTTGAACCTGTGGATCAACAGTTGACATTATGCCAACCAAAATATTTCTCTTTTTGGAAGCAACTAATGAGTTTCAATAATTCTTCTTGAGTCTTTCTCACATAAGGAAACAGGGCACATCATTAAAACTGCCCTGGAGGAAATTATATGATAATCTTTGTAAAACTAACATTCCAGAAGGGAGGGGACTTTACCAATGCAGGGGATTATTAATAGCTATTTTGTGCCTTCAGATGGCATGATGCTTTATGTGTTAGTGAATTTCACAGGATCACATATGTGCAAGGGGGCCAGGCTCGGATCAAGGGGGTATGTGGCTGCTGGCTCTGATTTTTGTTCTGCTGGGCCTTGGTGGAAGCAACCAGTTAGGCAAATAGAGCCAGGCACACTATCCTTAATGTATTAGACAATTGGTAATTCTTTGTTGTTTATGATGATAGGTTTGATAGGAATCTCTGGACATGGAGATAGAAAACCAGGTGGCTCTACCATTTATTAGTTCTATAACTATAGACAGATTACTTGTCTCACCTGAACCTCCATTTCCTTATCTGTAAAATGGAAATACAATCTCTTTCAATAAGTTGTTATGAAATCTAAATAAGATAATATATGTAAAAGTGCTAGACATGGAAAAATATTTTATAATTTTTAAGGTATATTATTATTGTTGTTATGATTATCATTACTAGTAAGTTTAATCATGGAAGACTTATGGACTGACTAGTAAACTAGGATAACTTAGTGGGGATCTGTGGTTTGGAGTCTCAAAATAATAATGAAAGCCTAAATGTCAGACCTTTTTTTTTTCCCCTGAGACGGAGTTTCACTCTTGTTGCTCAGGCTGGAGTGCAATGGTGCAATCTTGGCTCACCGCAATCTCTGCCTCCCGGGTTCAAGCAATTCTCCTGCCTCAGCCTCCTGAGTAGCTGGGATTACAGGTGCCTGCCACCACGACTGGCTAATTTTGTATTTTTAGTCGGGACAGGGTTTCTCCATGTTGGTCAGGCTGGTCTTGAACTCCCAACCTCAGGTAATCCGCCTGCCTTGGCCTCCCAAAGTGCTGGGATTACAGGCGTGAGCCACTGCGCCTGGCCCAGACCTTTATTTTACACACACACACACACACACACACACACACACACACACACACACACTGCAGTTTGTTTCACTGAAGACATTGGGACTTGGTTTCAATTAGTTTCTGGTTCAAACAATTAGTTAATGGCAGGATCAAGATGATAAACCACTGTTTTGGCCAGGCACGGTGGCTCATGCCTGTAATCCCAGCACTTTGGGAGGCCGAAGCGGGTGGATTACTTGAGGTCAGCCTGGCCAGCATGGTGAAACCCTATCTTTACTAAAAATACAAAAATTAGCTGGACATGATAGCTGGTGCCTATAATCCCAGCTACTTGGGAGGCTGAGGCAGGAGAATCACTTGCACCCAGAAGGTGGAGGTTGCAGTGAGCCAAGATCACACCACTGTACTCCAGCCTGGGAGACAGAGCGAGACTCTGTCTCAAAAAGAAAAAAACAGCAAAAAAATGATAAACCACTATTTCAAGTAAATGTGAAATAGGACTGAGCGTTGAAGCAGCCTGAATCTGACATTAAATCCTATGGTGACCTATCACATGGAGACACAGAGGCTTGCGGGCAAATAACTGAAGTTCTTGATAACTAAGCTTGATGGAGGACACAGAGAGATTGTTCAGGCTAAGAATCACCAATGGATTTTTGTCATTTTAATGATATTATTAATCTGTAAAGGTATTGTTTAGAAAACATTGCCATCATATAATTCTTGTTAATTGCTTAGGATAATAAATAATATCTGCCATTTATTATTAATCACCCATTACATGCCAGGCATTCTACTTAAATCATGTCACTTAATCCCTTCGACCATCTGGAAAGTGGCACTACTGTCCCATTTTACAGATGAAATCAAAGCTCAGAGACACTAGGGAACTTGCTCAAGGTCACACAGTGGGTAAATGTCAGAGCCAGGATTCTAATTCACATTTGTATGACACTGAAGCTCAGGCCCTTTCTATCACTTACAGTTAATGAGTGTGGATGACCCAGAGACTAAGATTGTTTCCTTCATGGCCACATCTTTAATTTCTGCCAATCTGAAAACAAAACTTCTGCACAAGCGTTAGTGTCCTTAACCAGAGCTGCTTGCCCAACACAGTCCACACCATTAAGATTCTCTACTGCAAACAGGGCTTTCGATCCTTCCCTTTTACAGTGAATTCACACTCAGTTTGACCCCAGCTCTCCAAAGCTTTCTATCTGATCTTGTTTTCTGTTTTCAATTTTCATAAGCATGTCAGATTCCTTTCTTGAATGTGAAGGGGAGGAAAAGAATCATTATATAGGCCGGGCGCGGTGGCTCACGCCTGTAATACCAGCACTTTGGGAGGCCGAGGCGGTCGGATCACCTGAGGTCAGGAGTTCGAGACTGGCCTAGCCAACATGGTGAAACCCAGTCTCTACTAAAAATACAAAAAAATTAGCTGGGCGTGGTGGCGGGCACCTGTAGTCTCAGCTACTTGGGAGGCTGAGGCAGGAGAATCACTTGAGCCAGAGAGGCATAGGTTGCAGTGAGCCATGATCACACTGTTGCACTCCAGCCTGAGCAACAAGAGCGAAACTCCATCTCAAAAAAAAAATCATTATATAAAGTCAAATATGGATACCTTTTGTTTGAATAAACATGAGAGATTAGGGCAAACACTCAGGTTAAATAGGATATGACTACTGCTTAGGGTTAAAGCATGACAATAAATATTTTTAGACAACTAACTGAAAGACAGGTCTGTCCTCTCATTTTCCTGAGACCCATATACATACTTGAACATTAAGCAACGGGTCCTGGAGAGGGAGGTAAGAAGTATTTCACATTTCTACAATTTTGCTGAAATAATCTTACATGTAGAACATACACATCATGCTTTTATTTGGAAAACCTCATTCCACATGGAGGGCATTTGGGCTGTGACGGGGTGGGCAGATGACTAAGTCGGAGTCAGAACATCTCTATTTGAGCTCTGTAACTTCCTGACTATGCAGCCTTTGGCAAATCACATAATCATTCTGAATTTCACTTTCCTAATCAGTAAAATGTGACTAACAACAGCTGTCCCTGACTACTGCAGAAGGATAGTATGAGGGCCAAATGGGAGAAGAGATGGGAAAGGGCTTTCTAAACTGTAAAGTGCTGGGCAGATGTTAAGAGTTAATGTCAACTCTTGGAGAACATCCTAGCTTTGTGTATTACTATGAGTGAGAAGGTGGCAGGCTGCGGAGGTGGTGGTGGTGTGCTAAGGAGGATACTGGCAGTTTTTATATTCAGATGCTAAATCACAGCTGTTGGGCAGGCAGAAAGCCAGGGCAAAGCCTGCTCTCTCTAGCTGCACCTGAAACCCCAGTTTCCTCTACACTATTCACTAACTGCCCTGCCTATGAGCAGGGAAGTGTAAGGCCCTTCACCTCCCACAATCACAAGCAGGAGGGAAGAAGCCAGCACTGAGCCACAGAAAGGCTGAGTCACTAATAAAAACTACCATTTATCAAATGCTTACTATGTGTCAGGCAAGATGCTAAGCATTTTACATATATGATCTTATCTATTTCTCATATCAGCAAATAAAGCTGGTCTGATTATTATCCCCATTTTACAGATGAGGAAAGTGAGAGTCAGAGAAGTCAAATGACTTGCCTACGATTGTAATTAGACAGGAGTCTCTACCAAGAGTCAAATCCAGGAGATCTGATTGTAAAACCCACATCCTCAAACACTAAGCTATACTGCAACTTCTGGTTGCAACCTCACATGCTCAGCTTCCTGCCACCAAACACAACTCCATTGGTGGTATCCAGTTCCAAAGAGAGCAAATACAGAAAAGGACTTTGGGCGCTGATGCTGGCCGGGCAACTCCATTTCCTACTCACCACGCAGACCTCCCTTAGTACAATAATGTCCTAACTTGAGGAGTGACCAGGCATTTACCTGGTAACCTGTATCTTCTCAATGGGGAAAGAAAAGGAGAGCAAAATATGTTTGTGCCTCGAGTGTCTGGCTAATAGTTGTCATAAAGTTGTTTAACTCTAGTTAGGCCACAGCAGAATTAGAGTTATAATTTATTTTTTTTTTTGAGACAGAGTCTTGCTCTGTCTCCCAGGCTGGAGTACAGTGGCTCAGTCTCGGCTCACTGCAAGCTCTGCCGCCCGGGTTCACACCATTCTCCTGCCTCAGCCTCCCGAGTAGCTGGGACTACAGGCGCCCACCGCCACGCCCAGCTAATTTTTTGTATTTTTAGTAGAGACGGGGTTTCACCACGTTAGCCAGGATGGTCTTGATCTCCTGACCTCGTGATCCGCCCGCCTTGGCCTCCCAAAGTGCTGGGATTACAGGAGTGAGCCACTGCACCTGGCCAGAATTAGAGTTATAATTAAGGCAGGACGTGCCAAGGTGATCACAGCCAAAGGTCCCACTGTGACCTGGGAATGCGGTTGTTGTTAGCAGCGGCAACAACTGGTACTTCACCCAATCCCTCATTTCCATAGATCAACACAATCTCCATCTATAGCAAACATTTACTTAGCATCTGTGGAGTGCCATGCTCAACGTCAGGTGCCAGGAACATACACATGATAAGGCACTTTGACATGAGAAAAAGCAGTAGAAGGAAGTATATAATAATAACAGATTGGTGCTTCAGAAAGTACATGAAATTGAATTCTGAAGAGGAGGTGATATGGTTTGGCTGTGTCTCCACCCAAACCTTATCTTGATTTGTAGCTCCCATAATTCCCATGTGCTGTGGGAAGGATCTGGTGGGAGGTAATTGAATCATGGGGGCAGGTCTTTCCCATGCTGTTCTCATTATAGTGAATAAGTCTCACACCATCTAATGGTTTTTTTTTTTTTTTTAATTTTTATTTTTTTTATTGATCATTCTTGGGTGTTTCTCGCAGAGGGGGATTTGGCAGGGTCATAGGACAATAGTGGAGGGAAGGTTGGCAGATAAACAAGTGAACAAAGGTCTCTGGTTTTCCTAGGCAGAGGACCCTGCGGCCTTCCGCAGTGTTTGTGTCCCTGGGTACTTGAGATTAGGGAGTGGTGATGACTCTTAACAAGCATGCTGCCTTCAAGCATCTGTTTAACAAAGCACATCTTGCACCGCCCTTAATCCATTTAACCCTGAGTGGACACAGCACATGTTTCAGAGAGCACAGGGTTGGGGGTAAGGTCACCGATCAACAGGATCCCAAGGCAGAAGAATTTATCTTAGTACAGAACAAAATGAAAAGTCTCCCACATCTACTTCTTTCTACACAGACATGGCAACCATCCGATTTCTCAATCTTTTCCCCACCTTTCCCCCCTTTCTATTCCACAAAACCGCCATTGTCATCCCGGCCCGTTCTCAATGAGCTGTTGGGTACACCTCCCAGACGAGGTGGTGGCTGGGCAGAGGGGCTCCTCACTTCCTAGTAGGGGTGGCCGGGCAGAGGCGCCCCTCACCTCCCGGACGGGGCGGCTGGCCGGGCGGGGGGCTGACCCCCCCACCTCCCTCCCGGACGGGGCGGCTGGCCGGGCGGGGGGCTGACCCCCCCCACCTCCCTCCCGGACGGGGCGGCTGGCTGGGCAGAGGCGCTCCTCACTTCCCAGTAGGGGCGGCCGGGCAGAGGCGCCCCTCACCTCCCGGACGGGTCGGCTGGCCGGGCGGGGGGCTGAGCCCCCCACCTCCCTCCCGGACGGCGTGGCTGGCCCGGCAGAGGGGCTCCTCACTCCCCAGTAGGGGCGGCTGGGCAGAGGCGCCCCTCACCTCCCGGATGGGGCGGCTGGCCGGGCGGGGGGCTGACCCCCCCACCTCCCTCCCGGACATGGGGCTGACACCCCCACCTCCCTCCTGGACGGGGCGGCTGGCCGGGTTGGGGGCTGACCCCCCCACCTCCCTCCCGGATGGGGCGGCTGGCCGGGTGGGGGGCTGACTCCCCCACCTCCCTCCTGGACGGGGTGGCTGGCCAGGCAGAGGGGCTCCTCACTTCCCAGTAGGGGCGGCTGGGCAGAGGCGCCCCTCACCTCCCGGACAGGGCGGCTGGCCGGGTGGGGGGCTGACCCCCCCACCTCCCTCCCGGACGGGGCGGCTGCCGGGCAGAGGGACTCCTCACTTCTCAGACGGGGCGGCTGCCGGGCGGAGGGGCTCCTCACTTCTCAGATGGGGCGGATGCTGGGCGGAGGGTCTCCTCACTTCTCAGACAGGGCGGCTGGGCAGAGACGCTCCTCACCTCCCAGACGGGGTCGCGGCCGGGCAGAGGCGCTCCTCACATCCCAGACGGGGCGGCGGGGCAGAGGCGCTCCCCACATCTCAGACGATGGGCGGCCGGGCAGAGACGCTCCTCACTTCCCAGATGGGATGGCTGCCGGGAAGAGGCGCTCCTCACTTCCTAGATGGGATGGCGGCCGGTCAGAGACGCTCCTCACTTTCCAGACTGGGCAGCCAGGCAGAGGGGCTCCTCACGTCCCAGACGATGGGCGGCGAGGCAGAGACGCTCCTCACTTCCCAGACGGGGTGGTGGCCGGGCAGAGGCTGCAATCTCGGCACTTTGGGAGGCCAAGGCAGGCGGCTGGGAGATGGAGGTTGTAGCGAGCTGAGATCACGCCACTGCACTCCAGCCTGGGCACCATTGAGCACTGAGTGAACCAGACTCCGTCTGCAATCCCGGCACCTCGGGAGGCCAAGGCTGGCGGATCACTCGTGGTTCGGAGCTGGACACCAGCCCGGCCAACACAGCGAAACCCCGTCTCCACCAAAAAAGTACGAAAACCAGTCAGGCGTGGTGGCGCGTGCCTGCAATCGCAGGCACTCGGCAGGCTGAGGCAGGAGAATCAGGCAGGGAGGTTGCAGTGAGCCGAGATGGCAGCAGTACAGTCCAGCTTCGGCTCGGCATCAGAGGGAGACCGTGGAAAGAGAGGGAGAGGGAGACCGAGAGGGAGAGGGGAGAGGGAGAGGCAGAGGCAGAGGCAGAGGCAGAGCCATCTAATGGTTTTATAAAGGGGAATTCCCCTACACAAGCTATCTTGCCTGCTGCCATGTAAGATGTGACTTTGCTCCTCCTTTATGTGAGGCCTCCCCAGGCTTGTGGAACTGTGAGTGAATTAAACCTCTTTCCTTTATAAATTACCCAGTCTCAGGTATGTTTTTATTAGCAGTGTGAGAACAGACTAACACAGAAGGTGGTGACAATTTGGGATGGAGTAGTCAGGGTAACTTTTATGAAGGAGGGAGTGAATAAGACTTTGAAGGATGGGTGAGACTTGACTAAATGAGAAGGGATGGGATTGAAAGCAGAAATGTCAGAAGAGATGATATTGTGGGAGAAGGTCTAGTGCAAAGATAGGTTCAAAACAAGTGAGAGTGAGCACTGGTGTGTTAGTATGCTTTCAGCTATTTGAAGTAGAAATGGCTTAAACCAATTATTTTTTTCACATAGTCCAGAGGTAAAATGGGCTTCTGAATTGCTTGATTCAGCAGTCAAAGTGTGCCATGAAAGAACCAAGTCCTTTTCATGTCTCTGCTCTGCAGTTCACAGAGTCATCGCAGAGTCAGGCAATATGCTCCCTTGTTCACATCCAACGAGAGAGATTGATTTATCTTTCCCAGAAATCGCAAACTAGCCCCTCTCTGTATGTCATTGGCTCAGGCTGGCTTGGGACCTGCTTATTCCTAAACCAATCATTGATAAAAGAAATGAAATATTTTAATTGGCTTAGACTGGTGGACTAAAACTTTAGCCTCCATTGGAGGGCTTGTAAAAACATATTGCTGCCTGCCCTACTCCAGAGTTTCTGACTCAGTGGGCCTGGGGTTGGAATTCGCATTTATGATGCATTACCATGTGATGCTGGTGCTGCAGGTCTGGGGCCACAAGTTTACTTTTTTTTTTTTTTTTTTTTTTTTTTTGAGACGGAGTCTTGCTGTGTCACCCAGGCTGGAGTGCAGTGGCATGATCTCGGCTCACTGCAACCTCTGCCTCCCAGGTTCATGCTATTCTCCTGCCTCAGCCTCCCGAGTAGCTGGGACTACAGGTGCCCACCACCATGCCTGGCTAATTTTTTATATTCTTATATTTTTATTTTTATTTTTATTTTTATTTTTTTATTTTTTTTTTGAGACTGAATCTCGCTCTGTCGCCCAGGCTGGAGTGCAGTGGCACGATCTCGGCTCACTGCAAGCTCCGCCTCCCAGGTTCACGCCATTCTCCTGCCTCAGCCTCCCGAGCAGCTGGGACTACAGGCGCCCGCCACCGTGCCTGGCTAACTTTTTTGTATTTTTAGTAGAGACAGGGTTTCACCGTGGTCTGGATCTCCTGACCTCGTGATCCGCCCTCCTCGGCCTCCCAAAGTGCTGGGATTACAGGCGTGAGCCACTACGCCCGGCCTTTTTATATTTTTAGTAGAGACGGGGTTTCACCATGTTAGCCAAGATGGTCTCAATCTCTTGACCTTGTGATCCGCCCGCTTCGGCCTTCCAAAGTGCTGGAATTACAGGTGTTAGCCACCATGCCCGGCCCCCTTTTTTTTTTCCTTTTTTTTGAGATGGAGTCTTGCTCTGTCACCCAGGCTGGAGTGCAGTGGCGTGATCTCGGCTCACTGCAACCTCCGCCTCCGGGGTTCAAACGATTCTCCTGCCTCAGACTCCTGAGTAGCTGGGATTATAGGTGTGTGCCACCATGCCTAGCTAATTTTTTTTTATTTTCAGTAGAGATTGGGTTTCACCATGTTGGCCAGGCTGGTCTTGAACTCCTGACCCTGTGATCCGCCTGCCTTGGCCTCCCAAAGTGCTGTGATTACAGGCGTGAGCCATTGCTCCCGGACCGCAACTTTCAAGACCACTATTGCAGGATAATTAATTGAGGTGGAATAGATGTTGGGGTATCAATCCATGGTCTCCTATAAATGTCCTGGTTTGCCTGGCTGAGCTGGTGTAATTATGTCCCCCTTTACTGTCAAAAGTGTTCTGGTTCTTTTCTTTTCTTTTCTTTTTGAGATGGAGGCTCACTGTTGCCAGGCTGGAGTGCATTGGCACGATCTTGGCTCACTGCAACCTCTGCCTCCTGGGTTCAAGCGATTCTCCTGCCTCTGCCTTCCGAGTAGCTGGGACTACAGGCATGTGCCACCAAGCCCAGCTAATTTTTGTATTTTTAGTAGAGACGGGGTTTCATCATGTTGGCCAGGATGGTCTCGATCTCTTGACCTCGTGATCCGCCCGCCTTGGCCTCCCAAAGTGTTGGGATTACAGGTGTGAGCCACCGCGCCCGGCCGGTTATTTCATATATAAATTATGTGATCACCTTACCACACAGGGCTTTGAGTTCAAGTCAAGGTTCTTTCACTACAAGTGAACACAGGAGAGTGAACCAGTATTGGTCAATAAAATGTGTGATTCCAATTGGGAGATCTCTTCTTTTTTCCTTGTCCAAGGATCTATAAGAGACAGAGAAAAAAGCCATCAGTATCAATCATATTTCACATTAAGTATCCTGACTGATGTGTTTTAAGGGCATTGCTTTTAATTTATATGGAAACTATTCTTATAAATATAGCTTTTGCTATCCTTTTTGCTTAACATTCTTAATAGCATGATTTGATTTATAAAAAAATAAGGCATTGATTGCAACTAATTCATTTTATGTCTTAAGTTCATTGACTTATAGTTTTACAAAAATGTGAAACGTGTATTAAGCTAAACTATCATAGTTTTAAAACATTGGTCATGGCTGAGCATAGTGGCTCACACCTGCAATCTCAGTACTTTGGGAAGCCAGGGTGAGAGGATTGCTTGAGGCCAGGAGTTCAAGGCCAGCCTGAGCAACATAGCAAGACCCTGTCTCTACCAAAAAAAAAAAAAAAAAAAAAAAAATAGCAGGCGCCTGTATTCCCAGCTATCTGGGAGGCTGAGGCAGGAAGATCACTTAAGCCCAGGAGTTTCAGGCTGCAGTGAGCTTTGATTGTGCTACTGCACTCCAGCCTGGGTGACAGAGTGAGACCTTGGCTGCAAAAAAAAACCAAAAACACACTTTGGTTATAATGCAGGTCACAGTTAAACAGAGTTCAGAAATAGTGTTTGTTGCCAAGTATTTCTGGTTCATCCAGAACTAAGAGTTTTTTATTGAAAACTAACTATATCTGGCAATCTTAGTAGAGGCCATGTAATTTCTGAGAGCAAATAGTGAATACATATTTTTGTTTTTCTTTCTTAATCTAGTTTCTTTTTCTTGTTTTTTTCTACCTAAAGGTTGCCAAAGACTAAGTTTGAAATTATCTTACATATTAGATACCTCCAATCTTGTCATGGAATTAGATGTAATCTCTTTAAGGTCTTTCTTCAGAAATTGATTGCAAGCAGTTTGGGATGCCACTTAAGAATTTGCTTAAACCACTTCCTCCCAACCCCACAAAAAATCACAAACCCAAGCACAATCCAGATGAGAATCATAAACGTCTCACTGCTCTTTGCAACAGCATGAATTGTGAAATTTTAGTTAATCCAAGAATTTTTTAATGTTGTTGTTTTAAACCTTTTATTAGATTTTCTTCTTATGCCAAAATAACCACATATGGTTCCAATCCTTCAGGATAAGGACAATTTGGGGTAAGTCTAATAGAATAGCAACATTTAAAAAGTTCAAATATGGTAGAATTGTTTTGTTTATATGGTAGAGATAAATTTTTGAGTTAGAGAGATCTAGCGGTCTTCTGTTCTAAACTTACATTCATTGTAGGAACCTCCTCAACATCCCTGAGAGAGAGGGTTCTTTAAACTGAATTATTAATTCCAGTAATAGAGAAGCTGCAGCCTGACGGGGAGGGGTGGCATTGGTTTTATTGTTGAACCGCTTTAGCTAGTTTTCTTACAGTGAGTTACACAGTGTCTCCCAGTACAGTTTGTGTTAGAGGACTATAGACTATGCTATAGACTGTACTGTACCCTCCTCAAATTGATTTGTTGAAGCCCTAACTCCCAACGTGACTGTATTTGGAGATGGGCCTTTTAGGAGGTAATTAAGGTTACATGAGTTCATAAGAATGGGATCTTGGCCAGGCACAGTGGCTCACGCTTGTAATCCCAGCACTTTGGGAGGCCGAGGTGGGTGGATCATGAGGTCAGGAGTTCGAGACCAGCCCGACCAACATGGTGAAACTCCGTCTCTACTAAAAATACAAAAATTAGCCAGTCGTGGTGGCACACACCTGTAATCCCAGCTAATCAGGAGGCTGAGGCAGGAGGATTGCTTGAACCTGGGAACTGGAGGTTGCAGTGAGCCGAGATTGCCACTGCACTCCAGCCTGGGTGACAGAGCGAGACTCTGTCTCAAAAAAAAAAAAAAAAGAATGGGATCTCTCGACGGAAAGGCCATGGGAGGACACAGTGAGAAACTGTGGCTATCTGCAAACCAAGAAGAGAGCCCTCGTTATAAACCAAATTGGCCGGAACCTTGATGTTGGACTTCCCAGCCTCTAGAACTGTGAGAAATAAACCTCTGCTGTTTAAGCCACCACTGTGGTATTTTGTTATGGCAATATGAGTAGACTGAGATAGGCTATATGTAATGCCTTTTCTTATTTTTTTATTTATTTGTTCTTGAGATGGAGTCTCGCTGTGTCACCCAGGCTGGAGTGTGGTGGCACGATCTTGGCTCACTGCAAGCTCTGCCTCCCAGGTTCATGCCCTTCTCCTGCCTCAGCCTCTGGAGTAGCTGAGACTACAGGCACCCGCCACCAGGCCTGGCTAATTTTTTTGTATTTTTAGTACAGACAGGGTTTCACTGTGTTAGCCAGGATGGTCTCCATCTCCTGACCTCGTGATCTGCCTGCCTTGGCCTCCCAAAGTGCTGGGATTATAGGCATGAGCCACTGTACCCAGCCTGTACTGCCTTTTCTATACCACATTTCTCAGCTATCAAGCCAATCCTAACACATCTATTCTTTAAAATTAAACTTCACAGGCCAGGCACAGTGGCTCATGCCTGTGGTGGATCACCTGAGGTTAGGAGTTCAAGACCAGCCTGGCCAACATGGTGAAACCCTGTCGCTACTAAAAATACAAAAATTAGCCTGGCATGGTCGTGGGCACCTGTAATCCCAGCTACTCGGGAGGCTGAGGCAGGAGAATCACTTGAACCCAGGAGGCAGAGGATGCAGTGAGCCGAGACCACGCCATTGCACTCCAGCCTGGGCGACATGAGTGAAACTCTATCTCAAAAAAAAAAAAAAATTAAACTTCATGGTGAGTTCCATTTTTCTTTATTTGATACAATTTCCAGATTGTTGTTCCAATTTGCTGCCCACTTTGAGATCACATCAGTTTGTGTCTACCTCATCAAAATGATGATGTCTAGAACTGAACATAATATTTTAAGTGAATTCTGATTAATGCAGAATATATTAAAACATTACTTTCTATGAGCTGAATTCCATATCTTCTTGTGGGCCACACATAATATAGTGTTGGTTTTGCTTTTTCAGAAAACACATTATATGCAGGTTAAACTTGTTGTCACATAAAATATGCATATTTTTAAGATGAGCTTTTTTTCTGGGCCTTGTAATCCAGTAGGCTTTTGGATTACCAAGTGTGAAACATACGAAAAAGTGCGAATGTTTAGAGGAACCAATATTTCACCATGCAGGTGTGAACTCCAAAAAAAGAAAGAAGCAACAACAAAAACCAAAAAAAAAAAAAAAAAAAGGGAGATAAGATGTTAACTCCAAGAGCTAGTTGGTTTAATGGTAAAATGAATTCTGTATTTGAAACCTGCCCTAGTACACATAACTTCGTACTCAAAAATTGACGCTGTATAAAAAACGTTAGACTGAGTGTTAGAAGAGATGAATTTAAATCCCAGCTTTATAAGTGATGAGCTAAGTGGCTCTTGGGAAGTCACCTACTCTTTCTAAGCCTGAGTCTCCTTATCTCTTTACCTGTAAGGAGTTGTAGCATACCTCTCCTAACATACAGGAAAACACATACACACAAACACATGCCACCAGTTACCATCTACTCTCACGAGTATTTTACCAAATAAAAACATTTAACACCAAAAAAAGGAAGAACAACAGAATTTCAGGATGACAATTGGCAAATATACATGCACATTTCCTTTAAGGCCTGGTGAAAACTGTCACTTACTAAAGGACCTTTTGGAAACTACTGAACTAGATCATCTCTAAGGTCTTATCTAGACCCTCAAGTTGGGTGTGGGGCATCTGAACACTGGATAGTAGTGAGATGATAGATTTGGGGGTGTAAAGTTATTCATTAATCTATTCATGTGTTAAATCAACAAATATTTATTGAATACCCACTATGTGCCATATATTTAAAAGCTGGGATATATCAATGAACAAAATAGACAAAAATGCCTGTCCTCACGGTACTTATATACTGGAGGGAAGAGACAGAAAACAAGTAGTAAACATAAAACAGAAGGCAATTATAGGCTGGGCGTGGTGGCTCACGCCTGTAATCCCAGCACTTGGGGAGGCTGAGGTGGGCGGATCATGAGGTTAAGAGAGCGAGACCATCCTGGGCAACGTGGTGAAACCTCATCTCCACTAAAAATACAAAAATTAGCTCGGCGTGGTGGCGTGCGCCTGTAGTGCCAGCTACTTGGGAGGCTGAGGCAGGAGAATTGTTTGAACCTGGGAGGTGGAGGTTGCAGTGAGCCAAGATTGCGCCACTGCACTCCAGCCTGGCGACAGAGCAAGACTCCGTCTCAAAAAAAAAAGAGGCAATTATATACAGTGTACTACTTTGGAAGATGCTGACTGCCATGGAAAACAAGAGAAAGCAGAGCAGGCAGGGTAGGCAGGGAGTCTGGGGACATTTTTCTGGTCACAGCACAGCAAGGAGCACTGGATCTCATTAACATGATAGGCACATTTTTTGGCTTCTACTTATTGCCTCAAACCTAGCCATGAGTAAATTGATTAATTTAGAAATTTATTACTTATTTCACATATTTAATATCTCTAATGCAGGGTTGTTGTAGATCATAGTAATTAATTCAGCTTGGGAAATTGTCACTGAGTTATTTATTTAGAATAACAGCTTGTGATTTTATTAGCGGTGTATCTGATTTTGAAAATGCCTTAATTCAATCAATTGATTAATCATTTATCATTTAGTCAATAAATATTTATGGATTGCTTGTTATGCAGAAGGCTGAATTATATGTGCATGTATTAAAGTTATAGCTATAGAATTATTAAGTCTAGAATTCCTGAGTGTTTATAAAGGTGGAATTAGGTGCTGTGAAGTATTACAGAGTTAAAAACGGCAATATTTTTAACCCAGAGAATATAGCGTATTTGTTTGCTAATTTGCTTTAGAATTATCTAAGAACAGGTTAGTTGATCTCACAATACTTCTCTGGTAGATAGGGTAGCATATTTTCCTTATTGCATATGTAGGCAGACTTGAGATTCCAGGAAGTTAGATGCCTTATCCTTAGTCACTTAGGGAGTGTAGTGTCGATATCGCAACGAGGACCTTAGGTTTCAGGGGTCGTTGTTTAGCAATATCTGATCTTGAGCCAGTTGGTATAAGAGGACACATACCTTTGGTTCCTGATCTCTCTGGGAGACGGGGGTCCTTTAATGTGCCCACCCAGAGCTCCCCTTCCACAGCACCCACCTCTTTCTGGATTCTACATCTTTGATGCCAAAAGGCCTCAGATTGCAAAAATTATTTGGTGCTTCAGGTCTTCTGTCTCAGCGAATGGGGTTCAGGCCTCCCTCTGGTCTAGGTGTTGGCAAGTACAGAAGGAAGGTGGAGGGGTAAGAAAGGGGGCAGAGGAAAAGGCCAAAAGAGAAACTACCATGTTCATTTCAGCTCTTTCTTCTTCCTGCAGCTCGCAGCTTACTAATTATTCTTCTCCTTCCCAATTACAGAAAAAAGAGAAAGGATCATCATAAAGAGATTCTAGAAATGTGACCTTGACCATTTAGCTTTTGGGAATGACATGTCTAGCCTTAACTTTTGGACATTTTTAGCTAGCAATTTTCAACTTGGTTACAAAATGAGCAGAAGAAGTATTATCCTATGAAGGATATTTTTTTTTTTGAGTCAAAGTCTCGCTCTGTCGCCCACGCTGGTGTGCAGTGGTGTGATCTTGGCTCACTGCAACATCTACCTCCCGGGTTCAAGCAATTTGAAGGAGATGTATTAAAAATACCTGAAGGGAGCCAGGCATGGTGGCTCATGCCTATAATCCCAGCACTTTGGGAGGCCAAGGTAGGCAAGTCACTTGAGGTCAGGAGTTCGAGACCAGTCTCGCCAACCTAGTGAAACCCTATCTCTACTAAAAATGCAAAAATTAGCCAGGCGAGGTGGCGCATGCCTGTAATTCCAGCTACTTGGGAGGCTGAGGCAGGGGAATCGCTTGAACCCAGAGGCAGAGGTTTGAGTGAGCTGAGATCATGCCACTGCACTCTGGCCTGTGTGACAGAGTGAGACAAGACTCCGTCTCAGAAAAACTTAAAAAATAAAAACAAAATAAAAATAACTGAAGGGAGGTTGTCAAAATATGGATCTCCCCCGTCTCCCAGGATCTCATTCTAGCAAAAGTTCTCAGTCTTGGCTACATATTAAAATCACCTGGAGAACATTCACAAAATGCCCAGGTATACAGCCTACCTCTAAGAGGCATTCTGAGTTCATTGTTCTGGGATATAATCCTGCTGATATTGTATTAAAGCTCCAGGTACTTTTAAGGTGCAGCCAGGATCACTGCCCCGGCAATCCTGAATTACTGACAGGAGTGTGTCCTAATCCTGGTGTGCTGCCCCCAGGTGTGTTGGAGTGTGGAGAAAAAAACTCGAGAACCATTAATCCAGTGTTTCTCAAAGGGTGGTCTGCAGAACAGCAGCATCGGCATCACCTGGGAACTTACTAGAAATGCAAATTCTTGGGCCTAACTCCAGACCTACTAATTCAGAAACTCTCAGGGTGTGACCCAGCAATCTAGGGTTTCAGGAGCCCTCAGGTGATTCTGATGCATGTTGAATTTCAGAACCACTGTCCTAATCTAACCTGTAGTATTCTGAAATGATAATCTGAATATAATTGAGTTAGATACCTTCTTTTCTGATAAAAAGAACATTATATCTATAAGCAGGTGTAGGGAGCTTTGTTTAGCTAAAGAAATTAAAGTGCTATGATAGGAATGTTAGACATTAACTAGAAAGGAATCTGGGAATAGGGGCAGAGGTTGTTCATGATTTTCTTTTTGAGGTACAGGATCCTTCCCAGAAAAATCACACCATGTGGTCAGCCATCTTCTCTCCTTGAGCTAAAGCTCTTTTTGTGTTGACTATGAGTTTATATTTTAACCTACTCCAGGCAAACTCTTCCCCATAATCAAATAAAGTTTTCAAAGACAGTGAAGATTAGCAAACAAAGCCTTGCATTAGACAGAAGGGCTGGGAAACACTAAAAGCAACCTTGAGCCAAGATGTCTCCCTGGTAATCCAGCAGGTCCACCACTAGGATAGTAAATAACTCTGATGACATCATGGCATGATGTCTGGTGACTCTCGGTCACCACAGTAGGGGCAGAAGAGTGAGGTTTTCTGATCCACTGATCCATTTGGTCCTTCAGTGACCCCTTTGGCGCTGATAGAATCTTTTTTTTTTTTTTTTTTTTTTTTTTGAGAGAGGGTCTGGCTCTGTCACCCAGACTGGAATGCAGTGGTGCAATCTCGGCTTACTGCAGCCTCTGCCTCCTGGGCTCAAGTGAGCCTCTTGAGTAGCTGGGATGACAAGTATGTGCCACTACGACCAGATAATTTTTGTTTTTTTGTTTTGGTAGAGATGGGGCTTCACCATATATTGCTCAGGCTGGTCTTGAACTCCTGGGCTCAAGTGATCTGCTGGTTTTGACCTCCCAATGTGTTAAGATTACAGATATGAGCCACTGTACCTGGCTCATAGAATTTTTTTTTTTTTTTTGAGACGGCGTCTGTCTCTGTTGCCCAGGCTGGAGTGCAGTGGCACGATCTCGTCCCACTGCAAGCTCCGCCTCCCAGGCTCACGCCATTCTCCCGCCTCAGCCTCCTGAGTAGCTGGGACTACAGGCGCCTGCCACCACGCCTGGCTAATTTTTTTTTTTTGTATTTTTAGTAGAGACGGGGTTTCACCGTGTTAGCCAGCATGGTCTCAATCTCCTGACCTCCTGATCCGCCTGCCTTGGCCTCCCAAAGTGTTGGGATTACAAGGCGTGAGCCACCGCGCCCGGTCAGCTCATAGAATCTTTAGAGAAGAATCTTTGTAGGTGGGATGATACGTGCTTCTGGACATCATGTGAATCATCATATTTCCAGCTTTTAAGCATATTAATGAGGATTTGAACAATGTCTTAAAGCAGGAGTACTGTTTTATTATGAAAGAAGCTTCCTAGTTGACAAACTTTTCATACAGAGTCAAACTTCATTCTAATGGCAATAATTATTATATTATAAGAAACTGGGGGGCCGGGCATGGTGGCTCACGCCTGTAATCCCAGCACTTTGGGAGGCCGAGGTGGGTGGATCACGAGGTCAGGAGATCGAGACCATCCTGACTAACACCGTGAAACCCCATCTCTACTAAAAATACAAAAAATTAGCCAGGCATGGTGGCGGGCGCCTGTAGTCCCAGCTACTCGGGAGGCTGAGGCAGGAGAATGGTGTGAACCGGGAGGCGGAGCTTGCAGTGAGCCGAGATCGCGCCACTGTACTCCAGCCTGGGCGACAGAGAGAGACTCTGTCTCAAAAAAATTAAAAAATTAAAAAATTAAAAAAAAAAAAGAAACTGGGATCATGTTGAATTTGCCTGAAACAAATCCAAGGAGTTAGATTGCTTCAGAGGTCACCTGATAGAAATAGCTCATAAATTCCCTAGGAGTAAATCACTCTTACTAGGCCTGAAGACATGCTTCAAGTCAGAATGTGATAGTAATGATTCACTCTGGGATTTCATTTCAAGCCACAGGAACTAAAAATGCAAGTACAGTTCCCAATGCGAAACGCAACCTGTAATCTTAATCCATTTAACTTCCTCAAATTGCTGTATTACTCAAAACAGCTGATTTCTTCATTGAGCATAGATGAATTTCCTCTGTGGCAAATGTCACCATCTGACCCAAGGATATGTCTAGGCCCTCCTTACCACCTGTGAGCTCTCCTTCAAGGAAAGGCCGTTGAGCAAGCCCAATTGGTCTAGTTAAGAGCCTGTGCTTTGGAATCACTTAAGAGCCTGTGCTTTGGAATCAGATTACCTGTGTTGGAATCTACCAATATGGCTTGGTAGGAGCGTATTTTTGGATGTATCTCTTAACCTTCCTAAACTACAATTCCCTCAACTGGAAAATGGAGAAACAATAATACTGACGTCATAGTATCAGCAGTTGCACAGGATCTAGTATAAAGGTGGTCAGGTATAAAAGTGGTCAATAAATATTAGTTCTTATTTAAGGAGGTAATATTATAATGGTTAAGAGGAGGATTTTAAGGCCAAATTGTCTAGTTCGAATCCCAATTCTGCCACTTACTTTGTAAAAGTTACCTAATCACTTGGGGCCAAGGTTGAGGACAGGTGCCTGGGAAACACCGGGAAGTACTCCAGGGAATAAATGAGAGGCTCCAATTTTTATTTTTATTTATTTATTTATTAAGGCGGAGTTTCACTCTTTTGCCCAGGCTGGAGTGCAATGGTGCGGTCTCAGCTCACTGCTATCTCTGCCTCCCGGGTTCAAGTGATTCTCCTGCCTCAGCCTCCCAAGTAGCTGGGATTATAGGCACCTGACACCACGCCCAGCTAATTTTTGTATTTTTAGTAGAGATGGGGGTTTCACCATTGGCCAGGCTGGTCTCGAACTCCTGACCTCAGGTGGTCTACCCACCTTGGCCTCTCAAAGTGCTGGGATTACAGGCTTGAGCCACCGCACCTGGCAGAGGCTCCAGTTTTTAAAGAAAAAAGGACAGCTCCGGAAAAGGGATTGAATGCAAAAGTTGTTCATCAGGAATTCTCATTAGTTTACAGGAATAACACTGAATAGTGATTGGCTATACATTGCTGAACTGTAGGCTATGAGTTATGGTGTCCAGGATATGGCATTTTTTGGCTCCTTTGTGTCAGTCTAGAGCTCATATAGCAAGTGGCTTCAAGAAGTGATTCCTGGGCCGGGCGCAGTGGCTCACGCCTGTAATCCCAGCACTTTGGGAGGCCGAGGTGGGCGGATCACGAGGTGAGGAGATCGAGACCATCCTGGCTAACACGGTGAAACCCCGTCTCTACTAAAAGTACAAAAAATTAGCCGGGCATGGTGGCGGGCGCCTGTAGTCCCAGCTACTCGGGAGGCTGAGGCAGGAGAATGGCGTGAACCCGGGAGGCGGAGCTTGCAGTGAGCTGAGATCATGCCACTGCACTCCAGCCTGGGAGACAGAGTGAGACTCCATCTCAAAATAAAAGAGGTGATTCTTTAGCTTGAGGGAAGAGTGATAGTCCTGTCACATTTCAAATGCCTCTCTGGGCATGATAATTTAAAGGGGCTTGCATGCCTCAGATGCAAATTTCTTTTTCTTTCCCATAGCACACTAGGAGAGAGTACAAATGAGGCCCACCTATCGTGTTTTAAATACTTAGAAGTTGTACATCAAGTTAAATAACTCTTAAATAAAATGTTTTCTGTTCTCCTATCTTGACAAATATACCTTCATAGCAAACTAGGTTCAGGTTCAAATGTAGAATTTTTAGAGTTCCACACCAGAGGTGGGAGGAACAGAGGGAGCCAGCCCCTGGACACTGGGTTCTGGCCTCCAGCTACTTCTCTTACCCAGCTTCTTCCTGCACCCAGCCCTAGTATCCAGGGCTCCCCAGCCCCCGTCCCATACACATACCTGTGGTAACAGTGTGCTACCTGGAAATCTCCAGGGAAGTGCCAGGTAGATGCTCTGGAAGTTGGTGTGCGCTCTTTCGGCAAAAGAAATTCCAGAGTCAGCCGGGCACAGTGGCTCACGCCTATAATCCCAGCACTTTGGGAGGCCCAGGCGGGCAGATCATGAGGTCAAGAGATCAAGACAATCCTGGCCAACATGGTGAAACCCTGTCTCTACTAAAAATACAAAAGTTAGCTGGGTGTGGTGGCACACGCTTGTAGTGCCAGCTACTCGGGAGGCTGAGGCAGGAGAATAGCCTGAACCAGGAGGCAGAGGTTGCAGTGAGCTGAGATTACGCCACTGCACTCCAGCCTGGTGACAGAGTGAGACTCTGTCTAAAATAAATAAATAAATAAATAAATAATTCCAGAGTCCAGGAATGCATTCTGAAGTGGAGTATTATGGACTAAATGTTTGTGTCCCCCAATATTCCTGTGTTGAAGCCCTAACCCCCAGTGTGGCTGTATTTGGAGATAGGGCCTCTAAAAAAGTAATTAAGATTAAATGAGATTATAAGGATGAGGTTCTGATCTCATAGGCTTAGTGTCCTTATAGGAAGTGACATCAGAGAGCAGTCTATGCACAGGCACTGAAGAAAGGCATGTGAGGACAGTGAGAAGGGGTCACCTGCAAGCCAGGAGGAGGGTCCTCACCAGAAATGGACTATGCTGGCACCCTGCTCTTGGACTTCCCAGCCTCCAGAACTGTGAGAAATACACTTCTGTTGTTTCAGCCACCCAGGCTGTGGTACTTTGTTATGGCAGCCTGAGCTGACAGTGAGTGTGGGGCTGGTTCCTGGGGGACACACCCCTGCAGACTCCTTGGTCTGTGAGGAAGAAAGGCAACCAGAGAAAAGCTAGAGTCTCCTCTAAAGAGCAGGCCTTGGTGTAGGGACCCCCTTGAGCTGCAAGGACAGAACAGCTCTTCAAAGGTGCTCAGGGAGAAGTGGAGAAATGTTGAATTTCATGTATACTTGGCCTGGGCAGACAGACTCAATGTGGAAATTTAAGCCAAGAACTAAGTGGACCTGACAGTTATGGTCACAGGCTGTTTGGCTAGAAATTATCTTAGAGGTCATCTAGCCCTCATACAGTTAGAGAACAGAACTCCAGGGACTTTCCAAAGGTTGAACAGAAACTTGTTGAGATCATGGCTCTCTAAAATCTCAGGCATATACCTTTGTATGTGTTAGGTTATAAAAGTTTCCCAATTTGTGGATTAACTTTCAGAGGCCTGCTGAATTTGCTAGGAGGAGAACTTTGAAGAATGCATTAAGAATTCTTGCTTCACTGCAGGCCAGAGCTACTTGTGTTTGCCTAACCTGGAGCTGATGAAACAAAGCATCTGGTTAAAAAATTATACATAAGGCCGGGTGCAGTGGCTCACGCCTGTAATCCCAGCACCTTGGGAGGCCAAGGCAGGTGGATCATGAGGTCAGGTGTTCGAGACCAGCCTGGCCAACATGGTGAAACTCCATCTCTGGCCAGGCGCAGTGGCTCATGCCTGTAATCCCAGCACTTTGGGAGCCTGAGGCAGGCGGATCATGAGATCAGGAGATCAAGACCATCCTGGCTAACACAGTGAACCCTGTCTCTACTAAAAATACAAAAAATTAGCCGGGAATGGTGGTGGGCGCCTGTAGTCCCAGCTACTCGGGAGGCTGAGGCAGGAGAATGGTGTGAACCCAGGAAGCGGATGCAGTGAGCCGAGATCGCGCCACTGCACTCTAGCCTGAGCGACAGAGCGAGACTCCATCTCAAAAAAAAAAAAAAAAAGAAAAGAAAAAAAGAAAAAATGCTCAACGCCACTCACTGATTATCAGGAAAATGCAAATCAAAACCACACTGAGATATTATCTTCCCCCAGTTAGAATGGGCATTATTAAAAAGACAAAAACAAAAACAAAACACAGATGCTGGCGAGGATGGGGAGAAAAGAAAACTCATCTCCACTGCTGGTGAGAATGTAAATTAGTACAACCACTATGGAAAACAATGCAGAGATTTCTCAAAGAACTAAAAGTAGAACTACCATAGCATCCAGCAATGCCACTACTGGGTATTTATTCAAAGGAAAAGAAATCAGTATATTAAAAAGATACCTGTACTTCTTTATCAAAGCACTATTCATAATAGCAAAGATATGGCATCAACCTAAGTGTCCATCAGTAAATGAATGGATAAAGAAAATGTAGTATATATATATATATATATATATATATATATATATATATATATATATATATATATACACACACACACACACATATATATATATATATACACACACAATGGAATACTATTCGGCCATAAAAAGAATGAAATAATGTCATTTGCAGCAACATGGGTGGAACTGGAAGTCATTATGTGAAGTGAAATAAATCGGCACAGAAAGATAAATATTGCATTTTCTCACTCATATATGGGAGCTAAAAAAGTTGATCTCATGGAGGTAGAGTAGAATGATAGGTACCAGAGGCTGGGAAGAGTGTGTGGGTGGGTGGTGAGGATTAAGAGAGGTTGGTTAATGGTGAAAACATACAGTTAGATAGAAGGGATAAGTTCTAATGTTCAAGAGCCGAGTAGTGTAACTATAGTTAGCAACTATGTATTGCATATTTCAAAATAGCTAGAAGAGAGGACTTGAAATGTTCCCAACACATAGAAATGATAAAGACTCAAAGTGATGAATACCTTAAATATCCTGACCCGATCATTACACATTTTATGCATGTAACAAAATATCACATGTACCCCATAATTACGTATCAAAAAATGATCAGAAAGTATAAACATATCTTACTCAGGCTTTGCCTGTGCTTATCCAATGAAATTATTTTTAAGACAGAAAGCAGGCCAGGCACGGTGCCTCACGCCTGTAACCCTGGCACTTTAGGAGGCAGAGGAGGGTGGATCAGCTGAGGTCAGAAGTTCGAGATCAGCCTGGCCAAGACGGTGAAACCTCATCTCTACTAAAAATACAAAAAATTAGCCGGGCATGGTGGCGGATGCCTGTAATCTCAGCTACTTGGGAGGCTGAGGCAGGAGAACTGCTTGAACCCGGGAGGTGGAGGTTGCTGTGAGCCAAGATCACACCATTGCACTCCAGCCTGGGTGACAGAGTGAGACTCTGTCTTAAACAAAAAGACAGAAAGCTGATATATTTTATCTTTTCCCAGTAGAGCTCCAAGTTTGCAGATGTTTTCTGCTTACAGCTTGGGCAGTCCAGGTAGTTTCCAAACCTCTCTCTTCTATTTCCAAGACAGAACTGCGGCCCTTTTCCTTCACAGTAGCTCTGCCTTGGACAGAAATGATCAAGGGCCACTACCACTGCTCTTAGGTTTGAGTAGATAAGATTTGGGGGGGTATCTCTAACTGGTATTCCATTTATCTCCCCAAAAGAGTAAAAGTGGCTCAAAATAATGTTCCAAATAATTTTCTCAAAACAATATAAGGTTCATTGGCTTTTTCTCATTATAAAAGACATTTTTGTTCTGTTTTGTTTTGTTTTTTGAGATGGAGTCTCGCTCTGTGGCCAGGCTGGAGTGCAGTGGTGCCATCTCAGCTCACTGTAACCTCTGCCTCTGAGGTTCAAGTAATTCTCCTGCCTCAGCCTCCCGAGTAGCTGAGACTACAGGTGCGTGCCACCACACCCAGTTAATTTTTGTATTTTTAGTAGAGATGGGGTTTACCATGTTGGCCAGGCTGGTCTCGAACTCCTGATCTCAAGTGATCTGCCCAAACTTGGCCTCCCAAAGTGCTGGGATTACAGGCATGAGCCACTGTGCACAGCCTTGTTTTGTTTTTGAGACAGGGTCTTGTTCTGTCAGCCAAGCTGGAGCACAGTGGCACTATCATAGCTCACTCCAGCCTTGACTTCCCAGGGTCAAGTAATCCTCCTGCTTCAGCCTCCCAAGTAGCTGGGACTACAGGCATGCACCACCACACCTGGCTAATTTTTAAATTTTTAGTAAAGAGGAGGTTTCGCTATGTTGTCCAGGCTGATCTTGAGCTACTGAGCTAAAGTGATCCTCCCACCTTGGCCTCCCAAAGTTTTGAGATTACAGGCATGAGGCACCATGGCTGTCCAATAAATATTCTTAACATGATTATCTATTTCTAATTCTAAGATCCTTAGAATTGATTCTTAGAAGTGGAGTTACTATGAAAGAGCCTTAATACTTCAAGTCAAATTGCTTTTCGAGAGGCATTACCATTAATTCCAGCAACAGCAGTGTAGAATAGTGCCTGTTTCACTACGTCCTCCTGGATAGACTCTTGCCTATTAGTGTAGCACTGGGATCTGACTTCTGAATCAGCCTGTCTAGAATTGAATTCCAACTCGACCACTTCCTAGCTGTGTGGATTGGGAAAAGTTGCTTAGCTGCTCTATATCTTGGTTTATCTTTGTTCAAATGGGCATAGTAATACTGCCTACTTCATAGAGTTATTATGAAGTTTAAAATAATATATTACAGGTACTCAATAAAGGCTAGTCTATTACATTAATAAAATTATCTTCTAATATGACATGTGAAAAACTGTACTTCATTGTTGCCTTAAATTGCATTCTCTAATTACTACTGATTATAAACTTTAAAAATGTTTATTGGCTAATTTGTGTGTGTGCATGTCTGTGAATTGACTATTCATTTCCATTGACTTCTCCTAATTGTGGCTGGTGTTTTCTTGTTATAGATTTGTTGGAGCTCTTTATATATTGACATTAATCTCATGCATGTCATATACACAAGTAGTTTTCACAGTATTTAATTTGCTTCTAATCTTTATGATTTTGGGGGTTATATAAATGCTTAAATTTCTATGTAGTGAAAAGTGAAATCAAATATGATAATGTTTTCTTTGACTTTTTTTTTTTTTTTGAGACAGAGTCTTGCTCTGTTGCCCAGGCTGGAGTGCTGTGGTGTGATCTCAGCTAACTGCAAGCCCCGCCTCCCAAGTTCATGCCATTCGCCTGCCTCAGCCTCCCGAGTAGCTGGGACTACAGGCGCCCGCCACCACGCCCGGCTAACTTTTGTTTGTATCTTTAGGAAAGACAGGGTTTCACTGTGTTAGCCAGGATGGTCTTGATCTCCTGACCTCGTGATCTGCCTGCCTCGACCTCCCAAAGTGCTGGGATTACAGGTGTGAGCTACCGTGCCCGGCTCTTTGGCTTTTTTAATTGCTTTTTTATTTAGAAATCCAGCTCTCTTCCCAGGTTAGTTTTTTTGTTTTTGTTTTGTGTGTATGTGTGTAGAGACTAAGTCTCGCTATATTGCCCAGGCTGGTCTTGAAACCCTGGTCTCAATCCTCCCACTTCAGCCTTGCAAAGTGCTGGGATTACAGGCATGAGCCGCCATGGCCAGCCCCATGTTAGTTTATAACACATAATTTATTATTCATAAATTGAATTTTTACATAGTCTGAAGTTTGTTTTGAGGTTCCCTAAAAGATTCCATTTTTAATCAATACTACTTTAATTATTCTAGGTTTAGAATAATTAAATAGTTAATTAAATAATAAATAATTAAATAAAATTATAAATAGTTAAATATTAACTGTTAATTAAATTACGGTTTATATATTTACATTTTCTTAATAATATATCATTTATTATTAATTATAATTCTAAATTAAATTATAAATAGCTAATTACACTATAGCTAATTAAATAATTAATACCTGATAGCCTTTTTTTAAATATTTCTTAAAAATTCTTGAATGCTTATTCTTTCAGTTTATTTATTTATTTATTTTTTTGAGACGGAGTCTCACTCTGTCGCCCAGGCTGGAGTGTGAGTGCAGTGGCACCATCTCGGCTCACCGCAACCTCTGCCTCCCGGGTTGAAGCAATTCTCCTGCCGCAGGCTCCCAAGTAGCTGGGACTCCAGGCGCGCCACCACGCCTGGCTAATTTCTTGTATTTTTAGTAGAGATGGGGTTTCACCGTGTTAACCAGGATAGTCTCAGTCTCCTGACCTTGTGATCTGCCTGCCTTGGCCTCCCAAAGTGCTGGGTTTAGAGGCGTGAGCCACCGCGTCTGGCCTCTTTCAGTTTATTAAGCATCGACAGATGTTAACATCTTGACAAGATGTTAAATTTTAACATCATGTTAAGTTCCCACACGTGAATTTTTTTTTTTTTTTTTTGAGACAGGGCCTTGCTCTGTCACCCAGGCTGGAGTGCAGTGGCACAATCTCGGCTCACTGCAGCCTCTGACTCCCTGACACAAGGGATCCTCCCACCCTAGCCTTTTGAGTAGCTGGGACCACAGGTGCAAGCCACCACACTTGGTTAATTTTAAAATTTTTTGTAGAGATGGGGTCTTGCTGAGAGGTGGCAGCGTGCTGGCAGTCCTCAGAGCCCTCGCTTGCTTTCGGCACCTCCCCTGCCTGGGCTCCCACTTTGGTGGCATTTGAGGAGCCCTTCAGCCCCCCCCACTGCACTGTGGGAGCCCCTTTCTGGGCTGGCCAAGGCTGGAGCCCACTCCCTCAGCTTGCAGGGAGGTGTGGAGGGAGAGGCACGCGCGGGAACCGGGGCTGCGTGCGGTGCTTGCGGGCCAGCTGGAGTTCCGGGTGGGCATGGGCTTGGTGGGCCCCGCACTCGGAGCAGCCAGCCAGCCCTGCTGGCCCCGGGCAATGAGGGACTTAGCACCCGGGCCAGTGGCTGCGGAGGATGTACTGAGTCCCCCAGCAGTGCCGGCCCACCGGCGCTGTGCTCGATTTCTCACCGAGCCTTAGCTGCCTTCCCGCGGGGCAGGGCTTGGGACCTGCAGCCCGCCATGCCTGAGCCTCCCACCCACTCCATGGGCTCCTGTGCGGCCGGAGCCTGCCCGACGTGCACCACCCCCTACTCCACGGCGCCCAGTCCCATCGACCACCCAAGGGCTGAGGAAAGCGAGCGCACGCCGCAGGACTGGCAGGCAGCTCCACCTGCAGCCCTGGTGCGGGATCCAATAGGTGAAGCCAGCTGGGCTCCTGAGTCTGGTGGGGACGTGGAGAGTCTTTATGTCTAGCTCAGGGATTGTAAATACGCCAATCAGCACCCTGTGTTTAGCTCAAGGTTTGTGAGTGCACCAATCAACACTCTGTATCTAGCTGCTCTGGTGGGGCCTTAGAGAACCTGTGTGTCGAAACTCTGTATCTAACTAATCTGATGGGGACGTTGAGAACCTTTGTATCTAGCTCAGGGATTGTAAACGCACCAATCAGCGCCCTGACAAAACAGGCCTCTGGGCTCTACCAATCAGCAGGATGTGGGTGGGGCCAGATAAGAGAATAAAAGCAGGCTTCCGGAGCCAGCATTGGCAACCCGCTCGGGTCCCCTTCCACAGCGTGGAAGCTTTGTTCTTTCGCTCTTTGCAATAAATCTTGCTACTGCTCACTCTTTGGGTCCACGCTGCTTTTATGAGCTGTAACACTCACCGCGAAGGTCTGCAGCTTCACTCCTGAGCCAGCGAGACCACGAACCCCCCAGAAGGAAGAAACTCCGAACACATCTGAACATCAGAAGGGACAGACTCCAGACGCGCCACCTTAAGAGCTGTAACACTCACCGCGAGGGTCCGTGGCGTCGTTCTTGAAGTCAGTGAGACCAAGAACCCACCAATTCCAGACACATTGCTATGTTGCCTAGGCTGGTCTTGAAATGGCCTCAAGTGATCCTCCTGCCTCAGCCTCCCGCAATGCTGGGATTACAGGAATGAGCCACCACGCCTGGCTGACAAATCTTTTAAATTATATATATACATATATATATATATATTTTTTTTTTTTTTTTGAGACGGAGTTTCGCTCTTGCTGCCCAGGCTGGAGTGCAATGGTGCGATCTCGGCTCACTGCAACCTCCACCTCCCCGGTTCCAGCTATTCTCCTGCCCCAGCCTCCCGAGTAGCTGGGATTACAGGCATGCGCCACGACGCCCGGCTAATTTTGTATTTTTTTTTTTTTTTTTTTTTTTTTAGTAGAGATGGGGTTTCTCCATGCTGGTCAGGCTGGTCTCGAACTCCTGACCTTAGGTGATCCGCCCACCTCGGCCTCCCAAAGTGCTGGGATTACAGGCGTGAGCCACCGTGCCCGGACTTAAATTAGATTTGACTTAAAGCTACATATTAATTTTGTTTTAGGAACATGGAATATTTCTTCATTTATTACAATTTTATTTTTTAAAGTTTTGCCAGTTTGCTGTTGTTTTTGTGGTTGTTTTCACATAGGCATACTCATTTCTTGCTAGGATTATTTCTGTAGTTTTAAATATTTTTGTATTATATTTGGGCTTATTACTCCTATTAGGTTGTTTAACTTACTGATGGTATATGGAACATTTATAGATTCCTGGATATTTTGTATTTGATGACACTGAAGAACTTTCTTAGGAATTCTGAAAGGCTTGTAGTTGAGCCACGCTGGGTTTTCTGAGTACATAATCCAATCATCTGGAAAAAACATTAATCTTTTCCAAATCATTATGTCTCTTATTTCTGTTTCATGAGTATTTTTAGTTGCTGAAAATGTGTGAAAAGTGCACTGTCTAAAGCAATCTCTTTTCTGCTCTCTTCACTCCTACAACAAATACAGTGAACTGAGGATGAGGTTGGGGGAGGGGAAGAAGGAGAGGAGCAGGGCTGGTGCTTATCTGGGAAGCGCAGAAGATGTCTTCGGGCTGCAGGCAGCAGTTTCTGTAGATCTAAGTGCTGGCCAGGGGCTTCCCAAGGCAGCTGTGGTCTAAGCTACTGATTTGCTGTATCAGCGATCTGCCACCTTCCTTCCCCTTGTTTTCTTGCCCTCTGCCTCAGCCTTGCTCCTCTCTCCCCAACCTCCCTTCTCAGCTCTGCTCCTCTCTGTCTGCTTCCTCAGTAGGGATATGGCAGTGGCCACAGCCTCTGCACTGAGGAGAGAACTTGTCAACATGTTTTTTGCTCCAGTAGGAGCTCGTTCATCTGTGGCCAAGATCAGACCTTGGCTCAGTGGCATGGGCTGCTTAGTGCACCTACCCTGATGTAATTCCTCCCTCTGTCCATCTTCCCTGCTCCCACCTTCCTTTGAGCCATCATCAGCTATCACCTTGACTCCTGCAATAACTTTCTAAATGGCTCTCCTCCAATACATTCTTTTCACAGGGCAGTATTTTAAAAACATAAATCAGAATACACTCCCTTATTAAAAACCTTTCAGTGACTTCCCATAGCACTTAGAATAAACATAAACTCCTTAACGTGGCCCTGTGTGATTGGTCTCTTCCAATCTCTCGTAGCCTCTTTTTATTTATTTATTTATTTATTTATTTATTTTTTATTGATCATTCTTGGGTGTTTCTCGCAGAGGGGTATTTGGCAGGGTCATAGGACAATAGTGGAGGGAAGGTCAGCAGATAAACAAGTGAACAAAGGTTTTCCTAGGCAGAGGACCCTGCGGCCTTCCGCAGTGTTTGTGTCCCTGGGTACTTGAGATTAGGGAGTGGTGATGACTCTTAACGAGCATGCTGCCTTCAAGCATCTGTTTAACAAAGCACATCTTGCACCGCCCTTAATCCATTTAACCCTGAGTGGACACAGCACATGTTTCAGAGAGCACAGGGTTGGGGGTAAGGTCACAGATCAACAGGATCACAAGGCAGAAGAATTTTTCTTAGTACAGAACAAAATGAAAAGTCTCCCATGTCTACCTCTTTCTGCACAGACACGGCAACCATCCGATTTCTCAATCTTTTCCCCATCTTTCCCCCCTTTCTATTCCACAAAACCGCCATTGTCATCATGGCCCGTTCTCAATGAGCTGTTGGGTACACCTCCCAGATGGGGTGGTGGCCGGGCAGAGGGGCTCCTCACTTCCCAGTAGGGGCGGCCGGGCAGAGGCGCCCCTCACCTCCCGGACGAGGCGGCTGGCCGGGCGGGGGGCTGACCCCCCCACCTCCCTCCCGGACGGGGCGGCTGGCCGGGCAGAGGGGCTCCTCACTTCCCAGTAGGGGCGGCTGGGCAGAGGCGCCCCTCACCTCCTGGATGGGGCGGCTGGCCGGGCGGGGGGCTGACCCCCCCACCTCCCTCCCGGACGGGGCGGCTGGCCGGGCGGGGGGCTGACCCCCACACCTCCCTCCCGGACGCGGTGGCTGCCGGGCGGAGACGCTCCTCACTTTCCAGACTGGGCAGCCAGGCAGAGGGGCTCCTCACGTCCCAGACGATGGGCGGCCAGGCAGAGACGCTCCTCACTTCCCAGACGGGGTGGCGGCCGGGCAGAGGCTGCAATCTCGGCACTTTGGGAGGCCAAGGCAGGCGGGTGGGAGGTGGAGATTGTAGCCAGCCAAGATCACGCCACTGCGCTCCAGCCTGGGCACCATTGAGCACTGAGTGAACCAGACTCCATCTGCAATCCCGGCACCTCGGGAGGCCGAGGCTGGCGGATCACTCGCGGTTAGGAGCTGGAGACCAGCCCGGCCAACAAAGAGAAACCCCGTCTCCACCAAAAAAATACGAAAACCAGTCAGGCGTGGCGGCGGCTGAGGCAGGAGAATCAGGCAGGGAGGTTGCAGTGAGCCAAGATGGCAGCAGTACAGTCCAGCTTCGGCTCGGCATCAGAGGGAGACCGTGGAAAGAGAGGGAGAGGGAGACCGTGGGGAGATGGGAGAGGGAGAGGGAGAAATAGAATCTTAATTCTTTTTTTTTTTTTTGAGACAAAGTCTTGCTGTGTTGCCCAGGCTGGAATGCAGTGGTGTCGTCTCGGCTCACTGCAACCTCCGCCTCCAGGGTTCAAGCATAGAATGTCTCTCATAGCCTCTTGTACCACCTCTCCTCTTGTTCTCTGGAACACCGCTCTGTCTTCTCTTCTGTCCCTGGAACATACCAAGAGTGTATTCACCCTAGAGCCTTTGGACTTGCTACTCCCACTGTCTGGAACATCTTCTCCTAGCCCTTGGTGTGTGTGTGCCTCCTCATTATTCAGGCCTCATATGCAATATCCATATTCCCACCCTTTCTGCTCTCAGAGTACCCTGTTTGTGTTCTTCATGGCATTTACCATAATCTGTAATGATCTTGTTTATTTGTTCACTTATTTGTGTCTTTGCCACCTGGAATGTAAACTCTATGACAGCAGATAATTTTGTCTTGTTTACTTCTGATTTCCTGGAATCGAGAACTGTGGCACATAGAAAACACTAGAAAAATACCGTTTTTGCCTGGGTTCCCTCAATAAAATAGTCTGTTATCAGGGGTTGCATGCATTTTGGGAAGTGAATCATGCAAGAGGAATGAGGTTGGGGAAGTAAAACAGTGAAGGAGGGAAGGCCAATACAGATATCTGTTGTAAGTGGTCACTGCAGTGGACTACTCAAGACTGGATTGTGATGATGGGCATCTTCTGTGAAGCCATGTGTCTAAGAACTGTGCATTCTAGGGAGAGTGGAAGGTGTATCTACCCACCAGATTCTGTTTCAGCTTTGAGTCAAGGGCTTACGTTTCCATGGATGCATGTAGGACCAGCGACATGATTTGCAAGGCCCAGTGCAAAATAAAATTACAGGTCATTGTTCAAAAAGTATTCATAATTTCAAGATAGAGATAGTAGAGCCCTAAACCAAGAATGAGGCTCATCTGAGCACAGAGTCCTGTGCCACTACACAGGCCTCGTGCCCTTGCCCTCATGCGCTAGGCCAGGCAGGTTCTTGCAGCATCCCACTGATGTCAGAGTGTCAGAGAAGCCCCAGAGCATGAGAGCTGGAGTGAAGAAGCATGGCTGAAGTCAGGTGCTGTCACGTTACACCTGTAGGAAGCAGGTTGCACAGCAGTGGTTGGAGCAAAAGGTGGACTGAGAGGATGTCAGGCCTTGTCACTTGAGATAACAAGATATCCAAAACAATAAATGAGTTTAGAGTTTCTACGGCTTACTGTCATTTGCCAAAAATTCCAGAAGATTTAAATGGTAATTTTGAGAGTAATTACTCTTGTAGTTTTGATGATGCTAATGGATGGAACTCTTGTGCTTTCCCATTGAGTATGATCATGGTATTGATTTAAATGACTATATTTCCTATGTGAGAAGCCCTATTCCTTATTATTATTTTTAATTGAGACAGGATCTCACTCTGTCACCCAGGCTGGAGTGCAGTGGCACAATCTTGACTCACTGCAGCCTGCGCCTCCTGGGCTTAAGCAATCCTCCCACCTCAGCCTTCCAAGTAGCTGGGACCACAGGTGCACACCACTACTCCTGGCTAATTTTTTTTTTTTTTTTTTTGGTGGAGACAGGGTCTCACCATGTTGCCCAGGCTGGTCTTGAACTCCCGAGCTCAAGCGATCAGCCTGCTCTGGCCTCCCAAAGTGCTGGGATTATAGGAGTGAGTTATTGTGCCCGGTTCACAATTTTCTAAGACACCTTAGATAGAAACTCTGTCCAATAGAATGTTCTGTGATGATGAAAAACGTCTTGTCTACACAGTTTAATATGGTAGCCAATAGGCACATATGGCTATTGAGCACTTTACCTGTGAGGAACTGTTGGTTAAATTTTATTTAATTTTAATTCATTTAGGCCAGGCACGGTGGCTCACGCCTGTAATCCCAGCACTTTAGGAGGCCGAGGCAGGCGGATCATGAGGTCAGGAGTTCGAGACCAGCCTGGCCAATGTGCTGAAACCCTGTCTCTACTAAAAATACAAAAATTATCTGGGCGTGGTGGCTGGCACCTGTAATCCCAGCTACTTGGGAGGCTGAGGCAGGAGAATCCCTTGAACCTGGGAGGCAGAGGTTGCAGTAAGCCAAGATTGCGCCACTGCACTCCAGCCTGGGTGACAGAGCAAGACTCCATCTCAAAAAAAAAAATTAAATTAAATTTAAAAAGATTAATTCATATAAATTTAAAGCACCATGTGGCTAGTGGCTACTGTATTGCAGAGTGCAGCTATTGATAGCAAACGACACTTGTACATTCTACCAATGGTAAAATTCAAGTCTTTACTTCTGTTCAGTCTCTCTGTGAGCTCCACTAACTCAGTAAGTTATCTCAAGCCTGCTTTATTTTAAGGCAATGGATTCTAGATCCAGGAAAAAAAGTTCCATTTCCCTATCTTGTGTCCAAGGCAGACATAGCTAATTGACCATGGCATTTTTATTTTCTCTGAGTTTAGAAGTAGCTTTGTCATCTTTCTCACAGTGAGGATCTGGAAAGCCACTACTCGTTGAGAGGGGGTAACAATAAACTCATATTTATTGAGGGCTAACTGCGTGCCAAGTACTTTAAGTTACATTAGAAGTAAATCCCAGTCCCTCCAACCACACAGATCTGCATTGTCTTCTTTGTGTTGGGAACCAAGATACTCTTCCAACTGGGTTGGATGTCAACCTGCTCAGCCACCTCCATGGGACAGACCAATCAATCATTCAAAGGACAAAGGAATTTATTTCTCCCCTCACAATATTTGACAAAACTTAAAACACTGATCTTTCCATCTTCATTCCACTACAATAATTATATGTTCATAATGGAGACTGGACATGGGGAAAGCAAAGTAAAAGAACATTTACTACGTGTCGATGTCAGCGCTGTGCAGGATGCTTTAGACATTTTTGTCATTTAGCAGCTATAGGAACCACATGGACAGGATATATAAAGCATCTTTAGTTTGTCCTTTTCTGCTGTGCCTCACAAGAAGTGAGTAATTAATTTTGTCAGAGGGTGTTTAATTCAGTTTACTTATTAATTCATTTACTAAGTCAATGATATTAATTAAGTGTCCAGTAAGTGCAAAAAACAATGCTAGGTTCTGGGAAGCCACATAGACATCAAGGTCCTGGCCTCAAGACATTCAGCTTTGTGGACTATAAACGGAGTATAATGAGCCATGGCGATACAGGGAAGAGAGAGTTTGAGGAGACAAGGAAGGCTGCAAAGAGAAGGTGGCCTTTGAACTAAGTGTTGATGAATAAAAAGAATTCACCAGGTAAGAAAGGAGATTCTGGACTGAGGTAAAATTATGTGTGATAGCATAAGCACAACAAATCCATATGGAATATTTCAGAAATGGCAAGTGTTTTAGTGTAATTTACCAACACCAGAAATTCTGCTCTTGGAGTGACGTGTATCTACTTATAATGGTACATTGTAAATTACTTTGCCATTGCATGATGAACTCAAAGCGTACGTAAGTTAAGCTGTCAAGAAAATATCAGCATATTATATTATTGAAGTAAAATCAGAGGGAAAGTGATCTACTGCTAACTAGCTATCTGACTTCGGGCAAGTAAGCTTGGTTACTTTAGGTTTTAGTTGCCTTATTTATAAAATGAAGAGGTTGATGTAGAATGTATTATTTATCCTCTACACTATTCTAAGAAGCAACAATAATACCAAGGGCTTATTCTCAGAATGAAGGAAAGAAGAAAATCAACAGGTACTTACTGAATCTGCCCCTAGTAAGTTGACAAAGGAAAGGAGATAAGTATATATTCATTGTCAATTTGCACAAAACAATTAAAAACTGCTAAGAAAATATTAAGGTGTTAGTTTGAACTTCTGAATTCTTTATTTTTTTTTTTTTTTTGAGATGGAGTCTCGCTCTGTTGCCCAGGCTAGAGTGCAGTGGCGCGATCTCTGCTCACTGCAAGCCCCGCCTCCCGGGTTCACGGCATTCTCATGCCTCAGCCTCCCGAGTAGCTGGGACTACAGGTGCCCGCCACCACGCCCGGCTAATTGAACTTCTGAATTCTAATGGCTGGGAGAGGGTGGGACATGGTAGGGAAAAGTGCAGATATGAATCTAAGAGGCTCGTTTTGAGGAAGGACTGCCAGATTTCTACAAAGCAATCAGAAAAAGGATACTACTATGCTCTTTCAATATCTTGTTCTTAAAAAACAAAAGTGATCATTCCTGGAACTCTGATAAGAAAGATTCCAGTAGGCTGTTTATTTACTTAACATTGCCATTGCCTGGACTGAAGAGAGATAATCACTTTTAGTTTCAAACTCGATCTAGTCTATAACACATGGAAAGGGATTTCATGTGTTTTCTAGGAAGAAACAGATGTTACCCATAAAAAACAAAGCAAAAAAACCCAAAAAATCTATATTGCTATTGCAAAATCTGAGTGTGAGAACTCATGTCATATTCATACACGATAAATGCCATATGTTATTTGTATAAAGAAAGGTAATAATGCATTTTCAAATAATTAGTTAAAATAATTTTGGTTGGTCAAAACTGTATTAGAAGATGAATTCTCTGAGGCCAACTGGTGACTGTCTGAGGCTCCCACATTTACAGATTTTATGTTATTTCAACAAATATCCATGGAGTGTGGGAGAGGCACTGTGCTAGGTGCCAGATATACACTGGAGGATGAAACAGACAGAGCCCTTGTCCTCATGGAGCTTAGAGTCTGGTAGGGACAACATACCTACAAAATAAACACCATAATAGGTATTTCATTCATGCCTTAAAGGAAAACAACAAAGATCGGGGGTCGGGTGGAACTAATTCAGGGCGGGGCAGCCAGGAAAGCAGAGACCCTGGCTACTCTCTTCACTGACAGTTAAACAGATCCATTCAGCTGTTCACCAGGAATTTCTCAGTGTAACTTTCAGAGTAAGAGTAAAACAATTCCTTTTTTAAGAGACCAGGGTATCACTCTGTCTCCCAGGCTGGAGTGTAGTGGCATGATCATAGCTTACTATAACCTCAAACTCCTGGGCTCAAGTGATCCTCCCACCTCAGCCTCCCAAGAAGCTAAGACACCAGGCACATGCCACCACACCCGGCTAGTTTTTAAGATTTTTTTGTAGAGACAGGGTCTTGCTGGTCTTGAACTCCTGGCCTCAAGTGACCCTCCCACCTTGGCCTCCCAAAGTGCTGGGATTACAGGAGTGAGCCACCTCACCTGGCCATAACACAATTCTTTAAGCATCTAAGGGATTTAAGTATCATTTCAGGGTTTTGTGGTCACAAGAGTTTTAAAATCTCCATCCCTGACAGGTGAGTCAAAAACTACTCTCATTCATGGCACCCTGAACCACATAAAAATAACAATGTAAACCATACATCATTTGGGGATTGCTGGTTCCCTCAGATTTAGACGACGTTTCTTGAAACCTCCCCCATCCCATGCTCAGTAGAAGTCAAGGCCCATTCCAATACTTCTGCAAATTCCATAGGAGTGGCTCTGACTCTGAACTCTTTGCTTTTGCAAATGGGTTTAGATCATGGAACGTGTTGCTTTACTATAAATGTGGTTTGTGTTTCATGCCATGTTAACCTAGATGTGAAACGTAGTCTCCTTTTGATTGCCACAGAGCTCTTTTCTTTTTTTTTTCCTTGAGATGGAGTCTTGCTCTGTTGCCAGGCTGGAGTGCAGTGGCGCGATCTCAGCACACTGCAACCTCCGCCTCCCAGGTTCAAGCGATTCTCCTGCCTCAGCTTCCCGAGTAGCTGGGACTACAAGCACGTGCCACCATGCCCAGCTAATATTTTTGTGTTTTAATAGAGACGGGGTTTCACCATGTTGGCCAGGATGGTCTCGATCTCTTGACCTTGTGGTCCTCCCGCCTTGGCCTCCCAAAGTGCTGTGATTACAGGCGTGAGCCACCGCACCTGGCCAGAGCTCTTGTAGGACATTTGTATGTATAGTAGTTTTTTTAAAAAAAGATTTCAGAGGGGATGAAGTGAAGAAGAGGTTTGTATTAGTCAGGATAAGTCAACTGCTGTAACAAACAAGCCCCATTATAGTAACTTAGCAATAACAACAAAAGGATTCTTTCTTTCTGATATCACTGTTCAGTGGGGGTTGGAGAGGGCCTGATCCATATAGTCCTTCACAGACTGGAGCTCTTCTCTGGCGGCTTCAGAATCTTCTAGGGTATTAGAGTCCCCAACTTGATTCTCTGCAATCAGCCTGCAGGAGAGGGAAAGGCATGTGGAAGAACTGCCAGATTTGAAGAGAAGTGTTTGAGGAGACAAGGAAGGCTGCAACGAGATACTTTGGGAGTTATATTGGCCACATCTGGAGGTGGCACACACCACTTCTGCCCACTTTCCGTTAACTCGTAGTCACATGGCTATACCTAACTGCCGTGGAGGGTGGGAAATATAGTTTAGTTTTGAGGCCAGGATGAAAACAGCTTTTGTAATCTGTCTCTGCCACAGGATTTATTCTGTAGTGGCACAAACAACTTCAAATTTAACGTTTAATCTCCTAGTTTTTAGGAAGTCCTTGGCCTTCTCACTTCTATGGATTTTTTTTTTTTTTTAAGACAGAGTCTCATTCTGTCACCAGGCTGGAGTGCAGTGGTGCGATCTCAGCTCACTGCAACCTCCACCTCCTGGGTTCAAGTGATGATCCTTCCTTAGCCTCCCGAGTAGCTGAGAGTACAGGCACGTGCCACCAGGCCCAGCTAATGTTTGTATTTTTAGTAGAAACAGGGTTTCACCATGTTGGCCAGGATGGTCTCGATCTCTTGACCTTGTGATCCACCCACCTTGCCTCCCAAAGTACTGGGATTACAGGTGTGAGCCACCACGCCTGGCCTACTTCTACGGATTTTTAATGTAATTTTCAGACTCATGCCAACTCCTCTTCCCCTCTCCACTTCATTCCTTCCTTCCTTCCCTTTCTGTCTTCCCATACGCTAATATTTTTGTTTTTTTTTTTCTGGCAGAGTGTATTCAATGACCCCTCATTGCCTTGTCTCCAACAGGCTACTGATGTAACTGGGCAGCTTAACTTCGACATGCATCTTAAAACCTGTTTTCCTTTCTCTTGGGTTTCAAGATATAACCTTGACACAAACTGCAGAAGCCTTTTTCCCTTAGCCTTAAGATATCCATGTCCCTCCCCTTCTCACCATATATACTCCCTTCACATTTACCTAACTGTATGCTAGTATCTAATTATGTGCCTTCTTAGTTCCCGGGGCTAATCTTAAGACAGGCAGACCAAGCCTGAGACCCAGCTGCAAAATTTGAGAGATTACTTCAAGGCAACTAGTCAACAACCCAACCATTGTTGAGATGATGCCAGCCCACGCTCCAGGTAGACTGGGACCCAAGATATCCAACAGAACAAGACATGCAGACATTGTACTCAGCACAATTCTTGCCTGCCTTCCGTATCAAGTTTCCCCCCCAACTTTTTTTTTTCTTTTTTTTTTGAGATGGAGTCTCGCTCTGTTGTCCAGGCTGGAGTGTGATGGTGCAATCTTGGCTTACTGCAACCTCTGCTTCCCGGGTTCAAGTGATTCTCCTGCTTCAGCCTCCCGAGTCACTGGGATTACAGGCACCCGCCACCATGCCCCCCTAATTTTTTGTATTTTTAGTAGAGATGGGGTTTCACCATGTTGGTCAGGCTGGTCTCGATCTCATGACCTTAGGTGATCCACCCGCCTCAGCCTCCCAAAGTGCTGGGATTACAGGCGTGAGCCACCATGCCTGGCAAAATTTTCCCTTTTTAAGCCCTTGCCTTTCCCCCAAAAATCAAAGTGATTACTTTGGAGGGCATCAGGCTACTTCCCCATTGCTAGATTTGGTTAATGAAGTCACTTTCTTTCTGCCATACCTCACTCATGTTAACTGTACTCTGCAAACGACGAGCGACCAAACCTGCATTGAGTTACACTGAGACTCTCACCATCCATCTAACTGTCTTATTTATATAGGCAGGAGGTGGGAAATACTGGGTAGAAGAGGGCAGGGTGCATGGTGAGGGCTCCACCCTCAAGCATGGACCCATGGCCCTAAGTGAGCACATGCATTCCTGTTTTCCCATCTGAATGTTGCCTTTTCCCAACCACCCTGGCCTGCCATGCCCCTGGCCCTGTACCCATAAAAACCCCAGGCTCCCCTGTCAGAGGAGCAGAATGGTGCAGCAGAGAAAGAGAAAAGTGTCTGAATGTCGAGAGGAAAAGAGGCAGCTGGACACCAGAGACTATGGTTGGAGGGGAGTTTGGCCAGGGATGGTCAGAGAGGAGCTCCTCTGGGGACGGCCAAACTCTAGGGGAAGATGATCTTCCCACTTCATCCCCTTTCCAGCATCCTATCCCACTGAGAGCCACTTCCATCACTCAGTAAAATTCTCCACATACACCACCCTTCAATCCTGATTCTTCCTGGATGCTGGACAAGAATTTGGGACGCACTGGGTGCAAGAACCCAAAAAGGCTGTCACACTGACTCTTCACTGAGGTGTTTAACCCTTAAGCCCTCTGTGGATGGCAAAAGCTAAAAGAGCATTGTTTATAACACGTGCCTTCTGGGGCTCCAGAGGTCCCGGGCAACACCTAGATGCTACTGTAGTCTGGTACGGGGCTTGTTCCTACCAGTACCCAAAGGCACTCACCCAGGCTCCTGCACCTGCTCACCTGCGGCTCCCTCTCTCACAAGGGAGTTGAGTATGGAGGTAAACAAGCCACACCCCTGTTGCAAGGCCCGAGAAGGGGTCAAAGGAACTCTCCCATCTCATTATCAGAGAACCAAGGCAGTTCTTCACTAGAGAATTCATTTATAGGACATCACATTTGAAACCCTCTGAGGCCTATATGACATATGGCATATGTCTGTATTTCTCAAACTGATGTAAAATATATTCTTCGGACTGTGGGGCTTTATGCCTGGAAATTCCTGAAGCCACAAGCTAAAAACAACCTGGTTTTAGCTCAGAACAGTTCCCCCCAGGGCTGTGTCTGTGCTCTTCCCCTCCTTTTGGGGGAGTTGTTCCTTTGCACCCTACTGTTTTAATACACAACTTGAATCTTCTAAATATGATGGGTATGTTTGCATATGTATATTATATTAATTCTTTTAATTAATTAAAACTGAAATATGGGCCCACAAATCCACTGCTTGTGTAAAGAAACAAAAAAGAAGTGGAGAGGAAAAGTTTTCTTGTGGTCATAAGCTTTTCTTTTTTTCTTTTTTTTTTCTTTTTGAGACGAAGTCTAGCTGTGTTGCCCAGGTTGGAGTGCAGTGGCTCAAGCTTGGCTTACTGCAACCTCTGCCTCTCAGGTTCAAGTGATTCGTCTGCCTCAGCCTCCTGAGTAGCTGGGACTACAGGCGCCTATCACCATGCCCGGCTAATTTTTTGTATTTTTAGTACAGGCAGGGTTTCACCATGTTGACCAGGCTGGTCTTGAACTCCTGACCTCGTGATCTGCCCGCCTCAGCTTCCCAAAGTGCTGGGATTGTAGGCGTGAGCCACTGCACCTGGCCTACAAATATTTTTATTTTTATTTTTTTTGAGACGGAGTCTTGCTCTTTCGCCCAGGCTGGAGCGCAGTGGCGCGATCTCAGCTCACTGCAAGCTCCACATCCTGGGTTCACACCATCCTCCTGCCTCAGCCTCCCGAGTAGCTGGGACTATAGGCACTCGCAACCACGCTTGACTAATTTTTTGTATGTTTAGTAGAGACAGGGTTTCACTGTGTTAGCCAGGATGGTCTTGATCTCCTGACCTTGTGATCCACCCGCCTTGGCCTCCCAAAGTGCTGGGATTACAGGCATGAGCCACCGCACCCGGCTGCTCGTAGGCTTTTCAATCATCCTTTCCCTTGTCCTTCCTGCTTATATGAAACAAGAGGTGCCCTTTTCTTTCTAAGGTATTTAAGATCGTATTTAAGTTCAAAATATGGTCTGTCACAACCAAAAGAATTCTGATTCATACAATAAACATAGCAACTTTCCTGAAGAGTCATTTTTTACTATCAAATTTTTGCAAATCTCCCAATGTCATTTTTATTTTAAACCATAGATATACAGTTGTTACTCAATATCCATGATGGAGATTGGTTCCAGTACCCCCTATGCATACTAAAATCCATGATGCTCAAGTCCCTAATATAAAGTGGTGTTGTATTTGCATGCAATCTATGCAGATCCTCTTGTATTGATACAATGCAAATGCTATGCAAACAGTTGTTATGCTATATTGTTTAGAAATAATAAGAAGAAAAAAAGGTACCTACATGTTCAGTACACAGTACAGATGCAGCCATTGTTTTTTTTTTTTTTTTGAGACAGTCTTGCTCTGTTGCCCAGGCTGGAGTGCAGTGGCGTGATCTCGGCTCACTGCAGCCTCTGCCTCCTGAGTTGAAGCAATTCTCTGCCTCAGCCTCCTGAGTAGCTGGGATTACAGGCACCCACCACCATGCCTGGCTAATTTTTGTATTTTTAGTAGAGACAGGGTTTCACCATATTGGCCAGGCTGGTCTCGAACTCCTGACCTCGTGATCCACCTGCCTCGGCCTCCCAAAGTGATGGAATTACAGGCGTGAGCCACCGCGCCTAGCAGCCAACCATTTTTTTCCCCTGGAACATTTTCCATTGGCAGTTGGTTGAATTCATGGATGCAGAACCCATGGATATGGAGTGCCAATTGTATATTATTAAACAGAATGTCGGGATATGCTCTAGGTCCCCAGGGCTGTGCATTCCTACCTAGAGGCACTTAGGTGAGAAAGTTGGAGGACTGCTGTCACTGTTTTAAGCTTAAGACAGGGTCAAATTACTTTTTTCCTTCTTGTATATTCCTTCATGGGGGAGGAACTTTTGCTGGGAACCTGTGAAATGATGAGCTTTTTGTGCACTTTCTAGTTGGATGCATTTTTGAGATGTGGGGCAACAGAAGCAGGAGGCTGCAAGAGAGCAGCAACATCTGAAAAGTCTGCTGAGCCATCTGGCTTCAGGAGAATTTACTTAGTTTGCTTCCTGGAAGTTGTGATAAAATTTATAAATAATTTATAACACAAGGACTTCAAGAGAGGCATATTGGAAAACTCAGTGCTATCTCAAACTGTCTGGAGCAAATTATAAGCCTCAGCTATCTCCCCCACTACAAAAAAAAATGCAAGTTTTGAGTGGAAAGGAAACACTTGTAGCTCCATTTCCTCTCAGGCACAAGCAGCTCTAAAAAAAGAAGCAATGTGAACAGAGTGTCTCAGAAAGAGTTGCAGCTATTGTTTGCAAAGTAAGGAGGAAGCAAAGCAATAATATTAACAGAAATAGTTTGAAAATAGAGCAAGCAAGGAGAATTGCAAAGTAGAAAGTATACCTAAGGGGGTAGAAACATCAGATAGGATCTACCTCAAGGCATGGAGAGATCTTTGTTTGTTTCCTTTGTTCCACAGTTGAAATTATCTTTATCTTCCAATCTAAACATTGCCTACTTTTTGTTTCTTTTCTTCTTATTTTATGTGGGAGTTTCTATTTGAATTTTAGTCATGTTGTTTTGAGTGGATGATCAGCCACAGCAGGATATGCTTTTTTTTTTTTAAGTGAGATTAAACACGAGTTAGATGGTAATCAGTGAGGCTGGTTATATACATAAATATCTGCACATTATTTTAATGTTTTCCATAGTTGTAAATTTTCACAAAGAGATCCATGATTCTATGAGGAGTCTATTATAAAATATGCTATCTACTCACTTTGAATCTTGTCTAAGTTAACCTCTTTTCTTTTCTATAAAATAGGTATTGAACTTTATGAAAAGAACCAAAATGATCTTCACTGGAGTTGGTTAGGATCATTAGCTTTATCACATAAAAGCTTCTGGATTTTTTTGTTTATTTGTTTTTTATTTGGGGTTTATCTTTGTCTGTTTTCTGTTGCTTATACCAGAATACATGAAGCTGGGTAGTTGATTTAAAAAAAGGAATTTATTTTTTACAATTATAAGAAATGAACTTATTTCTTTTTTTTTTTTTGAGACGGAGTCTCGCTCTGTCGCCCAGGCTGGAGTGCAGTGGCGGGATCTCGGCTCACTGCAAGCTCCGCCTCCCGGGTTCACGCCATTCTCCTGCCTCAGCCTCCCAAGTAGCTGGGACTACAGGCGCCCACCACTACGCCCGGCTAATTTTTTGTATTTTTAGTAGAGACGGGGTTTCACCGTTTTAGCCGGGATGGTCTCGATCTCCTGACCTCGTGATCCGCCCGCCTCGGCCTCCCAAAGTGCTGGGATTACAGGCGTGAGCCACCGCGCCCGGCCATGAACTTATTTCTTATAAGGCTGGCAAGAAGGTCAAGCCTGAGGCTGACAAGTCCAAAGTCAAGAGGCTGAATCTGGTGAGGGCCTTCTTGCTGATGGGGACTCTCTGCAGAGTCCTGAGGTGGTACAGGGGCTGAGCATGCTAGCTCATCTTCTTCCTCTTCTTGTAAAGCCACCAGTCCCCTCTCATGAAAACTTGTTGATCCATTAGTCCATTAATCCATTAATCCCTCTTGACCCAAGCACCTCTTAAAGGCCTCAGCTCTCAATACTGTCACATTGGGGATTAAATTACAACACGAGGCCAGGTGTGGTGGCTCACACCTGTAATCCCAGCACTTTGGGAGGCCAAGTCGGGTGGATCATGAGGTCAGGAGATTGAGACCATCCTGGCTAACCTGGTGAAACCCCATCTCTACTAAAAATACAAAAAATTAGCTGGGCGTGGTGGCACACACCTGTAGTCCCAGCTATTTGGGAGGCTGAGGCATGATAATCGCTTGAACCCGGGAGGCAGAGGTTGTGGTGAGCTGAGATTGCATGATTGCACTCCAGCCTGGGCAATAAGAGTGAAACTCCGTCTCAAAAAAAAAAAAAAAAAAAAAAAAAAATTACAACACAAGCTTTGGAGAGGATAGATATTCAAACTATAGCAGGACTGATCTTAAAAATCAGTTGCTAAACATTATGTTTTGTTAAACATGTTTCAGTTGTTCAACATGTTTTGTGCTAAATTCATAGATTGTATTTTGATCACATCAGTGGGAATGACTTTCATATCAATGGATCAAGATTAATTTGATGAGATAAAGTATAACTCATTTTAAAGAAAATTCTAAAGTCACTACATATGGTGTGGTGATTTCAGCTTGGCAAACACTAGAACAAAACCATTATGTAGCCAATGCCCTGTGGTCTGTCATATACTCAAATACATACCATATGTGTTGTGTCAGCATGCCAGATTACTTTTGTACCTCTACTCTGTGGAAAATATTCAAATGCTATGATAATGACCAGATAAATAGTAATGATAAGTCAATGAGTCCCGAGTGTCCAAAGTGTAACTTGAATGGATTAAAGAATAACTAGGTTGTCTAACATCATCCTGATATGGACAGGAGGCAGGGAAATACTAGGTAGAAAAGGATGGGGTCCCTGGAAAGGGCTCTACTCTCAAGCCTGGACCCACAGCCCTAAATGAGAGCATGCATTCCTGTTTTCTTGCCCAAACGTTGCCTTTTCAAAACCACCCTGGCCCACCACACCCCCCAATCCTGTACCCATAAAAACCCCAAGGGTCACTGGCAGAGGAGCAGAGCAGAGTGGCAGAGAAGGAGAGAAGAGAAGAAGCAGCTGGACATCGGAGAAAAGCAGTTTGACTTCAGAGGGATGGTTTGATGGGTGGGACTTTGGGGAAGAATTTGGCTGAGGATGGCCGAACTCCAGGGGAAGATTATCTTCCCACTCCATCCCCCTTCCAGCTCCCTTTCTCACTGAGAGCCACTTCCACCACTCAATAAAATCCTCCTTGTACACTACCCTTCAATCTGTTTATGTGACCTGATTCTTCCTGGATGCCAGACAAGAACTTAGGTACTAAGAGGGCAGGGTATAAAAGGCTGTCACCTTGACCCTCCACTAAGCTGGTTAATGCTTAAGCTGTTCACAGATGGCAAAGCTAAAGGAACACACTGTAACACACACCCTCTGGGGCTCCAGGGGTCACGGGCAATCCCTAGATGCTGCCACGGGCTGGTAGGGGTTTCCTTCCCACCAGCGCCCAAAGACACTCACTGTGGCTCCTGCACCCACCTACCTGTGTGGTCTGCCTCCAGCAAGGAGTTTGAGTGCTGCAGGCTGAGTAAGTGAGCCACCCCTTTGCAAGTCCCGTGAAAAGGTCAAAGGAATGATCCCATCTCAGTCCTATGAACTAGTTCCCCAAATAGGCTGCTCATCAGAAACCAACAGAGAGGTCTAAAACTTTGTAAAATTTAAATCTAGTAAAATTCACACTTTTGGGGGCTCTATGAGTTTTGACATATGCTTGTCACTACCACCACAATCAAGTGACACAACTTGGGGTAGAACAGTCCATCACCCCTCCAGAAATGCCCTGTGCTCAAATACCCCTTTGTGCTCAAAACCCAGCCTCAGCCTTTCAATCCTGGAAACCACTAATCTGTTCTCCTTCACTATGGTTTTGCATTTTCCAGCATGTCATATAAATGGAATACAGTATGGAAAATGGGTTGTATCCCTGCGTATAATACACTGGAGAGTCATCCTTGCTGTTGCATGTGTGTTCTTTTTAATTGCTGAGTACTATTCCATTGTACAGATGTATCACTGTTTCTCTGTGTGTTACTCAACTGAGAGACATTTGGGTTTTTACCAGGTTTGGGTGATTATGAATAAAAATATTATAACTATTCATGTATATAGTTCATTGTAGGAACATGTTTCCACTTATCTTAGGTAAATACCTAAAAGTGAGATACCTGAGAAGTTTTGAAAAATATTCCCCTTCCCATGGATTTGCAATTTCTTCAGTATGGGGCCTTGGAATATATACTTTAAAAATGCTCCTCTAGTGTAATTTCTTTGTTTTTTGGAGACCAGAGTCTTGCTCTGTTGCCCAGGCTGGAGTGTAGTGGTGCAATCTCGGCTCACTGCAACCTCTGTCCCCCTGGTTCAAGTGATTCTTATGCCTCAGCCTCCCGAGTAGCTGGGATTACAGGTGTACACCACTGCACCCAGATAATTTTTGTATTTTTAGTAGAGATGGGGTTTCGCCATGTTGGCCAGGCTGGTCTTGAACTCCTGGCCTCAAGGGATTTGCCTGCCTCAGCCTCCCAAAATGCTGAGATTACAGGCATGAGCCATAGCCCAAGTGTGATTTTTTAATGGGTAAGGAATGTCCTTGCGAGTGGTGAAACTTCTTGGAAATAGTTAGAGGTAATGATTGCACAACATTGTGTATGTACTAAATGCCACTGAATTGTATGCTTTAAAATGGTTAATGGTTAATTTTATGTCATATACATTTTATCTCAATTTTTAAAAAACCTAAAAAAATGTGCTCCCAGGTCATTCTGATATTTGGAAGATCTGATCTTGGAAGGTTGTACCTGGCTGGACTTTATGTTAAAAGATCTTTATTTATTTATTTATTTTGAGATGAAGTTTTGCTCTTGCTGCCCAGGCTGGAGTGCAATGGTGCAATCTCAGCTCATTGTAACCTCTGCCTCCTGGGTTCAAGAGATTCTCCTGTCTCAGCCTCCCAGGTAGCTGGGATTATAGGCACCCGCCACTACACCCGGCTAATTTTAAAAGATCTCTATACTGATCTCAGCCTCTGGGTCTTGGTCCAATCTTCTCCTTGTGAATCTGTAACAAACTGAATTCTCTTTAGAAAGTTTGAGGAATCTTAAAAAATTGTTGATAGTTAGCAGGTAAGCCTGTAGCTTTTGTGCTATCTTGGAGATTGCTCCTGGCTCACATGGACCCAGAGTTCTGAGGTCATCATCTCTGCTGTGGTCTAACCAGAGCTCTGAGGGCTCAGCATAGGTCTGGATCCAATTTCTCTGAGTGGAGTAGCGTGGGTGAGATCCTTCTTACCAGAGGATTAGCAAGGCTAGACTAGTCCTAGAGTCTGTTGAGACAGTCTACAGAATAATTTTGAGTGCTTGGGATTGACTGGCTATCAATTTGCATCTCTCTGGGGTTTTTACTATTTACCAATAGATATACAACTGGTTATTGCAGCATCGAAATAGATCCAATCTCATTCATTGGCACAAGTTACACCATAGAAGACCTTATATTAATAACCCTGACCGTGTTAGAGTATGGCCAGGCTTGCAGATATGAGAAAAACTAGCCAGACATCCTTACGAGACAGAGTTGTGATATAGAAAGAGCATAGGATGATGATAGTCAATACCTTGGTTCTGGAAGTTTCTTTGTCTTTAAAGACTAAAGCAGAGGCACAGAGTCAGAGAGTACCCCCTGTTCTCTATGTGTATCCATTCTCCATTCTAGTCTTCCTTCAGCCTCTGCTGCTATAGACACCCCTATGTCCTTATACTTCCTGTTTTTGTCTTTTCTGTGCCACTTGAACTTTGAGCCATCTGTCAAACCAGGGGATCCTTATACCCGAACACTTTCTTCTTCCGGGTTTTGTGTATGCCTAGCCACTTTGAGGATGAGGGAATAAGCCAAAGGGAGAAGGTGGTTGGGAGTTGGAGCTCAGAGTTGAGCCCTGTCCCCGTGGAATTTCCTAAGCTGGCACCACAGTGGGGTGTGGGGAGTGCTTCTGAAAGACAGGCATCATCCCAAGCCCCGTGCATCTCAGGTAGGACTGAGTCTTAGACTATGAGGAAGACATAGTTTGGGCTCCTTATTACTACCTCCAGAGGACCTAGCATCTACGGGGAGTATTTTCTCTTCCCTTTTCTTGCCCTCTGGAATGGAAGCCTCTTCAGATAGATTCATCTCATTGTTGCAGAATTTTAGACGTTTGTCTTTTCCATTTGCTTGGTCATCTTGCCTTTTCGCATTAGGTTTCATGACTTGAATCATGAAAGGGCAGAAAAGCAGACAGTACTCTAGTTAAAATAAAACAGAGATGGAGGGAGGGTCCTGGAGAAGAAGGGTACTGTGTATGATGCTGGGGGGAGGAAAGAAGAGATGAGGGAACCGGGGGTGGGACCACAGAGAGCTTATAATTCTGACCTGAACTTGTGAAGAAGAGATCATTGATTTGAACGTTCTGCCATCTGCCTAGATTGCATTCGAACGTGAGTAAGAAGAGAAAGTTACTGCCTACCACATATAACTTTCCTTTCCTACCCTCCCTCGATTTCTCAGACTGACTCAGGTACTGGAAGCATTTACTGAGGACTTGGCCATGGGAAATGAGAGACCACCAGGCAAACTCGCAGGGAAGATGATTTGTTTACTGTCTCTTTATTTCTCTTTCTCAACGTCTCCCCCGAGAACCTGGAGTCTACAGATTTCCACAGTAGAGAGCTCTGGCTCTCTACTCTAGTAGGACTTTGTGTACTGGACCATTTCTGACCACTTCTGTTTTCTCAACATTACTTTTTCTGTCTCCTATCCTCCCTCTAGAGTTGGTGTGAAACTAGACCTAAGGTGTGGTGAATAGCAGGGTCTTGACATGTTTGCCCTTTCTCAGTTTCCAGGTGACATTTTATTCTCTCCTCATTATTGCCTGAAGAAATGAGCTCAGCAAGGTGTGAGGAAACATAGTAGGGCTGTTGGCAGAGATATCTTTTGATAGGGGGAACATTTAAATGGATATTTTGAAGGAAATTGGCTTGAATATATTGACCTGTGTATATAACTGATCAAAATTCTGGAGTATTGCCAGGTGTGGTAGCCTGTGCCTATAATCCCAGCACTTTGGGAGGCCAAAGAAGGAGGATGGCTTGCGGCCAGGAGTTTGAGACCAGCCTGGGCAACATAGTGAGAACTTGTCTCTAAAAAGCTAAAAAATAGGTTGGGCGCAGTGGCTCACGCCTGTAATCCCAGCACTTTGGGATGCCAAGGCGGGCGGATCACAAGGTCAGGAGATCAAGACCATCCTGGCCAACAAGGTGAAACCCCATCTCTACTAAAATACAAAAAATTAGCCGGGCATGGTGCGGGTGCCTGTAATCCCAGCTACTCCGGAGGCTGAGGGAGGAGAATCGCTTGAACCCAGGAGGCAGAGGTTGCAGGGAGCCGAGATCGCGCCACTGCACTCCAGCCTGGCGACAGAACAAGACTCTGTCTCAAATAACTAACTAACTAAATAAAAATTATTGCATGTGGGTTGTGCACCTGTAGTCCCAGCTACTTAGGAGGCTGAAGTGGTAGGATCATTTGAGCCCAGGTGTTTGAGGCTGTGGTGAGCCATGATTGCACCATTCTACCCCAGGCTAGGCCACAGAGTGAGACCCTGAGTCTTAAAAAAAATTGGCCAGGCGCGGTGGCTCACGCCTATAATCCCAGCACTTTGGGAGGCCGAGGCGGACGGATCACGAGGTCAGGAGATTGAGACCATCCTGGCTAACACAATGAAACCCCGTCTCTACTAAAAATAAAAAAAACTAGCCGGGCCTGGTGGTGGGTGCCTGTAATCCTAGCTACCCAGGAGGCTGAGGCAGGAGAATGGTGTGAACCCGGGAGGCGGAGCTTGCAGTGAGCAGAGAGCGTGTCACTGCACTCCAGCCTGGGTGACAGAGCTAGACTCCGTCTCAAAAAAAAAAAAAAAAAAATTCCAGAGTGTTATATCCATCCAGTAAATGGTTATGGAGCTCTCCTATAAATTACTGACTCAAGGCAATTATTGTCTGGAATTTAACGAGAGAGAGAGAGAGAGAGAGAGAGAGAGAGAATTTGACAAACTTGGCTGGCATACACATTGATGATCCTTAAGGAAAACAATAAAACTGCCTCACAGGCCGTAAGGGAAAGCACACACTGTAATGACATCTCAGCAACTCGTAGCACAGTGCACATTTCCCACAAGGCTGTGGTTCCCCGTGTCCTCACCCGCCTTGGTTGTAATAGTGGCTAGCAGGCCGTGTTCCATCATTAGTAACATCTCTCTTTGTGGGAATAGTGGTGTAATTGTGGACAGAAGTTCATGTTGAGTTCTATTTATAGCTTCTGGTGACTCATTAATATGTTACCTTAGCAAAGGGTAGCTCCAGAGCCAGCCTTTTATTACTGTATTAGTCAAAAACATTCTCACTGGGGTATTCTGATACAATGAAAAACAAACTGTAAAACACTTCTAGCAATTTGCATGTCAGCCTTTTAATTGGTGTGATATTAGCACCCTTGCACGCTTTATTGGAAGCTACAGTTGTCAAAGGTACCCATGTCTACAAGTGCTTACCAACATGTAGGTTCTGTGTTAAGGGAAAGAAAAAAGAATCCACTTGTAGTCTTCTGAAGAGTTAAACTCTCAGTTGATCTGGAAAATATGTTAACCAACCTTCAAAAGTATTTTCGCTCCCGGAAGTCTTCAAGCCCTCTGTGACTATGCCCTTTGTAACATTTTTACACATGTGACCTTCACACTCACCACTTTGATTCCAACAGCGAAGTCGAAGTCGTGGTCAGGAGTAAGACTGAGCTGGGTAGAGATAGTAAGGTAAGACTTTGAAGCTGCTGTACTTTTATCAATTCAGTCTGAAAAACAGTCTCTGTGGTTAAGCCCATTAAATCTCTTGTGCTTTCATAGCAGCTTGGCTAAAGGTTATTACTATGAAGGCTGGAGGGAGAGTGGGAGATAACTTCGACCAGAGAGCTCTCACTGAAATGGGTTCAAAGGAGTTACTCATCTTCTATTCCCTTTAGCGGAACCTCATAATCGGATAGCACTTACTCTGTGCTTTGTTAAAAATATAGCATACAGGCTGGGCACAGTGGCTCACGCTTGTAATCCCAGCACTTTGGGAGGCCGAGGTGGGCAGATCATCTGAGGTCAGGAGTTCAAGACAAGCCTGACCAACATGGAGAAACCCCGTCTCTACTAAAAATACAAAATTAGCCAGGCGTGACGGCACATGCCTGTAATCTCAGCTACTCTGGAGGCTGAGGCAGGAGAATCGCTTGAACCTGGGAGGCGGAGGTTGCGGTGAGCCAAGATCACACCATTGCACTCCAGCCTGGACAACAAGAGCAAAACTCCGTCTAAAAAAAAAAATGTAGCATACAATGAAACTACCAATATCAAGTGCTAGCAAGGATTTGGAGCACTTGATATTTTTAAGAATTTTCTTACATTGCTGACGGGAATGCAAAATAGTACAGCCACTCTGGAAAACAATTTGGCAGTGTGAAAGGAAATTAAATCTTGGGATCCCAAACTCATTAAGCCAAAGGGAAAAGTCAAGCTGGGAACTGGGTCACACAAACCTGCTTCCCCATTTTTGGTTCCTAAATAAGATGGCTACAAGATGAAAAGCTACAAGCTTCCCCCATATTTTGCCCACAAGGAAATTCCTTGTGAGCTGCAAGATCTTCTAAGGTGTTTCTGTTAAAATTTCACCATGGCAATGTAAACTGATCCTTATCTTTATGGATGCTGTCACCCCTGGCCCACCAGACACAAATGCATATCAGATTGTTCTCCTGGCCCATTTTCGTCTATGTTATCTTATGGAAAATGCAGATTCCCAGCCGGGCGTGATGGCTCACACCTGTAATCCCATCACTTTGGAAGGCGGAGGCTGGCGGATCACGAGGTCAGGAGTTTGAGACCAGCTTGGCCAACATAGTGAAATCGCGCCTTTACTAAAAATACAAAAAGTTAGCTGGGCGTGGTGGCAGGCGCCTCTAATCCCAGCTATTTGGGAGGTTGAGGCAGGAGAACTGCTTGAACCTGGGAGGCAGAGGTTGCAGTGAGCCGAGATCGTGCCATTGCACTCCAGCCTGAGCGACAGTGCGAGACTCTGTCTAAAAAAAAAAAAAAAGCAGATTCCCTGCATTTTTTCCTCTGCCCCATTTGTCTATGTCATCTTATGTAAAAACCGCAGATTCACTGAGCCAGACAAAGGCATGAATGGCTATTTTTCCTTACCCTGCTCTTACATGAAAATTGTATACATCTCAATATCCTGCCCTTTCCCCTTTAAATTTGGAGCCCTCAAAATCATCTTCAGAGAAAGGCATAGACCTGTCTCCCAGGTGTGCAGCCTTAACTTTGGCAAAATAAACCTCCTAAAATGATTGAGACTTGTCTCGTCATTTTTCTTGATTGACAGCAGTTTCTTACAAAGTTAAGCATACACAAAGCATGTAACATAACAATCTCACTCCTAGGTATTTACTCAAGAGAAGTGAGCAGGGAACGGTATGAGGTAGGTACAGAGCATTCAGGCAGAGAGGACCACCTGCAGGAGAGTGACAACTCTGAGGAGGTGAGGAGACAAGGCATTGTCGTAGATGGAAGCTTATGGGGAGGCAACGAGATGAGGCTGCAGGCTGGGCTTTGTGGGCTGTGGTAGGGATTTTGGTTTCTATTCTGAGAATGATGAGAAACCATTAAAATGATTTAGGCAAGAGGGTGACATAATCAGATGTACCTTTTTAAATGATCAACCTGGTTGCAGTGTGGAGAGTGGACTGGAGGGAGGCAAGTATGCCCAGGGAGGTCATTGAGTTGTCTGGGAGAATTCCTGATGGGGCTTGGGATAGGGCTGTAACCTTAGAGATGCTCTCTTTTAATGCCCCAAATACCCCTAGGAAGGTTTGCACTGATGGCTTTTTTTTTTTTGAGATGGAGTATCTCTCTGTCGCCCAGGCTGGAGTGCAGTGGCGCCATCTCGGCTCACTGCAAGCTCCACCTCCTGGGTTCATGCCATTCTCCTGCCTCAGCCTCCCGAGTAGCTGGGACTACAGGCGCCCACCACCACGCCTGGCTAATTTTTTGTATTTTTAGTAGAGACGGGGTTTCACCGTGTTAGCCAGGATGGTCTCGATCTCCTGACCTTGTGATCTGCCCACCTCAGCCTCCCAAAGTGCTGGGATTACAGGAGTGAGCCACCATGCCCGGCCTCACTGATGTCTTTTATATAATAATATTTCTAGTAGAATCAAGAATAATGAATCACTTCTTTTCAAATACAGATTATAAAATACTCCATATATAAAAAAGAATTTATGTGATATTAAAGGAAATTAAATACCATAAAAAAAATCAGGACTTTCTTTCCTTTCTTCCTTTCTCCCCTCCCCTCCCCTTCCATTCCCTTGGGGTCTTGCTCTGTTGCCCAGACTAAAGTGCAGTGGCACAATCTCGGCTCACTGCAACATGCGCCTCCCAGGTTCAAGTGATTCTCCTGCCTCAGCCCCCCGAGTAGCTGGGATTACAGACAAAAGGCATGCCACCACACCTGGCTGATTTTTTTATTTTTCCTAGAGATGGGGTTTCACCATGTTGGCCAAACTGGTCTTGAACTCCTGACGTCAAGTGACCAACCAGCCTTGGCCTCCCAAAGTGCTGGGATTACAGGTGTGAGCCACCACACACGTCCCGGTATCAGGACTTTCTAATAGTTACAGCTTGTAAGCATTGGAAGAGGCTGGCTTGGGAGGTGACGGGAGGCCATGCTGTTGACAATTTGTGTAAGGGTGTGGAAGAAGGATTCCCAGGAGAGGAGAGAGGTTGGGTAGTTGACTGCAAAGGTGCTGATCCTAAAATCCTCTGCCACAATGCAACAAAAAGCAAAAATATTTGTTACAAGCAAAGCTCTTAAGGGGCATTTGAAAACCTGGGGTGTTGGTTTCTTAAAATCAAATGTGGAATTGTAGCTCCTGTTTTTGGTGAGTCCTTTGATTTTTGGAACATGTAAGATGGAACCATGTGCATACATATACTCACTTATATAGCAATAAATGTGGTGGAGGTATTTTAATTTCTTGAGTCCCAGAGGTATTGGGTTAAGAGCAGAGTGAGAGATTGGATAAGGAGATGGTTGCAACGATTCCTTTTTCTATTCCACAGAAGCAGCTCACAGACTATGACTTGTGGGCCAAATGGCACTTGTTTTGTATGACCCATGAACTAAGAATGTTGCTTACATTTTGTTTGATTAAACTTTTAAATTTGAGGCCAGGCGTGGTGGCTCACACCTGTAATCCCAGCACTTTGGGAGGCTGAGGTGGGTGGATCACCTGAGGTCGGGAGTTCGAGACCAGCCTGACCAACATGGAGAAACCCCATCTCTACTAAAAATACAAAAAAATTAGCCAGGCATGGTGGCCCATGCTTGTAATCCCAGCTACTCGGGAGGCTGAGGCAGGAGAATCGCTTGAACCCAGGAGGCGGAGGTTGCAGTGAGCCAAGATTGAGCCATTGCACTCCAGCCTGGGCAACAAAAGCGAAACTCTGTCTCAAAAAAAAAAAAAAAAAAAAAAAACCTTTTAAATTTGAGGTAATTCTAAATTCACTTGAACTTATAGAAGATACATTACAGAAAAAAAACAGATAAAATATACTTCATCAAAATTAAAAATTTTTGTGCATCAAAGGACACTATCAACAGAGTGAAAAGGCAATTCACAGAATGGGAGAAAATATTTGCAAATGGTAATCCAATAAGGAGTTAATATCCAGAATATATGAAGAATACTTATAAATCAAAAACGAAAGTCAAACAACCCTATTAAAATATGGTTAAAGGACTTGAATAGACAGTTCTCCAAAGAAGATACATTAATGGCCAATAAACAAATGAAGAGATGATAAAGACAAATAATCATTAGAGAAATGCAAATCAAAACCACTTCACATCCATTAGGGTGGCTGTCACCAAAAATAACAAATGTTGATGAGGATGTGAAGAAGTGGGAACGCTTGTGCCCTGCTGGAGTATGTAAAATGGTGCAGCTGCTCTGGAAAACAGTATCACATTTCCTCCAAAAATTAAACACAGAATTGCCATATGATCCAGCAATTCCACTTCTATCCAAAAGAATTGAAAGTAGGGACTTGAGCCGGGCGTGGTGGCTCACACCTGTAATCCCAGCACTTTGGGAGGTCGAGGCGGGCAGATCACCTGAGGTCAGGAGTTCGAGACCAGCCTGGCCGACATGATGAAACCCCAATCTCTACTAAAAATACAAAAATTAGCTGGGCGTGGTGGCAGGCACCTGTAATCCCAGCTACTCGGGAGCAGGAGAATCCCTTGATTCTGGGAGGAGGAGGTTGTAGTGAGTTAAGATCGCGCCACTGCACTCCAGTCTGGGTGACAAAGCAAGACTCCATCTCAAAAAAAAAAAGGAAAGCAGGGACTTGAACAGATATTTATACAGCAATGTTTATGACAGCATTATTCACAATAGCCAAAAAGTGGAAACAGTTTAAATGTCCATCAATGGATAAATGGAAAAACAAAATGTGGTATATACATACAATGGGATATTATTCAGCCTTAAAGAGAATGAAATTCTGATACATATTACAGCATGGATGAATCTTGAATACATTAAGCTAAGTGAAATAAACCTGATACAAAAGGACAAATATTGTGTGATTCTACTTATAGGACGTGCCTAGAGTAGTCAAATTCACAGAGACTGAAAAGGGGCTGTGGGAGGGAAAATTGAGGAGATATTATTTAATGGATACAGAGTTTTATTTTGAGGTGATGTAAAAGTTCTGAAAATGGATGGTGGTGATGGTTGCATAATAATGTGAATGTATTTACTGCCAGTGGATTATAAATTTAAAAAAATGTTAAAATGATAAATTTTATGTTACGTATATTTTACCACAATAAAAAAGAAGTAATACAGAGAGATCCCATGTGCTCTTTACTCAGTTTTCCCCAACGGTAACATCTTATAAAATTATACAATATAATACACAACCTGCCAGGCGCAGTGGCTCACACCTGTAATCCCAGCACTTTGGGAGGCCGAGGTGGGCAGATCACCTGAAGTCAGGAGTTTGAGACCAGCCTGCCTAACATGGGGAAACCCCGTCTCTACTAAAAATACAAAAATTAGACAGGCGTTGTGGCACCTGCCTGTAATCCAGGAAATTGACAGTTATATAAACCCAAATCTTATTCAGACAGCCTCAATTTTACAGGTACTCATTTGTGTTTATTTTAAAATTATTGAAAATGATAAAAAGTAATATTTTGTGACACATAAAATTGATATGAAATTCAAATTTCAGTATTTATAAATAAAATTTGATTGGAGCATAACCACATTCCTTCATTTATGTATTTTTTCTTTTTTTTTTTTTTTTTTTTTGAGACAGAATCTCACTCTGTCACCCAGGCTGGAGTGCAGTGGCACAATCTCTGCACCTCTGCCTCCTGGATTCAAGTGATTCTCCTGCCTCAGTCTCCTGAGTAGCTGGGATTATAAACACATGCCACCACACCCGGCTAATTTTCATATTTTTAGTAGAGACGGGGTTTCGTCATGTTGACCAGGCTGGTCTCGAACTCCTAACCTCAGGTGATCCACCTGCCTCAGCCTCCCAAAGTGCTGGGACTACAGGCATGAGCCACCGTGCCCAGCCCATTTATGTATTTTCTATGGTTACTTTTGTGTTGTAGTGACAGAGTTAAGTAGTTGGGACAGAAACCTATAAAGCTTGAAATATTTATTATCTGTCCTTTATAGAAACAGTTTGTTGACCTCTGTTCTAGAGTACAATCAGCTGCCAAAAAGAAAAAAAAAAGGTTGTGAGTATAAAATTACTTAAGGGAAATGACTGGATAACGTGTTTAAATTTGGGCAAATGAATCATAATGAAAATGGTAAATTGTCAAGAGTGGTATTTATGAAACTTAGGTTGGTGCTACTTGGCCTTGCTGGGAACTTTGATTGTTCCCAAGATGCATTTGCTTAGCTCTTCTCACCAGGGCGAGTATTGAGTATTGTGCTTTTTGGTTCCCATGCCTTTGTACCAATGGATATGCTTTGATGCAAGTAAAAGAAAACATGACTAAATGTAGTTTAAATTTAAAAATTTATAATACCCCTCATTACAATTTTAGAAGAGAGGGGATTCTGGAGCTGCTTAATTCAACAGCTCAAAGATGAGATCAAGGACACAGGTTCTCTCCACTCTTCCGCTCTGCCATTTGCAGCTTGTTCTTAGGTTCACATCCCATGTCCTCAGTGTGGCTGTGGTAGTTCATCATGACCTAAGAGTGGAAGAGGGGAAGAGGCCTGTCCTTTTCTTCGTGTTCCATTGTAACGTGATGTGATGAAAATTATTCCAGAAGTTCCCTACAGACCTCCTTTCTGAGTTAGTTCCCATACCTCTTCTAGCCTTAGTAAGGGGACTAGAATACCATGATAAGGCCTAGACTAATCAGAATTCATCCCTAGATAGAAAAGGGGGCCAGGCCCAGTGGCTCACGCCTGTAATCCCAGCACTTTGGGAGGCCAAGGCAGGTAGATCACCTGAGATCAGGAGTTCAAGACCAGCCTGGCCAACATGGTGAAACCCCGTGTCTACTAAAAATACAAAAATTAGCTGGGCATGGAGGCACGTGCCTGTAATCCCAGCTACTTGGTAGGCTGAGGCAGGAGAATTGCTTGAGCCTGGGAGGTGGGGGTTGCAGTGAGCCAACATCGTGGCATTGCACTCCAGCCTGGACAACAGAGTGAGATTCCATTTCAAAAAAAAAAAAAAAAAGGTAAAGGGCCCAATATTTCAGAAACACACAGAGTTATCTAATTCTTGAACGAAACTGGGATTTTGCTAGCAAAGAAAAATGTGGGGGGATGGATGTGGTGGCTCACACTTGTAATGCACTTTGGGAGGCTGAGGCAGGTGGATCACCTGAGGTCAGGAGTTTGAGACCAGCCTGGCCAATATGGTGAAACCCTGTCTCTATGAAAAATACAAAAATTAGCTGGGTGTGCAGCATGTTCCTGTAGTCCCAGCTACTCAGGAGGCTGAGGCAGGAGAACCGCTTCAACCCGGGAGGCGGAGGTTGGAGTGAGCTGAGCTCCTGCACTGCACTCCAGCCTGGGCAACAGAGCAAGACTCCATCTCAAAAAAAAAAAAAAATGTGGGAGAATGAATGAATGTGGGAGGTAAAAAATGGTGTCTGCCATAGCCATAACTTGATGTCTGCAACCTCAGTTGTGGCGTTCACCATTTTCACTAAGCACAGGTGTGTAAAAATGATGTGCATATATTATTATTTTATTTTATTTTTGAGATGGAGTCTCGCTCTGTTGCCCAGGCTGGAGTGTAGTAGTGCCATCTCGGCTCACTGCAACCTCCGCCTCCTGGGTTCAAGCAATTCTCCTGCCTCAGCCTCCCGAGTAGCTGGGACTACAGGCACCCGCCACCACACCTGGCTAATTTTTTGTATTTTTAGTAGAGATGGGGTTTCACTGTGTTAGCCAGGATGGTCTCAGTCTCCTGACCTCGTGATCCACCCACCTCGGCCTCCCAAAGTGCTGGGATTACAGGCGTGAGCCACCTCCCCCGGCCTGTGATGTGCATATATAAATGAGGAAATCTAAATGACTAGACTTCCTTTCTTTTTTCCTCCTCCTTCTCTTCCTCTAAAAACTGCAAGCCAACATGATGTGTCTTCTAGGGGCATGAGAGATGGAGAAAGAAAGCCTCAGCTACCATGAGACTTTGTTCAGTGCTATGATCTGAATGTGTTTCTGCCAAATTCCTATGCTGAAATCCTAACTCCCAAGAAGATGGTACTACAAGATGATTGGAAGGTGATTAGGTCATGAAGGCTCTGCCCTTATGGGATTAGTGCCCTCATAAAAGGGGCACCAGAGAGCTAACTGCCTTACCCTTTCTCCATGTGAGGACGGAATGAGAGGGCGCCCTCATCCAAACACTGAATCTGCTGGTGCCTTGATTTTGGACTCTACAGCCTTCAGAACTGTGATAAATAAATTTCTGTTTTTTATAAATGACTCCATCTATAGTATTTTGTTATAGCAGCTTGAAAGGACAAAGACGTTCAGTTTAAATCATGAATACAGACCCATTTGTACCAAAAATTAACACAGCAACAAACCTTTACTGAACACCTATGATGGGCCAGCTTTTGGGGACATAGCAGTTAATAAAATAGAAAACCCCCCAACCCCTATGGAGCTTACATTCTACCAGGCAGATTCAGTGTATTAATCTCTAATGTGCCAGTTCACTATCTCCTTCCATCTGAGTCTTAAAAGTATTTTTTTTTTCTTTGAGACTGAGTCTCCCTCTATTGCCCAGGCTAGAGTGCAGTGGTGCAATCTCAGCTCACTGCAACCTCTCCGCCTCTCAGGTTCAAGCAATTCTCATGCCTCAGCCTCCCGAGTAGCTGGGATTACAAGCACCCGCCACCATGCCCAGCTAATTTTTGTATTTTTAGCACAGACGGGGTTTCACCATGTTGGCCAGGCTGGTTTCAAACTCCTGACCTCCAGTGATCCGCTTACCTCAGCCTCCCAAAGTGCTGAGATTACAGGCATGAGCCACTGTGCCCAGCCTTAAAGTACTTTTTTGGATGTTGACTTTTCTTTCTTAGGTGATATAATGTAGTAGTAGTAATCTCAATTTGTGGGTGGAAATAAAACACTTAGATCATTCTGGTTTATGCAGAATCTCAAATTTACCCACAGCCAACCTGCCTCCTCTTTTGGAAAACAGGAGAAAAAAATCCGAGAAAGGGAACGCTGATTGAAATAAACAAAGAGGGCCGGGCGCGGTGGCTCACGCCTGTAATCCCAGCACTTTGGGAGGCTGAGGCGGGTGGATCACGAGGTCAGGAGATCCAGACCATCCTGGCTAACACGGTGAAACCCCATCTCTACTAAAAATACAAAAAATTAGCCAGGCATGGTGGCGGACGCCTGTCGTCCCAGCTACTCGGGAGGCTGAGGCAGGAGAATGGCGTGAACCTGGGAGGTGAAGCTTGCAGTGAGCCGAGATCGCGCCACTGCACTCCAACCTGGGCGACAGAGCCAGACTCCGTCTCAAAATAAATAAATAAATAAAAGAAATAAACAAAGTGGATCAGCGGTATCAATGAGAAGGCTTCTAGGAGAGTGCAGCTGGAGTGAGTACAGGATGCTCTGAAAGGCGTTTGGGGGCTGAACACTTATGTGATAGGGGCACAGGGCAAAAGGACATTAGAACGAGAAATTCAGGGGTCATGGTGAGACTGTTCTCACTCTGACTTGAATCTGAAATCTTGACTAAGGGAGAAGTTTGAGATGGGGGCTAGTGAGGTTGGACCCTCCAGAGGAAGACTGGCTTGACCCAGGTTAACCCAGTGACTCATTCCTCTGCTAGGCCACTGCTTTCCCCACCCTAACGTCTGTCCTTGCCTGCTTCTTCCAGGAGGTCTTCTGTGCCCACAAACATAGCTCAAGTCTTGAAGCACATCCAGGGGGTTTGAGCCTCCCCCTCCCACGGTCAGAATCTCTTTCCTGTCTGAATTACTTGAGATGCCACTTGTAGGGCCAGAGTGCCTTCACACTCTTCCAGACTTGAGAACCTTCCCTGAAACTTCATTTGTATCCACTTGAACCTGGGTACACGGGATTGATATCCTACGTGCAACTGGGATCCTGCAGGTGCCCTTAGAGCATCAGGGCTTTATTAGAAATGAGGGTGGGGAGAGATACAGGGAGCGTAGATTCTGAGTGTGGCAAAGATGGGTTAGAAGCAGTTGTCATCATTAATATTCTCTGAGGTTAGTGACAAAATGCTGGCACACTTGACACTCCCAGTGAGCAGGCAGAAGTATGAGTGTGAACAAGGCAAGTGGGAAGGAACAGGCAGATAACATCAGGTCACAGTCACCTTCTTTCTTTCTTTATTTTTTTTTTCTGAGACGAAGTCTTACTTTGTCACCCAGGCTGGAGTGCAGTGGCACAATCTTAGCTCACTGCAACCTCTGCCTCCCAGGTTCAAGTGATTCTCCTGCTTTCAGGCTCCTGAGTAGCTGGGTTTACAGGCACCTGCCACGACGCCTGGCTAATGTTTGTATTTTTGGTAGAGATGGGATTTCACCATGTTGGCCAAGCTGGTCTCGAACTCCTGACCTCAGGCAGTCACCTTCTTTCAAAATCTTTTTTTTTTTTTTGGTGTGGTATGCAAAGATTTTTTGCTACAAATCCAGATACCCATGATAAAACTATAACCAGAAAGCCTTTATGAATGGTTTATTAAATCATATCCCTACTCTCTCAGGAAAGGATATATAAAATGTAACAACATATCAAGAATAATAATTAGAAATAAAGGAATAAAATGGAGTCAGGAATGTGACTACAAAAACACACCATAATTACTAGGCATGACCTGGCTGCAGATTTAACTTTGGGCTTACTAACAAACAATTCAAAGTGAGAACTGTGGCTGGTTATACAATTCACATAGTTGATAAGATTAAAAGGCCAGTGGCCCAAAAGAAGTACAATCATTCCTGGAACGAAGACTAGAAAAATTCTTTGGAGAGCCCCTGGGAAAAAGACAGGGTGAAATGTTGAGTAACGTGCTCAACTATATCCTTAGAGGAGATTCAGTGACAAGCTCTTTCTAACAGCATCTCTTGGTCTGGCAAATTCCTGGGACAGGGTGGGTAGAGGTGGTGGTTTCTTTGAAGTATCGGTCTGTGTCCATAACTTTGAAGAACCACAAACATACTGCCAGTTTAGGACATGTCAATGTTTTAGTAAGGAAAAAATATAACAGTCTATTTTCTAGTAGAAAGAGAAAGCCCTCCCTTCAAAGCCCTAATATCACTGATTCCCTGCCAACACACACACACACATACACACACACACACACCTCTAAATGTTCAATCCATAGCTTGGCTGAATGAAGGAAATGTTTTAATGTAATATGGGAGCCACCAATTAAGGAAATGAGGACCTGAGAGTAGGCAATAAATTGAAATTAAAATTATTCATTCTTAAATAATGGTGGAGCCAGATTTTATGTGAGGCCTGAAGCTTATACAATTTTAGGCGCTCTCTTTAAGGAAAAGAACATACAGTTCTGAACATAAAAGATGGTATGAAAATAAATATATGGAAAGAGGAAATAAATCACAACAAATGACTGGAGCCACAGAGATCTACATCCTTTTCTTCTGAGATTAAGTACTTTACCAGAAATGCTTACAGAGAAACAGTTCCTGATTGTAACCTGCTATCCCTTTCCTACCAGCAACTAACCCCCAGCACTAGCGGGGGCCTGTGCAAGTGAGGCCCCCCACCTAAGCTTAAGTTTCATTAATTCACGGCTATGTAGAAAATCGTCTCAATTCCCATACCGAGTCCATCATCATTTCCTAGAAGACTAAGCCTCTTCCTTCTCCTTGATACTGCACACTTTGAACTGCTGTTGATAAGATCCCAAATAAATCAATGCCTTTATTTCTTTGAAAATGACTTCATATCCATCTGGAAGAAATAATAGCTCCCAGTCTCATTCTTTTTAAAGTGATCATGTGTCCCCATTCAGCATGCAGGGCTCTAAATTTGGGTATCCTTGGCTGTCATGTGACAGAATTTCCCTAGAAGTGTTTTGGGACTAAACGGGAGGAATGTGAGATTTGCTCTGTTTTGTAAAGCAAACAGCAGGAAGTTGGGAAAGTCTGATAAATCTGAATGCATTTTCTGTACTATCTTGTCCTCTATTCAACTCAATTTTATTTTTTCTTCTTGGATGAGGAGCCATAATCAGGTTTCCATTGACAACCTGTGAAAATGTTGACTACAGTTTTGTAACTGAGTTGAAAGCAGAAAAGCCAGATGGAAAAACAATCTCCAACCTGAAAAGTAAAAAGCAAAATGTACTTCTAGAAAAATATTGCACGTGACTTGGAGAAAAATTAGAATAGGATCTGCCTATTTTAAAATGAAACCTCAAGCATGTGGTTTAGGCTTAGGGTGTTTCCTCTTTTTTTCTTGTAATTTTACTCTGAGATTGAAGCAGTGTTGGCATATTTGCCACACAATAGGTTTCCTGTAGTAGGAGGAAAGAGTCATAGGTTGAGTTTATATGAAAAAAGGCAAGGCCCGCTGATGATCATTTAACACAGAATGTAAAATGATCAGATTTTTTAAAAGTAAAATATCAGTTGAACGTAGGAAGATTCCCCAATATGCTATGGTGCCTTGTAGTAACTGAGTCCTTGCAGCTGCTTCCTGGCAGTGATTCCCTCCCAGACCTCCAAAAGGTTGTATGTGCTGGGGAACCAGGTAAGTGTGAATACCCAGTAGGGACAGGGCTCTGATCCAGGGCTGGAAGGCAGCGCCTGGGATCCTCAGGGCTGATTTAACAACCTTCTGATCCATGGGTCTCTGGGGAAACATTTTAGAATTGACATCTTTGCTTGGAGACCACAGAGCTGCCGATAAGAACATAGCAAGCTTATCCACAAATGTGTTTTTATAGGAAATTTTGTGTGGGAAAGAAATGGGGAGGAATATACAAGAAGAAAAGAAAGAAGGAAGGGAAAGCAAACTAAGCTCAGGTCCAACGTAGGGAGAAGAAACACTTGTTAATTGTTTTGAGGCATACAACTACAATGAACTCTCAGTAAGTCAGAATAGTCTCAAAGAGATCTGATCTGAATTAAAATGTAAACTAGACAATAATTTTAAAGGTAAATATAAATTTATTATTTTAAAGCATACTCCTTAATACTTAAATAGCTGAGAAAACAAGTAGAAATCCTCCTGGGATTGCTCAAATGCCTTAAGGAAAAAAATTGTAATGAGGACAATTAATTGTTCTTATCTAAATAGGTGCTGCTAAAACTACTTTAAGTATTTGAAAACTTCGTTTCCTTAAGAAGCTAAACATGATTTCAGCATTTGCTTTGCAAATCTTATTTTTCAAAATATTGCTTTGGCAGATTTTGGCTTTCTACTGAAATTATAAATTATTCTGTACTCTTTTAGCAGGGTGAGAAAGAATGTGGTCTTATTCCATGTGGGATAGATTAGTATACTGTAGCCATATATGTACTAGGCTCTGTACTGATGTCTCTCTTTTTTTTTTTTTTTTTTTTTGAGATGGAGTCTCCCTCAGTCTCTCAGGCTGGAGTGCAGTGGCGCCATCTCGGCTCACTGCAACCTCTGCCTCCCTGTTTCAAGCAATTCTTCTGCCTCAGCCTCTCAAGTAGCTGGGATTACAGCGCCCCCACCACCATGCCTGGCTAATTTTTTTGTATTTTTAGTAGAGACAGGGTTTCACCATGTTGGCCAGGCTGGTCTCAAACTCCTGACCTTGAGCGATCCACCCGCCTCAGCCTCCCAAAGTGCTGGGATTACAGGCATGAGCCACCGCGTCCAGCTTGGATTTCTATTTGTGTTTTTTTTTTTGGCATATGTTTTTTGAGATTAAAAATTTTTTTTGAATTGGTAAAACATTTGAAAGAAATTGAAGAAACCCAGTAAAACATTTAAAAGAAATTAAAGGGCATGAAGTGAGATGTACATAAAATAAGTCTCCTTTCCATTCTTGTTCCCTAACCTTTTTCCCCAGAGTCCCCCATGGCTCACCAGTTTCTTATGTGTGCGTTTTAAGATATTGTGCTGAACATTTAAGATATAATATCTCATTTAATCCCATGTGGTAATTGACTACATATTGTCATCTTCATTTAATAGATGAGGTAACTGAAGCACAGAGCATACTTGCCCCAGATCACAAGGAAATAAGAGAACCAGGATCAGAACCCGTGCCAGTGCATCACTGCTTTACATCCTCCGCATTATCTTCACTCCAGATGGCCACAAAGCCTGGTCTCTACTTTCTTGTCCCCACCCCTCTGCTTGTTTAAATTTGACTCATGCTTTAAGGCCTTGTTTAGAATAATGACAGCATTTACTGAGTGCTCACTATGTGCCAGGCACTTACATACACTATCTTATTTAACCTTCATAATAGCCTTAGGAGGTAAGTAAGTATTATTATCTCCATTTAAGAGAAGTGAAGCTGAGACTTAGAAAGCCACATAGCTAGTAAGTGGCAGCGTAACACTGCCATGCTGGTCTGATCTGAGGCCCTAACCTCCCACCTCCCGCCCATTCACTCACAAGGTTCTCCCCAGTTTGCAGTGATTTCACTTCTAGGAATAGCCTTAGCACTTCTTATCACAAACCACGATGGTATTTGCTTGCAAATTTTTCTGTATTGTTCTTTGGCAGTTTAACCTCCTAGATTCTTCTCTTTCAACCTTGCTGTCCACTCCTAGAAAGCAGACTCTATTTGTAATGCTCAATCATAATGCAATTGTACAAATCCTACTGAGACCTTACAAAATAGAACAAGAAAATGGACTAATGAAAATGGAACTCTTTAAACTTCAGTCTGGAATTACATCATTGGCATATTTAGCTTTTGAAAAACCAAATATATGTGCACTAGAATAAGTGAGAGAGGAAAAAGGCAACTTGGTGAGGTGGTACTGTCTGCCATTGCTCTCCAAGGCTCATGCCCCAGGGTATGCACCAGGAGGCTGGCACCTGCCTTTGCTGGATGGGCTCTCCATTCCATGGGTTCAGAGTACCTAAGTACCTGTCTCTGAGTGTGACTCTATTGCTTCAAGATGAATTTCTCTCTCTCTCTCTCTTTCTCTCCCTTCCTTCCTTCCTTTCTTTTTTTTTTTTTTTTTTTTTTGAGACAGAGTTTTGCTCGTTACCCAGGCTGGAGTGCAATGGCACAATCTCGGCTCCACAATCTTGCAACCTCCACCTCCTAGGTTCAAGCGATTCTCCTGCCTCAGCCTCCCGAGTAGCTAGGATTACAGGCGTCCACCACCACACCCGGCTAATTTTGTGTTTTTAGTAGAGACAGGGTTTCTCCATGTTGGTCAGGCTGGTCTCGAACTCCTGACCTCAGGTGATCTGCCTGCCTCGGCCTCCCAAAGTGGTGGGATTACAGGGGGTAAGCCACCGCACCCAGCCTCTCTCTTTCTTTCTTGTCTCACTCTCTTGCCCAGTCTGGAGTGCAAGGTACAATCATGGCTTACTGCAGCCTCAACCTCCTGGGCTCAAGTGATCCTTCCACCTCAGCCTCCTGAGCTGCTGGGACCACAGGGGCATGCCACCATGCCTGGTTATTTTTTATGTTTTGTAGAGATGGAGGTCTTGCTATGTTGCTCAGGCTGGTCTGGAATTCCTGGTTTCATGCGATCTTCCTGACTCAGCCTCCCAAAGTGCCAAGATTACAGGTGTGAGCCACCACGCCCTGCTTCTTTTTAAAAAATACAACATTGGCTGCAAGGTGGCTCATGCCTGTAATTCCAACACTTTGGGAAGCCGAGGTGGGAGGATCACTTGAGCCTAGGAGTGCTAGACCAGCCTGGGCAATATAGTGAGACCCAGTTTCTACAAAAAATTTTTTAAAAAATTAGCTGGGCATGGTAGTGCATGCTGGTTGTCCCAGCTTACTTAGGAGGCTGAGGGAGGAGGGTTGCTTGAGTCCAGGAGTTTGAGGCTGTAGTGAGTTATGATCATGCCACTGCACTCCAGCCTGGGAGACAGAGTGAGACTCTGTCTCTAAAACAACAACAACAACAACAACAACAACAACAACAACAACAACACAGGGCAAGCAGGACATGGAACTAGGTTCAAATACTGGAAGAAACTCTGACTCTATATCTTACTTTTAGGGAAATTAAAGGGATCTTAAAATTGAGCATACACATTTTTTACCTTTAGGACCTAACCCAATCTAAGGTGGCTGCATTTTACCTAAAGTTGAAGGATTGTCCCTAGCCAGAAAAGCTTCAGATCCCTTTAGTTCACATTCCAACATTGGGAAAATAAACTTGAAAAGTATTTTCCTTAGCAAAGAAAGATCTGGGTGTGAAACAAAGTTCATTTTGTTTTGTTTTGCTTTTTTCTTGATCATCAGTCTCCAGTGCCAATGTCTCAGTTTGCAGACTAACTGTAATCACATGTGTGGCCTCTCCTTAGGAGAAACAGTAACACACTCTCTGATGGATCAATTTGGCATAAACTGTGAAGTAAAAGGGATTCCATGCTGGGTGGAAGGTTGGACCAGAAGTTCTCCAAGTTTCCTTTCAAACCTCTCTGTGGCAGTATTCCAACTGTTCTAAGGCCATTGTGAAAGGTCTTCTGAGTAATTTATGGCCTCTTTTTTCCTTTAACCAAGCGCATTAGATGATCTCCAGATGTCTCTGTTATTCCTTTTGGAAGCAGTAGGGTCCTGGATCATGAGCTGGGCTGTGGGGAACGCTGCCTGGGAACTGTGAGGACATATTTAACCTGCTGATCTTGAATGTCTCTAGTTCCTCACTGGTCTTGCCTGCCTCTTGTTAGGTCAAGGCACTCATAGGAAGTGGATTAGTTGCATTTAAGGAGAATTAAGTGTTGTTTGAAAAAATATCTGGACCCTGGGGCCCCAAGCAGGGGTAGAGATTTACTGTGGAGCTCTTTCCTGAAAGCAGAACAGGGATCTGGAACTCAAGGCCAGGGCCTTTGGGTTAGGAAAGTGGGGCACCAGGATGGGTGAAGAGATTGGCTGGGGAGGGCTACCAGCCCCTGCCTTAAACTTTGGGCCTGCCCAGCAGTCTCTCTGTCACTGTTAAGGCCATCTTCACCTTGTGGTGACCCAGTTTTGTCTTTTCTGAGAAAAGGCTTTGTTGAGGCCAGGCGCGGTGGCTCACGCCTGTAATCCCAGCACTTTGGGAGGCCGAGGCGGGTGGATCCATGAAGTCAGGAGATCGAGACTGTCCTGGCTAACACTGTGAAACCCCGTCTCTACTAAAAATACAAAAAATTAGTCGGGCGAGGTGGTGGGTGCCTGTAGTCCCAGCTACTTGGGAGGCTGAGGCAGGAGAATGGCGTGAACCCGGGAGGCACAGCTTGCAGTGAGCTGAGATTGCACCACTGCACTCCAGCCTGGGCAACAGAGGGAGACTCCATCTCAAAAAAAAAAGAAAAGAAAAGAAAAGGTTTTGTTGGCCAGTGACCCCTATACAGAGACCCTCAGAAAACTTGTTCTCCCCCTCTCAGATTTTACGCCACTCCAGGGGTGTATTAAGCTAGGTTGCCACCTCCTCTGATGACTCTCTTTCCCGTATCCCCTTTTCCACGTGTTCTGCTTGCCCTTCACAATAAACTGTTATCTCCTGAAGAAAAAAAAACTGGATTTTGCCAGGGGAGGTGGCTCATGCCTGTAATACCAGCACTTTGGGATGCTGAAGGAGGATTGCTTGAGGCGAGGAATTCAAAACCAGCCTGGGCAATAAAGTGAGACCTTATCTCTACAAAAAAAAAGTTAAAAAATCAGTGGGGCATGCTGGTGTGCACCTTTAGTCCCAGCTACTTGGGAGGCTGAGGTAGGAGGATTGCTTGAGCCCAGGAGGTTGAGGCTGCAGTGAGCCATGATCATGCCACTGCAATCCAATGGGTGACAGTGAGACCATGTCTCCAAAAAACAAAACAAAACAACTTGGATTTTATTCATCCCTCCATTCTTGGCTCTGAGCCTGGCCCATAGTCCTGTAAATTGGTGTTGGGGATCTGCCCGGGGACCTGTATGGGAACTTTCCCCATCTTCCTATATTGTCCTTGACTTTTTTGTTTATTTGTAACTTTTAAGATTGCACATTTTCAAATAAACAGAAAGTATACAGAATAGTATAATGAATACCCCTTTATCCAGATTTCCCTTGATTGCAACACTTGCCATATTTACTTCATCTGTTCTTTTTGCCCAAATATTTAAAAGTAGATTTCAGATATAATGATGTTTTACCCCTAAATACTCATGTATGCATCTCTAAAATAAGGATGTCTCCCCACAGAACCATAATACTGTATTCTATATTATTATCACACATTATTACACCTAATAAAATAAATAATAGTTCCTAGCCTGGGCAACATGACGAAACCCTGTCTCTACAAAAAATAAAAAATTAGCTGGGTGTGGTGGTGAGCGCCTATAGTCCCAGCTACCTGTGGGGCTGAAGCAGGAGGATCACTTGAACCTGGGAGTTCACTGCAAGGCTGCAGTGACCCATGATCACACCACTGCACTCCAGCCTGGGGGACAGAGCGAGACCTCGTTCCCATAAAGGAAAATAAGTAAGTAAATTAATTAATGTAATAGTTCCTGGCTGGGTGCAGTGGCTCATGCCTGTAATCCCAGCACTTTGGGAGGCCAATGCAGGCGGATCACTTGAGCTCAGGAGTTCGAGACTAACCTGGACAACAGTGAAACCCTGTCTTTAAAAATACAAAAATTAGCCTGGCATTGTGGCGCGTGCCTGTAGTCCCAGCTACTCTGGTGGCTGAGGCAGGAGAATCACTTGAACCTGGGAGGCAGAAGTTGCAGTGAGCCATGATCGTGCCACTGCACTCCAGCTTGAGCGACAGAGCGAGACCCTGTCTCAAAAAAAAAAAAAAAAAAAAAAGTTCCTAAATATCAACTGCCCTCAGAAAGTCTTTTATAACTGGTTTATTCAAACCAGAATCTTCTCAGGGGCAACACATTGCATTTAATTGTTTTGACTCTAGTTTTTCTTCCCCTTTTCCTCCATGCTATGTTATTGACTCATTGAAGAAATCAGGCCAGTACTTTTGAAAGTCCCATTTTCATGGTGCTATTTAAACTTCACCAGACTCCTAAGGTAGAGCTGACTTAAGGAAACATCATAGCCACCACCGTGGGAGTCTCCTCCACTCTAGGAACCCTCCATTTCTTTCTTTCTTTCTTTTTCTTTTTTGAGATGGAGTTTCGCTCTTGTTGCCCAGGCTGGAGTGCAATGGTGCGATCTCGGCTCACCACAACCTTCGCCTCCTGAGTTCAAGCAATTCTCCTGCCTCAGTCTCCCGAGTGCTTAAGAACCCTCCATTTCTATCCTCCTCTTTGCTCCCATCATCCAGGAGCAAATCCCCAGGGCATTGAAACCCAAGGCTAAAGGCTCCTCTATCCCATGCTCTCTCATCTTTTGCTTGGAGGTCCATTTCCTGGCTTTGCAGTCAGCTGGTGTGAGCTTTCCAATAAAGCAGGGCCTGGACAGCTCTCCCTACAGCTGCCAGCAACAACCTCAGGAAGCCCCAGGGTCCTTCACTTAAGTTGCTGTCAAAGCCTTTGAACTTGGGGCTCCGGGGCTTCATTATGGGTAGCAGCAAACAGGAGCCACCATTTTTCAAAATGAAGTTAAAATCCTCCCCTTCTAACTCAATACATCTCTTAAATTCATCCCAGAAAAATAACCTGTTTTCCAAGTGACGTTAGATTCAGCAGCACCACCCCTACCCTATTGCCCCTGGGACTGATGATCTCCAGGCAGATGCTTCGCACCAGTGGCTGCTCCTGCCAGTAAAAAAAAAAAAAAAAAGAAGTTTCCATTGATTTGCTTGAGAAATGTAAGTTTGGGGCTGTAGTCCCTGCCGCAAGGTCAATAGAGAATTGTCTTGCCTGAGGTGCCCCAGGAAATCAGCCAGGAAAAGCAGGGATCTACTTTTCATTTCATAGGTTAGGGAGGGGGTGGGAGGCTGGGGCAGGGAGAGAATGGAGAAGGGGAAGGTTCAGATAGCTGTGTGTTTAGATCAGAGGACTTGGGCTAAAGTCAGCAAGAAAACATGAATATTCCAACACAAAGAGGAGTGGAGTTACGCCATCAGGGGTGTGGGCTGGAAACCCTAAAAGGACAGTTGCCTCCAGCTTGACATGAGTGTCTAGCTGTTTACTTTGGCTCACTGGATTTCACTTTTTTTGAGACAGAGTCTTGCTCTGTCTCCCAGGCTAAAGTGTAGTGGCTCAATCTTGGCTCACTGCAACCTCCACCTCCCAGGTTCAAGCGATTCCCTTACCTCAGCCTCCCTAGTAGCTGGGATCACAGGTGTGCACCACCACGTGCAGCTAATTTTTGTATTTTTAGTGGAGATGGGATTTCACCATGTTGGCCAGGCTGGTCTCGATCTCCTGGCCTCAAGTGATCCGCCCACCTCACCCTTCCAAGTGCTGGGATTACAGGCATGCACCACTGCGCTTGGCCTGGATTTCTATTTGTGTGTATTTATTTTTACAAGGAAAAACTCTCCAACAGCTATGTTTCTATAGGTGGAGTAGATCACATTTTATTCTTCCTGAACGTGGTAAAATGTTTCACAGGCAATTAAGAGTGGAGAAGAGAGAACTTTATACTTTTAACTAAATTCTCAATTTATGGATCAGTTAAACCTTTTCATTTTCTGGCTCTTCCTCTTAATTCTGTTTCTTGTTTTTCCTTTCTCTCCCTGCAAGGCTCCCCTTTTTGTCCCCCACACTCCACTTTATTTTCCTACTTTTATTTCAGTGGCTGGCAAAATCAGAGCGTTATATTTGATTTTGAAAGAGTCACTATGGAAGCTTAGGCAATCTTTTTCTCTAGAACGTTGAGTAAGGTGGGTCTGAGCCTGTCCTTTTTGCAGCAGCTTAGGGAGGGTGTGTGTCCATATGTGTGTGAGTATAGGAGGGGGTGAGGGAACCCAAGGCACCCCCTCCTTGCGAGACACAAAAACCTGATCCCCAGAGTAGGGGCAGAAGGCCAGGAGTAGGAGAAGTTTCTCTGTTTACTCCTTAAGATCTGGTGGTTGGGGGCTGTGCGTGGTGGCTCGTGCCTGTAATCCCAGCACTTTGGGAGGCGGAGGCGGGTGGATCACCTGAGGGCAGGAGTTTGAGACCAGCCTAACATGGTGATACCCTGTCTCTACTAAAATTACAAACTTATCTGGGCGTGGTGGCGGGCGCCTGTAATCCCAGCTACTCAGGAGGCTGAGGCAGGAGAATCACTTGAACCCCTGAAGGCTGAGGTTGCAGTGAGCTGAGACTTCGCCATTGCACTCCAGCCAAGGCAACAAGAGCGAAACTCCGCCTCAAAAAAAAAAAAAAAAAAAGATCTGGTGGTTGGGGCATTTTGGCAAATAGCTTGGCCACCACTTTATTATATGGTTAGTTTTGAAAGCAGATTGCTGAGAATGACAATGAAAGACAGAACTTACACTTTTTTTTTTTTTTTTTTAAGTGAAAAGAGCAAGGCAACTAGTTAGCATCTTCAGGTTCTGGATAACCTGCAGTGTAGGCTTCAGGAAATTGACTAAGGGAATCTGAGAGTAGACTGCACTGGCCCTCTCTGGACTTCGACCTTTAGGTTCTTTTCCCCTTTTCCTTTGCCTCTGCTTCTCTGAGGTCAGCACTCACTTCAATAATCCTGTCCCAGGGCCACCAGATCTCCTTGAGCTTCAGAAAACCCTCCTCTCACTGTCCTTCCCCAATGTTTCAATGAATGAAGGCTCACTGAGCATACAGCAATCAAACCTGTGATCCAGGTGGCACTAGGAATTCAGCAGTAGCAGTGTGGTTCCCACACTGCTCACTGGACCTTGGCTAAGACACCACCTGGGACCACAGCTGATGGCTGGGTGTTAACACCTACCTATTGAAGAACGGAAAGAGAACAATTAAATGACAAGTTTTGTTTTTACTCCTAAGTGAAACCACAATCAGGGATAATTTGTGATTGTAAAGTTGGCACATATATCTTTTTTTTTTAAATCAGGGGAATTTTTCTTTTACTTTATAAGAGAAAATTAGAAGCCACTAGACAGGAACTCACTCAAATTCTTGCCACAAACTTACCTGCAGAGGAATTCATCATTTCCTCCTTCTCCTCCATCATAGTGAAAGAGACATCTCATTGACAAAGCCAATTCTGAGGCTCTAAATCTCTCTTGCAGCCTCATTGACATTGCTGCATTGCAAGTTCCTTTTCTCTCTTGATGCTTCACTTGCTGCTGATTCATTGCCATCAGCATTTAAACAAGCCCAAGTGTCTTCTATCCTTAAAATCTTACCCTTCCTAGCTTCCCCACCCCTTTAATTCACTTCTTTATCTGACTTGTTTTGGTTACAGTTAAGTTTATTGAAACAGGTGTCCACACTCACCACCACTTCCTTACCCTCCACCCTGAAACTCTCCTTGAAATCTGGCTGCTGCCCCAATGTTCCTCTGACACTGGTCCAGCCAAGATCACTAACAACCTTGTTGCTCAATTTTAGGCTGTTTTCCCAGCATTATCTGACTTGAGCTCTAAGTAGCTGATACCAGTGACCATGGCCTTCTTGAAAGTGTCTTCTAGCTGGGTGAGTGGCTCATGCCTGCAATCCCAACACTTGGGGAGGTTGAGGTGGGTGGATTGCTTGAGTTCAGGAGTTCAAGACCAGCTTGGGCAACATGGCAAAACCCCATCTCTACTAAAAAACAAACTGAAAAAAATTAGCCAGACATGGTGGCATGCGCCTATAGTCCCAGCTACTCAGAAGGCTGAGGTGGGAGGATCACCTGAGCCTGGGAGGCCGAGGCTGCAGTGAGCCGTGATTGTGCCACTGCACTCCAGCCTGGGTGACAGAGTGAGGCCCTGTCAATAAAAAAAAAAAAAAAAGAAACTGTCTTCCTTGGTTTGGTGACATCTATCTTTTCACCACACTTCTTAGAATCCTTTGTGGGCTATTTTTCTGTTAATATGTTCATTGTAGAATCTTTGGGAAATTAAAAAAAATAGTCTACTTGTTATCTCCACATGGAAGTCTTTCTTTCTTTTTTTTTTCTTTTTTTGAGGCAGGGTCTCACTCTGTCACCCAGACTGGAATGCAGTGGCATGATCATGGCTCACTGTAGCCTCAACCTCCCAGGTCCAGGTGATCCTCCCACCTCAGCTTCCAGAGTAGCTGGGACTACAGACATGAGCCACCATGCAGGCTAATTTTTCTTTTTCTTTCTTTCTTTCTTTTTTTTTTTTGTAGAGACAGTGTTTCCCCATGTTGCCCAGGCTGGTCTTGAACTTCTAAGCTGAAGCGATCTGCCTACCTTGGCCTCCCAAAGTGCTGGGATTACAGGCATGAGCCGCCATGCTGGCCCCCACATGGAAGTCTTAGCAGCATTTTAGAATGCGGACATCCTAAATAGAGCTCATCATTTCCATTCCCAAGCCTGCTCCCCAACTATAGTCTCTTTCTCAGTGGATGGCTCCATCCTTTCTCCTGTTGCTCAAGCCAGAGTCCTGATGTTATCTTGGACTCTTCCCTCTCCCATATTTCTCATGCCCAATCAATCATCAAGACCCATCAATTTTATCTCTTGACTATTTCCAAATCCATTTATAATTGACCCTCGAACAACACAGGTTTGAACTGTGGGGATCACTTTTACGTGGATATTTTTCAACCAAACGCAGAATGAAAATACATTATTTGCAGGATGTGAAACCCACTCACATAGAGGGCATATATGCAGGTTCTGCAGGACTTGAGTATGCACAGATTTTGGTATGGAATTGTGGAGTTCTGGAACCAATCCCCCGCGTATATGGAAAGTATGGAAGGACAACTGTACTTTCTATTTTTTTTTTTTTTTTTTGAGACTGTACTTTCTTTTTTTTTTTTTTTTTTGAGACAAGGTCTCTATCTTCCAGGCTGGAGTGCAGTGGCACTATCTTGGCTCACTGCAACCTCCACCTCCCAGGTTCAAGCAATTCTCCTGTCTCAGCCTCCCGAGTAGCTGGGACTATAGGCGTGCGCCACCATGCCTAGCTAATTTTTGTATTTTTTAGTAGAGATGGGGTTTCACCATGTTGGCCGGGCTGGTCTCGAACTCCTGACCTCAGGTAATCCGCCCGCCTTGGCCTCCCAAAGTGTTGGGATTACAGGCGTGAGCCACTGAGTCTGTTCTTTTTTTTTTTTTTTTTTTTTTTTTTTTTTTTTTTTTTGGAGACGGAGTCTAAATCTGTCGCCCAGGCTGGAGTGTGGATTGCAGCGGTGATCTCGGCTCACGGCAACCTCCGCCTCCCGGGTTCAAGCCATTCACCTCCCTCAGCCTCCCTGGTAGCTGGGACTACAGGCACACGCCGCCATGCTCGGCTAATTTTTTTGTATTTTTAGTAGAATCGGGGTTTCACTGTGTTGCCTAGGCTGGTTTCGAACTCCTGAGCTCAAGCAATCCGCCCGCCTCGGCCTCTCAAAGTGCTAGGATTACAGGCGGAGCCACCGCGCCCGGCTGCCACCGCGTCTGTTCTTACTGCTTCCGTGTTAGTTTGAGTTCCTCTCTTTCTCGCCAACTCAATTTGACAACCTCCTAACTAGTCTTCCTGACTCCATTTTTTGCCCCATTCCTTTCCATTCTTCCTACTACAGCCAGCCTCCTCTGTAAACAGTCACATCTGAGCGCGTCACCCCGCCACCCCTCTATTACATAAACTCTTTGATAGAGGGTAATCCTCAGGACAAAGTCTACATTTCTCAATGTGACCTTCAAGGATCTGCATTTTGTGTTCTTTGCTTGCCTCTTCGGTCTTTTTTCCATCACACCTATCCCCACCCCTTTCAGCCATACTGAACTAATTGTACTATTCTAAGTGCCCCTTCTCATCTCCCAGTTTTTTTTTTTTTTTGAGACGGAGTCTCGCTCTGTTGCCCAGGCTGGAGTGCAGTGGCGCGATCTGGGCTCACTGCAAGCTCCGCCTCCCGGGTTCACGCCATTCTCCTGCCTCAGCACCCCCAACAAGTAGCTGGGATCACAGGCGCCCGCCACCAAGCCCAGCTAATTTTGTTTTTGTATTTTTAGTAGAGACGGGGTTTAACCGTGTTAGCCCGGGTGGTCTCGATCTCCTGACCTCATGATCCGCCCGCCTCGACCTCCCGAAGTGCTGGGATTACAGGCGTGAGCCACCGCGCCCAGCCTCATCTCCCTATTTTTTATGTGTAGTTCTTGAAATTTTTCTTTTCCCCTTCCTGGCTAACTGAAACTCATTTGTTGGATTTCAGGTTAGAGATATGGACCTCTCTTAAAGCCTTTCCTAAATTTTAGGTGCTCCCAGGGCCCCTACCAAAAGTCTTATGCTTTATTGTCAATGCCTGCCTGCTAATGATTCTAAGCCCCCAAGGAAAGGAATATGTCTGGTTGATGGGATCATTTCCCACACCTTGCACAGTGTGCAGCACAAATAGACAAATAGTTACTGAATATATGATTGTGATTCCAACCACTGCTTGTGGGGAAAAAGTGGTTCAATGACATGGTCTGTCCTGAAACATTAAATTTTTTATCCTCACGTTCTTCTTTTTTTTTTTGAGATCAGGTTTCACTCTGTTGCTTAGGCTGGAGTGTAGTAGTGCAGTCTTGGCTCACTGCAACCTCCGCCTACCGGGTTCAAGCGATTCTCTTGCCTCAGCCTCCTGAGTAGCTGGGACTACTACAGGCACAGGCCACCATGCCTGGCTAATTTTTGTATTTTTAGTATAGACCAGGTTTCACCATGTTGGCCAAGTTGGTCTCGAACTCCTGACCTCAAGTGATCCGCCCACCTTGGCCTCCAAAAGTGCTGGGATTTTAGGTGTGAGCCTGCGCTCCCGGATCCCTCATGTTCTTTTCATCATAAAGAATAATATTCACACAGCACTTTACTGGGGGCCATTCCATTTTCCAGGGATAGGGATAGAAGCCAAACAAACCACTTCCTTGTTTCTTCCATTGAAATGATATTGAAATAAGGTCACTTTCATTTGTTTCCTCCTTTTATTCCAGTGGTGATTAAAACTGAAATCACTTTTCCAGGGATTGGTACATAAAAGCCCCAAGGACTAATCACTGATACTAAGCAACACTGACCTCAGGGCGATAGGTTTCCCGGTTATCCTTGATATATGTTGACAATATGCATCTAACCATTCACTAGATGCCTGGAAATGTTAATGCAAAATTAGCATCACTTAACAACGGTACTTGTTTAGGGGTTGTTTTTAAAATTTTTGAGCTGGTCTACTTGTTTCTTATCTCTAAGCTGTCTTTTGGTTTGCTTGCGGGAATGCAATTGCTAGTACTGGGTAAAAGGAGGTCATTGTAGGGCACAGTGAAGTCATTATTTATGAGTTAGTGGAATTTTCAATGGTTTCCTGGAGCAAATAGATGTTTATATGTCTGATATTTTGAGCATATCTGACAGAGGCTGTAAATAATATTGTATCTTACACATCTGACTTTTGTGGTTGACATCTACGGGGCCCTTTCCCACACTTACCATAGAACAATATGCAGAGACCTAACAGGAACAGCCAGGCTCCCTGGATTAAGCTACTCCACTTCTATCTTCATAGAGAGGAAATTGTACGATGCAAAGCTTCTTACTTAAACCACCATTCAGACCAAGGAGAAAGGTGTCAATAAGGTCAATGCTATAGTCAGGATCTGAACTGAAAGCTGAATAAACAAAATTAATATCCTGAGCCAAATCAAAACATTATTTTTATTTTGTTTTATTTTACTAGATCTTAGTTACTTTTTATTCTTAAACTAAAAACGCATTCAGTGGAATCATATAAACTCAAAATTGGGTCGTCAAACATTTTTTTTCCCCTAGAAATGTTTGAATTGGAATAAAATCAAAGTATTCAAATGTTTCTTAAATAGAGCTTGTAGAGTTGTTTTATGTGAAATCTTGGTTATAACTGAAGACAAATGTCCCTTTGGAAATTTACATTTCTCTGGGGTTCAGCTGCTTACCTGTTTGTGAGTATCATCAAGAATGAAAGAGTAGGGCTAGGCGCGGTGGCTCACTTGTAATCCCAGCACTTTGGGAGGCCGAGGTGGGCAGATCACGAGGTCAGGCAGATCATGAGGTCAGGACCATCCTGGCTAACATGGTGAAACCCCGTCTCTACTAAAAATACAAAAAAACCCCCCAAAATTAGCCAGGCGTGCTGGCGGGCGCCTGTAGTCCCAGCTACTCGGGAGGCTGAGGCAGGAGAATGGCGTGAACTCGGGAGGCGGAGCTTGCAGTGAGCCGAGATGGCGCCACTGCACTCCAGCCTGGGCGACAGAGACCCCGTCTCAAAAAAAAAAAAAAAAAAGAATGAAAGAGTAGGTGCTAGGAGGTATGAACCAATTAGCCCATTATCCCCTCTAGGCTTCAAATGAACTAGTTGTGAGGTTGGGAAGTTGAAAAGTTGATGGAGGGAAAGCCCTGGGTTAAGTTGGACTCCTGGGGCCTTTCCCCCTCATTCTCCAGAGAAGTTTCAAGTCCTCCCCCGCCCCCACTTCCCGCCTACCACCAACCTCAGCCGGAGAGGGGTTTCTAAGAGATGACCATCAGGAGAGACTCACCTGGGAGTAAAGAAGGTGTCTCAGGAGCAAGCTGCAATAGTGCATATCTATCTCCTGAACACCAAATAGGAACCAATATCATCTTAAAATGAATCTTGCCCAAGAAAACTTTCAGAACAGAGAAAGGGCCCCAACAGAAGCACGAATAGTCAGAATCTAGGGACTAGTGGGAGACGTAAGCTGCCAGCCAGAGAGGAATTGTTCCCAGCATGGGTGATTGAGTGAGATGATTTTTTTTTTTTTTTTTTGAGACGGAGTCTCTTATTCTGTCACTCAGGCTGGAGTGCAATGGTTGTGATCTCAGCTCACTGCAGCCTCTGCCTCCTGAGTTCAAGCGATTCTTCTGCCTCAACCTCCCAAGTAGCTGGGATTACAGGTGCACACCACCACACCTGGCTAATTTTTGTACTTTTAGTAGAAACAGGGCTTTGCCATGTTGGCCAGGCTGGTCTCAAACTCCTGACCTCGGGTGATCCGCTAGCCTCGGCCTCCCAAAGTGTTGGGATTACAGGCATGAGCCACCGAACCCGGCCAAGTGAGATGATCTTTTTTTTTTTTTTTTTTTTTTTTTTTTGAGACAAAGTCTCACTTCTTCGCCCAGGCTGGAGTGCAATGGCGCGATCTTGGCTCACTGCAACCTCCGCCTCCCAGGTTCAAGCGATTCTCCTGCCTCAGCCTCCCTAGTAGCTGGGATTACAGGCATGTGCCACCATGCCCGGCTAATTTTTGTAATTTTAGTAGAGACAGGGTTTCACTGTGTTGGCCAGGCTGGTCTCTAACTGCTGACCTCAGGTGATCTGCCTGCCTTGGCCTCCCAAGTTGCTGGGATTACAGGAGTGAGCTACCACGCCCAGCCAAGATGCTTTTTAAGAAGTCCCATTGGAGGCCAGGCATGGTGGCTCACGCCTGTAATCCCAGCATTTTGAGAGGCCGAGGCGGGTGGATCATTTGAGGTCAACAGTTCAAGACCAGCCTGGCCAATATGGTGAAACCCTATCTCTACTAAAAATACAAAAAAAATTAGCCGGGTGTGGTGGCCACACTGTAATCCCAGCTACTAGGGAGGCTCAGGCAGGAGAATCGCTTGAACCTGGGAGGCAGAGGTTGCGGTGAGCCAAGACTGCGCCACTGCACTGCAGCCTGGGTGACAGAGTGAGACTCCATCTCAAAAAAAAAAGTCCCATTGGAGAAAGAGGCAGCATTGCTGTGCCTGGCACCTGCAGGGCACTGAGGCCAGAGCGCAACTCTACTGGCCTTGCGAGACTACACCCTTCTCCCTCTTCCCCTTGCTCCTTGGGTCTGACCCTGAGGGTCTAAAACATTTGCTTGCGAGTTGGAGAGGAGGTGGATGGGGAGAGAAGAAGCCAATGATACCTAGTCCTCCACTGCAGGGCTCCAAGCCTGAAGCAAACCTGAGCTAGAAGTTAAGAGAATAAGATAAGAGAATAGGCCGGGCGCGGTGGCTCACGCCTGTAATCCCAGCACTTTGGGAGGCCGAGGCGGGTGGATCACGAGGTCAGGAGATCGAGACCATCCCGGCTAAAACGGTGAAACCCCGTCTCTACTAAAAATACAAAAAATTAGCCGGGCGTAGTGGCGGGCGCCTGTAGTCCCAGCTACTTGGGAGGCTGAGGCAGGAGAATGGCGTGAACCCGGGAGGCGGAGCTTGCAGTGAGCCGAGATCCCGCCACTGCACTCCAGCCTGGGCGACAGAGCGAGACTCCGTCTCAAAAAAAAAACAAAAAAAAAAAAAAAAAAAAAAACAACTAAGCCAGGTGTGGTGGCATGCACCTGTAATTCCAGCTACTCTGGAAACTGAGGCAGGAGGTTCGCTTGAGCCCAGGAGTTTGAGGCTGCAGTGAGGCACCCCAGCCTGGGGGACAGAGAGAGTTACTGTCTCTTAAAAAACAAAACAAAAAAAACAGTCAAGAATCAAGAACCCTCTGGCTCAGGGAAGGCACTAAGGATACTAGTTGGCTCATTGCTTCTGCAGGACATACAAGAATGATTGCTTTTTAAAAAAAATTAGACTGGGGTACCTGCCAGCCTAAATAACTGCAGTGCTTGACCAAGAGCCAAGCCTAGAAGGCCAAAGACAGAGTTCAAAGATTGCCCTTGTTTTAGACAAGATGATTTCTATTCGCCTTCAGAGAACATTTAGGTCCTACCCTGTCCAGGGATTTAGGCTTGCAGGCTTCTCAGATGCCAGTCTTTTCATGGAGCCGTGGCTCTGCATACCTTGGTTTTTCTCCCACCCCCATGGCAGGGGAGAATCCAGAAGGATCTTTCAAGCACCTTTAGGGAGGAAAACAGAGAAGGCAATAGCCACGCCGCATTCATCATCTCCTTTTCTTCTGAGTTCTCCATTTAATAGCATCAAATTGCCTTTCCCCTACTGTTCATAAACCATTTCCATGTGTATTATTATAATGATCGGCAGGATGTGGGAAGAGAGAGACATCTTCCAGTACAGCCTGGCAAGCATTCTGCGGTTGACAGAGCACCAAAGATCCTTATAGGTCCCCTTTCCACACCCTTTCTCCTCCTGTGTTCCCAGTGGTCACAGCTCCCAGTAACAGCAGTGACTCAGTGGTTCAAACATCAAAGTAAAGAGGCAATTGTCTGGAGTTGAAAGTGGATATTTAGGCAAACACTGAGAGCAGTGAGGAGTGTGTGGAACTTGGCCTGGAGAAATCCCCTGGGTGATATGCATGGATAGAACCCACAGTTCAGCCTGTCACTGACCTCTCTGCAACTAAGAGACTGAAGGAGAAGATGGCTGCAACACAGAGATCTCTGCTTCAGTCCTGGGGATCCCCACTGACAGTTTCGGGTTGACTCCACTAAGAGACACACTGTAGACCAGCTCTGGGCTAACATGCCTCCTCAGCCTCCAAGAGTGCAGATTCCTCCCTCACTAGCCCAGGTTGCTTGTCTCTAAGAATTCCAAAGAGGTGTGTCAGCTCTACAACAAAGCCAATAACCACTCTGTTTTGCTGAGATTCTCCTTTACACTTACAGATGATAAGGAGCTTTTCTAGAAAAAAAGAGGTGGTGATAAAAACTTTCTTCCCTTAGAATGTGAGGTGATGCAATGACTGAATCAATTGAACAATGCCCACATGTTTATTCTCATGGCGTTCTAGTTATCTCCCATCGTAATTCCAGTCCTAACTTCTTGCTCTAAAGCATACTGATAAAAATCACCTTTTAATACAATCATTATTGACCTCAGCCATTGTATTAATCAGAAGTAATAACTACTGTAATAGCTTTTATTTTATTTTATTTTTTGAGACGGAGTCTCACTCTTGTCTCCCAGGCTGAAGTGCAGTGGTGTGATCTTGGTTCACTGCAACCTCCACCTCCTGGGTTCAAACAATTCTCCTGGCTCAGCCTCCTAAGTAGCTGGGATTACAGGTGTTCACCACTACACCTGGCTAATCTTTGTATTTTTTTTTAGTAGAGACAGAGTTTCACCATGTTAGCCAGGCTGGTCTCGAACTCCTGACCTTACGTGATCTGCCCACTTCCACCTCTCAAAGTGCTGGGATTTCAGGCATCAGCCACCACACCTGGCCTGTAATATCTTTTAAATCTTACTGGTTTAATACTAGACAGGTTATTTCTTGAAAATGTTAAAGTCCAATTGGATGCTTGGCAACTGGACTCAGATGGCTTATGCCTAGTGCTTCCACCATCTTTGGGGGCCTCAGAGTCTTCTACTGGGTCCTCTGCATCTGACTTCCCAAGAAAGAGCTTGTGAACTATGCTGTCAGAGGTTTTAGGGAAGCCAGGCACATCGCAGCAACTCACATTCAGAATCAGCCCAAGCCAGACTGCTTTGAGCTCAGGAGTTGGAGACCAGCCTGGGCAACATGGCAAAACCTCATCTCTACAAAAAATACAAAAATTAGCCAGGCATTGGTGTCTCCCAGCTACTTGGGAGACTGAAATGGGACAATCCCTTAAGCCCGGGAAATGGAGATTGCAGTGAGCCCAAATCACGCCACTGCAACAGCCTGGGCAACAGAGTGAGACTCTGTCTCAAAAAAAACAAAACAAAACAAAAACGAAAAACAAACAAAAAAAGAATCAGCCCATGCCTCACCTCACTGCAAGGGGCTGGGAGATGTAGTTCTGCCATGTGTTGCTCAGGAAGAAGAGGAGCCCGTGGTTTTGGTGAGTGCTGTCTTGGTGGCAGCCCACCTCTCTGGGGGAAGCAGTATATACAGGGATGAGGAGGCCAGGGTCTAGAGCTGGACTGCTTGGTCTGGAATCCTGACCCAGACACTTCCTCATCATGTGGCCTACTCCTTTGTAAACTGGGCACAATAATGTTACTTACCCGAAGTGTTGCTGTAAGGGTTAAACAAGATGACTCCTGTAAGTCCTGAACTTAGCGCAGTGGCTGCACATAGTAAACACTTGAGAAACACTAGCTATTTGCAATGAATGTGAAGCCTTTAGACCAAGCCTGGCAGCACAGAACCTCAGCTGTTATTGTTCCTCCTTTCCCTTATTTATGACTTCAAAGAAAACTTTTTTTTTTTTTTTTTCTGAGATAGGGTCTCACTCTGTTGCTTAGGCTGGAGTGCAGTGGTGCCATCATGACCCACTGCAGCCCCTACCTCCTGGTCTCAAGTGATCCTCCCACCTCAGCCTCTTAAGTAGCTGGGACCACAGGTGTGCGCCACCATACGCAGAAGGTTTTTTGTATTTTTGTAGAGACAGGGATTCACCATGTTGCCCAGGTAGGTCTCAAAGTCCTGGGCTCAATTGATCTGTCCGCCCCAGCCTCTCAAAGTGCAGGAATTACAAGCGTGAACCACCGCACCTGGCCTAAAAACCTTGTTTTCTGATGTTCAAGGTCCTCCATCTGCTTCTTTGCTTTCCTGTTCTCTTCTTTGCTGCAAGTTTAAGTGTCTGGTTCCATTCCTGATTTTGTTTCTCTCTCCTCCATCATACAACCTCTGGCTGTCAAAGTCTTCCTGGCTTATGCCCCACCCTGTGGCCTCCAGTTCTCTCTCCTCTATCAAATACCTCCTGACAATTTCCTGTTAATGAAACCTTGTTTTTATTGCACATTTAAAGAATCTCTCTAAATGAAGTGGAGTGTTCCCCTCTGATTTTCTATTTTTTCCCTTACATTGTATCAATTTTCACAGGGAATAAAACCCAGGAAAATCAGGGCTATTAGCAGCAGCAATCCCAGTAATCAGGTTTATGGAGTCTCTGGCACACTGATGGGACAAAGTCAGAAAACAGAACCTGAGATAAGTTTCTGTAATTGTTTTATCTGTGCAATCTGGAGAATTTTGGTTGGCACATCCTCATAGAGAGCTTTATGAGAGTAGGCATTTTGTTATTCATAACTGTAGCTCCCTGGAACTGTACACATAATAGGTGTTCACAACTGGCTTGCTTAAAAAAAAAATCAGTGTTTACTTGAAGAAAGGAGAGTTAGCAGAAGGAGAAATGAGGACAAGGGAATAGACTCATTAAAGCCTACTCAACTAGTTTCTTCTGATATTCTCCACCACTACTTTTTATGGTATTTTTAATTAAAGGATTAAAGTTATCATTAACAAATATTTTTCTTTGCATTAGATAAGACAGTATAGAAAGACTCCGTCTCTATTTAAAAAAAAAAAAATTAGTGGGGCTTGGTGGCGTGTGCCTGTAGTCCCAGGGGCCGAGGTGGGAGGATCAATTGAGCGCAGGATGTCGAGGCTGTGGTGAGCTATTTTGCCACTGCACTCCAGCCTGGGTGACAGAGTGACAACTTGTCTCTAAAAAAATTAAAAAGAAAACAAAGAAAAACAAAAGAAAGTACATTAGTTCTAGATGAAATCTTGCTGTAAAAAAAAAGAAAAGAAAGGACACTAGCAATGTTGGAAGAGCTAGCATATTTCATGAAAATGTATGCCTTCAGGATCTCAATGGTCATTCTGATTCACCAGATTATTAATTTTTCTCTTGAAAATTGTTGAGGTCAGGTGCAGTGGCTCACGCCTGTAATCCCAGCACTTTGGGAGGCTGAGGCGGGCAGATTACCTGAAGTCAGGAGTTTGAGACCAGCCTGGCCAACGTGGTGAAACCCCATCTCTACTAAAAATACAAAATTAGCTGGGTGTGGTGGCACATACCTGTAATCCCAGTTACTTGGGGGGCTGAGGCAGGAGAATCATTTGAACTCGGGAGGCAGAGGTTGCAGTGAGCCGAGATCATGCCATCACACTCCAGCCTGGGCAACAGAGTGAGAGACTCCGTCTCAAAAATAAATAAATAAATACATAAATAAATATATAAATAAAAGAGAAAGAAAATTGTTGAGAAGACACATTCTCCAGATCGAGTTTAATTGAAAAAAGGCAATTACTCATATGTTTATGTTAGTTAAATTCTGAAGTAACAAAAAATCAGAACAAAGCATTATATTGTATTCATTCTGATTTCTGATTTTAAAATAGTTTGTAAAGTTAACTTTTAAATGTTGAAAATGGCTGGGCGTGGTGGCTCACACCTGTAATCCCAGCACTTTGGGAGGCCAAGGCACGTGGATCACTTGAGCTCAGTTCGAGATCAGCCTGGACAACATGACAAAACCCTGTCTCTAGAAAAAATACAAAAGCTAGCGGGGTGTCGTGGTGCATGCCTGTAGTCCTAGTTACTCGGGAGACTGAGGTGGGAGGATCACCTGAGCCTGGGAAGCAGGGGCTACAGTGAGCCGTGACTGTTGCACTCCAACCAGGACAATGGAGTGAGACCTTGTCTCAAAAAAAAAAAAAAGAAAGAAGAAAATGAAAAAGAACAAATTAAATGTTGAAGATGAAACACAATTGAGAAACTACTTGCTGTTCTGGGCTTTGTTGAGAAGAATCAGCATCCCCCATTCTCTTCCCCACTTCCTACAGTCTCACAAGTCAGATCTTTCCTGAATAGACCTACTGATGAAGAAGTGAGGCCAAATTAACATGAAGTATCATTATGATAAAGAAATAGACAGTGATACCAACACTTATGAGACTGGGGCAGCTTTGCCAGATATATTAAGATTTCTTTTTTGCCTAACCAAGAAGGTTACTGATTTGTAAGAACCAGTCCAAGTTGGGTGCAGTGGCTCATGCCAGTAATTCCAGCTCTTTGGGAGGCCAAGGTGGTAGGATTGCTTGAGTTCAGGAATTCAAGACAAGCTTGGACAACATAGTGAAACGTCATCTCCACTAAAAATAAAAATAAAAATAAATTACCTGGGTGTGGTGGCACATGCCTGTAGTCCCATCTACTTGGGAGGCTCAAGGAGGAGGATTGCTTGAGCCCAGAAGTTCGAGGCTGCAGTGAGCTATGATCACTCCAGTGCACTCTAGCCTGGGGCAACAGAGTGAGACCTTGTCTCCAAAAACAAATGAGCAAAACAAACAACCAAACAACAGCAACAAAAAGTCCAGATTTTCTCATACTCTGAAATTGTACAAACTACGAAAAGACTGTTTGGCTCTAAGCTTCAGGGCAAGCAGTCAATAAATATTTGTTGAAAGAAAGAATGAATAAATGAATGAATGAATGAATGCATTATAATCAGCTATTGCTGGTCCAGAACAAGATAAGCTGAGGCCTGAGAATAGGTGCCAGAAAAGGAGATAATTTCCTCTTGACATTAGGACTGAACCCCTAAGAGGCCTTCCTGCCTATCTGAGTGATGTCTAAGGTCTTAGGCCGTATGTTTTAAACTAACCTTACTCCTTACCAACAAACAGGGATTGATTATATAAATAGCCAAGTAATTCAGACCCATATATGTCTATTTTCTGCACAAAAGATCTGTACTTCGCCTGGTTGTAGAACCCTTGTCCATCCCCTTAATTCTGGAAGAGCTGGTGGAAGGGAAGACACTGTCATGTCTACTTCCTTCCTGACTTGGACCCCATTTCTAGGTGTTGGTGTTTATTTCTTAGTTACAAAGGGGGTTGAAGGGGGCACGCATGTATTTCCTGAGTGTTCATAGGGTGCAGGGAGTGATAACAAGAGCAGGCATGAAGCCATAGTCAGTTCTGCCTGCATTAAGACCAGGCTACCTACCTTGAATAGAAAAACTGTCTAAACTGAGTGGTGAGCTGTTAATAGGCTCACAAGGTAACAGGGAGAAGCAGTGATCGTCCAAGCTCATGATGAGCTCTGAGGGGAAATCCATTTCTGGGTGTAGCTGAATCATGCATACATGTATTACAGCAGTCCCCAACCTTCCTGGCACCAGGGACTGGTTTCGTGGAAGACAGTTTTTCCACGGACGGGGTGCGGGGTGGGGGGGCGATGGTTTCAGGATGATTCAAGCACATTACATTTATTATGTACTTTATTTCTATTGTTATTACATACACTTCATAATGTAGAATCAGTGGGAGCCCTGAGCTTGTTTTCCTACGACTAGACAGTCCCATCTCAGGGTGATGGGAAACAGTGGCAGATCACTGGGCGTTAGATTCTCATAAGGAGTGCACAACCTAGATCCTTCTCATGCACAGCTCACAATAGGGTTTGTGCTCCAGTGAGAATCTAATGCTGCCACTGATCTGACAGGAGGTGGAGCTCAGGCAGTAATGCGAGTGATGGGGAGCAGCTGTAAATACAGATGAAACTTCGTTCACTCACCTACTGCTCATCTCCTGCTGTGTAGCCTGCTTCCTAACAGGTGATGGACTGGTACTGGTCTGTGGCCTGTGGGTTGGGGACCCCTGTCCTAGGAGATCTGTGAGCAATGTCTGAAGTGTTAGTCAAGGGAAATGGAGCTCATCCTTCTGAGGGTGAGGCCAGGCCTTGGCTTGCCCATTGCAGAGGACAATTCTCTGGGCTCTAAAATGTGGCTTTGCTTCCTCATAACCTGTCGTTTTTTATTATCAGTGTCTAAGTAGTCAGTAAGTGTCATTGGCTTCTCTTAAAAGCCTTTTGGAAGTACTTTTATGTCACATGAATAGAAGCAATGGAGATAATTTCCTTCCTTCACCTTCGTTCACTGTTATGTCTTTGGCCCAGGTTCACTTTCAGCACACTGGAGACATTGCTCATGGTCATCTGTTTGTAACTGGGTTCAGTTCTTGGTTTCACTGCTCATGCGGGGTCATTTGCAGTCTCCTCCGTCCTCCTCCCACCTTCCAATCTCACAGTCTACAGAAATTTCAGTTCCCTATCTTTCATGTCAGCCAGTTAGATTGTACCTCATCCTTTGAAGGGAACTGGGAATCTTTCTTTTGCTCTCATTTTCCCCAGTTTGTAGACCACTAGCAGTGGCAAGGTGGTTTACCATTCACCATTAATAAACATTTTACTAGGGGTTTAATAATCAACATGTTATTTCCTGTTTTTCACACATCAATGTGAAAACTACCTTTGTCTCTCTAGTGACAATTGTGCTGGTGTGACATACTGAATGGAAACTGTTCAGCTTTCAAAAACTCATTCAGCTGTCCAAAAAAACCAGGGTTAGACTGGAATGGGGTCAGAATACAAAGGCATTTGCTTTGAAAGACTATAGTTTCTATTGGAACATACAGTTTGTTGACAGTCTTCATCCACTAGTACTTACATTTCTTTGTCAATGTCTAGGAAATATGTGATTCTAACAGAATTCTCTGATTTCAAAATATCATTTTTCCCTTGAAGACCATCAGAGAGTCTCACTACTACATGTGAGAGGTGCCATCATGTTTCTTTATTAATTTAGTTTTTGATTTGGGCATTATATTTTATGCTAAGGTAAAATATGTTCCTTCTTAGTTACCCCATTTAAACCTAGAGTGGATTCCAAAAGGTTGTTTTCAAAAGATTACCTTTAAAATGCCAGGATGCACATGCTTAGAGACATGCATTTGTAAATTTCAAAAAAAAAAAAAAAAAAAAAAGGTAGAGGCAAAAGTAAAATTAATGCTTATGATTGTCTTTCTGGAAGGCATTACAGATGGTCCTTGACTTATGATCATTCAACTTATGATTTTTTGACTTTACTTCAAGCACCTATACAATCATTCTGTTTTTCACTTTCAGTATAGTATTTAATAAATTACATGAGATAGTCAACACTGTTATAACGTAGGCTTTGTGTTAGATAATTTTGTTCTGCTGTAGGCTATTATGAGTGTTCTGAGCACATTAAAGGTAGGCTAGGATAAGCTATGATGTTTGGTAGGTTAAGTGCGTTAAATGTATTTTTGGGCTGGGCGTGGTGGCTTATGCCTGTAATCCCAGCACTTTGGGAGGCCGAGGAGGGAGGATTGCTTGAGCCCAGGAGTTTGAGACCAGCCTGGGCAACATGGCAAAACTTCATCTCTACTAAAAATATAAAAAAGTAGCTAGATGTGGTGGTGTACACCTTGTAGTCCCAGCTACTTGGGAGGCTGAGTTTGGGGAATCACCTGAGCCTGGGAAGTTGAGGCTGTAATGAGCCATGATCACACCACTGCACTCCAGCCTGGGTGACAGAGTGAGACCTGTCTCAAAAAATTAAAAAAAAAAAAAATCGACAACGCTATTTTCACCTTACAATGGGTTTGTTGGGACATAATTCCATCATAACATGAGGAGCATGTGCATATTTCTCATCATGGTGGGGTTTTCTAAAATGAGACTGAGTGCCAAGTTGTGCTGTGGTAGAGCTGAAACGGATAATAAGCTGGAGCCACAGCAATCTATTTATATTGGTTTACTTCCAGCAAGATGAGAACATTGGAATTCAGTGTTTACTGGAAGAAATAACACCTATGTTAAACCAGGTGATTACCAAAGGGAACTAAGAAAAATGAAAAAAAATCAGCAACCCTAACTTCCAACAACTCTAACTGGTTTAGCACAAAGTACTGAGTTGGTGGGCACTTTCCACAAATTGCCTGTGTAGATGTACAAACCCAATAAACAAATTCAGGAAGAAGGCTTTGCCCAGGGTATACCACACTATGAAATTTGAATGAATTTTCTGGAACAGGAAAATGATGGTTTGGGGATTATATATGTGAATTATGGGACTAGAGAGACCTCACTTTTCTTTCTTTTTGAGACGGAGTCTCGGTCTGTCACCAGGCTGGAGTGCAGTGGCGCAATCTCCCGGGTTCAAGCGATTCTCCTGCCTCAGCCTCCCGAGCGCCACCACGCCCAGCTAACTTTTTTTTTTTTTTTGAGACTCTGTCGCCCAGGCTGGAGTGCAGTGGTGCGATCTTGGCTCACTGCAAGCTCCGCCCCCTGGGTTCACGCCATTCTTCTGCCTCAGCCTCCTGAGTAGCTGGGAATACAGGCGCCCGCCACTACGCCCGGCTAATTTTTTGTGTATTTAGTAAAGACGGGGTTTCGCCGTGTTAGCCAGGATGGTCTCGATCTCTTGACCTCGTGATCCGCCCACCTCGGCCTCCTAAAGTGCTGAGATTACAGCCGTGAGCCACCGTGCACGGTCAGAATACATTTCTTTACTTCTTTTGAAGTTAGGCATGTCCACACAGTTTGACTTGGCAAATGAAATGTGAGAGTAAATAATGAGATTCACCTCTCATTTCCTCTGGTTTGGTCACCAAAGAAGAACATATTGAAATGGAATCTACATCAGCCAACTCTGCCGGCTGGTATGAGACATGTATTGTGAATAAGAAACAAACCGTGTCAGCCAGTGAGATTTGGAGGTTGTTTATTGTTAAAGTGGAAGCTAGCCTACCCTGACTGATGCAGGCAGTGTAGGGCTAGGTAATCTACTTGTGGATGGACATGGATTCAGAAGTAGCCTGTGACACAGCTGAACAACTTAACAGTCTGATGCCAAACAACCTAACAGGTTGATGCTTAAAGAATGACTCTTCAAAGATGAGAACAGCCCACAAACAAAACAAAACAACACAAAAGGAAAATTCTTCAGAAGCTATGTCCTGAAGTCCTTCTGTTTGTAACAGGACTTTCTTTCCCTCTAGCTACTGCCCAGCTTGGAAGGCTGATCCGTACACTTTCTCCTTTACAATCTCTGATTCATGCAACTATCATCGTCAAAAAGAGATTGTGGACTAGGCTGGGTGTGGTGGCTCAGGCCTGTAATCCCAGCACTTTGGGAGGCCAAGGTGGGTGGATCACCTGAGGTCAAGAGTTCGAGACCAGCCTGGCCAACATGGCAAAACCTGTCTCTATTAAAAATACAAAAAAATTAGCCGGGCATGGTAGCGTGTGCCTGTAATCCCAGCTACTCGGGAGGCTGAGACAGGAGAATCCCTTGAACCCAGCAGGCAGAGGTGGCAGTGAGCTGAGATTGCGCCACTGCACTCCAGCCTGGGCGACAGAGGGAGACTCCATCTTAAAAAAGAAAAAAAAGAGATTGTGGACTAATGACATCTTTTATGATTGCTTTCTACATCCCCCTTCCTTGCCAACTCCCTCTTTGCCTCTCTACTTCCTTCCTTCCTGAAAAAAAATGAAATGATCAAGTGCCTACTTTGTGCCAGGCATTGTATAAATTTCTAGAAGTGCAAAGCCAAAGGATTGTGATTTGGCCCCAGAGGAGTGTCTATCTAGTTAATGGTATAGTCTAACCTTTCCAAACAAATACTACTAATATAAAGTGGTGAATGTTATACAGGTACTTGAGATATTCACAAAATAATATCTAGGCTCCCAAATAACATAGAGTGGCCATCATCTTATGTGGCTAAGCCTTGAACTTTATGCAGACCCCTAGCACAAATCAATCCAAACAACACATAATTATCTTAGTAAGATCCGCAGTTAGTTGTAGTCATTCAAAACTTTGCTAAGTCTTAAGTTTGCGAAAGTCTTGAGTAGGCAAGAGACCATTATTTTGAAACAGAAAAATAGTTAAATATGTAGAGTATTTGAGAAATGTGTGAGAACTGCCTATTCAACTCTGTTGGGCCAGGATGTAGATCTTTCCAAATCACATGACTTCTCCCTGTTGGCACAATCAATCATATCTGAAAATGATGACATATGGAAATAATTAAATAACAAAGAAGAGAGATAAACATTGTCAAGTGACTTGGGCTGTAGCCAGGAACTGACAATGTTAAAAAATATTTTGCAGAAGATTGTACATTTAAAAGCCGTAAACTGTGACTGATCATAGGAATTTATTTTTAAATAGGTTTCATTAGTTCAAGTTAGAATGACAATAAATGTGAAGACATGTTTGTCTGGGATGTGGTTTTTTTTTTGTTTTGTTTTTTGCTTTTATTCAGCAAAGCGTACTTTTTTTCCCAAAACATAAAATCATTCAGCAAAAAAACAACCAAAGAACAATAACAAAAAAACAGTGCACATGCCACAAAGCAAACCAAACATAGCTCAGTTTTCCTACTGATAACATATTTTGTCTTTTAATTTTGGCATGTGGAAGTCACAGAAATTCACAGACTTAATATGCACACCCAAATATTCTAAGTGCTTATTTAGGGAGTATCTTTATTTGGAATAAAGAATTTCGAGTTATAAAACTGATGGCTTATAGAATGCAGCTTACTAAATTGGTCTTCGTTCTTACAAACTGGAGTAATCTTGTCCTTTGAGAGTTGAAAATACATATTCATCTACATTTCTGCAGCGAGTGGCCCACAGTTAATTTTCATCACTGGTGGGGTTGGCAGAATGTTCACTCTCTTCTGCTGCTGTGCTGTGTCTTCGTTGACTTGGAATTGCAGGAAGCACTCGGTTTGTCCGCAGAGGTTCTCCAGATAGAACTGGGAAGAAAGAATAGAACAAGAGACTTTCAAGATTTGCTTCTCTAACAGGAAGGCGGCAGGAGAATTGTATTGTGTTTTAGGAGTCGAGGCATTTCTAAGAAGTGTGTCTTGGTGAGAGCTAGACTGCAGAGAGAAGCTGTGTATGTATATCTTGTATATATATCTGTTCAGGCTTGCTGCATGAAGTCTGGGATTTCAAATATGCACACATAGAAGACTGTACCAAGTGTGATCAAACATGATTGGGCTGTGTGTGCCTGGCAGAGCTCTTCCTTGGAGTGGAGTAGCTGTTGATGTTCAAAAACTGCTCACAAGGTTCTAAAGAAGGCCCAAGACATTTGTACTGTGCTTTTATGCAAACCTCAAAAGGCTCTCAGGCTTCTTTTAAGAAAAGCACTGTGGGCCCTTTCATTTCTTTTTTGTAGAGCTAAGTTGATCAAAGATCTTTATCTTTCCTTCTCTCCTGAAACTTAACTGTGAAAAGCAAAGCTCTTGGGCCCTGCCAAAGAAAACCTCTCTTCGGCTTCTCCAAGCTCCAACAGCATTCAAGACTGAGTGGCTCTTTCCTTAACTAGATGTTTTTGTGGCTACAGTTCTGCTTAAAGACAGGTTCGGGCTTGAATTTCATTCAATGATAGAATTGACACCATCCAAAACGTTCACTTTACACACATCTGTAAAGGGCAGAGGAACTGATCTGTCAAGGAAGAGGTCTTGGTTTCTGCTACTAACTCTCTGTGTGACCTTGGACATATCCCTCTACCTCTTAGTTTCCTTATCTGCCAAAAGACAGAGTTGTACTAAGACCCTATTTTTCATTGTTTTTACCTAAAGAGTTCTAGAGCTCTTGGTTTGTCTCCTTCAAACCCTAGCCTAGGGGAGAAAGACATACTGGATATATACTCTATGCAAACAGTGTGCCAAGTGTTTTACATATGTTATCTCATTTAGTACTCCGATAAATCTTATTAGAATAGCACTATTGTTATGGACGGTGAGGAAACTAAAGTACAGAAAGGTTGAGAAACTTATCTGAAATAGGACAGCTCCTAAATCGTCTAACCTGCACTTAGGAGGATGTGGAGGGGCTGTGTGTGTGTGTGTTTGTCTGTGATAAATGCAGTGGGGTGCAATTGGAAGAAAAAAAGAAAATAGAATCCAGTAAGTATTGCTTATTTCATGAGGCAGTAGACTCAGTGTCCTGTAGTTTTGTTCCTGGCTCTACAATGGGAATAATAATAAAACTTGCTTTATTATTATTATGCTTCAGAGTATAGATATGAGAATATTCAAACTCAGAATCTCTGGGTGGGGGACCCAGGAATCTACTTCACAACAAACACCCCAGGTAATACTTAGGCACACTAAAGTTTGAAGATCACTGGCCCAATGGAGTATATTAATATTTTATATTAGGAGAATTTTTTTCATATAAAATAAATCAATAATACCAAAAGTAATCCTGATGAACTGCATTTTTTTTTCTGCTTAGGAATGCATGGACTGTGAGTACAGAGGCGATGTACATTTCTATCTGTCCAGTATAGTAAGGAAACTGATATCAGGAGGCCAGTCTTAAAAGAGAATTTTTAAAGCACCTTCCTAAAGACATTAAATAATACATGTAAAAATAAACTTGTTATTGTTTCAATAGTTCAAACACAAAAATTCCTAAAGGGAGGGAGTGTTATTTTTTTAAAAAAAATAAGCATTTAAAAAAAAGCTTTAAAGATGGTCTCTGTTTTCCTGTAATTTATAAGTGTTGGCACCTGATGTTCCCTTGAAAAATGAAAGTAGGGCTGGGCGTGGTGGCTCACGCCTGTAATCCTAGCACTTTGGGAGGCCGAGGTGGGTGGATCACTTGAGGTCAGGAGTTGGAAACCAGCCTGGCCAACATGGCAAAACCCCATCTCTACTAAAAAAAATACAAAAATTAGCCAGGCGTGGTGGCAGGCGCCTGTAATCCCAGCTACTTGGGAGGCTGAGGCAGGGGAATCGCTTGAACCTGGGAGGTGGAGGTTGCAGTGAGCTGAGATCATGTTCATTGCACTCTAGCCGGGGCGACAGCGCAAGACTCCATCTCAAAAAAAAAAAAAGAAAAATGAAAGTAAACGGAAATAACATTTAGTTGTGTCTAGATATGTTAACACTTGCAAAGGAAGCTGCGGAAGATTCATAATACTTACATTTTTGATCTGGTAGGGGAGCTAGGTTGTTCCGAGTGAAAGGAAGATCCCTGATTTTGTGTCTGTTTGGGGAAAGATGCTGAAAATTTTGTCCTGAAGATAAACATATTTGCATCAATTACTTGAGACTCAACCAAGTGCAAATTACAGAATGCAATGGATAAGAGAATCATCAAAGTTGTTACAGATCACTAAATTTAAGGTGGTAACAATAACAATGAAAACAATGATAGCTACACTTTATTGCATTTCTGTTATATACCAGTCACTGTTTAAATGATAGAAAAAGGTACTAGAAATCATTTCTTGAGAGTACTAGTTTAAATAAAATTTTATAAAGAAACACACTGGGTTACTCACCCCATAAAAGTTAAAGTTGAAAAAAAAGGAAATAATATAGATATGGCATCTCTTATATATTCATCAAATCTTTGATGAAATGAGTGGGTGATGAGTAGAGTATTTTCTTCTAAAGCAGAGTTTCTCAGTCCTGGCTGCACATAGGAATTATCTAAGAAGCTAGAAAACATACTGCTTTCCTGGCCACATCCCAGGTTATTAGATCAGAATCTCTGGAGGTGGGGCATGGTGTCAGCTGTTTATCAGCTCCCAGCTGATTCAAGTGCAGCCAGGATGGAGAATCATTGACCTGGAAGACGGAATGGGGTAGATGCACTCAGGAAACCTATTCTTTAACTTGGACAGAAAGCAGTGGTGTGTGCATGGACCATGTGAGCCAGCTCTTGAGAGCTGATGGTTACATTTTCAGAAATTTTGTGAACTGTTTGACATCACACTAGTGTCTTGAAATCAGCCATGGTGGGTGTATTTACACCGTGAAAAATCAGCAAGCACAGATTTTTCTCCTGGAAAGCTAGCTGTTAAACATTCATCAATGTACTACTGACTTTAAGATACGGATGTTCGATACCTGAAAATAGAAGGGAACACACAAATGTGATTTAAATCCATTTTAAAATTGACTGGATGGTGTCATGAATAGGAGCTTGGTTGGGCTCTGGGGTCAAACAGAATTAGGCTTGATTCCCTGCTTCCCCACTTTTCAGTTATATGACATTGGGCAAATGATATTACCTCTCAACACCTCAATTTTTTCATATACAAAATGGTGAAAATAATTGTATATCTTTTCCACTTGTCATGAGGATTAAACTGGAGAACAAGGGTAAAGCATTTAGCTTATAGGGTAAAGTACTCAAAAGACCTTAACAAAAAAAGATTATTTGATCTTTTGCCTATCAGTCTAGTAAGAAAGAACCAGAATTGCTATAGCAATGCTCCTAGACTTTAAGGGTCTTCTGTTGGAGCAAAATAGCATAAGAAAAAAAGAAAAAACAAAAGGATTAGCCAAGAACAACTTGCATCTGTTTAAGTGAATCTCATGGTGGATGGTCTGTGCAGAAGCGGCCACCTCAGCAATGTTAGTTGATGGAGATTAAATCTCCAGTCTCCCTGGTGGATATTTTGCCATTATATTTTATCCTTTTGAACACTGAACATCAAATAACTTCAGGAGCCATTATTTACAGAGAAAATATTCCTGTGTAGAATTAACATGAAAATTTATATTAGCGAACAACTATTTATCCATGAACACTTGAGCAGAAATTTGTAAAACCAACGAGATAATAATTTTGAGTTATGTTTATGGAACACTTACTTTTGTCAGGAATAGGGATAAATGCTGTAGGCATAATCTTATTTAACTCTGACAATCACTTTTTCTTGTGAGATACATTCTATTATCATCCTCATTTTACAAATGAGGACCTTGTGACTTGGAGGAGTTCTAAAAGTGCTCAAGTCACACGCTAGGAAGGGACACAGCCTAGACTTCAACCCTATAGGGCTGACCCTGTAACTTCTATTATTCTGCCTCCTCTAAGCAGATGGGAGCAGTGGGCAAAGAAGGGCTACAGCAGTGACTCGGAGATGAAGGGGAGTTAAACTTTATTCCATGTTGGCATTTTGCTCAGTTTTCAGGGACAGGGTGGAGCCGTGCATAGCCCAAAGCTGTCTGGTGCTGCAGGCAACTCCAGGGAGTGTTCAGCTTTGGGGACAGGGTCAAGGACCACTGTCCTAGAAAAAAAGGATAGGAAATGTTTTCACAGTTACATGATGGAACCCGAGGTGACTGCAGGATTAATAATAATAATAATGATAATAACAATAATAAATAGATAATTCAGCAATCATCCATTGAGCACTCATCATATTCCAGACCCTAGAGTACAAAGAGGAGAAAGCAAGGCGTTCAGGAGGGGATTGCAATTGATGTGGGAGGAAAGACAGGTAAACATATGGTTTTGAAGCTCCATGAGTAGTGCTGTGATAGAGTTTGTGAGGGCATTGCAGAGGAAGGAATGGTCCAGAGAAGTTGAGGTTTTCTGGGATCCCATAGACCTTGTTCCAGTATCTCCTCTGCCACTTCCTAGCTAGCTCTGTGACCTTAGGCAGATGAGCTAACCTCTCTGTCTCAATTTCTTCAGTTATAAAGAGGATAAAATCTCTCCTGCAATGTTGTGGAAAGTGAAGTGTGTAGGTGTGTAGGTCAGCAAGGTGGAGCTATTCTTTTTTTTTTTTTTTTTTGGAGACAGTGTCTCACTCTGTTTCTCAGGATGGAATGCAGTAGTGCCATCGTGGCTCACGGCAACCTCTGCCTCCCGGGTTCCAGCAATTCTCCTGCCTCAGCCTCCTGAGTAGCTGGAACTACAGGCGTGCGCCACCACACCAGGCTAATTTTTGTATTTTTAGTAGAGATGGGGTTTCACCATGTTGGCCAGGCTGATCTTGAACTCCTGACCTCAGGTGATCCACCCGTCTCAGCCTCCCAAAGTGTTGGGATTACAGGCGTGAGCCACCGTGCCCGGCCAGGTGGAGCTGTTCTTATTAGCAGTCCTAAGAAAGAGCCATATTTCCTACAGAGATCAGGGTGACCTTCACATATTATAGAAGGTGAGTTTTGAGCTGGTTCTTAAAAGATTGTAGGAATCGGTCAAGCACACAGTGGAGAGAACCCAAAATAATAACAAGGGCCAAGATGTCATAGAATGGAAAGGTATGAAATTGTCAAGAAACTGAGACATATTCAAGGAACTTCTGAAGAGGTAGGGGTGGGGATTTGAGATGGGCGGTGCAGAAGCTGAGCATGACCATGCCGTGAGGTCTGACCATGCCGTGAGGGCTTTGTTTGCCCAGTTTAGAACCCTGGCCTTTGTCCTGAAAAGATGCAAAACGTTTGATGGGTTTAGACAGAAGGATCACAGGATCAGACCTAACCAGCCAGAAGAGTGCATTGTTGGCTGAGATAGTCTAGAAAATTCTAGAGAAGGAAGCTCTCTTTTGCAGGAGAAAGGAAATGCACACTTTTTTACTTTTCTTGTGACGGCTTATAAATAACCAGGCTAGCAGACAATACCACAGAGCTTTCTGTTCCATTTTCTCTGAAAGCTGCCTGCAATGAATTAAGCTGACGTGCTCCAAATTCCAAGTCTCTAGGATAAGTGCTTCATCCCCCATCTTGCTGCATCCAACCTCTGACAGGTCTCAATAAATGTTAAGCAATAATCATTACAGCTAAATGTTCAGGGCTGCTGATGTAAGCATTGGATAGTGGCTGCCTGGAATTTTAACAGCAGCACTACTAACTCATATTATTTCTACCAAACCCAGGGCAGGAAAGGAGGAAATCCAAAGATAAAGGGACAATCCAAGTTCAAGTCAGTGCTATAGTGGGATGATTTATCCAACTGCTTTACCACATTAAACTTTCACATAAAGTTTCAACTCTCCTAGACTAACAACAACGACAACACCCACTTCAGTGTAGTGCAGAAGCCTCAGTGATCTCAAAACAATTATTGTTAAAAATGATCACAAAAATAAAATCCGTAAGGCTAGGAAAGCTTTTTTTTTTTTTTTTTTTTTTTGAGACATAGTCTTGCTCTGTCGCCCAGGCTGGAGTGCAGGTGCGATCTCGGCTCACTGCAACCTCTGCCTCCTGAGTTCAAGCGATTCTCCCACCTCAGCCTCCACAGTAGCTGGGACTACAGGCGCCCGCCACCACACCTGGCTAATTTTTGTATTTTTGTATTTTTAGTAGAGATGGGGTTTCACTATGTTGGCCAGGCTGGTCTCGAACTCCTGACCTCAGGTGATCCGCCTACCTTGGCCTCCCAAAGTGCTGGGATTACAGGCATGAGCCACCACACCCAGCCTTAGTGGCTCATATCTATAATGCCAGCATTTTGGGAGGCCAAGATGGGAGGATTGCTTGAGGCCAGGGGTTCTAGACTAGTCTGGGTAACAAAGTGAGACCCTTGTCTCTACAAAAAAATGATGACAAAAAAATTAGCCAGAGGAGGAGATGTGTCTGTAGTTCCAGTTACATGGGAGGTTGAGATGGGAGGATTGCTTAAGCCCAGGAGTTTGAGGCTGAAGTGAGCTATGATCAAGCCACAGTACTCCAGCCTGGGTGACAGATCCTATCTCTCTCTAAAAAAAAAAAAAAAAAAAAATCCCTCACTCTCTTTTGATAAATCAACTGTGATAAACACTCAGCAATCATTTAATGTTTGATCAAATGACTAAGCTCCTTTCCATTTTTGAAACCCTATGACTGTATCTAAACATGAGAAGAAAGTCAATTTAAAGTCAGTTGCAGAAGCATTTTAGTAAATCTATACCCCTTAAAGCTGATTTATAGGCTGAAAACACTTGGGAAATTTATCTTATCATGACTCAGTTGCCTAGAATGGCTCCTAGTTATAATCAGCACTCAGAAAAATTGGTTGAAAAAAATATTTGATATAGGCAGATTCCATTGGAGAAATTCACCTTCCCCTTTCTGCTATTCTGCTGTCCCAGGATTTTTCTAGTTATTTCATTGTGTAAGTGAGCAAATCCCCAAACCACGTTTATTGAATTTCTTTTTATTTCAAATAAGATGGAAATTTTTGGGTGGCACATGTGTCAGAATGTACTAACTCTCCATCTAATATCTCCTCCCTCACTTAGAAACAGAAATCCAATTTTGGAGGGATAGCAACGTGGCCAGCTAAAAGACTCCTTGTTGATAGCTGTGAATATATGACCAAAGTTTAGAGGCCAATGAGATGCAAGCGGAAGTGTGGCACTTAAGCCAGATGAGTTCTTAATGGGAGCTGATTCACATGGGGACACGCATTTTTCCCCCTCTCTACTTCCTTCCTCCTGCTCCATCAGCCCCTCGAGGAGAGAAGCCATACATTAGGTGACGGGGCACATAGATGGAAAGAGCCTATGTTGCTTATGATTGTGGAGCCACCAAATGTCTGGGAACTGCCTACTTCAGACTTCTTTCATGTGATAGCAATAAACTTTTTTTTTTTTTTTGAGACAGGGCCTCACTTTGTCACCAAGTCTGGGGTGCAGTGGTGCGATCTTGGCTCACTGCAACCTCTGCCTCCCAGGCTCAAGTGATCCTCCCGTCTCAGCCCCCCAAGTAGCTGAGACCACAGGCAAGTACCACTACTCCTGGCTAATTTTTTTTGTATTTTTTGTAGAGACGAAGCTTAACCACGTTGCCCAGGCTGGTCTTGAACTCCTGAGCTCAAGCAATCCACCTCCCTTGGCCTCTCAAAGTGCTGGGATTACAAGCCTGAGCCACTGCACCTGGCCGTGATAGCAATAAACTTCTATGTTGTTCAAGCCCCTGTGACTTTGGGTTTCTTTTACAGGAAGCTGAACCCCATCCTAACTGATGTAAAAGAGACAGGCCAAGGCTGTCTTTGGAACGGAAAAAGAACAAGATTTTCAGATTTTCACATGATTTTCATAACAGAAGGTATTCGTTTGGCCGGGACAGGCCTAACTCTGGAAAACAGGATGGGTTGAGGCCCTGAAGTGTCAAAAGGTGGCAGACCACTGTGTTCCCTTCCTGATCCTTCTGCAGAAAAAAATGCAAACACTACCCATGCCACCAGCCAAGTGCTTCAGTGCTTTGTGGAGGAAGCAAAATCTTGACTGGAGTTTTTCTCAGACATCAGGAAACAGCCTTAATGTGCTTATCCATATTTATCCTGTGCCTAAATATGTATACAAATATGAGTGAGGGAGCCATATTCTACTTCAAAGGCTTCAGGCACTGGGCACATGTCAAAGGGTGAAGAGAGTCAAAATCAACTGCATATTAAACGCAAAGGAATTTTGCTCATTCTGAAAAAATATATGGCCCTTTTCTACTTTTTAAAAAAACATATTGCAGCTGGGCACAGTGGCTCACGCCTGTAATCCCAGCATTTTGGGAGGCCGAGGCGGACGGATCACGAGGTCAGGAGTTCGAGACCAGCCTGGCCAACATAGTGAAACCCCGTCTCCACTAAAAATCCAAAAATTAGTCAGGCGTGGTGGCACATGCCTGTAATCCCAGCTACCTGGGAGGCTGAGGCAGGAGAATTGCTTGAACCCAGGAGGCGGATGTTGCAGTGAGCCGAGATCATGCCACTACACTCCAGCCTGGGTGACAAGTGAGACTCTGTCTCAAAACACACACACACACACACACACACACACACACACACACACACCCCACCGCCCAACAAAAACCCCCATTGCTGTCTTGGTCTTTCATTTTTCTACTCTTAGAGAAAAATGGCTTCAAGAAATAAATTATTTTTTCTCTTAATCCTACTGTAAGAAAAACAACTGAAAGATGTTTATAAAGCCTGTCTGACACTCCATGGAGAGACGGTGGAGTGGTGTGGACTGGACTGAACTGAACTGGGGACAGTGGTGTCTAAGTGGACAGTGGTTACTCAGATCCAGCCAATTATTGCCATTTGGGAATTTGGGTTTAGTGTTGCCAGATTTTCTAGTTTTTCGAGAGAAGCTAGAATTCTAGATTTTTATATAAAATTTCATAATTTAAAAATATTGACAATTTACTTAAAAACAAGCCAAGGTACTGTGGCACCGAACAGGTTTCGGAAGCTGTTTTGCAGCCTCTGCTTTTGAACAATGGTTCAAAGAATCACCTGTGGATCTTTTTTTTTTTTTCTGTAGAGATGGGGATCCTGCTACATTGACCCCCTGCCTCAACCCTTCAAAGTTCTGAGATTACAAGTGTGAGTCACTGTACCCAGCCTATGGATCATTTAAAAAATAAAAATAAATTCTTTAGTGCGATAAATTTATTTATAAGGTGGGGAATAGATACATATACATTTGTATAAAAATATAAATTCTATGCCAGGCGCGGTGGCTCACGCCTGTAATCCCAGCACTATGGGAGGCTGGGACGGGTGGATCACGAGGTCAGATCGAGACCATCCTGGCTAACATGGTGAAACCCCATCTCTACTAAAAATACAAAGAATTAGCTGGGTGTGGTGGCATATGCCTGTAGTCTCAGCTACTTGGGAGGCTGAGGCAGGAGAATCGCTTGAACCCGGGAAGCGGAGGTTGTAGTGAGCAGAGATCGTGTCACTGTGGAGGTTGCAGTGAGCTGAGATTGCACCACTGCACTCTAGCCTGGGCGACAGAGCGAGACTCCGTCTCAAAAAAAAAAAAATCTTTATCTATATCTATCTATCATCTATCTATCTGTCTATATAAATTCTTAGGCTTGGTGTGGTGGCTCATGCCTATAATCTCAGCACTTTGAGAGACCGAGAAGGGAGGATTGCTTGAGGCCATGAGTTCACCACCAGCCTGGGAAACACAGTGAAACTCCATCTCTACAAAAAAAAAAAAAAAAATAGCCAGATGTAGCAGTGCGCAACTGTAGTCCCAGCTACTCAGGATGCTGAGGCAGGGGGATCGCTTGAACCCAGGAGACAGAGGCTGCAGTGAGCCATGATTGTGCCACTGCACTCTAGCCTGGGTGACAGAGTGTGACCTTGTCTCAAATAAATAAATAAATACATTCTTTAGTGTGATACATTTATTTAAAAGGTGGGATATGTACATATTTCATATCTAAAAATGGAGACATATATGTGGGTAAAATATCTCTGGAAGGATAAACAAAAAATGCATTTTTTTTTTTTTTGACATTTAGCTTTGGATGAGGGGCACTGGATAGCTGGGGAAGACGCAAGAGGGAGAATTGCTTTACAACCCTTTGGTATGTGTTGAGATCTAACTCACAAATGTGCAAATGTGTTACCTTTCTACATGTGTCCACACAAGGCATGGCCATTTTCCCTGTTCCCTCACCAAGATTTTGGTTCAGTAGGTCTGGGGTGGAGATTGAATGCCTGATTTAAAAACAATCACACAAACAAACTCCTCACAGGTATTTGCCACACACTAGTTAAGAATCCTTGCTAGTGGAAATAGTAATATTCTTGCTCCAATCTGGTACATACCACACATATTTGCTGGGGAGATGAGAAGGCACATATTTGTACTTGATGATTACTTGAAGAGGGGAGAAGCAGAATGTTTTCACAGCTCAGAAATCTCAAATCCAGTGCACTTTGGGAGAAAAGGTGGCTCTAATCACTCATTTTATTCTCACCCTGCCTTCTAGGCTATTGTCACTCCAGTTCCTAGCTTAAAACTGTACGGGACATTTCCAGTATAGAGCCTGCTGAGAATGAACATGAAATCAAGGACATTACCTGATGATGGATTATGTAGATGGCGAAGGTGTGGTGGCACGGAGACCTCTTGGTGACCAGGCCGGACACTGAGCAATCTGTCCAGCAGCTTATCAGAAGAAGACACAGTCCAAACTTTGTAGGAAAATACCTGATTAGAATCACTCTTCCAGGGGTTATCTAGTAACATCTGGCAGCCAGTTCTGTTATTTAATAAATCCTGCTCACTTCGACTTTTCTGAGATCGCTGGGCCATATGATGAGGAGCAGAGCTCAGGCCTGCATGGGAAGTGGCCCTATGGGAGGCTGTTAGGAAGTTATTGCCCAGGGTGATGGGTGGGAGACTCTGCGTTCTGATTGGTGGAAGCCCCTTACGGGCCAGCGGTTTCTTTTCTGGTAAGAGATATTTTGAATTGTCTGAGGTTTTCTTCTTAAATTCAACCATAGCCACCTGATCACCAGGCTGTTCTTGGCAGTTGGTACCCACGATGCTATCAAAGGTGGTGATGATGTCATTGACTTCTGAGGTGTCCTCCTCTCTGTATCGGTCCCTGCTGGGATCCTTCTGATGGGCTCTCTGCTCTTCTTTCTTGTTTTTGCAGAATATTTGGTTGAGCACGTTGAACCGTCTCTCCTTCTTCTGGGGCCGACTGCTCTGGGAGGGAGGGGGTCGAGTAGGCTCTGTTCTATGCGAATATAAAAGAGCAGGGATGATATGTGAGTATGGGAAGTAGAGACATCACTCACCGAAATACCGACCCCCTATTCCACATGCTTCATCAGGTTTTCTGAGATCCTTCCTAGATACCTCCAAAGCCTTCTCAAGTTAAAGGCAGTGTGAAGAACTCACAGTACCCCTGGCAATCCCGCCCAGAAGAGGCTCTTTACCATGGGCAGTCTTTGCCCAAGGAGGACGTTTCTTAGATTTTTCTTGCTCCTTCAGGGGATATCCTTTCAAAATTTACACCTAGATCATCTGTTTTCAACAAGAGGTTAACTAAACTGAAAATTAGCTGAAAGTGTTGTTCTCACATCTCAAGGACAGTCAGTAGGCACGCAAGTTGAAGTCAGAGATGAAGCCTAAGGGTTTGAGTTCAGGCTTCAATGAGCAGAAGGATGGAGGAGGTTGCTGAGGTGGGGGGAATGTGGTTTTAGGCTTTCTCTGACAGAGATCCTAGAAAACCTGGACCGAGTGCTGACCGACTGACATTATCCCCCTCAGAGACCCCTCCCCATTTTAAACTAAAACTTTCCTATCGAAAAGTACTTTTAAAAAAAGTATGCTGAAGAACAGGTACGGTGGCTAATGCCTATAATTCCAGAACTTTGGGAGGCTGAGGCAGGAGGATCACTTGATGTCAAGAGTTTGAGACCAGCCTGGGCAACATGGCAGGATCTCATCTCTAGCAAAAAAAAAAAAAAAAAACAACCAAGGAAAGAAGCTTTAGTCTGGGCTCCAGCGAGGGAAGAGGAGGAGTGCATGACCAAGGTCGGGCGTGGCTGCAGAAGAAAGTGAGCAATGCCCAATGCGCAGGCAAATTATAAAGGAAAAAGGCCAGCAGTTGTCGAGAGGTTCCCTGAGGCAAGATTCTGTTTGTGTTCCTTAGAAAATTCTGTGTGATTCTCTTTTGAGGCTCCAATTGACTTAATGCTTTCTGCGGTATGAATTAACGATGAAACCTGACCCGTGTGTGTGCCCCTGAGTCAGATTGCAACACTACTTTCTGGAGTGAGATATCGCAATCTGCAATTTGAAAAACATCACCACTTATTTTGGATGCATATAATGAATGTTTTCTCTACAGGTCACACAGTGCATCCTTTGAATTTTTATTCCATGATGTAGTCTTATCTTTATTCTTTCACCTTCCAATGGGCTTTTTGAAATACTGAATTCTAGACTCCTAATACCACCAGAGAGAGAGCCCCAGGGCACTTCCGACGCTCAAGTTTCCCTATAAAGAATATGTCTGTGTGAATTGATGCTATTGCAGCATCTTGTGTAAGCCATCTCCTCCTCCTGTTACAGCTTGTGCTTTAGGCCTCTGGGTCTCAAAATGGGGTCCACTGAACCCTTGGAGAGGGATCCCCGACTTTTTAAGGGGTTTATGGCATTAAACTCTATTCATAATAACATCACAACGTTATTTGTCTTTTTCACTGTGCTGCCTTGCATCGATGGTGCAATAGAGGTGGTGGGTAAAATGGTGGCTGCCTCAGTACAAATCAGGACAATAGTGGCATCAATGTACTTGCAGAAAAAAAAAGTCCTTTAACTTAATAATGTCCTTGTTTAGGGAGTACAAGTTATTAATTTGATTAAATATTAACTTGAGTACACTTGTTTGACAAAATAAGAAGCACTCGTAAGCAATTCTACTATATACGGAGGTGTGATGATTGTCTTGGGGTAAAGCAGCTGTGCAATTGTTTGAGTCGCGGGCTGAACCGGACACTTTTTTCACGGAACACCATTTTTATGCCTTGCAGACAAACTGTGGTTATGTAGAGCTAAGTATTTGCAGAAATTTCTGCAAAATAAATAAAGTGAAATACACAGAAACAGAGAGTAAAACAGTGATTACCAGAAGTGAGGGTGAGGTGGGGGAATGGGAGGTGTAGGTCGAAGGGTACAAAGTTGCAGTTGAGTTCAAGTATTTCTCGTGCTTCAGCCTCCCAAGTGTCTGGGATTACAGGTGCATGCCACCACGCCCAGCTAATTTTGGTATTTTCAGTAGAGATGGGGTTTTGCCATCTTGGCTAGGCTAGTCTTGAACTCCTGGGCTCAAGTGATCCACCCACCTTGGCTTCCCAAAGTGTGGAGGTTACAGGCGTGAGTCACTGCGCTCGACCCATCTGACTAGGTATATTTATATCAAAATATGTATACTATATATATATATATATATATATATATATACAATAAAAATATATTAAAATGAATAAAGTGGGCCAGGCGTGGTGGCTCACGCCTGTAATCCCAGCACTTTGGGAGGCCGAGGCGGGTGGATTACCTGAGGTTGGGAATTAGAGACTAGCCTGACCAACATGGAGAAAACCTGTCTCTACTAAAAATACAAAATTAGCCAGGGGTAGTAGCACATGCCTGTAATCCCAGCCACTCTGGAGGCCGAGACAGGAGAATCACTTGAACCTGGGAGGCAGAGGTTTCGGTGAGCCGAGATCGTGCCATTGTACTCCAGCCTGGGCAACAAGAGCGAAACTCCATCTCAAAATAAATAAACAAATAAATAAAATAAAACGAATACAGTGAATATTTCATTTCAAGATAAATAACTGACAGTTATTGTAGCCAATGACAAAAGTCTAGCTTTCAAGCAAAAACTAGAATTTTGGAAAACTTATATTCACATTGTAAGCTTGACACCATCTCAGTATATAAAGCTTGTCCAATAGATTGGTGGTGATGTTAACAAATGTGACTTTTTGATATTGTATAATGAAATGTGTCATCTGGAAGATCTTTATAATTAAGTGAACCAATATTTTCCAAATGACCAATGCAAGGTGTTAATAAAATCACGCATGTGTATAAGACCCATTTAAAGTATAAGGTATAGTAATGTATTCTAATGTGACAGAGTACAAAAAATTCATTGATATGGTGAGAATCCACATTGCAATTAACCTTTAAGAAACTGCTGCTTGTTAAGTTTTGGTATCGTATCAAAGAAAAATACACACAATTATCTGAAAAGCCTATTGAGATACACCTGCCTTTTCCAACTACGTATTTATATAAGGCTGGATCGTTTTTATATACATCAATCAAAACATGATACTGTGGCTGGGTATGATGGCTCACACTTCTAATCCCAGCACTTCAGGAGGCTAAGGTGGGAGGACTGCTTGAGGCCAGGAGTTTGAGACCAGCCTGGGTAGCATAGTGAGGCCATCTCTACAAAAAAATAAAAAACCAAAAAACAAGAAAACCCAGCTGGGCATGGTGGCACATGCCTAAAGTCCCAGCTACTCAGGAGGTTGAGGTGAGGGGATCGTTTGAGCCCAAGAGTTCAAGGTTGCAGTAAGCCATGATTATGCCACTGCACACCAGCCTGGATGACAAGTGAGACTCTGGTTCTAAAAATAATAATAATAATAAATAAATAAATAAATAAATAAGCAAACCCCCAAACCAAAAAACAAAACACATTACATCGCAACAGAGAGAATGCAAAGAGTAGATGTGGAACCCACTTTATTCTATTTTTTTTTTTTTTTGAGACGGTCTTGCTCTGTCATCCAGGCTGGAGTGCAGTGGCACTGTCTCGGCTTACTGCAACCTCCACCTCCCAGGCTCAAGCGATTCTCCTGCCTCAGCTTCCCCAGTAGCTGGGGTTACAGGCACGCACCACCACATCTGGCTAGTTTTTCTGTTTTTGGTAGAGATGGGGTTTTACCATGTTGGCCAGGCTGGTCTAGCTGAACTTCTGACCTCAGGTGATCTACCCGCCTCAACTTCCCAAAGTGCTAGGATTACAGGTGTGAGCCACCATGCCCAGCCCGCAGCTGTATTCTATTAAGCTTGTATTAAGCTACCAAAGAGAGTTGCCAAAAATATAAAACAATGCTGCTCTTCTCATGACAATATTTTTGTTTTGGGAAATAGAAATATTAAATAAAACATTTTATTTTTAATTAAAATATGCTATTTATGTTCTCATGTAAATGTAATGTTTATTATTAATTTAAATGGATAACAATGCATATTTTATTAAAAATTTCTCATTTTAATTAATTAATTAATTTTTTTTTGAGACGGAGTCTCACTCTGTCACCCAGGCTGGAGTGCAATGGAGTGATCTCGGGTCACTGCAAACTCCATCGCCCAGGTTCAAGCTATTCTCTTGCCTCAGCCTCCCAAGTAGCTGAGATTACAGGCACCCACCACCATGCCTGGCTAATTTTTGTATTTTTAGTAGAGGTGGGATTTCACCATGTTGGCCAGGCTGGTCTCGAACTCCTGACCTCAGGTGATCCACCTGCCTCAGCCTCCCAAAGTGCTGGGATTACAGGCATGAGCCACCGCACCTGGCCGCTCGGTTTTAATTTCTAATGCCATAAATATTGACGGGTTTGACTCTCATAAACTAAAGTTATCTGGGGGCCCTTAATAATTTTTGAGAGTGTAAAAGGGTCCCGAGAACGAAAGTTTGAGACTCATCAAATTAGGCAAAAGAGGGATTCAGAGGATTTGCCAAAAAGGGAAGAGGAAAGAGAGAAAAGGAAAGAAGAGATTCAAGTTCAGTGAATATTAGGCTGATGGATTTGGATTCACTACTATCATTTTGCTCCAAGAGCACTTTATTCTGTGTTAGATAATGGCAAACGTTAATTATAGAATCATTTAATGTCTTTAATACTATGTAACATTAATTATATTATAAAAGTATAATAATATTATTATTGGTTTGCACCTTGGCAATTTAAAACATTTCATCCAAATTTATAAATAGTTGAGAAGAATAGAAAAATAACTGGCTCCTGTTGTACTCACCTGCTCTCTTGGGAGAGGAGTTTGACACACGCCGTGTGACCGCAGTACAGGGCATAGGCCAAGGGCGTGCTCTCATTGATGTCCCGCAGGTTGCTGTCCATTCCCAACTCCAGCAGTGACTGGACACATTCGGCCTTCCCTGCAGCTGCAGCCCAGTGCAGAGGTGTCCTGGAGGGGCCATGTGAAAAAAGCACAAGCGTCTGAGCATGTGAATTGTTCAGGCTGCTTAGCCAGCAACAGCTCCTGCTCAAAGTCAGGTTGAGGTAGGGAAAATCTTGTTGCCATTTACAGTATAGAAATAGTAAGTGTTAAATGAGCCCGAAGGATGATGGTGGACATGTGTAGGGGCCTCTCCTCTAGCTCTAAGTATTCCCTGCCATCTACACTCTCTGGCCTTTCTAACAATTTCCTAGAAGAGGAAGTAGTGGGTCAAAGGGTATGAACAGTTTTGAGGTTCTTTATACATAGTGCCAAACTGCCTTCCGGAAGATTGAGTCAATTTGTCCTCCTACTAGCTATGTTTCTCCTCCTTCTGTAATACTGAGTATTGTCACTAACTTTAAAAATCTTTGTCCATTTTGGTAGGCAAAATATGCTTCACTGTCATTTTCCTTTTTATTTAATTTATAGTAAGGTTTGAACTTTTGAAATATAAGTTTGTTTGCCATTTGAGTTTCTTCATTGAAATGACTAATGCCTTTTGTCATTTTTCTATTAAAGTATAAGTGTTTTTCTTACTAATTTGTATGTGCTCTTTATATTAAAGGCATTGGTCTTTTATAGGTTATGTTTATGAAAACATTTTCTGTAATTTGTTACTTGACTTTTAATTTATTTTTATTTTTATTTTATTTTTTGAGACAGAGTCTCACTCTGTCATCCAGGCTGGAGTGCAATGGTGTGGTCTTGGCTCACTGCAACCTTCGCCTCCCAGGTTCAAGCGATTCTCCCACCTCAGCCTCCTGAGTAGCTGAGATGACAGGCACATGTTACCACACCCGGCTAATTTTTGTATTTTTAGTAGAGACGGGGTTTCACTATGTTGGCCAGGCTGGTTCTGAACTCCTGAACTCATGATCCACCCGCCTTGGCCTCCCAGAGTGCTGGGATTATAGGCGTGAGCCACCATGCCTGGCTGACTTTCAATTTTTAAGTGATTTTTCTATAAAACTTAAAAAAAAATCACATTTAATTCCTTATTCATTTTTTCTTTCTTTCATGATGTTATGTTTAAAAAGTCCTTCATGGCTAGGCACAGTGGCTCACGCCTGTAATTCTGGCACTTTGGGAGGTTGAGGCAGATGGATCATCTGAGGTCAGGAGTTCAAGAGCAGCCTGGCCAACAAGGCAAAACACTGTCTCCATTAAAAATACAAAAATTAGCCAGTCATGGTGGCATGTGCCTGTAGTCCCAGCTACTCAGGAGGCTGAGGCATGAGAATTGCTTAAACCCCAGAGGCAGAGGTTGCAGTGAGCCGAGATCATACCACTGCACTCCATCATGGGCGACAGAGCAAGACTCTGTCTCAAAAAAAAAGAAAAAAGTCCTTCATTGGCCAAAAGGTATAAAAATATTCACCAGTATTTAAACCTTTATTAAACTGTATAACCAGTGTTTTCTTAAGAGAATAAAAAGACAAGCCATAGGCTGGGAGAAAATATTTGCAAATCACATAGTCAACAAAGTATTACTAATACTGGTAATTAGTATATAAAATCTTTCAGAACTGGCTGGGTGCGGTGGCTCACACCTGTAATCCCAGCGCTTTGGGAGGCCAAGGCAGGTGGATCACAAGGTCAGGAGATCGAGACCATCCTGGCTAACATGATGAAACCCCGTGTCTACTAATAATACAAAAAATTAACCAGGCATGCTGGCGGGCCCTGTAGTCTCAGCTACTTGGGAGGCTGAGGCAGGAGAATGGTGTGAACCGGGGAGGCAGAGCTTGCAGTGAGCCGAGATCATGCCACTGCACTCCAGCCTGGGCAACAGAGCGAGACTCCATCTCAAAAAATAAATAAAATAAAATAAAATAAAATAAAATAAAATAATAAAATCTTTCAGAACGGAACAATAAGAAAATAAACCAATTTTAAAAATTAGCAAAAGATCAGAATAGACATTTCGTCAAAGAAGATATATGGATGGTAAATAAGCACATGAAGAGGTACTCAATAACATCTGTCATTAGAGAAATGCAAATTAAAACCACAATGAAATACCAATACACACCTATGAAGATGGCTAAAATAAGAAAAACAAACAAACAAACCAAAAAACCCAAAGAGAACAAAGCTTGGCAATACCAGGTGCTGGTGAAGATATGGAGCAACTGGAACTTTCATACATTCCTGGTGGGAATGTAAAGTGGTAAGAGCTGCTCTGGAAAATAATTTAGCAGTTCCTTCCGAAGTTAAACACATACTTATAACCTACAAATCCCACTTTTAAGTATTTTGCTGGAGAAATAAAAACTTACATTCACAGAAATAATGGTACACAAATGTTTGTAGAAGCATTATCATAATTGTCAAAAACTGGAAACAACTCAATGTCCTTCAGTGGGTGAATGGACAAACAAACTGTGGTTCATCCTATTCCAGTAGTACTGGAATACTACTCAGTAGTGAAAAAGAACAGACTGCTGATACATGCAACAACATAGATGAGTGACAAATGCATTCTGCTAAGTGAAATAAATCAAATAAATCAGTCTCAAAGGATGACCTACTGTATATTTCCGCTTACATGACCTTCTGGAAAAGGCAAAACTATACAGACAGATAACTATTGAGTGGTTGCCAGGGCTTAGGGATGGGAGAGGGCTTGACTATATGGAAGGACATGAGTTGATGTTGGAGTTGATGGAATTGTTCTGAATTCTGTTTGTGGTGGTAACATGAATTCATGCATGTTAAAACACATAGAACTGTACACCATAAAAGTAAATTTTACTGAACGTAAATAAAAAGAACACCAGTATTCTAGATTTATTTGGTTTAAAAATAAAAAACCATGGCTGAGCACTGTGGCTCATGCCTGAAATCCCAGCACTTCGGGAGGCAGAGGTGGGAGATTGCTTGAGCTCAGGAGTTCGACACCAGCCTGGGCAACATGGCAAAACCCAGTCTCTACAAAAAAAATATAAAAATTAGTTGGATGTGATGGGTACGTGCCTGTAGTCCTCGCTTCTCAGGAGGTTGAGGTGGGAGGATTGATTGAGCCTAGAGAGGTTGAGGCTTCAGTGAGCCGAGATCCTGCCACCACACTCCAGCCTGGGCAATGGAGCGAGACCCTGTCTCAAAAAACAAAAACTAAACAAACAAAACCTGTGTGTGTGTCTATATGCGTATTTTGGTATGTGCAGTGAGGTCAGAGCCAATTTGACTGTTTTTGTAATTACATAGCCAACTTTTCTCAACACCATTTTTTTTTTTTTTGAGACATAGTCTTGCTCTGTTGCCAGGCTGGAGTGCAGTGGTGCAATCTCAGCTCACTGAAACCTCCGACTCCCTGGTTCAAGCTATTCTCCTGCCTCAGCCTCCCGAGTAGCTGGGATTACAGGCACGGGCCACCACACCCAGCTAATTTTTGTATTTTTAGTAGAGACAGGGTTTCATCATGTTGGCCAGGATGGTTTCGATCTCCTGATCCGCCGTCCTCGGCCTCCCAAAGTGTTGGAATTACAGGCGTGAGCCACCGCACCAAGCCCTCTTAACACCATTTCTTCATGTGGTGGGATTATATTTTAAGATCCTGATCTCTATACATATTTTCTACCTCGCCTCTTTCCCCTATTTAAGGGGATGGTTGACTTTGTGCTCAACCTCAGGGGAGGAATATTGCAAAGTCAGGAAGGGAAAAGTATTTTTGCTTTCAAAAGCCAAGCTTGGGACTGAGAGCAACTTCAGAGCAAAGGGAAAATACTTAACTAAACATCTGAATGGAAATGGCTCCCCCAGCACTGGAAAGGTGGTCCCCCTTCAATGGACGAGGTGGGACAGCTGGGCATGGTGGCTCACACCTGTAATCCCACCACTTTGGGAGGCCAAGGCAGGCGGATCACGAGGTCAGGAGATCGAGACCATCCTGGCTAACACGGTGAAACCCTGTCTCTACTAAAAATACAAAACATTAGCTGGGCGTAGTGGCACATGCCTGTAATCCCAGCTACTCGGGAGGCTGAGGCAGGAGAATTGCTTGAACCTGGGAGGCAGAGGTTGCAGTGAGCCAAGATCGCGCCACTGCTACTCTAGCCTGGGCGACAGAGGGAGACTCCGTCTCAAAAAAAAAAAAAAAAAAAAGATGGTGTGACAAGAGCATAAAGGACCACTGGACTCAGGAGCAAAGGGGTCAAGAACCTTGCTTCACTAGCAGAGATACTAGGAGCGAGGGATGGGGAATGTCTGTGGTTTGTCTAGGCAATGGGACCACAGGCAGGCCAAGATGGCGCCCGTGCCCAAGCACAGCACTGACACAGCTGAACATCATCTGACCTGAAGGGATAAGGACAGAAGACGAGGGGCCATCCTCCATCTCTATTCCTATACACCCATTGTATAAAATTCCAGAACCAAGGCACACACAATAAGGCAAGTGGGGTGGGGGGCTTTAAAAGACGAGTTTAGGTTTCCTACTAATCTAGTGAGATAACTCAAAAATAGAAATTAGGTTAAATTATAGATAAAAATCATTATAACTTTTAAAACTCTGGGCTGTAAAATAACATAAATACTTGATATAGTAAGTGTTCCACCACTTTTTTTTTTTTTTTTTGAGATGGAGTCTCACTCTGTCACTAGGTTGGGGTGCAGTGGCACAATCTCGGCTCACTGCAACCTCCGCCCCTGGGGTTCAAGCGATTCTCCTGCCTCAGCCTCCCGAGTAGCTGGGACTACAGGCGCCCGCCACCACACCCAGCTAATTTTTGTATTTTTAGTAGAGATGAGGTTTCACCATGTTGGCCAGGCTGGTCTCGATCTCCTGACCTCGTGATCCACCCGCCTGGGCCTCCCAAAGTGCTGGGATTACAGGAGTGAGCCACCACACCCGGCCAGTGTTCCACCACTTTTTAAAAAAGATTGTATGCTCCACGTGGGAGGGGAATGGGAGCCTTTCACTCACTGTGTGGTTCTGGCACATATAGAGGCTCCCAACAAGAAGGTCGAATAAATTGGTACTTTTGTGATACTGCTTTCTTTATTGTACCAAAGACAAAATAATTCTGGGTAGAATTAGACCCTGAATTTTTTTAACTCTGTGAGTAGAAATAAGAATTTCCACTATTCATTTAAAGAGCACCTACTGTTTTCTAGGAGGTCAAGGCTTGGCTTTGTCTTGGATGAAGGACTCTGCCTGTGTTTTGGTAACCTGTCCCAGTGGGTTTTTAAGTGTGCCTAATGTACAGCAAATACTTCGATCTAAAACAGAAGTTTGAGAAGCTGAAGCTTAGCTGAAGCATATAAAAAGTCAACTTGCTGGGAGATAGAGTTGCATCTCTGAAGATTATGTTTACTCTAAAAAAATGTTTCTTAAGTGTAGATTTATAGCTGCTCTGTGCCTATGCATTATTATTTTTGGAAGCTGTGGACTTGTAGTAGCTTAGGCAGTTGCCAGCAGGAGATCAGAGTTTGAGAGCTTGGAGGTGGCCTAAAGACGATTAGCCCTGGCCATCAGGTCATCCTGGAAAATACTGTGAAAAGGTACTGGACGTTTGATTCTACACATAGTTGTATTCAAGATTGAATAAACTAGGCCAGGCACGGTGGCTAACATCTAGAATCCCAGCACTTCGGGAGGCTGAGGTGGGTGGATCACTTGAGGTCAGGAGTTCAAGACCAGTCTGGCCAACATGGTGAAACCCCTAATCTACTAAAAAAAAAACAAACCCAAAATTAGCCAGGCATGGTGGCGCACACCTGTAGTCCCAGCTACTCGGGAGGCTGAGACAGGAGAATCGCTTGAACCAGGGAGGTGGAGGTTGCAGTGAGCTGAGATCGTGCCACTGCACTCCAGCCTGGGTGACAGGGTGAGACTCTGTCTCCAAAAATAAAAGATTGAATAACTATATTTTGGATTAAGTACTGATGTCACAAAACTATGTTCTGATTTTTTTCTGGGGGTGTAGGGAGAGGCAAAGGGCAAAGGGCAAGTTGACATTCCTTTTTTGAGATACGGTCTCACTCTGTCACCCAGGCTGGAGTGCAGTGGTACAATCACAGTTCACTGCAACCTTCACCTCCTGGGCTCAAGCAATCCTCACATGTCAGCCCCCTGAGTAGCTGGGACTACAGGCATGTACCACTATGTCCGGCTAATGTTTGTATTTTTTGTAGAGATGGGGTTTCGCCATGTTGCCAAGGCTGCTCTCGAACTCCTGGGCTCAAGGGATTCATCTGCCTCAGCCTCCCAAAGTGCTGGGATTACAGGTGTGAGCCTGGCCCACATTCCTATGAATGGGGTCTTCTGTGCAAAGAATGACTATCCCTCTGGTAAGTCACTCGGGAAATGGGCAGTCCTGGGGCAGGAAAGGAGGTCATGGAAGACCTCTCCTCAGCCTTGTGCAGGGCCTGAACCTTGGGCAGAAGGGCACTTCTGAGAGGGCCAGGTGGTCTCTCAGGCCTGGAGGCAGCCTGGCAGCTGGACAGAGAAGGGCTGGGTTGGGTATATCTGTGAACGGGGTTGGACATGAGTATTTGGAGAGCATATATGTATGTATATTGTGTGGCCCCAGAATTACCAGGTACAGATTGTATCTTCTGTCAATTAAACACCTTTTTCCTGTTATGCTAGAAGCAGCAATTTTATAACACGTAATAGGGCCATGTATTTTTCAACACAGTGATCAATCACACTGCATATTTGAATGTGGCAGATGTGATTAGTTCCATTCTATGTGAGAGAGGTCTCCAGGAGACATTTATTCTGAAACAGGACGGGTCCCCAGCAGATTATGTCCTCCCATTTAGACAGTGTATTGCCAATAAATTCAGCAGATGGAGGGCTGGATGTTGATCTAGTCAGGCTTACCAACATGTGATGATTCACTCAGAAGCTTTGTGAAATACTCCTTCATGACAATTACTAAGACCGACTGTTTAAATTCCTCTGACCATCAACATGGAAGCGATCCAGAAGAACAGGGTTTTGCTGAGTAACGAGGGGAGCATATAGATAATCTCTAATATACTCATGTCCTTGGGGCCAGTCTGTGGTACCTAATTTCAAGTTGTCTAAACTTTAGCTCCTTCTTATCTCTAAGCTTCAGGATGTCCTGCAAACACAGCCAATCTGCCTCAGCTGTCACAGCAGGGGGCTAAAGGGCAGGGCCCATGATTCAGAAGGAATTCAGCAGAGACAAGAGTGGGCGGATGTGGTGGCCGCTGAATGGCAGGAGATAATGGGTCCAAGGATGCAGCGTTGGTTGAGCTATCAGTGACTGAGGAATGATTAATGAAACATGTAAACATTCCCCAGAGAATTCCCAGAAATACACAGAGAGCAGGACTTGGTAACAGACTTTCCTCTCTGAAGACAAGTAAACTGCATATTAAAGCGGACTGTGACCTCATAGACTGATGAAATTTGAAACACTTAAGCTACATATGCTGCTTCTGGGTTATGTGTTCTGTGTCATATCTTAGGTAAGTACTACAATGTTTTAAGTACCATAGACTTATGATGTGTTTTACTATCTGGGAGGCCTAGTTCTTCATATTTTCCTTCTACCTCTTTTTATTACTACTTTACTTTTCTTTCCTTTTCACAAAAACTTTCAATAGGAAAAACTTTCACTAAAAAAGAGAAGAAGGAAAGGGAAATCACAATTATTGTAAATACTTAAAGCACATAAACCTGTGCAAACTTTGAAAAATTAAACTATTTATTTTTGTTTTTTTTAATTTTTTTTTGAGACGGAGTCTCGCTCTGTCATCCAGGCTGGAGTGCAGTGGCACAATCTCAGCTCACTGCAACCTCTGCCTCTCAGGTTCAAGCAATTCTCCTGCCTCAGCCTCCGGAGTAGCTAGGATTACAGGCGTGCGCCACCACGCCCGGCTAATTTTTGTATTTTTAGTAGAGACAGGGTTTCACCATGTTGGCCAGGTTGGTCTTGAACTCCTGACCTTGTGATCTACCTGCCTCAGCCTCCCAAAGTGCTGGGATTATAGATGTGAGCCACTGTGCCTGGCCCTGAAAAATTCAACTATTAACAGAAGCTTATAGCTTCAGCATGAAGGCAGAATTTCATGTTTTGCTGCAGAAAACGTGGAAAAAAATGGAGGCTAGGATTTGATCAGTACATGAGGCCTCTGAATTGAGTACTGGATTGGAAAGGACTCTTCTGGATATTTTACTTCCTTTTGAACTCTCCTTATCTTTGTACTTTCTTTTTTCCCCTTAGTTTTACTTTCCACCATGAGGCCTAGAGAATTGGATTTTCTTTGCTAAGTGGGTGGTATTGCAAAATGGGAACTATTCTGTTCAAAGCTGGTTCTAGGAGTGTTTTGAAGTAGATGAACTTTCCCTCAGCCTGCCTTTCTGAAATTTGTTCTTTTTTTAAAAAATGGTTAATTCACTTTTTTCCTAATGTAGCTTATGTTCTTCTACTTTCTTACTTGCTTAGGATCAACATCTGCTCTTAGGAAAACACTTACTTTTTTCTTTTTTCTTTTTTTTTTTCAGACAGAGTCTTGCTTGCTTAGTAACCCAGGCTGGAGTGCAATGGCGCGATCTTGGCTCACTGCAACCTCTGCCTCTTGGGTTCAAGCGATTCTCCTGCCTCAGCCTCCTGAGTAGCTGGGATTATAGGTGTCCGCCACCACACCTGGCTAATTTTTGTATTTTCAGTAAAGATGGGTTTCGCCATGTTGGCCAGGCTGGTCTCAAACTCCTGACCTCAAGTGATCCACCCATCTCGGCCTCTCAAAGTGCTGGGATTATAAGTGTGAGCCACCACACTGGCTGGAAAATGTCTACTTTCAATGATTTATACTTTAATTTTACTTAAAGTCATTTAACCATCTCCAACTTCTGAGACCTATGTAGAACTCCCCATTTTTTCCCTGAGTTAAAAGAATTTCAGGTATTAATAGAGAAGATTAGCGTGGCCCCTGCGCAGGGATGACACACAAATTTGTGAAGTATTCCATATTTTATAAAATAATTTTTAAAAAAAGAATTTCAGGTATCTGGGAGTAGGAGGTGCTTTCTTGGGGCATCTAAAATTATGATAAGTAGGCTGGGCACGGTGGCTCACGCACGTAATCCCAGCACTTTGAGAGGCCGAGGCGGGCGGGTCACCTGAGGCCAGGAGTTCAAGACCAGCCTGGCCAACATGGTGAAACCCTGTCTCTAATAAAAATACAAAAGTAAGCTGGGCATGGTGGCAGGAGCCTGTAGTTCCAGCTACTTGGGAGGTTGAGGCAAGGGAATCGCTTGGACCTGGGAGGTGGAGGTTGCAGTGGGCTGAGGTTGCACCACTGCACTCCAGCCTGGGCATCAAAGCGAGACTCCATCTCAAAAAAATAGATAAAATAAAATAAAATAAAATAAAATAATTACAAGTAAGGGGCTAATTTTGCACTTCAATACAAGAGGATAAAGAAACCAGAGTGCTCAAGTCTATACTTATTTTTGATAGTCTTGTTTGTTGTTATATTTTTCTTACATTTCCATTGACTCAGTGCCTAACCAAAACAGTTTAGATAAGCAGGGCATTATAGATGAAAAGCTACAAGTTTGAAAGACAGGTGTACAAATCTTCATTTAGTATCTAACTAGCTCTGACAGAAGTCTTTTTACCTTTTTGGACCTAGCTTCCTTTTTCAGACAATACATCTTTGATGATCGAAAACAACAACAACCTGATACAGTTCCTTGCAGTTCTAAAAGCCCAATAGTCCAGAATACAAAGTCTCTATTATGTTCTTCTCTGGATAAAAGAACTTGTGGACTTTATAACATAATCCAAGAATGAAGAAAAAAAAAACAACCAAAACCTACCTTTAGGAACAAAGAGGGCACATAGCAGGAAGCTGAAATACAGAACGTCTTCTGAGAACACAGAGAACATTTAGCAAAAAGTGGAAAATCTGACAACACTGTACAGTCGCAGTCTTCCTCTCCATAACAATAATTTTTTCTCCTCTCACTAAAATAGAGCAATTTTTATTGTCACAAGCCCATGTGTATTACTGGCAATAGGGATATAGCTGTATAGGACACCTCCTTAAACATCTCCTTTATTTTAAGATTCAGTTAGGGGGAAATGACTAGTTTCCCAGCACTTTCTGGTTACCATGGATACCTGTCATCCACATCCAGAGCCTGCAGGTTACACTCAGGGACTCTTGCCAGCTCATGAATAATATCGCTGAAGCCCGCTGCCGCTGCGATATGTACACATGTCTTCCCACTCTCATCATCATAGTTGATTATGGACGGCCCCTGGTGATGGCTCAGAATGATGGAGCACAGAATCCTATTTCCACTCTGGAAAAGAGAGTCAAAGAAAGCCCATTATGTACAATCCAGTGTTCTTCTCTGTCTAGGCATGTTAAGATAAAAATACAAAGGAAAAAAAGGAAAGAAAGAAAGAAAGAAAAAAGATGAAAAGAGAAAAGGAAATGGAAAAAAAAGAATAAAAATACACTCTATCTAAGCTCTCCAACAAGTGTCCACTTGTCTCAAGTCACTGCAGAGATTTTTGTCTCCCACAGGAGCTAAATTGTCTTCCATAACTAGTGAACGAAGGATGGATTGAAATTAAATACAGGTGCAATGGACTGACGTCAGAGCTAGAGTGATCGGTGGGCCACCTAGACAACAACTTGCTCATTAGGTCTGATCATTTGTGTCCCCATTTGCTGTAGAGGCTGACCACCAAGAAACTGACAGAGTTCATCTTAATGTTAAAGAAGTGACTATGATGAGTACTGATTGGTGGCGCAGTGATGCACTTAAAAAGCTTGTTTCGGGGTAGGGCCAAGGAGCAGGGGGCTGAGAATTTGTCCCAGGGAGCCTGGGAAGCAGAACTGTCTGAGCAGAGGCTACAGTCTTGTATCAGACTTCGTTTACAAAAACAATTAAAAGATAAAGTGAGAATTTCCAGATGGGGACTACAGAACATTATGCCTTAAGCACAGGGTCCCATCTGAGTACCAGACCCTCTGTGGCTGCACTGGTTACATATCCATAAAGCAATCTCTGGCTACAAACTTTTTCTTTCTCTTCCTATCATCTTCCCTTTTGCGTCTTCTTCCTCCATCCATCTTTCCTTTGTCTAACAATGATTTTAAATAACTTTGACCCATTGTTTATATTCTATGGCATGCCTGTCCTTAGAAGTCAGCTAAAGCTTACTTAGGTGACTTAGAAGTCACCTAAAGTTTAGGTGAGCACACCTAAGCTTTCATGCCTTTATCAACTTTTCTATGTTTGTTTCACTTCATGCTAGTTAGACATACATCGAAGGAGTCTGAAATACATTTTAGATAGTCAAGAGACACTTTTCTTTAAAAGCAGTAGCCATTCAATAAGGAAAATAGAAGCAAAAAGAGTGTCAGCACAACAATTCTTTTTTGTTTACAATTTCCTGGAAGAGTAAAGGAATTCAAGCTGTCAAGGTGGTTCAAAGGCCAAAACACCCTGTTCATAGTTTCCCCTCTTGGTAGAAGAAGAAGCATTAAGTGCAGATGGAGAAAACAAAACCCCACACTCGTACTCTCTTCCTTTCGCCTCCCTCGCCCCTGGGGTGGAGTCATTCTGGAAGTGGTAAACTGAAATAGAGGCTGCTGCTTCTGGGATCCTGCCAGCCAGTCCCAGGCAGCAGGTCTCTTGGTAGCTGGGGTACTGTTGACAGCCTCTCTGGATAAGTAAAGACAGACTCCATACCTTTACTCTTTTCCTTTTGTCCTAAATTCTCCAAACAATTCCTTTGTCTCTATACCTGAATCTCACTTATAGCACCATTGTTTGTATTTTACTTTTCTTTGTAAGAAGATCCTCCCAGGAAGAATGGTGACAACTGTATTTACTGTGTGATCGTCTGGGCCTGGCACCTTTCTAAGCCATTTCATGTACTAACTCATGAACAACAATCCCACAAGGTTGGTACTATTATTGTCCTCATATTGTACAGGAGACAATGAAGGCATAAGGGATTAAGAAATTTGCCCTCTGTCACGGCTGAGAATGAGCAGATCCAGGATTGACTGTGGAGGCATTGGACTTCACCACTATACTATTCTGTCTGTGATTAAAAAGAATGGTCTATTAATTTGATCCTGCATGTTCATACTGGAGGAACTAAAGTGAAAACTGTTTAGACCTACATCAGTACCAGTGACGTGTGCCTCACCAACTGAGACCTCCTTTACAGTTAATCTTTGGGTACTTTAAGAGTTTCTCCTAGTAAGGTTTCCATGGTGCACCCTCAGGAGAATTTCAGGGAGCCTTAGAAAACACTAGTTTGTAAGTCAAGGCCCTGGATCACTTGCCTCCTGGTGACAGAATTCCCTTCTTAACAATCTAGACTGTGTGTCAGCCAAAAATATGCTTAGGCCTGGGAGGTAGGGAAAGTCACAGAGACCAGGAGACACTAGACAAGAAGAAATGGGACTGTGGTCCAGGTGGGTCCTTAGGAAGAATCGAGAGTAGGTTTACATTGGGTAGAAATGTTATTAAATAGGGAAAGAAACAGTATTGTACATATCCTATTCTTAAGGAGCTCTAGAATTCTACACTGAGCTGCCAGATGATGATTGTGAGTTTGTTTTTGTTGTATTTATTTGTTTTTGTTCATGAGTAATCCATAACATTGCCTTCATGTATTCTGAAAATGATTGGGAACTGAGTCCTAGTCGTTTTCTCTTTACCTGTCATGAGTGGGGAGAGTTGGGGAAGCCTGACTCATAAGAAGACTTGCCAAGAAGAAAGTCGAGTTAATGTGTAATAATTTTGCTACGGGCAGATTGATAAAACAACAACAACAACAATAAGATCTCAATATCCTAACTGTAGACATTCTAGGTGACCTTCAAAGGAGTCTAGTGGGCGATTTAAGACTAGTTGCTTATTTGCTAACATATGTCTAAGGAATATGTTCTATGGTGGTTTCTTCTTGGCAGGAACTCCAATCTCCTTCCTTCTCTTGAACACTGGGATGTGTTTGCATTGCTTGTCTTGTGATGGTGACCATATAAAGCAGAGGCCAGTGCTTTAGCCTCTGTGTTGCAGCCGCTTATCCCTCCTAAAAAGCTGGGAGGTTTTGTGATGTGAGAAGATGATCCTGGCTCATCGGTTGGAGCCAGACATGTTAGACTAGAATGGAGACAAAAGGAACATCTAGAGTCTATTCCATGTGAATGTTTGAGGGTTGAGGGTCTGGGGCTAACTAGAGAAAGAAACGTGCCTAATATCCCTGGCTTAGAATCTGGACTGCCTTCATGGTTAGCCCCTTTGGACCAAGCTTTTAGTTGGCCTGGACTCCAGAGGCTGCCAAGCCCAAAAGCCTGGGGCTGCCTCTTCTGGAGAGAGAGCAGAAGATAGAAATAGTGGGAGGGGGAAAAGGTACCTTTTTTTAATATACCAGAGCACTCTGTTCTTCTTAATAAAGTCTGTCCTCCGGAGAAACTAGTTAACCAGAGCCTAATCTACTGAGGTTTTATCAGAGCCTAATTGACCTTAGGGAAGAAAAGTGTTCAACTCCATCTAGCTCTAGCTTTCCACATGGGAGCAGAACAATACCCAACTCCAGCCCACTCTAGCTATCCTGTCCCACCTAAGAAGGGGAAAAAACATCCTGAGAATCACTTGGAATATTCACATTCCAGAGGCATAGGTTCACTAAAAGACAGGGACCAAATCATAGGACGATATAGTACATTTCTCTTCCCCCCATACTTCACCATTACATTACTAAAGCGCTATTTACAGGAGTTCCTCTTACCCACTACATCATGTCTGGCTATCGAGAAAAAATTATAAAGCATGCCAAAAGGTGAATAACACAATATCTACAGAGCAAGCATCAGTTCCAGACATGGCAGGGATATGGGAATTATCAGATAAATAATTTAAAGCAACTATGATTAATGTGCTAAGGGCTGTAAATGGATAAAGTGGACAACATGTCAGAACAGATGGGCGATGTAAGCAGGAAGATGGAGATCCTAAGAGAGAACAAATAATAAATGCTGGAGATAAAAAACACTGTAATGGAAATGAAGAATGCCTTTGATGAGCTTATCAGTAGATTGGACACAGCTGAGGGAAGAGTCTCTGCGCTTGAGAAGATCTCAATGTAAACCTCCAAAACTGGAAAACAAAAAGAACAAAGACTGAAAAAAACAGAACAGAATATTCACAGACTGTGAGAGAACTACAAAAGGTGTAACATACAGGCAATAGGAATACCAGAAGGAGAAGAGAAAAAGGAACAGGATAAATATTTGAAACAATAATAACAACTGAGAATTTTACCAAAAAAATTGTTAGACACAAAAGCTCAGAGAACACCAAGCACGATAAATGCCAAAAACAACAAAAAAAAACAACAAAACAAACAAAAAACCCTATGCCTAGGCATATTATTTTCCAATTACAGAAAACCAAAGATAAAGAAAAAGTCCAGAAGGAAGCCAGAGGAAAAGAACACCTTACCTATAGAGGAGCAAAGAGAAGGATTACCTCTGATTTCTCAGAAACCATACAAGCAAGAAGAGACTGGAGTGAAATACTTAAAGAGTTGAGAAAAGCCTCCCATCAACAAGAATTCTGTACCTTATGAAACTGTCCTTCAAAAGTGAAGGAGCAATAAATACTTTCTTAGATAAACAAAAATTGAGGGAATTTGTTACTGGTAGACCTGCATTGTACTAGATGTTAAAAGTAGTTTCTTGACGGGTGCGGTGGCTCATGCCTGTAATCCCAGCATTTTGGGAGGCTGAGGCAGGTGGATCACCTGAGATCAGGAGTTCGAGACCAGCCTGATCAATATGGAGAAACCCCGTCTCTGCTAAAAATACAAAAATTAGCCGGGTGTGGTGGTGCGTGCCTGTGATCCCAGCTACTCGGAAGGCTGAGACAGGAGAATCGCTTGAACCCGGGAGGCAGAGGTTGCAGTGAGCCGAGATCGCGCCATTGCACTCCAGCCTGGGCAACAGAGCAAGACTCCGTCTCAAAAAAAAAAAAAAAAAAAAAAAAAAAAGTAGTTTCTTAGAAGAGAAGAAAAATGATATAGGCCAGAAACTCTGATTTACGTAAAGAAAAGAAGAACGCTGAAGAAGGAATAAGTGAAGGTAAAATAAAAACTTTTATTTTTTATTGTTAATTAACCTAGGAGATAATAGTTTGTTCAAATTACTAACAGCTACAATGTATGCTAATGCATCTATCTTTATATCTATATACATATATATAAGCTTATGTATGCTTATATATAAGTAAAATGAATGACAGCAATCATACTAGGGACAGGTGGAAGGAATTAGAATCATTTAGTTATTATAAAGTATTCGCACTACCCATGAAGTGGTATAGTGTTATTTTGAAGTGGATTTCGATTAGTTGTAAACATACTTGGTATACTCTAGGGCAATCACTAAAAAAGTAAAAAAGGAAGTATAACTAATATGCTAAGAAAAGAGAGAAAATAGAATAATACAAAATGCTAATTAAAACCACAAAAGGTGGAAGAAGAGTAGAAGACAAAAATAGGAACAAAGAATAAGGGCATGGGCGGATCACAAGGTCAGGAGATCGAGACCATCCTGGCTAACACGGTGAAACCCTGTCTCTACTTAAAATACAAAAAAAAAAAAAAAAATTAGCTGGGTGTGGTGGCGGGCGCCTGTAGTCCCAACTACTCAGGAGGCTGAGGCAGGAGAATGGCGTGAACCTGAGAGGCGGAGCTTGCAGTGAGCAGAGATCGCGCCACTGCACTCCTGCCTGGGTGACAGAATGAGACTCTATCTAAAAAAAAAAAAAAAAAAAGAATAAGGGCAGCAAATAGAAAACAGTAACAAATATGATCGATGTTACTCTAACTATATGAATAATCACTCTGAACATCAATGGTCTAAATGTACCAATCAAAAGACAGAGATTGTCAGGGTGGATAGAAAAATAAGACCCAACTATATGTTGTCTATAAGAAACCCACTTTAAATATAATGACACATATAGATTAAAAGTGAATGAGTGGTGAAAGATTTACCATGAAAACACTAACCAAAAGAAAGCAGGAGTAGCTATATATTATAATTCTAGACAGTGCAGACTACAAAACAAAGAAAGTTGTTAGGGATAAAGAAGGGTATTACATAATGATAAAGAGGTCAGTTCTCCAAGAAGACATAACGATCCTTATGTACCGAACAACACAGCCTCAAAATATGCGAGGCAAAACCTGATAAAGCTGCAAGAAGAAACAGATGAGTCCGCTTTATAGTTGAAGACTTCAACATCCCTCTATCAGAAATGGACAGATCCAGAAAGCAGAAAATCAGTAGGAATATAGTTGAACTTAAAAATACAATTAATTGGCCGGGCACGATGGCTCATGCCTGTAATCCCAGCACTTTGGGAGGCTGAGGTGGGCAGATCACAAGGTCGGGAGTTCGAGACCAGCCTAGCCAACATGGTGAAACCCCATCTCTACTAAAAATACAAAAACTAGCTGGGCATGGTGGTGCATGCCTGTAATCCCAGCTACTGGGGAGACTGAGGTAGGAGAATGGCTTGAACCTAGGAGGCGGAGGTTGTAGTGAGCCGAGATTGTGCCACTGCACTCCAGCCTGGGTGACAGAGGAAGACTCCGTCTCAAAAAAAAAAAAAAACAATTAATTAATTGGATACAATTGATGTCTACTGACTACTTCATCTAACAGCAAAATACACATTTTTAACAAGCTCACATGGGACCTTCACCGAGATAGACTACAGTCTGGGCCATAAAACAAACCTTAACAAAAGTGAAAGAATAGAAATCATACAATGCAGGCTTTCAGACCATGGTAGCATTAAACTACAAATCAACAACAGACAACTGGAAAATTTCTGAACATGTGGAGATTAAACAATATAAGTAACACATGGTTCAAAAGAAGAAATTGCAAGATAAATTAAAAAAATACTTTGAACAAAAGGAAGATAACATCAAAATTTGTGGGATGTAGCAAAAACAATTTCTCAGAAGAAAATTTACAGCTTTGAATGTATATATTAAAAAAGAAGAAAGATCTAGAATCAATTATATAAGCTTACATCTTAGGAAGCTAGAAAAAGAAGAGCAAATTAAATCCAAAATAAGCAGAAGAAAAGAAAAAATAAAAATTAGAGAAGAAATCAATGAAGTAGAAAACAGAAAATCAATAGAGAAAATCAATGAAACCAAAAGCTGGTTCTTAGAAAAGATTAATAAAAGTGATAAGCCTCTAGCCAGGCTAGAAAAAAACAGAGGGAAACAAATTACTTAATATCAGAAATGAAAAAAGGTACTTCACTACAGATCCCATGGACATTAAAAGAATGATGAAGAAATACTTTAAACAACTCTATTTTCACAACTTGATAACATATTTGAAATGGACCAATTCCTTAAAAGACACAATCTACCAAAACACCCACAAGGAGAAATAGATAATCTGAATACGTTTATGTCTATTAAAGAAACTGAATAGGCTGGGTGCGGTGGCTTACGCCTGTTATCCCAGCACTTTGGGAGGCCGAGACAGGTGGATCACCTGAGGTCAGGAGTTCGAGACCAGCCTGGCCAACATGGCGAAACCTGGTGTCTACTGAAAATACAAAAAATTAGCCTGGCGTGGTGGCAGGCGCCTGTAATCCCAGCTACTTGGGAAGCTGGGGCAAGAGAATTGCTTGAACCCGGGAGTTGGAGGTTGCAGTGAGCCGAGATCGTGTCATTGCACTCCAGCCTGGGTGACAGAGTGAGAGACTCTGTCTCAAAAAAAAAAAAAAAGATATAAATTGAATAAATAATTAATAACCTTCTAAAATGGAAATATGAGGCTCAGATGTATTCACTGGTAAATTTTACCAAACATTCAAGAAAAATATAACGGTTTTTTAAGAATCTCTTTCAGAAGATAGAAGCCTAGGGAACTTCCTAACTCATTCTATCAGTCAGTATCACCCTAATACAAAACAAAACAAAGATATTATAAGAAAACTATAGACCAATAACTTTCATAAAGATAGATGTAAATGTCCTCAACAACATATTAGTGAATAGAATCTAGCAACGTAAAAAAAGAATTATACATCATGGTCAAATAGGATTTATCCAAGGTATGCAAGTGTAGCTCAACATTTTCAAATCAATTAATGTAATCAACCACATCAGCAGGCTAAAGAAGAAGAATCACATGGTTGTATCAATAGATACAGAAAAAGTATTTGAGAAAATCCACCACTTATTCATAATAAAAACTCTCAGTAAACTAGGAATAGAGAAGAACTTCCTAAACTTGGTAAAGAGCATCTATAGAAAACCTATAGCTAACATCATACTTCAAGGTGAAAAATGAGAAGCTTTCCAACTAAGATCAGGAAGAAGGTAAAAATGTCTCACAACTTTCCTTCCTTCCTTCCTTCCTTCCTTCCTTCCTTCCTTCCTTCCTTCCTTCTTTCCCTCCCTCCCTCCCTGCCTGCCTGCTTGCTTTCTTTCTTTCTTTCTTTCTTTCTTTCTTTCTTTCTTTCTTTCTTTCTTTCTTTCTTTCTTTCTTTCTTTCCTTCTTTCTTTCTTTCTTTCTTGACAGGGTCTCACTCTGTTGCTCAGGCTGGAGTGCAGTGGTGCGATCTTGGCTCACTGTGACCTCCGCCTCCCAGGTTCAAGCGATTCTCCTGCCTCAGCCTCCCGTGTAGCTGGGACTACAGGCATGTGCCACCACACCCTGCTAGTTTTTGTATTTTTAGTACAGGCAGGTTTTTGCCATTTTGCCAGGCTGGTCTTGAACTCCTGGCCTCAAGCAATCTGCCTGCATCGGCCTCCCAAAGTGCTAGGATTACAGGCGTGAGCCACTGTACCCGGTTCCACCACCTCTTTTCAATATTATACTCAAAGTTCTAGTTAATGCAATAAGACAAGAACAGGAAATAAAAAGAATGCTGATTGGGAAGGAAGAAATAAAACCGTCTGTTTTCAGATCACATGACTATCTATGTATAAAATCTGAAAGAATAGACAAAAATAGCTCTGAAACTAAGAAGCAATTATAGCAAGATTTCAGGATACAGGCTAATATACAAAAGTTGATCATTTTTCTATATACTAGCAATGAGCAAATAGAATTTGAAATTAAAAATACAATACCATTTACATTAGCACCCCCCAAAATTAAATAGTTAGGTACAAATCTAACAAAATGTGATACAAGAGCTATATGAAAAAATCTATAAAAGTGTGATGAAAAACATCAAAGAACTAAATAAATGGAGATCTTCATATGGTAAGGGTAAGAGCAAAATAAAAATTATAAAAATAAATAAATAAATGGATATTGCATGTTCATGGTTAAGAAGACTTAAAATTGTTAAGATATCAGTTCTTCAAAATTTGATCTATAGATTCAATATAGTCCCTATCGAAATACCAGAAACTTATCTTGTAGATGTCAACAAACTGATTCCACAGTTTATATGGAGAGGCAAAAGACACAGAATAGTCAACAAGATAGTGGAGAACAAAGTTGGGTGACTGACACTACTCAACTTTAAGACTTACTATAAAGCTACAGTAATCAAGATAGTGTGATACTGGCAAAATAATAGACAAGTAAGTCAATGCAACAGAATGGACAGCCAAGAAATAGACCCACATAATCAACTGATATTTGACAAAAGAGTAAAAGCAATACAATAAAGAAGAGGTAGTTGTTTCACCAAATGGTGCTGAAACAACTGGACATCTACATGCAAAAAAGTAAACCTAGACACAGACCTTATACCTTTCACAAAATTGACTCAAAACTGATCACAGACCTAAATGTAAAACCTAAAATTAGGCCGGGCAAGGCGGCTCGTACCTGTAATCCCAGCACTTTGGGAGGCTAGGGTGGGAGGATCACTTGAGTCCCGGAGTTCAAGACCAGCCTAGGCAACATAATGAAACCTCATCTCTAAAAAAAATACAAAAAATTACCTAGGCATTGTGGGTGTGCCTATAGTCCCAGGTACTCAAGAGGCTGAAGTGGAAGGATCACTTGAGACCAGGAGGTCCAGGCTGCAGTGAGCCATGATTATGTCACTGCACTCCAGCCTGGATGAGACAGAGTGAATTCTAAAATTATATAAGAATTCCAGGAGATGCTCTTTCCCTAAGTGGCCTCAGCTAATCTGTGAAAATGATTCGCTCTTCACTTGACCCAGAGAGCCCCACAAAATCATGCAAATCAAGAGGTTCAAGTCTTCGTGTTCACTTTACGAACACTTGTGAAATGCCCAGGCCATCAGGGTAGGCATATATGAAAAGCCACAAAGTATCTGAAAGATGTCACTTTACAGAAACAGTGTGTACCATTGTGACGTTACAGTGGTGGAGTTGGCAAGTGTGCCCAGGCCAAGCAGTGGGGCTGGACACAAGGTCGGTGGCCCAAAAAGAGTGCTGAATTTTTGCTGCACATGCTTAAAAATGCAGAGAGTAATGCTGAACTTATGGGTTTCGATGTAGATTATCTGGTCATTGAGCATATCCATGGGAACAAAGCACCTAAGATGTGCCCCTGGACCTACAGAGCTCATGGTCGGATTAACCCATACATGAGCTCTCCCTGCCACACTGAGATGATCCTTACTGAAAAGGAACAAAATGTTCCTAAACCAGAAGAGGAGATTGCCCAGAAGAAAAAGATATCCCAGAAGAAACTGAAGAAACAAAAACTTATGGCACGAGAGTAAATTCAGCATTAAAATAAATGCAATTAAAAGTAAAAGAAAAAAAAAAAGAATTCCAGGAGATAACAGGAGCAAAATTGAGATGACCTTGGGTTTGGTGATGACTTTTAGATACTGAAATAATAATCCATGGAAGAAAAAATTGATAACCTAGATTTCATTAAAATCAAAAACTTCTCTGTGAAGGACACTGCCAAAAGAATAACAAGATAAGCCCCAACCTAGAAGAAAATATTTGTAAAAGACGTATCTAATAAAAGACTATTGCCAAAATATGCAAAGAACTCCTAAAACTCAACAGTAAGAAAACAACAATGATATTTAAATGGGCAGAAGATCTTTATAGATAGCTCACAAAGAAAATTTGCAGATGACTAATAAGCCCATGAAAAGATGCACCACATCATACGCCATCAGAAAAACACAAACTAAAACAACCATGAGATACCACAGTGCATTGATTAGGAAGGCTAAAATCCAGAACACTGACAATACCAAACGCTGGTGAGGATAATGAACAACAGGAACTCTCATTCACTGCTGGTGGAAATGCAAAATGGTACAGCCACTTTTGAAGACAGTTTGGTGGTTTCTTTTTCTTTTTTTTTTTTTTTTTTGAGACAGAGTCTTACCCTGTCACCCAGGTTGGAGTGCAATGGCGCAATCTTGGCTCACTGCAACCTCTGCCTCCCAGGTTCAAACGATTCTCCTGCCTCAGCCTCCCGAGCAGCTGGGATTACAGGCACCCACTACCATGCCCAGCTAATTTTTGTATTTTTAGTAGAGACAGGGATTCACCATGTTGGTCAGGCTGGTCTCAAACTCCTGATCTCATGATCCGCCCGCCTTGGCCTCCCAAAGTGCTGGGATTACAGGTGTGAGCCAACGTGCCTGGTCATTTTGGTAGTTTCTTACAAAACTAAACATACCCTTATCATAGATCCAGCAACTGTGCTCCTTGATATTTACCCAAAGGAACTGAAAACTTATGTTTACACAAAAAGCTGCACACAGATGTTTATAGTGGTTTTATTCATAATTGGCAAAGCTGGGAAGCAACCAATATGTCCTTGCATAGATGAATGGATAAGTAAACCTTGGTATATTCATGTAATGGAATATTAACCAGTGCTAAAGAGAAATGAGCTATTAAGTCATGAAAAGACTTGGAGGAAATGTAAATGCATATTACTAGACAATTTGAAAAAGCTACATACAGTACAATTCCAATCATATGACATTCTGGAAAAGGCAAAGCTATGGAGACAGTAAAAAGATCAGTGGTTGCTAGGGATTAGGGTAAGGGTGGAAAGAATAAGGGGAGCTCAGAGGATTTTTAGGGCAATGAAGGTATTCCGCATGATACTTTAATGATGGATACATGTCATTATACCTTTGTCCAATTCCACAGAATGTACAATATCAAGAGTGAAGCTTATGGTAAACTATGGACTTTGGGCATTGATGACCTGTCAGTGTAGGCTATCAATTGTAACAAATGTACCACTGTAGTGGGAGATGTTGGTAACGGGGGAGGCAATTTATTGTCAGTGGGGCGGGGGGGCAGAAGATATTAATATGTGACATATTTCTGCAATCTTCCTCTCAATTTTATTGGGTACTTAAAACTGCTCTAGAAAACTAAAGTCTTTACATGAAATGTTTTTTTCCACAGAGAGAAAGAACCCAATAAGCCATTAACCCCATTGGCCTGAGATGAATAAATTTATTGGAGTGAATTCAATGAACACCTCTTTAGGGACCTACGGTTCACAAAGCTCTGTTCTGGGTGTTGAGACATTTGGATGAATAAGGCACGTTGCCCTTAGGTCCACAGTCTAGAAGGGAAGACACAGGCACCTCACCAATTTTAACAAAGTTCTAGAAGTAACGTGGAGGGAAGAATTTGGAAAGGGAGCTCAACAAAGAAGGTGACACTTAGTTGGGCTTTGAGAAATAAGAAAGAATAAGCAGATATTCTGTAGGCAGAAGGAATGATACAGGGAGTGCAAGAAGAAAGAAGCATTTTACCCAAATGGAAGAGCATGACAGCAGGGGAGAGAGAAGGAATCTTTATGATGTATTGTGAGGATTACTAATATTCCAGTGTGATTAGAGCCAAGATTACGTGAGCTTGAGAGGAAAGGTCAGGGGTGGGGAACCAAGGACCAACAGTGACCGTAATTGTTTTGGTATAATAATAGCTATGTTAGTACATGTCTTTGTGATTTGTTGGAAGAGCTCTGTAAGAATAGATTGGAAGGCCAAGTGTGGTGGCTCATGCCTGTAATCCCGACACTTGGGAGGCCTGGGTGGGAGGATCTCTTGAGTCCAGGAGTTCAAGACCAGCATAGGCAACATGGTGAGACTTTGTCTCTACTTTAAAAAAAATTAGCCAGGCATGGTGGTGTGTGCCTGTAGTCCCAGCTACTAGGGAGGCCGAGTGGTAGAATTGCTTGAGCCCAGGGTAAAACTTAGTTTACCTAGTAGGCCTACTGTTTCCAATCTTTACTGCTTTGTTTATTTTGGTGAAATACAAAGGCCTTATTATTTCAATGAACTATAGCTTTAAATGTGATCTCATTATATGGTCCAAGAGAAAAGCAGGAAATTCAGAAAAAGGAATAAATGACAACGGGAAATAGACTCATTCGTATGGAAAAACTCTAAAATGAGCACAATGCTAGCCCTGTGTTATAAATGAACAAGAAGTCTAAAGAAGGCAAGTGTAATAATGATTTCAGCTGACATTTGGAATTACCCTCAGTCTTTGCAGTATAAATGGCAGAGTACACCACTTCTGAATTTTACTGCTAACCATAGGGAAGGAGAATGCACAATTTCTCCAGAGCCGGGGTTCTTAGCCTTTTGTGGGTAGTCACTGTTCCTCATTGAGGAGGTCAAGAAAGTTGTGGACTCCTTCCTCAGAAAAATGAATGCAAACATGCTCACACACCATATATACAGTATTACATACAATTGTAGGGGTTCTAGAGGGACCTATCTTTTTAATCTTTTTGCCTCCAATGCAAGACACATAGTGGATGCTCAAGAAGTATTTATTTAGTGATTGAGTAAATAAATGAACGAGGCATTATGCTTATACAATCATGGTCAAAATGCAAACATCTCCAATAGTAGGTAAAGTATTAGCACCCATTAATATGAATTCATTTATCATAGTGCTTCTAAACCCTAGCTGCATATTACAGTCTTCTATGGAAAGGAGGGAGCTTTAAATAATGTATGTGTGGCTGGGCGTAGTGGTTCATGCCAGTAATCCCAGAACTTTGGGAGGCTGAGGCAGGTGAATCAGCTGAGTTCAGGAGTTCGAGACCAGTCTGACCCATGTGGTGAAACCCCATCTATACTAAAAATACAAAAATTAGGCAGTCGTGGTGGTGTGTGCCTGTAATTCCAGCTACTTAGGAGCCTGAGGCAGGAGAATTGCTTGAACCCGGGAGGCAGATGATGCAGTGAGCCAAGATCGCACCATTGCACTCCAACCTGGGCAATAGAGTAAGACTCCATCTCAAAAAAATATATCTATCTATATATATATGTGTGTGTGTGTGTATGTGTGTACATGCATGCACACACAGTTTTTTTTTTTTTTTTTTTTATATAGAGATGGAGTCTTGCTATATTGCCCAGGTTAGTCTTGAACTCCTGGCCTCAAGTGATCCTCCTGCCTCGGATTCCCAAAGAGGTGAGATTATAGCCACAGCTCCCAGCCAATACAAATATTTTTTTTAAGAGCCCAGGGTCTCACTGCATTACACAGCTTGGTCTCAAACTCCTGGGCTGAGGTGATCCTCCTGCCTCAGTCTCCCAAGTAGCTGGGATTATAGGCACATGCCATTATGCCCAGCTCCAGTTTTGAAAAATATTGATGGCTGGGCCCCACCCCAGAACAACTGAATGAAAATCTAAGAGGTGAGGCCTGGACGTGAGTATTGTTTAAAAGCTCTTCAGATTATTCCATTGTGCAGACAGGGCTGAAATCAATGTAGTAGGTTAAAAGCTGTGACATTTAGTAGAGACAAAGAGTATGGGAGCTTTCAGGTAGCTGAACATGTGGAGGTTTCTGGAGGGTGGCACACCCAGAGAGGGCACGGAAGCTCCATGCCTGTTCCCCCATACCCTTGCCCTACCTGTCTGTTCATCTTCATCCTTTGCTATATAATTTATAACGAACTGGTAAACATAAAAAAAAGAGAAAGAATATGAAGGCATGGGTATAATAACTAAGTTTCCTGTGGAGAAAATCAGGAACCCTAATAAAAATGACCATTTCGTCCAATTACATAGTACGTTACATATCACTATCATATGCATGGTCTCATTCTGACCATGCATACCCTTATCAAAGATACCTTTATCAGTTAAGCCAAGCAAGTGTTGACTTGCCTTAGATCAAGCCCAAGTGTATTAATGCAAACTCAGATATTCAGAGTTGAGTAGGTTGTTCTTATGATTTTGCCAAAGTGCCTCTTAAAGGATAAGAACAGGGATTCCCGGCTGGGTGCAGTGGCTCACGTCTGTAATCTCAACACTTTGGGAGGCCGAGCGGGGCAGATCACGAGGTCAGGAGTTCAAGACCAGCCTGGCCAACATGGTGAAAACCCATCTCTACTAAGAATACAAAAATTAGCTGGGCATGGTGGTGTGTGCCTATAATCCCAGCTACTCGGGAGGCTGAGGCAGGAGAATTGCTTGAACCAGGACCCGGGAGGTGGAGGTTGCAGTGAGCTGAGATCGCACCACTGCACTCTGGCCTGGGCTACAGAGTGAGACTCCATTTCAGAAAACAAAACAAAACTAAACAACAACAACAAAAACCCAGCGATTCCACCCTGTGAGGGCCCAGCGGGGGTCTGGGAATCTGTTGTTTTACAAGCACTGCTGGTGATTCCATCGCAAGGCCAGGTCTAAGACAGCAGCTCTACACTGGGGCTGGGATGGTGGAAGGGGGACGCATGTCAGTCAGAATTACCTGGGGAGGTTTTTCAAAATGCACATGCATCCTGGATCTAGGGAATCAGAGTGCAGTGGTGTTGAGGTGACTATGTAGAAAGTGCCTGCTTCTGGTGCCACTTTCATCTCAGCTGAGAACCAACACATGAGGAGCTTCCTGGGAGCCCAGCCAGGTTCCTCTGTGGCCACCGCTACAGTGGTGACCCCTGACCAGCCAGAGGCCAGCCCCAGGGCATGGAGTCCTGGGCAGAGACTGGCAGCGATGGTGGCAGGGCAGGTGATTAGATACTGAAAGTATGTAGGAGGGTGCTATGGGCAGGTGGAGATGACAAAACAAGCCTTGCTCACTGCATAGCTTTGCAGAGAAACTGGTGCAGAGAAACTGAAGCCAAGGTTAGAGGGATGAAAACAGAGCAGTTTCCAGATCACTTCTGTTTTCCCCTTACATCAGGCACACATGTCAATCCTGAAAGTCCCAGGTGCCCACTTCTGCTGTACTTGGCACATGGAAATGCTGACTGAAACCACAGTCAGGGCAGCAGAAACTATTCTCACAGGGTCCTGGCAGTAGCTCAGACAGGTGCCCTTTCTGGGCCAACAGAAATCAACTGTGGGGGTGTCTGTGCTGAAGACAGAGACGGGCTGGCAAGTTTATGCAAAGGATGCTCTCCTTGAAAAAAGGAATAGATAACTTTTAGTTAATCATTCCCCTTGAAAATAGAAAGCACTCGGTTACACATTAGTGATTATTATTCTTTCACCTTACTCTTGGTTTTGCCCTCTCTGGACAATAGATTTCTTGAGCCTATTCTGATTTGTTTGGTTGTGTGTATTGACGTGGACTCCCTTATGTGATAGTGATGCAGGGTCATGAGCCACTACTTTCACTGTCGGGTGTAGAATTCAGGATCACCTGAAATGACTCTGCTGGGGAGGATTTGGAAGCAAGAAGAGAGTCAGAGAGTCATGGTTCAAAGACTTTGAAGGCATTTTCCCAGCAATTCTTTGAAGGTTTACTCTGGGACACAGTAAGCCGGTAGCAAACATTGAGATGGAGAGAGAAACAGAGAGAATGAGAGGGGTATGTGTGTGTCTGTGTGTGCCACCCAAGGCAGGCTCTGCTTGATATTTTATAACTACTCCCCTTTGCATCTTGGCAGGGTTTCTTTTCAACAAGTGGTGGAGCTGAATCAAGAGCTGAAACCTCCATCTTTAAAGTTTGACCTACTCAGAAAATTGTTAACACTGCTTTCCACCATTTAAACCTGAGACCAGTCCACAGGTCAATTTCTCACCTGGACTGCCCAGTGGAGAGCGGTTTTAAAGTCTTTATCCACAAGGGTGGGGTCTGCCCCCTTCTTCAGCAGCATTTGTGTGTGTTGAGGCTGGTTGTGGAAAGCCGCCCAGTGGAGTGGTGTCATTCCCTGCAAAACAACAGTCAGAGAGGACAGAGATGAGCACAGGCTCCCAGGAAGAAAACTGGAGCTCACACTTTCTCCTCAGGCCTGGGGGCCATCACCAGATGCGTTGGTTGTTTCCTGCTGGTTCATTCATTCATTCATTAATCCATTCATTCCATAGATGTTTATTGTCTGTCTGCTTTGTGCCAGGCAAGCAGTTGTTCAGGATACAAAAGTTAATAAGGTAAATGAGATCCTTACCCTCATGGAAATTGCTCTGTGGTAAAGGAAGGCAGATATTAAATGCACAAAAACATGTCAAACAATCTTCCAGATTGATAAATACTATGAAGAATGCACGTAGGATGCTGGTGAGAGAGTAACCAAGGGTGGAGGGACTGTTCTAAACAGGCCTCTGAAAGAAGAAATGGAGGAAGAGGACAGCCAACACCAAGCACAGAGGCAGAGAGTAAGTTAAAGGAAGGCCTCTGTGACTGGAGTGCAATCCCCCACCACCAGGGCAGGGGTGCTGTCTGTTTTCCTCTATCTCTAATGCCTAGGCTAAAGGCTGGAGAAATAGCTGTTGAATGAATGAATGAGGTAGGAGGGGAAGAGAGCAATGTGAAATGAGGTTGGAGAGGGAGGCAGGGGCTGATCCTGGGAGGGTGGGATGGGGGATAACTGTCTCTGCATAACACATTTGGAATTTATTCTAATTCAGTGGAGAGACAATGAAGGATTTTAAGCAGGTACTGGCATGATCAGATGTACACTGTTTAGAAGAAATCACTGTGGCAGCTTGGAGAACAGAGCTGGATAAATGAATGGTGAATCCCAGCTTCTTTCAGAGTTCAGGGTCATATGGGTTAGGTATAATTTAACATTAAGTGAGCTTATGCTGAGAAATGGTGGCCAAAAAGAGCCAGCGTTATCTGAACGTATATATGATGAAAAGATTGGCTCTTCTCCTTGCTCACTCATCTCAATTCCATGAAATGTATCTAGAATGAATTGAAATGAAGATGCCTGATAAAGGGGGCAAAGGGCATGGGCAGCTTTGAAGACTCTCTTTCTATAGTTATCTCTGCTGATAGCATAAAGCTAGGAGACAACACCTTGGCTTTCTCTGTTCCTTCCAGGGTGAGCTGCATGGAGAAGATGGGCCTCAGCCTAGACAGGAGCACATTAATAATAGCGCAGAGCTAATATTTATTGATCTAGAGACCTTTATGAGTTCTTTTATCTATTGTCTCACTTAATCCTCCAAACAAACTTCTGGAGTAAGTACTGTGGTGATGTCTCCTACGTGTTCACCAAGCTGTTTCCTCTTCCCCTAGGGCACACAGTCAAACTACATTCCCCAGCCTCCTTGCAGATAGGTGCAGCCACATGACTGAGTCCTTGCCATTGGAATGTGGACAGAGGAGATGGAAACCTTCCCCAGGCCTGGGCTAGAAAAAAAGCCCATGTGGTCCTCCACATCTTCTTTTTTTCCTCATATATCAACAGAATGCAGAGGAGGACAAGGCTCTGGAAGATGCTGGAATCATGTGATTGAAAAGCCTGGGTTTCTGATCAATGAGGGAGAATAGGACCACCCTGCCAAACAGCACTGGATTATGATATGAGCAAGAAATAGGCCTTTATTGTGTCAGGCTACTGAGATTTCAAGTCGTTTGCTAGAGCAGTTAGCCAGCTCTGATAGGTGCCATTGTACTTCTCATTTAATAGAAGAGGAAGCTGAGCTCTAGAGAAATTCCTGAGTTTGTGAGTAGCATGGAACTGAATCTAGGGTTTAAGGTTTGTGGGACACTAGAATTAGAAAATCCCTTCAACCAGTTCCATATTTTAAATTCCTATATTATGGTTTGCTTTCAAGTTTCAAGTATCATATGACAGTGAACCTCCAGAGATACTCTTGAGGATATTTCAAGAAATTGGTTCCATATGAAAAACAATGCTGGTATAAAAGCAATGGAACTTCTTATTCTTATTCCAATAGCTGAATATTTACTTGGAAATCAGAATACCTCAGTACATTCTAATTGGTCCTCTTCATTTTTAACTGGGCACACTGGGGTTAGAAATCTAACACAAGGGAATTATATTTTAAAATTAAATTATATTTTAAAAATAATGCATGGATAGCCCGTTTCCCAGTTCTTAGTCCCATTTGCTTCATTGCAAATGAAGTGATGAAATGAAGTCATTGGCTTCATCACGAAGTGCCAAAACTTTTCAAGTTACTGGAGCGTAAGTTGCATGAGAGCAGGGCCTTTGTTTGCCAGTCTGAATTCCTAGATCCTAGAATGGTGCCAGGCACATTATAGATGCTGAGTAAACACTTATTAACGGAACGAATGACTTACTATGCTCCACTGATTTTTTTTTTTTTTTGAGATGGAGTTTCGCTCTGTCGCCCAGGCTGGAGTGCAATGGCGCAATTTCGGCTCACTGCAACTGCCACCTCCCAGGTTCAAGGGATTCTCCTACCTCAGCCTCCCAAGTAGCTGAGATTACAGGTGCCCGCCACCACGCCTGCCTAATTTTTGTAGTTTTTAGTAGAGACAGGTTTCACCATGTTGGCCAGGCTGGTCTCGAGCTCCTGACCTTAGCAGCCCACCTCAGCCTCCCAAAATGCTGGGATTACAAGAGTGAACCACTGCACCCGGCCGAATTTCTTCGTAAAAATTTGGCTTTGCTTTTTAAAATCATACACAGAAGAAAGGCAGAACATGACCTCTCCTTTATAGACAATGAACTTGTCTGATATGATCATTGTTACCAACTCATTAGCTGAAACTTGTCAGGATTTTTGATGAGTGCTCCAAACAATCTTGTCCTTTGTACTACTGTACTATCTCACATCCAATTACTAACCAGGCCTAACCCTGCTTAACTTCTGAGGTCAGGTGCGTTCAGGGTGGTTCTGGCCATAGACCACTGCACTGTCAAACGTGAGGTAGATGGCAATGAGTATATGCAGAAGTATGATTTAGAGATGTGGGAATTCAGTGCGAAAATGTGGTTGTGAATTAAACAATGGTAATGCAGTGTTAATTATTGTCTCCTAAATACAGTTTCAGACTTTAAGAGTTATTCTCTTTAAACAACCGCAAGAAACCCCCCCACAAAACCCAACTCTTGCATAGTTTGGTGAAGGGGTGGGGTGGGAGGAGTGCTATCATTTTTCATACACCTACTTGGTGCCAAGAGCTTTGTATATTCTATCTCATAGAATCTTTACATGATCCTAAGGGGTTAGTAGTTTTAAGCCTATTTTACAGGCAAGGAAACTGAAATACAGATTAAGTAATTTGCCTAAGGCCATTGACTGAGTCCATGGTAGAGCTAGGGTTCAATACTTGTTTCTCTGACTCTGGAGAAAAAAATGTTCTTTCCACACATCATGGTGGTAGAATTTCATTTTGGGAATGAGCTCAGATGCTAAAAAATTCCTTTCTTTGTAATTGTAGCTGGATTCAAGGTTGTCTTACTTTCTAAAATGATGGTTCTTACTAGTGTAAGGATTGGTACCCTATATTTTTGTTTCATTTGGCATTGCCTCAAGGGTCCTCCTGAAAGTGCAGTTGGCAAACATTTATTTTTATAAGATATATACACATACATAATACATATTCTCCCACCCAGTTCACCGTCACCACAAAACTTGAGAACATCTTGAAAATAACTGGTGATCCTCTGAATGGCTCCAAATCAAGACCCAAATTACTTCATTACTTTTCTAAATACTTGTGCAATATAAATGGGCTGTGAACACTCAGTCAAGTAAAGGGAAATTTCCTGCCGCTTTTTTTTCTTTTTCTTTTTTTCATTTGGGCTGATGAGAAATAAGAATAAATCCTCTTAGAGTTAATAATGTGAAAACCAAAGCTTTCAAAAGCAGCTCAAAGGCAGCGGTTGGTATTGCACACTTTATTTAGGAACATTTTCCTACAACTGCTTCCTTCTCCTTTCTTCTTCTTCTTTCTTCAACTTCTGTTGGGCCCGCAGAAATTGTAGTTGTCTTATGTTAAAATTCTGGTGACCAGTTAAGGGGCAAACATCAGGCTTAGCAATTGGTATCTGTACTAAGCAGTGACAGAAATCACGATTAAGCTGTGATGCACATAAAGGCAGATGCTGTGGCATATTCAGCATGGTATGCTCCCTGCACTGAGCACACAGTAAGTGTTCAAGAAATGCTTACTGGAAGAATTAATTAGTGAATTGCAGCTTATCAAAGATCACTTGGACTCATAGGGAATATAAAATCAGAGTCTGTTGGATAAGACAGCCATCTGTGTCCAAGTTATGGAGACCTTTCCAACCAGTTACTTCCTGGAGTTTCACTGAGGGATAAACTGAGCCTTCGAAGCATCTAGGAGCTGACAATCTAGCAGTCACTATCAGGCATGTTGCAACAAACACCCAGATGGCCCTGGTGACGGGAGAATTCTACTCTTCTGAAAATCAAAAAGTATTGATTGGCTCAAAGAGTGAGGAGGAACACATATTCAGTTAAAAATATAAGCTCTCCAGAATGTTTTGAGGGGAAATGTTAAGTTTTGGTTGACTTGGGATCTGATTTTAGATTGCTGATAAGACAAAATGTATGTTCTAACTGTTGGGTGCATAGTAGGGTTGCTTTGGAACAGTGTCTTGTGTTGATGAGTAATTCTGCGCCTTGAACCTGTGCCACCACAATTTCAGTTAAAGGCTTACAAGTCCTATCAGCTTCTCAGAACATTTTTTTTTTTTCAAAACCACTTTTGTGTTTTCTGAACCAGAAATCTGCTTTAGTGCTTAGCAGGTTTCATGTTTCAGAACTGTACTTTTAGAGTGTCTCTAGACAACACTGAAAGGCACACAGAGAGAAATGTTGATGTGGCTGGGTGCTTGGTTTGTTCCCCGTCTTGGTTGGCGGTTCGGGGTGGGGTGGTGGAGGGGGAGGGTTAAGAATTATAGCAGGTGTCTGCTGGCTGAGAGGTCAGTAAACAATTCCAGATGCTTTGAAGGATCTAGAATTTCCAGCAGCTTGGCTCTGGTTGACATTTAAAAATTAACATACTTAATCCTCTAATCATATATGATCACCCCCAACAAAAGTGATAGAGGGTCTCCCTTAGATAAAAAATTGGAATTAATATGTACTTTAAAAGTAGATCTAGTTTTAAAAACTAGATGGTGTTACAAGTACAGTAATGAAAGCCATTTTCTTTCATTTTTATTTGAAAAACAATCTTATACATCAGAAAGCTTAGTAAATTAATTCATTGTCTTTGTTTTGGAATTTCCTAAACTGAGTAGATAGACGGTGAGCATCACGATAGCCAAAGACTGTAACTGAAGGCCAAGAATACTCTGAGGTTGGATTTTAGGGCACTAGGAAGGGCTGCTAATAACGACACTCTTTAAAAACTCTCACTTTCTCCCTGTAATAATTATAAGAATAATATGTCTGACATTTTTAAAAAAAGACTTTAGAATGGGAGTTTTCATAATTTAAATCAGACAAGAAAAACAATAAAACGAACTTAGGCCATAGAAGTCTAGGAGCCAATTCTAACAAGAACAAACTTATAAAACAAAGCCTTCAGAATAGAAGCCTAAGTTGATAGATTTAATTTTCAACAAAAAAAGAACATCTACATTCTTCTGCACTAAACTGTGAACTCCATCATAGCAGGGATGAAGCCCACATGAGACATGGCAGGTACTGAACAAATATTTGTTGAATAATTAAAATAAAACAATCTTCCTGTTCCAAGGAGATCACCTTGGGAGGCTATACAATTATTCTACTCATTGCTCAAAATACTTTTGGGAGGTTTTTTTTTGGAAATTGCCACTAGAGCAAGAGCTCTATCCATGGATAGAAATAAGGATGTGTGAGTTTCATCAGAGAAATAATTACATCTTTATTTTCACTAACTTCTTTTTTTTTTTTTTTTGAGACGGAGTCTCATTCTGTCACCCAGGCTGGAGTGCAGTGGCACCATCTCGGCTTACTGCAACCTCCACCTCCTGGGTTCAAGAGATTCTCCTGCCTCAGCCTCTCTAGTAGCTGGGACTACAGGTGCGAGCCACCACGCCCGTTGAATTTTTGTATTTTTAGTAGAGATGGGCGTCACCATATTGGCCAGGCTGGTCTTGAACTCCTAGACCTCATGATCCGCCTGCCTTGGCCTCCCAAAGTGCTAGGATTACAGGCGTGAGCCACTGCGCCCGGCCTATTTTCACTAACTTCTAATTGAAATTTAACATCTTTTTCAATTATGAATATAGGCAACAACCCACAGTAGTATAAACAGTACCTGTGACTTTGCCACCTCTATAAATTATAGGTACAGTGCTATTACATTAGTGATTGCAGATCACTACATGTCTCACTACTTCAACAATTGTAGCAGTTTGTGCTCCTACCATCAAATCTTATTTAACGCATTAATAAACAACCTTATATGTTATTATCATAAATTTGGTCTTTAAAATGTTTTCTAGCCTTGGCAACATGGTGAAACTCTGCCTCTACAGAAAAAAAAAAAATTAGTTGGGTATGGTGGTATGCGCCTGTAGTCCCAGCTACTTGGGAGGCTGAGGTGGGAGAGTCACTTGAGCCTGGGAGGCAGAGGTTGCAGTGAACTGAGATTGCACCACTGCACTCTGGCCTCACAGAGTGAGACCCCGTCTCAATAAATAAATAAATAGGCTGGGCGTGGTGCCTCACACCTGTAATCCCAGCCCTTTAGGAGGCCAAGGTGGATGAATCATTTGAGGTCAGGAGTTCGAGACCAGCCTGGCCAACATGGTGAAATCCCGCCTCTACTAAAAAATACAAAAATTAGCCACGTGTGGCGGTGGGTGCCTGTAATCCCAGCTACTCGGTAGGCTGAGGCAGGAGAATCACTTGAACCCTGGAGGTGGAGGTTGCAGCTAGCTGAGATCGCACCACTGCACTCCAGCCTTGGCGACAAAGCGAGACTCCGTCTCAATAAATAAATAAATAAAAGAATGTTTTGATAGCTGTATTTTAATATTTTGATTTCTTTCGCAATCTTATATGTTTCATTTTCTGTAATTTCAGATATTTTTCCTTTTTGATATTTTTTTCCTTTTAAAAAGAAGTTTAAATAGAGATGAGGTTTAGCCATGTTGCCCAGGCTGATCCTGAACTCCTGAGCTCAAGCAATCCTCCTGCCTCGGCCTCCCAAAGGGCTGGGATTACAGGTGTGAGTCACTGCACCCAGCCTAATTTCAGGTATGTTTCTGAGAAGTTATCCATAGGTTTCACAAACACATGAAGATGTGTCCATGTCATAAATATGGGTAAGGACTCCTGCTCTAAAGTCTACAGGACATTTTTAAAAAATTCTAATTGGTATAAAATTTTATTTACTTATTTATATCTCATAAACACCTCTAATACCATGAAAATCTTAGTTTTTTGAGAGTAGGTTTTGGAAATAACAGTCACCTGGAGTCAAGTCTGGGAAATAAATTGGATAGCTGAGTCAACAAAACAAAAGAAGAAAGGGCCATAAAATAAAATAACATGACTTTTTCTTGAATTTAATTCTTTCTTTCTCCCTAGATATAACATATCTAGATATAATATATATCTAGGCTGGGCGTGGTGGCTCACGCCTATAATCCCAGCACTTTGGGAGGCCGAGGCAGGTGGATCACTTGAGGACAGGAGTTCGAGACCAGCCTGGCTAACCTGGTGAAACCCCATCTCCACAAAAAATACAAAAATTAACCGGGCATGGTGGCAGGCACCTGTAATCCCAGCTACTTAAGAGGCTGAGGCAGGAGAATCACTTGAACCCAAGAGGCGGAGGTTGCAGTGAGCCAAAATAGTGCCACTGCATTCTAGCCTGGGTGACACAGTGAGACCACATCTCGGAAAAAAAAAAATCTATATATATATATGTGTGTGTGTATATATATGTATATATACGTGTGTATATATACATATACATACACACGTATATGTGTGTATATACACATATATGTATATATGTATATATGTGTGTGTATATATATATAAAAAATTTTTGTGCCTCACTAAAGCTTTTGTGCAAGCTACTGAACTAGAAACTGGGGATACAAAGATAAAAAAAGGCATGGTCTGCCTCTAGAAGTTTATAGGGTTGGAGGAGAGTGGGAGAGGGAGGTGGGGGCTCCTAAGTAGTGGTGACCCTACTCCATTTTTTTTTTTTTAGATGTTCGGTCTTAGGCTAAAACTTCTGATTCATTAAAAACTTTTGTTTGTTATGTTACCTTTTGCTAACTGTAAAGTTAAAAATTTCAAGTCAGGGACTGTTTCTTCTGCTTTTGGTTCTATCTCAGGAATGTGGTAAGTAGAAGTGATGCTAAGAATTATGTCCAAAAGGTCACATCTGTTTTTGCAACTTAAATTTATTTTCTCAGAGTGGTTCTACAATTGAAGTTTTGTTTGTCAGACTGCTCACAAAAATCTGCTTACATAAGAATGTGCATTTAATATATCCTAAACAATATATATATCCTAAATGCTGTGCATAACAGTGCTTCTCTGGTTAAATGCATTCAAAGTTCTAACCCAGATGCCAACAGCTCAGAGCCTCTCTTGATAGAACACTCTTCCTGTCAAGGCTAAAATGAGAGCAGGAGAGGTTAGTTTCCATTTAACTCCCGGTAGCTGCAACAGACAAGCCTCACTCTATGTCAATGATTCTTCTGAGGTCCTGTTTTGAAGAACAAAAGCACAAAGGACAATCTGACCTATCTTGCTTTTTTCAGTGTTAACCGCAGTGTGGATAACTTCTAAATAAGTCAGTTTATAATTAAGCAGTGTGGTTAATGAAACAGGAAAAACAAACAGATCATTGGAACAGAACAAAGAGTTCAAAAATGAAACCATATATTAAAAAAAATCTGGTAACAAACAAAAACATAATTTAACATAACATAATCCAGTTCTTGGGGTAGAGAAGGCCTTCTTTAAAAAGACATCAAAAGAAAAAGCAGAAACAGACAAGAATGATCATTTTAATTATATCAGATTTTTACATTTCTGAATAAGAAAAGGTACTATGAACTATTTCAAAATAGCCAACAGCCTACGAAAAAGTATTTACAACCCAACAGCAAAGCATTAATATTCAGCATATAAACTAAACTCCTATAGATCAATAAGAAAATGACAACCCAATGGATCAATCGACAAAGAATGTAAACAGGCAAGTCACAAAAGAAGATATAATAAAGACCATTATGTCTATGAAATGATGTTCATCTCATTAATCAGGGAAAATGCAAATAACAAGAAAATCCAGCAACAACTGGGAAAAAACCAGTACTTCCACTAAAAACAACAACAACAACAACAACAACAACGACACGCAGCTATTTTGGGGGAATAATTAGGCAGTGTGTATTAAAAATAAAAACATACACTCTCTACTACCCAGCAATTATTCTTTTAAGAGAAATGCTTGCACAGAGTATGCAAAGAGGCTTGTACAAGAAACACTCTTTAGACTGGTGTTTATGATGGTGAAAAATTGAGACAACCTAAATATCCATTCATAGGGGAATGGCAAAATAAATGGGGGTATTTTGATATTATGTAACATGATGAAGCCATTAAAAGGAATGAGCCACAGGCTGGGTGCCGTGGCTCACGCCTGTAATCCCAGCACTTTGGGAGGCCGAGGCAGGTGGATCACGAGGTCAGGAGTTCGAGACCAGCCTGGCCAACATGGTGAAACCCTGTCTCTACTAATATACAAAAATTAGCTGGGCGTGGTGGTGGGTGCCTGTAATCCCAGCTACTCGGGAGGCTGAGGCAGGAGAATGGTGTGAACCCGGGAGGTGGAGGTTGCAGTGAGCCGAGATCGCACCATTGTACTCCGGCCTGGACAGGGCAAGACTCCATCTCGAAAAAAACAAAACAACAACAACAAAAAAGGAATGAGCCAGATCTATATGTATCAAAAATTCTAAGACAAATGCTTGAGTTGAAAAAACTAAGTTAGGCCGGGTGTGGTGGCTCACACCTGTAATCCCAGCACTTTGGGAGGCTGAGGCGGGTGGGTCACGAGGTCAGGAGATTGAGACCACCCTGGCTAACACAGTGAAACCCCGTCTCTACTAAAAATACAAAAAAAATTAGCTGGGCGTGGTGACGGGTGCCTGTAGTCCCAGCTACTTCGGAGGCTGAGGCAGAACCCAGGAGGTGGAGCTTGCAGTGAGCCAAGATCGCACCACTGCACTCCAGCCTGGGCAACAGAGTAAGACTCTGTCTCAAAAAAAAAAAAAAAAAAAAAAAAAGTTGCAGAACACATAGAGTGGTACCTTTTTTTAAACAATGAATTTAACTGTTACTCCCCGCTACCCCTCATACAATGGAGGCTACATCATGCTTGGAGCTTGTTGAAAAAAGACAGACGAGAGAAGATTACTTGTTCAAAACATTGAGCAGCCAAATACAGGAACTCCACCAAAGTAATGAATGAAAAAGAAAGCCTGGGCTGTGTTCTTTCCATTTCAGAATTGTATTTATTTCTCAATGGCAAGAGCTTTTGCTGTTATAAATTTATCGTGATTGGCTCTCACTAGCAATGACCAATAACTAAATAAAATAAATAATTGGCAAAAACGGAATTACAGCAGAAGATTTAGTTTTAAAGTTTTTTTTTTTTTTTTTTGAGACAGAGTCTTGCTCTGTTGCCTAGGCTGGAGTGCAGTCACGCCATCTCAGATCACTGCAACCTCCATCTCCCAAGTTCAAGCAATTCCACCGCCTGCCTCAGCCTCTGGAGTAGCTGGGGCTACAGGCATGAGCCACTACAGCCGGCTAATTTTCATATTTTTAGTAGAGACGGGGTTTGGCCATGTTGGCCAGGCTGGTCTTGAACTCCTGGCCTCAAGTGATTCACCCACCTCAGTCTCCCAAAGTGCTGGGATTACAGGCGTGAGCCGTGGAGCCGGGCCTCAAAGATCTTAACTGGCTTCATTTGCAATTCTAGAACTGGGCTTCATTCCAAAATGTTCTGGCCAGGCATGGTGGTGCACGCCTATAATCCCAGCACTTTGGGAGGCTGAGGCGGGAGGATCACTTGAATCCAGGAGTTCTAGACCAGTCTGGGCAACATAGGAAGACCCCTGTCTCTACCAAAAACAAAAAATGAGCTGGGTATGGTTGTGCATGCCTGTGGTGCAGGGTTTCTGTGGTCCCATCTACTCTGGAGGCTGAGGCAGTAGGCTGCAGTGGGCTGTGATCGTGTCACTGCACTCCAGTCTGAGTGACAGAGTGAGACTGTCTTAAAAAAAAAAAAAAAAGTTTTCCAACGAGCCCAGCAGAGGAGGTTGGTTTTGTAGACAGAGAAGGACTGAAAAAAGCAGAAGCAAAGAACAAAAAGCAGATTGGTTATTTCAAAGTTACTTTCCTTGAAAGATGAAAGATGAGAACAGGGAAACAGAACAACAGAGAAAAAACTGATTGCTTAACATCAGGTTACTTTAGGTTACTTTTTGTTGTCAGGATTAAAAGCAGAGGAAATTTCATTATTATGCTAAGTAAAACTAGCCTGTTTGGGAAATTTGGGTGTTATCTCTCTCCTGATTTCTCAGAAGGTCAGATAACAACTCGGTCTCAGTTTGGTAACTTGGAATTTAAGTATGAGGGACTCCATTTTGATATTTGGCCTGGTCTGTTGACCTAGTACAGGAGCTCAGTCAAAAACAAAATTATGAGTGCCTCAGAGTTATATGAGTGCCATCTCTACTAAAAATGGAAAAATTAGCCTGGCATGGTGGTGTCTGCCTGTAGTCCTAGCTACTCAGGAGGCTAGGTGAGAGGATCACCTGAGCCCAGGATGCGGAGGTTACAGTGCACTGACATCGCACCATACCACTGCACTGTAGCCTGGGCCACAGAATGAGACCCTGCCTCAAAAAAAAAAAAAAAACCAAAACCATGTATATATCTATATACAGATACATATATATACACATACACATACATATATGGATACATAATATATACATACACATATATATCCCTATGTTTTGTTTTAAATCTTCAGTGATTTAAAGCAAAACCTCAGGGGAAAAGAGGGTTGCACTGTTAGAAACTTCTGCTTTAAAAATGAGAACCAGAGATGAGGTAGCACACTCTGGTCACTCTGCCCATGGTGTGGAAGCAGGCAGCCGGAGTGGCGGAGTCCATGTGTATGAAAAACACAGGCAAGCATTAGCAGTTGGTTTCAGATGGATTCCAGACAGCAGGCTGTGAATGGACCAAAGAGGAAGCTGTGACCATGGGTAGGAAGTGCCTTGTTGAGGCCCTTGCTCTGCTGGGTCTGCTTTCTGGGCTTAAAACCCAACGGGTCCATATGCTGGTGTAATAGCAGGAGGAATCTTTTTGCAGAAGTCCCTTTGCATGAGGAGGAACCAGGGACTTTTCCAATATTTACCACATATTCTATGTAAGGTGTTACAATTACCACTCTTAGAAAGATCCATGTCTGCTTTCATTGTCTGCACCGCCAGGTGCCTCCTGGGGTGGAGAAAAATAGGGAACTATGTCTTTGCTGGGGGGTTGCTAGTTCTACTGAGGGGTGCTGGAGTTGTAGGTCTATAAGTGGAATTTAGCTTTAGGGTATAAATGAGCAAATTTGTCATCTTTCTAAATAAGACCTAGTTTAGGGATTACCCCAGAGGTTGGAGGTGGAGGAAGTAGTTGGCAACTTGCCCTGAAATCTAGAGGTTCACAATCTGCTGACATGGACTCCGCCACTCCAGCTCCCTGCTTCGACACCATGGGCAGAGTGACCAGAGTGTGCTACCTCATCTCTGGTTCTCATCTTTAAAGCAGAAGTTTCTAACAGTGCAACCCTCTTTCCTCTGAGGTTTTGCTTTAAACCACTGAAGATATGGGGAGTGAAAGCAGCAGGGGCTTTCTGATGTGGTCATTAATGCTAGTCAGAGGGAGGCCTTTAATCAGAAGGCTCAAGACAGATGGGTGGACCGGGCGCAGTGGTTCACACCTGTAATCTCAGCACTTTGGGAGGCCAGGGTGGCAGATCACCTGAACTCACTGTGGGGAAAAGAAAGAGAAATCAGACTGTTACTGTGTCTATGTAGAAAGAAGTAAACATAAGAGACTCCATTTTGTTCTGTACTAAGAAAAATTCTTCTGCCTTGAGATGCTGTTAATCTGTAACCCTACCCCCATCCCTGTGCTCGCAGAAACATGTGCTGTGTCGACTCAAGGTTTAATGGATTTAGGGCTATGCAGGATGTGCTTTGTTAAACAAATGCTTGAAGGCAGCATGCTTGTTAAAAGTCATCACCACTCCCTAATCTCAAGTACCCAGGGACACAAAACACTGTGGAAGGCCACAGGGACCTCTGCCTAGGAAAGCCAGGAATTGTCCAAGGTTTCTCCCCATGTGATAGTCTGAAATATGGCCTCATGGCAAGAGAAAGACCTGACCGTCCACCAGCCCGACACATGTAAAGGGTCTGTGCTGAGGAGGATTAGTAAAACAGGAAGGCCTCTTTGCAGTTGAGATAAGAGGAAGGCATCTGTCTCCTGCTCCTCCCTGGGCAATGGAATGTCTTGGTGTAAAACCCAGTTGTATATTCCATCTACTGAGATAGGAGAAAACCGCCTTAGGGCTGGAGATGAGACACGCTGGCGGCAATACTGCTCTTTAAGGCATTGAGATGTTTATGTATGTGCACATCAAAAGCACAGCACTTTTTTCTTAACCTTGTTTATGATACAGAGACATTTGTTCACATGTTTTCCTGCTGACCCTCTCCCCACTATTACCCTATTGTCCTGCCACATCCCCCTCTCTGAGATGGTAGAGATAATGATCAATAAATACTGAGGGAACTCAGAGACCGGAGCCGGCGCGCGTCCTCCTTATGCTGAGCGCCAGTCCCGTGGGCCCACTTTTCTTCTTCTATACTTTGTCTCTGTGTCTCTTTCTTTTCTCAAGTCTCTCGTTCCACCTGACGAGAAACGTTCACAGGTATGGAGGGGCAGGCCACCCCTTCACTCACAAGTTTGAGACCAGCCTGCTCAACATGGTGAAACCCCGTCTCTACTAAAAATACAAAAATTAGCCGAGCATAGTGGTGCACACCTGTAGTCCCAGCTACTTGGGAGGCTGAGGTAGGAGAATTTCTTGAATCTGGGAGGCGGAGGCTGTAGTGAGCTGAGATTGCACCACTGTACTCCAGCCTGGGCGACAGAGTAAGAATCTGTCTATTTAAAAAAAAAAGGCAGATGCGGGGGCATCTGCCCCAGAAGAAAGTGATTAGGAGGCTTACCCCCGCCCCCTTGCCTATGGTCACCTAGCTTCCTTGAAAATAATGTAATCGGCATCTTTGTGTATGTACATTTTTAATGTTATCAGACTTTCTTAGTGAAATGCAACCAAACCAAGCACATATTTACTTTAAAATTCCATTGAAAACCAGGTATTTAAATTGATTTTAAGAACCTTGTTAAGGAAATCAGCCTGGCTAAGGAAAATTAGTACTGCATTTTAAAAGAGTTAAGCAGATCTAACAAGACTCTAAGCTACTCTTGGACAGCTCTGCTTAGTGTCTGAGCCACCTTCCCTCAAGAACTTTGTTGAAGAGTGTTGAACGACCTTTTTGGAAGCCTTCTACTTGCAACATGAATTAAACAGCAGTTACGATCACTGGGATTAATAATGTGATGTCTGGAGCAGGTAACCCGGAATTATTAATATTATCTCTCTGTCATCTTTTTCTTTTCTTTTTGGAGGGGAGGGGGACAGGATGTCACTCTGTCACCCAGGCTAGGGTGCAGTGATGTGATCATATCTCACTGTAACCTTGAACTTCTGGGCTCAAGTGATCCTTCTGCCTCAGCCTCCAGAGTAGCTGGGACTATAGGCATGTGCCACCACACCCAGCTACTTTTTAAACTTTTTGTAGAAATGGAGTCTCGCTCTGCTGCCCAGGCTGGTCTCAAACTCCTGGGTTCAAGTGAGCCTCCCACCTTGGCCTCCCAGAGCACTGGGATTACAGGCATGAGCCAGTGTCCAGTCTTGTCATTGTTTTCCTTTTTCTTTCTTTTTTTTCTTCAGAGAGGGGGGTCTCACTTTGTTGCCAGGCTGGACTCTCAAACTTCTGGGCTCAAGTGATCCTCCCACCTCAGCCTCCTGAGTAGCTGTGACCACTGGCACGCGCCACTACACCCACCTCTCTGCCATCTTACACGAGAGAGCATGTCTTAGGCTGAGTGCAGTGGCTCATGCCTGTAATCCCAGCACTTTGGGAGGCCGAGGCAGGCAGATCACCTGAGGTCGCGAGTTTGAGACCAGCTTGACCAACACGGAGAAACCCCATCTCTACTAAAAGTACAAAATTAGCCGGGTGTGGTGGCGCCTGCTTGTAATCCCAGCTACTGGGGAGGTTGAGGCAGGAGAATCACTTGAATCTGGGAGGCGGGGGTTGCGGTGAGCCAAGACGGTGCCACTGCACTCCAGCCTGGGCAACAAGAGCGAAACTCCATCTTAAAAAAAAAAAAAGAGAGCACGTCTTGAGCCACCGCTTGCTACTAAGTTTCTGGGACTTGAGAAGACAGGAGAGAGCAATATTTATTTCTCAATGTCCAGAGGGAAGTTACAAAATTTCAGTCGTATGATAAATGCTGAAGTACTTAATGCAATAAAGTCCTTCCCTATCAGAAGCTACACACACCCATGGTGGGGATAAGTTTCTGCTGAGGATTAATAGTGAAAACAGGTCTCCCTTTCAGGGTAGGAACACAGAACCATGCCTCATGTCTCCCCGTAGCTTTTAAGAGGAAGCACAATGGTTCAGAAACGCCCTTCCTTTCACCCTCACATGCAAAATGACCACTTGTTGCTTGAGAGTGTGGCTCACCTCATTGTCCTGGTGATTAATCTCGCTGATGTTCGACTGTTGCAACAGGACCGTGAGGAGCCTGTAAGGAAAAAATAGGAGAAATGGCTCAAAATAACAGGCAGTCACGGTGCTCTTGGAATCGGTATAAAAACATGACCTTAGAAAAACCGTCAGTTGAAAGACTCCAAATGAAGATGAGGGCCCTTTCCGTTTCTCTGGGAAAAAGATCCACAGAAAAGAAGCAAGAGTGTGATAGGTTAGAAGACACCTGTGTGGAGGGCTACTGTCTGCCTCTCCCACCCTCTCTTCATCTCAGCACTCCCGAGGGGCACAAGGGGATGGAGAAACTTTAGGCTCATTGTGTTCACCAGGCCTCTGTCTCCTAGCCATGCCCTTTAAGATCCAAAATCATGTAGCAATTATTATTATGATTTTTTTCTTTGAGATGGAGTCTCGCTCTGTTGCCCAGGCTCGAGTGCAGTGGCACGAACTTGGCTCACTGCAAGCTCCGCCTCCCGGATTAGCACCATCCTCCTGCCTCAGCCTCCCGAGTAGCTGGGACTACAGGCGCCCCGCACCACGCCCTGCTAATTTTTTCTATTTTTTAGTAGAGACGGGGTTTCACCGTGTTAGCCAGGATGGTCTGGATCTCCTGACCTCGTGGTCCGCCCGCCTAAGCCTCCCAAAGTGCTGGGATTACAAGTGTGAGCCACCGTGCCCGGCCACTTATTCTTTATTCTTTATACACACATGCCTAAGCACAAGATTCACTTTATAGAAACTTACAGAGTGCTTTCGACCTGCTTCACTCCTAGCTGCATATGTCATGCCTTTTTAATGCATAGATTATACCAGGAGGTTGTCAGTATTTGCAAGTTTGCTCATTCTTTGTAAAATACACACATGCCTAAGCACAAGATGACAGTAATCAGTGTAAAACAGCTATCAATGATTCTCAGATTCAGGCTCTTACCTGACTTGGATCTCCTGCTCAGTTGACTGAAGTCAACGCTCCATCTGGGAGAGGGGGGCAGCCGAGCATAGTGGAGAGGGGCCCGGGCTCTGCAGCCAGATGGCTTGGGTTTACATCCCAGCCCTGCCACTGATGAGCTCTGTGACCTCAGGCAAGTTACTTACCTTCTTCCTGCCTAAACTTCCTCATCTGTGAGATAGGAGTGATAAAAACTACCTATCACACAGCTCAGTGTGAGGATTAAATGAGTTAATATGCATACAACATATAGAGCATGCCTGGAACATGCTGTTATTTCTAGAGTGCTTAACCCCAGAAGTTTGGACCCTGGCTCCATCTCAGAATTGCCTGGAGAGATTTTTTTTTTTTTTAAACCACAAATACCTGGACTCTGTACTCAGGGTTTCTAACTCAGTAGGTCTGGAGAAGCCCAGCTTCTACTGTTTAAAAAAAGCTATTCAGGAAATTATGGTAAACAGCCAGGCTTGGAAACAATTGAGAAAGGTGCTGAAAGAATTAATCAATGGATACTCATCAAGATGATAAAGAATAGTGTATGGGCAGTCAATGGAGGAAATTCAGAAATTGCTTTTGGAAGAATTATTTGTAAAATGAAATTGTTTAGTCTCTTCTCCAATCAAATCTTTATCGTCTCTCAGATTGGAAGACATCTAAAGCCCTAAGTATTAAATTGTTACTTGCAATAGAAGAAAAGAAAGATCCACTAATCATATTGCCTTAGCAGTAAATGTAATACACAGAGAGCTTAAATAGAGATGGACTTCTGGTTATTTGCGGTGGAGGTGAAATAACCAGGAAGCCTGTGGTTTCAATCTTGTTGTATCATAGTCTTTTGGGGAGCCAGGATAATGCTGAGGTTTAATTCTGACCTCACTACTGCACGATCTGAGTTTCTGTATCTTCATGTATATCAGAGGGGTAGTAACGCAGTGGTGTAAAGGATTGAGTGATCCAACAGGCAGAAAGACCCTGGGTCACATACACTAAAGGGACAATGGCTATGACTGCATACAGTACATCTCTTTTATGCTCTCTGAATTCTAGATGTAGCCTTTGGTAGGAAGACATATAAAAATAATTGCATTTTGGGTCACACAATTTTTATCTTTGCAATTATTTCACCACTGGATATATTTCCCTGTGGCTGCTTTGTGAGTGGGGGCAGGGCTTACCTTGTGACTGTGCTTCTCCTTTCTTTCTTTCCTTTCTGTCTTCTCTGGCTCATTATTGGCCATTGTTTACTCTCTAGGGCCCATTTGGTCTGAGGGACTGGGGGAGGAGGGAAGGGCAAGGCAGGAGGTCAGCTGTGGTCCAGTGTGGTTATCCTTGGTTACTCCTGAGCAGACAGAGATTATCTGTAGCCAGACAGGATCTTCTGGGGCTCTAACCAGATTAGAATGGGGGTAGGGAGAGCAGGACCTCTTGTCATATCCTGGGTGGCCTCCCAAGGTTGTGGGATGAACCGTGTGCCTAGATAGTTCTCTATTTGGCTTTCAAAGCCATTCTCTTCTTTATACTGCCCTGCTCTGAGGCTGACTTCTAGGGACCGCATCAACCAGGCTCCCTTGCCCTTGGCTTCCTATCGGGTTTTGCCGATGGGGGAACTGGCAGGAGGAGGGAGAGAAGCCAGCTCCCTTTCTGGCAATAATTGTATTTCTCTACCAAAGGCCTCAGTTCTTGCCAGGTGGCCCCTCTCCTACAGCTAAGCTACCACTGCAGCTCTCAGAAGTTTCCAGTAACAGCCCCTTCCTTGCCCCTTTAGGTCTAGAAAGTGATAACATTTTCCTGCTCTTTTGGGGAAAGTGGGGGTGGGGTAGGGGGTTAGAACATCAACCATCATCTCTTGTTGGTCAATTTTTGGTCAATTTTTTTTTTTTTTGAGACAAGCTCTCACTCTGTCACCCAGGCTGGAGTGCAGTGGCACAATCACAGTTCACTGCAACCTGGACTTCCTGGGCTGAAGCGATTCATCCTCCTGCCTCAGTCTTCAGAGTAGTTTGCACTACAGGTGTGCACCATCACGCCCAACTAATTTTTTAGTGTTTTTAGTAGAGATGGGGTTTCACTATATTGCCCAGGCTGGTCTTGAACTCCTGAACTCAAACGATCCTCAGCCGCCCGAAGTGCTGGGATTACAGGCGTGAATCACCCTATCCAGCCTTGTTGGTCAAGTTTAAATAGTCTTTCCCTAGACTTTCTCCAGTTGCCACCCTTTAATTCCCATGTCTTCTCTGTCATGGCTGTGACTGATATGTGATGATCTATGTGGCCCAACTCCACTTGACTGTGAAGTCTCTGAGATCCATTGATCGTCAAAGCTGGACACAAATAGACAGATCAAGGCCCTCTCCTGCATTCTTGCCCTCACTCTGGCTCTGGCTGTCTCTCATATGTTGTGAGAACAAAGAACCTGAGGCCCTTCCTGGCTTGCCAAGACCACCATACAGTGGCTCAGTGATACAGCCTGAACCAGAAACCAGGTGTCTCATTGCCAGCCTGGGACTTCCTTGCTGTTCTGTGGTATGGAGGTGACCTGCGAGATACTTGTCCAGCATCTATGTCAATTCCTAGATGATTTGCAGCCCTCTGTTGTGCTTCCCCCGAGCTCTCATTTTGTGTTACCATGGCCCAGGAGTCATTCTACACCCCCATCAGCCAAGTTCAGACTCCCTCCTGTCCTCGGATCTCTGAGTAAGTGATGTAAGACCCATCTCATCTCAGGTGCCAGTACAGCAGGCTTGGACCCCAGCAAGAGCAGTCCCAGACAGGTGGTGTGTTGAGTCATAAGAGCACTGATGCTGGGGCCAGACTGCCACTGTTAGAATCCCTGCTCCATACCAACCAGCCAGTGACCTTGGGCGAGCTCCCAGTGCCTACATTTTCTTATCCATAAAATGCAGAGAATAATACCTACTTCCTCAGGATCTGTCATGACTTTGACTCCATGCACACAAAGCACTTGGAATAGCCCTTACATGCCATAATAAAGTTTTATATGGCCAGGTGCGCTGGCTCACGCCTGCCTGTAATCCCAGCACTTTGGGAGACCAAGGTGGGCAGATCACCTGAAGTCAAGAGTTTGAGACCAGCCTGGCTAACATGGTGAAACCCCGTCTGTAATAGAAATAGAAAAATTAGCCAGGCATGATGGTGGGCACCTGTAATTCCAGCTACTAGGGAGGCTGAGGTCGGAGAATTGCTTCAATCTGGGAGGTGGAGGTTGCAGTGAGCCGAGATTATGCCACTGCACTCTAGCCTGGGCAACAGAGCTTGAGACTCTGTCTCAAAACAAACAAAAAACAAACAAAAAATTCTATAAAATGATTAATTTTTTAATAGCTCCTACCTTCTATTTTCTGGGTCTCCACTGATTATCATTAGGTGAATGGTGGGTCTCAGAGAAGGATCAGCTAGAAGCATCCTGGGGACAACTCATCCCTATGAGCTTTCCTGTTTCGCTGGCCCCTCTGAATGTTCCCAGCCCTGGAGCTGGCCAGCGCAGTGACAGGTGGGAAAAAATGGTCCCACAACCAGCCGTCTCCCCTTCCTGTCCCTGGAGCTGCCTGTATTAGAGTGTGCTGCAGTGAGACAAACACTGCAGGTCAGAACACACCACCTGGTAACTAGAGAACAGGACCCCAAGGAAATGATTTTCTTCCTCCCTTGGGCTGCAGTCAAGAGTGATGAAAAGAGGCAGAGTGGCTGGCACTCTGACAGGGAGGAAAAAAAGTCTGCCAGTAGCCATGGAGACCATGAAAAAGACCTTCAGAGAGCCCCGTGGCTGCTTTCAGAGAAAATTGCTGCTTGCCTTCCAACACTAGCATGTGCAGCGTTGTACAAACACAACTCTGTTCTCTTTGGAGCTTTGTTTTAATGATCATGCCCCCTCTTTCACACCAGCGCCCTCTGAATGTCCCAGCCAAGGAAGCAAGAAAAGCCTTGGGGAGCTGAAAGGGGGAAAACTTGGACCTGCTGAGAAGCAGAGGGTTCAAAGTAGGAAGGGGAATCATGAGAGGAAACCTGTGCATCTTTGCTTTTGTAAACCCAGTGTGCCTTCACGTTCATGATTATAAATCACTTATCCCTGCATCAGCCTCCATCCCCATTGAGCGGGTGTTTAGTTAAGGATGCAGATTCATACTGTTTGGTTTGTTCAGGAGTTGTTTCCATCTGAGCACTAAAATCCCTCTGGAGGCAAAGGACTAATTGAAGCGTCCCTTAGCTTGTTTATAAGCAGCTTCGGTTTGAGGCTTCTCTCTGAATAACCTCCAGTGAGCACCAAATAGAAGGAGCTTGCTGTTTGGAAATCTAAGTGTTAGCAGATTTTAAATCAGTATAAAAACCTGAGCACAAGGGCACTATGTGGCCTGTACATACTGTTTATGATTAGGGGAAAATGCAGACATATGCCAGTTTACAAAGGTGTGCATAGATCCACACAAACAACACACCCCAACAACCATTGCAGTAAACCTGTGTGCCCGGCAGTAGGATGTAGGACTGCATTTACATGGGCCTGTGTCTGTGCACACATTTTTGTGGACCTGAGTGTGCTGAGGTGAAGAAGGCCAGGATGAGCACCAGTGGGGTGGCAGTAGTAGTGTTTCATTCCTTAGCTTCTTATAATGTTTATGGTGTTTCTTTCTATCTTCCATCATCATCATCATTGATGACCATCAACATTATCATATCATCACGCCATCATCATCACCATGTTCACTTTCTGAACACGGACAATGTACTAGGTGCTGAGTTCAGCGTTTCCACACATTTTCTCCTTTACTTCTGCCTACTTCCCTGTGAAGTAAGCAGGAATAATATATTTAATAGTACTTACTTCGCCAGGTGTGGTGGCTCACTCTTGTAATCCCAGCACTTTGGGAGGCTGAGGTGGGCGGATCACCTGAGGTTGGGAGTTCGAGACCAGCCTGACCAACATGGAGAAACCCCATCTCTACTAAAAATACAAAATTTTCCGGGCATGGTGGTGCGTGTCTGTAATCCCAGCTACTCGGGAGGCTGAGGCAGGAGAATTGCTTGAACCCAGGAGGCGCAGTTTGTGGTAAGCCAAGATTACGCCTTTACGCTCCAGCCTGGGCAACAAGAGTGAAACTCTGTCTCAAAAAAAAAAATAGTACTTATTTCAAGGGGAAGCTGAGCCTTGACATGTTAACTTGCCCAAGAGAATAAGAGCTGGAGCCAGATTTAAACTCAGTCAGTCTGACTCATACTCATGAGCTGGCACTCCTGGCCACCCTTCAGGGATCTTTCTTTTCTTTTTCTTTCTTTCTTTCTTTCTTTCTTTCTTTCTTTCTTTCTTTCTTTCTTTCTTTCTTTCTTTCTTTCTTCTTTCCTTCCTTCCTTCCTTCCTTCCTTCCTTCCTTCCTTCCTTCTCTCTCTCTCTCTCTCTTTCTTTCTTTCTTTCTCTCTATCTTTCTCTCTTTCTTTCCTTCCTTCCTTCCTTCCTTCCTTCGGGTCTTGTGCTGTCGCCCAGGTTGGATTACAGTGGCACGATCATAGCTCACCGCAGCCTCGAACTCCTGGGCTCAAGCAATCTTCCAGTCTCAGCCTCCTGAATAGGTAGGACTACAGGAGCACACCACTATGCCTGGCTACTTTTTTAAAAAAATCATTTTTAGAAATGAGGCCTCATTATGTTGCCTAAGCTGGTCTTGAACTCCTGGCCTCAAGTTATCCTCCTGCCTCTGTCTCCCAAAGCACTAGGATTACAGGTGTGAGCCACAATGCCTGGCCCCTTCAGGGATTTTAGATTGTTTTCAGACAAATATGGTGAAATAAGATAACGAGTGAAGAAACAAGACAAAGAGAAAACACGGGCAGGAAAAAAAAAGACATGATCTATAGTCCTACATGTATGCCAGAGGTGGGACACAAATTGAGTTTTGAATTTTCTAAATATATAAAGAAAGAAACATGCTCTGAAGTCACAGTGTCTGTATAGTAAAATTAAAAAAAATGATTTATCAGGAGCAGCATAGCAATTCCTTCTTCAGTAGAAATATTTCTTGTGGTTTCTCATATAGAATTTTTCGGAGGTGCTAATGAATCATGAGCCAGGAAGTTTTGTAAGACTGTTTCTTATAAGGCTTCTCAACGGAGACCAAGGGCTTAATGTCAAAATATGGCCATTAAAATAAATTCGGTTTCTACTTTAAACATTTAATGCAGATGTATCAAACTCTGCCATGGACCTAAAATTTCTCAAACAACTATAAAATATGTAATTTTAACAATGTAATTCCATAGGGAATCCTTTAGGGTGGACTAGTTTCCAATATTCTGTAGGTAACCAAACTACAGTCATGCATCATTTAATGATGGGAATACTTTCTGAGAAATGTGTCGTTTGGCGATTTCATCATTGTGTGGACATCATAGAGTGTATTACACAAACCTAGATGGTAGAGCGTACTACACACCTATGCTATATGGTAGAGCCTATTGCTTCTAGGCTACAAATATGCACAGCATGTGACTGTACTAGACACTGTAGGCAATTGTAACACAGTGGTAAGTATTTATGTATCTAAACATAGAAAAGGTACAGTAAAAATATGATATAATCATCTTATGGGACCATCATTACACATGCAGTCTGCCATTAACTGAAATGTCATTATGCAGCGTGTGACTCTATTTGATTTGCTGTATGGTTGTTAGGACTTAACCCAATTAATCTTTGGAGAGCATTTACCAGAAATAACAATTTTGGTTTTGGAATAGTCAATCTTAACTTTTTGGGATTATTAGTTAAAGCAGCTAGCATTGCCATAACTAAAGCAGAATTTTATCTTTCAGAATCAGTTAAGGGCTTTTTGGACAATATAACTAACTACGTCATCTGCACACAGAAGGATGTTTATTTTTCTTATTTCAACTCATCCAAGGGTGGTGGCTGGGCTGTTAGGTACAGTTTCAAGAGAGGGGAAGCCACAACTCTCTGCTCTCCTAGTTATAGCAACTTAATGTAGATCCTCAAGAGTCGAGGAGTACTGATAAGCATAATAAGAAATAGAAACACAAGTCCACAAAGAGGAAGTACACTTGGGTTGATTTTCAATTTATTATTGCAGTGATTTCAGAGAATGAACCTAATCAACTGATCCAATTGACATTGAATGTAATTTTGACTGACAAGGCTTAGTTTACCCCTTAGGTGCAATGGGTTAAGAACAGAGACAGAGAGCTTTTCACCAAAATCCATGTTCCCCTTTCTTGGATTGGAGGCATTGTTGGGAGGTAGATTCCTGGCTAGAAACTATATTCCCCAGAGCACCTTATAACCAGATGTGGTTGTATGACTAGTCCTTATTGATGGAATATGAGCAGAAATGAATTGTGTCATTTGCAGGCTGAGGTTTTAAAGAACTGAGTGTGGCTTCTCTATAGGGTAGTCCCTGCTTAATCTGCGGTTTCGCTTTCCATTATTTCAGTTACCCACAGTTCACTGTGGTTCAAAAACATTCAATGAAAAATTCCAGAAATAAACAATTCATGTTTTAAATTGTGCGGCATTCTGAGTAGAATGATGAAATCTGCCGCTAACTACACTCCGCTCTCATTAGTCACTTAGGAGACAGCTCGGTTAACAAATCAGCTGTCCCCGTATCGCAGCACTGTGTTCACATTACTCTTATTTTACTTAGCAGTGGCCCCAAAGTGCAAGAGTAGTGATACTGGCATATTGTTATAATTGTTCTATTTTATTATTATTGTTGTTAATCTCTTACTGCGCCTAATTTGTACGCTAAATTTTATAGGTATGTATGTAGAGGAAAAAAACATAGCATATATGGACTTTGGTACTATCTGAGGTTTCAGACATCGATGTGGGTCTTGGAACATATCCCCTCCAGGGTGAGGGGAGACTACTGTTCTCCTCTTTCCCCATCTGCAGGCTGAATGAAGGGCATTCTGTGCTCTTAGGGGATGAAGGTGCTACAGAATGGAAGAAGCTTGGGTCCCTGAATTGCCATGTGGCAGGGAGCCACCTACCACCCCCCTACATTGGATGGTTACATGTCTGATAAACTTTTTGTTTTTTTGAGACGAAGTCTCACTTTGTCGCCCAGCCTGGAGTGCAGTGGTGCAAACTCAGCTCACTGCAACCTCCGCCTCCTGGGTTCAAGTGATTCTCCTGCTTCAGCCTCCTGAGTAGCTGGGCTTACAGGCACTCACCACCACATCTGGCTAATTTTTGTATTTTTAGTACAGGTGGGGTTTTGCCATGTTGACCAGGCTGGTCTTGAACTCCTCACCTCAGGTTATCCATCTGCCTCGGCCTCCCAAAGTGCTGGGATTACAGGTGTGAGCCATGGCACCTGGCCAGAAATAATTTTTATTGTGTTAAAACACTGAAGCTTTGGATTTTATGTGTTACAACAGCCATAATTACCATAACTTAAATGGGCTCTTTTAATCTTCCAGAATCAGTTAATAGGTTTTGAAATGACCACTCTGAGTGAGGCAAGTAAAAGCAATTACGTAGAGTAAATTAAGACAGAAGAAACAGAAAAGGTACATTTTAAAGTTATTTTCTAAAGACCACTCTTGGGAAAACAGTATGATTTTGTGACTAAGCATTTTTGTGGGGTCATTCTTTTTTTTTTTTTTCCTAATTCATCAAGAGGGAGTCATCCCCTCACGATGTCTATTGATTGTTAACTGTCTGGGTTTGCTGTTCCTTTTCTAAACATCCTTGTTTTGTTGGGCTTTGGGTAAATCCTAGTTTTCTGTTATTTCTGGACATAGTCCAATATAATAAGAGTCAAGCCTTGGGAATAGTCCTGGAATTTCCCAGGACCTTTTATTTTACTGTAAAAGAGATTGAAGTAAAGAAATCTTGTTATTCCTCAGCCTGGAAGATTATGGCCTTGGGCTCCTCAACCCAGACAGGGCTTCAGGTTTTAGTTCTGGACACAGAGTTGAGAGGGTGAAGTATATAGAATATACTCCTTGTGCTGCTGGCCTATGACCTAGGCTTGGAAATGCTCAATTCCTGTCAGAGGCATGTTCTGCACAGCAGAAAGGGTCCACCATGTTACTGATTCCATAGTAGAAATGCTGTTAGCAACTGCTCTGAGGGGCTTTCTAAAGAATGGGGACCGAGGCCATGTAGACACAGAGGAATGGAGAAGCTACCCTTGGTATGGACAAAACCTTTTCCTTCATTGCTCAGTTATCTTACAAAAAGGTGGCCTTCTTGATCATCCAATTTACTTCAGTGTATTTCTTCACAGGGCTTCTAGGAGCACACACTTCTGGTTTCCTTCTAACCCCCTGATCTCCCTGCTGCTGACTCCTTTGCCTCCTCCCAGCTCCTAGAGGCTGGCATGGCCCTGGGTTTAGACATTAACCTTTCTGCCCAGTCACTGCTCTTTTGCCCTATTTAATTTTCTTCATAGCCCTCATCACTATTAGAAATGATCTTATTTATTTGTTAACTGGTATGCTTAAGAGCTTCACTAGAATATAAGCTCTGTGACATCAGAGACTCTGTTTTATTTACTGTAGAATTTCAAAGGACTAGAACAGTCCTTGGTCCATAACATGTGCTCGAAAAATAGTTGTTGAATGCATAATTGACTGACTGATTAATGGAATGAATGAATATATGAATTCTGATAATGACAAACAGCATGTCTTCTTAAAGATTAGGAGACAAAACTTTTATCAAAGTAGGAGGAGAGAATTTGAAATTATTCTAGAATATTTTGTTGTGGTCCTATCTGCTGCAACTTCAAAAAAAAAAAAAGATGGTTTTCTTTTTCTTTTTTTATCAGCCACAGAGGGATGGATTAGATGACCTTCTCATACAAGTTGAGTCACTCCCAACTTGAGCATCATGTAAACCTGGCCACTTACCTCATATCGGGCTCAGCAGTGGCAGCATGCAGTGGCAGGCGGCCATTTTTATCTGGGATATTGTGCTTGGCACCGTTTCTGAGTAGACTCACACAGCCTTCAAGCCAGCCCTGAAATACAAGAGCAACCACATCATTATATAACAGAAGCTCACGTAACATGGTCCAACAAACTTTCTCTAGATTTTTTTCCCTTTCTCTGGTTTGGTTAAAAACATATTTTATTTGACTTGAAGTGGTTAAGAACCACAACTCCATCTTAGATGCCTCAACAGATGGCCGAAGGTCTTGAAGTACAGATTCCCAGGTTTATGAGAGGACCTTTCCCCTTTAGATGCAGACTGACCTTAGAATCTCTCCATCTCCCCCTCCCCATTTCTAGGGCCACTCACTGGTATTACATGTATAAGCTCAGACACATGATAAATGGGCCTTGGTCTTCTATTGCAAGCTCCTTTTCTAGTAACCACAAGGACAGCACCTTGCTTATTCAGGTCAGTCCCCCTCCCAGTGCCTAGCAGTCTAACCTGAGCTCCACTGCAATGGCTGGGACCCTGCCACCTTGTTGACTGATCTTTCTGATGCTGAAAGCTTGAATTCCTAAATATAAGGCATCACCAGCACCTTCCAAAGGTTTCCCATTGCTATGTTTTATCCACCTGTAAAGTCCTCAAGAAACTTTACGTGAACTGCTGAAACCTGCTGTCTACAGTTGTCTAGATTGAGACCTGATATGGCCACATCTCATGCTTGTCTCCTCCTCGGTCAACATTTACTGCTGGGTCATCTTCTCATTGTCTTTCCCATTTCAAAGGGCAGGTATAACTTCAGGCTAGCCCTCCCTCCCATGCTACTTTAACTGACCCATACCTATTGATAACCAAGTTTGGCTCGCATGCTAAAGAGGATGTCTCCTACGTTCATCCAGAATGGCTTGGGTTATTTGCCCAATTATAAGTATACTTAAAAATAGATGAAATTATTATTATGAAGAATAATAGGATAACCCTCTATTTTGTTCAGAAGCAGGCTTCCCACCTTCCTACATTCGCGTCTAGGTAAACCTCAAAATTATCCAGTAAAATGAGAAAGATGACTGAAGATTTTTCCTCCTTATACTGAAAGCAATAAAAATCAAAATGTTGTCTGGGCAGGGTGGCTCACGCCTGTAATCCCAGCACTTTGGGAGGCTGAGGTGGGTGGATCACGAGGTCAGGAGATCGAGACCATCCTGGCTAACAAGGTTGAAACCCCATCTCTACCAAAAATACAAAAAATTAGCTGGGAATGGTGGCGGGTGCCTGTAGTCCCAGCTACTCGGGAGGCTGAGGCAGGAGAATGGCGTGAACCCGGGAGGCAGAGCTGGCAGTGAGCCGAGATCGCGCCACTGCACTCCAACCTGGGCGACAGAACGAGACTCTGTCTCAAGAAAAAAAAAAAAAAATCAAAATGTTAATAAATGCATGGAGAAGAAGGAAGATAATGATAAGAAAAGAACCTTTTGGTTTTGAAAAGTCTGGAAGGAAAATCAACAAAAATGCATCAAAATTCAGAGTATAAATATTGAATATGATTTTGTAGAATTGACCATTAATATCTAAGTCTTAAGTAGAAGCAAGTATTTTTCTGGCATTTCCAGTCTTGAGTCATAGTTTACTGATGCATTAAATCTGTTTCTAGTTGTTAATGTCTAAATCATCAAGTTCTCAGATTAAAAGAAATGAGACTCAGAGACCCAAAAGAAAGGCATGCTGGGCAAATTTCAGAGTTGCCAAAGATTTACAGTTTTCGAAAAGCAGATCTTTTGGTGGGGGAAAGTTTGAAACACTTTTAAAAATCATATTGCAACATTTCCTGGAACTCTGTGTGTGTCAATGGTTTTCTGATTTTTTTTTTCCTGAAGATAAAAAGAAGAAAACCATTGAATATACTATCTGAAACCCTTGGTCAGTCACTATTAAGAACCAACAAATGAGTTTGATACCTACTATGTGCTGGCTGATTCCCCAAGTGTTAATTGTCAGCTGTGATGGGCATTTTTTTTTTATTACGTGTTACAAATGAAGGAGAAAGCACAAAGAGATACAGTGATTTGCCTAACCAACGTCACACACCTGTGAAATCTGATCATTTGAATTGGGTCCTTCTTGTTGTATCCAACTACTAAACCAGAGTTGAGAAGTCAGGGAAAAAAAGCAGGCAGGGCACATAACATTGCTCCCAAAATGCAATTAGCTGTGAGCCTGGCTGCTGAAACTGCCTGTAGTAACTAGTTTTATCTAATGGCTTCTGAAAAACCTGCTGCAACTCAAAGACAAATTTTACCCACCATGGTCACTCACCAGTCAGAGCTTGCCAGCTCCCCAAAACTCGACTAGTGCCAATGAACTTTCTGGAAAAACAATATGTAACATTTCTCCTTCTAATAAAACCTACAACTTCCTCTTCATTCTTTGGACATATCGAGGACCACCTGGTCTGTGTGTATGCCCTGAATTGCAATTGTTTTTTTTCTTGTTTTTTGAGACAGGGTCTCACTCTGTCGCCCAGGCTGGAGTACAGTGGCACGATCTCGGCTCACTGCAGCCTCCACCTCCTGGGTTCAAGTGATTCTCCTGCCTCAGCTTCCCAAGTAGCTGGGACTACATGCATGCGCCACCACGCCTGGCTACATTTTGTATTTTTGGTAGAGACGGGGTTTCACCATGTTGCCCAGGCTGGTCAGGAACTCCTGACCTCAGGTGATCCACCTGCCTCGGCCTCCCAAAGTGCTGGGATTACAGGCGTGAGCCACCATGCCCGGCTCCAATTCTTATATATCAAATAATACGTTAAATGTAGAGATTCGCCTCTCTCTCTCTCTCTCTCTCTCTCTCTCTCTCTCTCTCTCTATATATATATATATATATATATATCTTGGCTCACCACAACTTCCGCCTCCTCCTGGGTTCAGGTGATTCTCCTGCCTCAGCCTCCCGAGTACCTGGAATTACAGGCATGCGCCACCACGCCCGACTAATTTTGTATTTTTAGTAGAGACAGGGTTTCTCCATGTTGGTCAGGCTGGTCTCAAACTCCCAACCTCAGGTGATCCTCTAGCCTCTTGGCCTCCCAAAGTAGCGGGATTACAGGCGTGAGCCACCGTGCCTGGCCTCAACTCTACATATTTTATTTGAGTTTGACACATCTGTGGTAAGGTTTTTTTGTATACTGAGTTCAGAGTTGTGGCTGAGACTTAACTTCTAAGTGTCCCGTTTGCGACATTTTTCTTTAATTCTTGAATTTGAACATTGCCAGGAGGGAGGGATAAGCTTCACAGTGCAGTCCCCAGGACAACTGCTTCCCGTGAGCCCCAGCAGAACAATGGAGGGTCCTGCCTTGGGGAGCCACAGGGAGATGGGGGCAGAGTTAAAAAGGTGGCACCACATGGTGTCCTGCTGGCAGACTCTTCTCATGCAGCCCTTAGAATATATTCCTAGAAAGAGTTGTCTGCAAAGGTGTCAACTTTCCAGGCTCCAAGGGTGTCCATCATTATTCACCGTGATTTAGAGGAGTACTTCTTCCCAGTCCCTTGCATAGCTCTCTAGTCAAAGAAATGTAAAATTTTGAATTTTTGAACTTTGAAAGGGGGACAGTTTGCTTTCACTACATTCTATTTGCTAGTGGCAGTCAACTTTAGAAACCCCTTCTATGCCCTTCCTCTACCCCCTTATCCCAGTTTTCTCTTTTCTTCAGCTCAGACACTGGAAAAGTCCATAGCAAGAGCAGTTCTTAAGGCATGTGCTAGAAGGGAGGGGGCTAGGAGGACAGCCATATGTCTGTCTGAGATATGGGACTTCGGCTAATATGCACAGACCAGTGGCTTTTAAACTTGATGGGCAAGTTTTTAAAAATCGCCTGGGAGGCTGAGGCGGGCAGATCATGAGGTCAAGAGATCGAGACCATCCTGGCCAACATGGTGAAACCCTGTCTCTACTAAAAATACAAAAATTAGCTGGGTGTGGTGGTGCATGCCTGTAGTCCCAGCTACCTGGGAGGCTATGGCAGGAGAATCGCTTGAACCTGGGAGGCAGAGTCTGCAGTGAGCTGAGATCGCACCACTGCACTCCAGCCTGGTGACAGAGTGAGACTCTGTCTCAAAAAAAAAAAAAAAAAAAAAAATTGCCAAGGAGGTTTGTTCAACATGCAGACTCCCCCAACACCAACTACCCCAGTCCTGCTCCCAGAGTATCTGACTCAGAAGGTCTAGGGTATACCCCTGGTACCTGCATTTGACACTAATGTGAATAAGTTCTGATAACCCTCTACCATCAGACCAGCCTGGCATTTGCATTTGAAACAAGCACCCCAAGGGATATTGACACAAAAGATCTGTGGACCACAGTTTGAAAATTTCTTCCCAGATTTGCATGTGAGTTCTAGAGAGAGAGCACAAATAGAAAATGAAAAAGTAGGCTCTAAAGGAAATCTCTGTGAGACTTGGGCAATGCTTCATTGCAATCTATGATAGGTCATGGCAGAAAGGGGTGGTGTTTGGGAAAGGGAAGTGATTTAATTCAGCAGGACACCCTCAATGGGGCTGGTCCAGAGTGAATTCACCACCATCAGTGGGCAGCAATAGCAAATGCAAGCCATAGCAAATGCAAGAAGCTGCACTGGTAGCAATGGTGGTCATAGTGAAGATTTCTGGGTACCTCTCTGGAGAGGAAGAAAAAGGATGACCTCCATGTGGTGGTTAGGACTTGTTTGACATGGACTCAAGGCACCCCTAGGACCTCCCAAAAGGATTGCAGGAAGAGTTTGAGAGGAGAGGGTCTTGAGGATTTTCAGTAAGGCTTAACCAGGCTTGCTCTAATGTTGGGAAATGCTGAACTGAAATCTCTACCGGTGAGGACTAGTATTATGACACAGTTGTTAAATTGAGCCCTGATTGTGGGCTGAGTCATCTGCTTGGCGTTGTCCCTTTAAGAGCCTGCTTTGTCTCCCCTGTTCTTTATCTTCCAGTCCCTCCCACCACCTTCCCCAGTTCTCGTTGTTCTCCACATTCCTTAGCCTCAAGCTTCTACTCAACCAATCCTACCCCACAGATGTTAATTGGATCTTCACAGTATTCCCACCCTGTTGGGGTTATTTAGGGAGATTGTTTTTAGAAGCACCAAGTGTGTCCAGAAATATCCCAAGAGAAATTCTGATGCCATTAAGATAGAAAAGAATGTTTCCCTAATGGCCATATCACCTCTATCTTAGAGGATTGTTAGGAAGATCCAAAATGGCCCAAATTCATGAAACCAACTCTAAGTGGGGATATAAACGTTGAAGATGATTGGAGTAAAGCTTCAAGTTCCAGCTCCTTTAGCCAGCTGCATAGATCCAAGAATGCTCCTTTGCAACTGGGACCCCATAATGACACCCTTCGCCTACCCTGCTCCTTCCACCCTGTGACAGGCACAAGTCAGTACCAGGTAGGTGGCCAGGCATAAACTTGTGCGGCCATAAGCATCCTGCATGTTAATATTGGCTCCCATCTTCAACAGCAGCTTCACTGTGTCCGCTTGACGTCCAGAAACCGCATGCATCAAGGGCGTGCATCCTGGAATGAGACATTTCAACAGCCTTTAAACATGTGTGACCCATGAAACTGATGAGCAGGCTTTATTGGCCTGTTCATTTATTTTGCTATTTGCAATACAAACCCAGCTGTTTGTATGGGACTGAAGGGAGATGAAGCTGATTGTTGCTACATCTCTATAAACTATGTATTTTTTTTACTGGCTCTTTTCAATCTTCTGCAATTTTGCAATAATTGGCTGAGTAAAACATTTTGGGTAGATGATAAAAATTGCTTATGACTGTGTCAGGGATCAGCATAATTTAAGACATAACAGGCAGATTTATCCTGACTTGGCTTGAACCATGTAGAATCTAGGAGTGCCTTTGGAAAGCCGCTCTATCTAGGCAGATGGGTTCAGCACACTTTTATAGGGGGTGGCAGGTGTTAAGGGGCAGCAACAGTACCCAGCCTTGGATTGCACAAACTCTTGCTGAAAAAGTGGCCACCTGTACTGAAATGCTTCTCTGTTTTCAGAATCAATATAGGTCAAGGCATTTAGTTTTTTATGTGTTTTCTTTCTGAATAAAAATAGAGATGAAATTACACATTTTGATGAACTTTGCAGGGCTGTTGGAACAAGCCAGCCTCATGAAGCAGGATCCAGGTGCTTCTTATTCCTTCAGGTGAAGAACTCAAACCTCAGATTCACTCCTTGCCCAGTCGAGACTTGTGTAGATGTCTTTGGACTGGAGATTGTGATTCTTCTCCAGATGAACTGCAAGCTATGACCCTGAGAAATCCCCAAGAAAGGGTAAATCCCAAGATTTCTGTTTTCACTGAAAGAACACCGAGTTCAGAGTTGTGGCTGAGTCTTAACTTCTAAGTGTCCCTTTTGCCAAAGTTTTCTTTAATATTTGAATTTGAACATTGCCTGGAGGGAGTGATGAGCTTTGCAGTGCAGTCCCTAGGACACCAGAAATTGAGTTGCAGTCGGCAACTCAATTTCTCTCCAATTTTTTTCCTTCTGAAACTCTTTCAGTCATCTGTACTGGGAAAAAGCAGCAATGAAGTGCTATGTCTTAAAATAGTTGCAAAATTTCCTTCCTTTCCCTTCCTCCCTTCCTTTCTTCCTGTCAACAAGTGGTAATTATAACTATTGAGAGAAAAAAAGGACATGCTGCAAAAGGCAATTATTGAAGCAATCTGTGAATCTGAAATGCTCAGTAAGTAAAGCTAAAGAATCCCTAGATAGGCCGGGTGTGGTGGCTCCTGCCTGTAATCCCAGCACTTTGGGAGGCAGAGGTGGGCAGATCTCTTGAGGCCAGGAGTTCGAGAACAGCCTGGCCAACATGGTGAAACCCTGTCTAAAAATTCAAAAAAAATTAGCCGGGCATGGTGGCACGCACCTATGATCCCAGCTACTCAGGAGGCTGAGGCAGGAGAATTGCTTGAACCCGGGAGGTGGAGGTTGCAGTGAGCCGAGATTGTGCCACTGCACTCCAGCCTGGGTGACAGAGTGAGACTCCATCTCAAAAAAAAAACACACACACAAAGAAACAAAAACAGAATCCCTAGATATTGTTTTCATAAAATTACATGCTATGTCTGGCTAATTTACATCTATCTTGAGAGCCTAGCTTACATATAAATTTCTTCAGGGAACACCTTCCTGACCCTCCATTGTGAACTGGATGTCCATGTTATAATTTTTCATCATCCTTCATTTTTCTCTAGTAATTCTTTTAATATTTTACAATTATGTATTGATTGAGCATAATCACGTGTTTAAAATTTGTCTCTTCTAAGCTATAATTCGAAGTGGAAGGAACCACATCTCTCCTGCTCATCACTGAATCCTCGGTACCAACCACTGTACCTGGTACCGGGAAGATATTAAACAGCAATTCTGAAATGCATAACCAAATGATTACTGAACAAATCTTTTCTTTCTTTTTTTTTTTTTTGAGACGGCATCTTGCTCTGTTGCCCAGGCTGGAGTGCAGTGGTGTGATCATGGCTCCCTGCAGCCTTGACCTTCTAGGCTCAAGCAATCCTTCCACGTCAATGTCTCAACGTACGGGGATTACCGGCGTGAGCCACTGCATCTGGCCCAAATATTTCTTAAGTTTAAAATAATTTTCCTGAGGTGTCTCTAACTGAGGTTTAGGGAGGAATGACAGATTTATCTCCAAATGGGGTTCCAAAATTTATTTTAAGTTGGTACATTTGTCCTTGTAGAAAATAGAAAAAAAAAAACCCTCAAAATAAAACAAGTAAGACAGTACAGCATTGTTCCTGTATGTAAAATTCATATATAAAAGAAAAGGTCTTCCTTAAACAAAAGCAATAGGAAAAGTAACAAAAAACAAAAGCAACAACAACAAAAATACGGTACTTAGGAATAAATCTAACCAAAGAAGAGCAAGACTTATGTGGATAAGAAGTATAAAACTTACTGGGTGACATAAAAGAAGAACTAAACATGGGAAGATACTATGTTTATGAAGGAAAAGACTCAATATAATAGAGCTATCAATTTCCTGAAAATGAATCTATACATTCATTGCAAGTCTAATAAAAACTCAACAAAGCTGTTGTGAAACTTGAAAACCACTTCATACATATCGGATTAGCAATTATAAAACATCTGAAATGCCAGGTGTTGTCAAGGATTTGGGAAACTCTTACATACTGTTGGTTAAAGTATAAGTTGGGACAACCATTTTTGGGGATAAATGTGGCAACATTTAATAAAATCATAGGTGCTTATACCTTATAACCCTGTAATTCCACTTCCAAGTTTATTTCATAACGAAAATTTCACATTGATGAACAAAGAGATATAATCAAAGATGATAATGAAGAACTAAACTAACAAGAAATGGCATAAATGAACATTAATAGAGAAATACATAAATTATATTTATGCAAAGAAGTGTCATAGAGCAATTAAAATGTCTGAGTTAAATTAATCCAGATCCACTTGAATAAATCTTAAAGACATAATTTTGAGTGAAGAAAGCCAATTGCAAAGATACACACTATTATTTATGTAAATTTTATAAATCAAAATAACAACAGATTGCTATAAACCCAGGAAAAATAGTTCAAGCACAAAAACAGAAAAAGGAAAGATATACACCAGCTTCAGAATAGCGGTTAGTTATTTTAGAGGAATGAAGGGAAAAGGGGTGGAATCAGAAAAGAATAAAAAGGGCCTTCAACTGCTCTGTAACTTTTTTCCTTTAAAAAAATCCAAGGAAAAGATTGCAAATTGTCAAAATTGTTAAATTCTGCAAAATAAAGGGTGGAGCAACTTGGTTAGGTAAGGTGTGCAGGAAGGTAGCCTCAGCATCTTGCGTCCTTAAATGATCCACTTTGCCACATGGTAAAGTGTTCAAGAACTTTAAGACATCTGCACTACAAGATAAGGAGCAGAAACAGCACTAACCAAGGACACAGAATATTTGGGTTCCAGTTCCAACTATTTTATTAGCTATGAAACTTTGGCTAAGAAACTTAGCCACTTCGAGACTCATTGTCTTGTCCTGGGTGGTGCAAAGTAATTACAGTAAGGTTATGAAATTCCAAAAGCAACAATAATAGCTTGTATTTATTGAGTGTTTATTATGTATCAGGCATAACTTTGAATACTCTAGATGGATTAACCTAGCTAGTTTTGATTTTTATACTGTCTTAGTCTGTTTTCTGTTGCTGTAAATGAATACACGAGACTGGGTAATTTATAAAGAGAAGAATTTTATTTCTTTCAGTTCTGGAGGCTGGGATGTCCGAGGTTGAGGGGCCATATTGGGTGAGGGCCTTTTTGGTGGTGGGAACTCTCTGCAGAGTCCTGAGGTGGTACAGGGTATCACATGGCAAGGGAGCTCATGAGAGATGACCAAACTAGCTTTTATAACAGACCCACTCCCATGATTACTAACCCACTCCCACAATGACCCATGAGTGGATTAATCCCAATAATCTCCCAAAGGTTCCACCTCTCAACAATACTGCATTGTGGACCAGGTTCCCAACACATGAAATTTGAGGGAACACATTCGAACTATAGCATGTAGCTTGAATGTAGTTGAAATTGGGTATACTGATTCCTTCCACTTTATTCTTTTTCAAAATTGTTTTAACTATCCTAGTTCCTTTGTATTTCTATACACATTTTAGCTAATCTTGTCTATATACACAAAAAATCTTGCTGGGGTTTGGTAGAAATTGTGGTCTCCATCTCATGCCAAGATGTCTCTTCAGAATTTGCGCTAAATCTGTACACAGATTTGAAGAGCACTGCATGTTTACTATGTTGAGCCTTCTAGTCCACAAACATGGTATGCCTTTCCATTTATTAAGATCTTTGATTTATTTAATTAGCACTTTATAGTTTTCAACATACAAGTTCTGTACATATTTTATTGTATTTGCACCTAAATGTTTCTTTTTATTGAGTGATTTTAAATGGTATTATGGTTTAAAATTTTGATGTCTGCATGTTCATTGTTTGTATACAAAAATAAAATCTATGTCTTGTACCCTGTGACCTTGCTGAACTCACTTAGTTGTAGGAGTATGTTGGTAGGTTCCTTAGGAGTTCCTATGAAGACAATCAAATTGTGCAAAAAGTAATAGTTTTCTTTTTTCCTTTTCAAGATGTATGCTTTTGGCCGGGCCAGTGGCTCACACCTGTAATCCCAGCACTTTGGGAGGCCAAGGTGGGAGGATCACCTGAGAGGTCAGAAGTTTGAGAAGAGCCTGGGCAACATGGTGAAACCTGTCTCTACTAAAAATACACAAATTAGCTGGGAGCAGTGGTGAGCACCTGTAATCCCAGTTACTCAGGAGTCTGAGGCAGAATTGCTTGAACCCGGGAGGTGGAGGTTGCAGTGAGCCAAGATTGCACCACTGCACCCCAGTCTGGGTAAAAAATGAAAGATGTATGCTTTTTATTTCCTTTTCTTGCCCTTTTGCACTCATATTAAACTATGCTGAATTGGAGTGGTGAGAGTGGACATTCACACCTTGTTCCAGGTCTTAGGGGCAAAGCACTCAAACTTTCACCGTTAAGTAAAACCTTAGCTCTAGAGTTGTTGTTGTTGTTGTTGATACTCTTCCTTATGTTGAAGAAGCTCTCGTCTATTCCTATTTTTCTGAGATTTTTATTATTAATATGTGTTAAATTTTGTCTAAAGCTTTTTTTGTATTAATTGATATGAACATGTGATTTTTCTGCCTTAGTTGGTTAATTCGGTGGATTACATTGACTTTCAAATATTGAACCAGTCTTACAGCCCTAACATCCCTAAAACAAACCCTACTTGGTCATGGTGTATGATATTCTTTTTGTTTTTGTTTTGAGATAGAGTCTCGCTCTGTCACCCAGGCTGAAGTGCAGTAGTGCGATCTCGGCTCACTGCAACCTCCGCCTCCCGGTTCAAGCAATTCTCGTGCCTCAGCCTCCCCAGTAGCTAGGATTACAGGCTTATGCCACCGTACCCAGCTAATTTTTGTATTTTTAGTAGAGACGGGGTTTCACCGTGTTGGCCAGGCCGGTCTTGACCTCAAGTCCTGATCTCAAGTGATCTGCTTGCCTCGGCCTCCCGAAGTGTTGGGATTATAGGCGTGAGCCACCGTGTCCGGCCTATTTCTGTATATTACTGAATTCTATTTGCTAATATTTGGTTAAGGATTTTTAAATCTACATTCATGAAGACCACTGGTCTATAGGCTTATTTTTTTTTTACATCGTCTTTGGTTTTGATAGTGAAGTAATACTAGCTCATAAACATAACTGAAACGTGTTTTCTCATCTCTTCTTTTTGGAAGAGATTATGTGGAATCGATGCTGGTTATTCTTTAAAAGTTTGTAGAAATCTGCCAGGTGAGGTGGCTCATATCTATAATCTTAGCACTTTGGGAGGCCAAGGTGGGAGGATCACAAATCTCTGGTGAAATAATCTAGTCCTGGAGATATCTTTTTCGGGGGGGATTTTAAAATTATGAAGTCAATTTCCTAATTATAGGGCTCTTCAGATTACCTATTTCTTATTGGCTATTTCTTACTGTTCTGTTTTCAAGTTCATTACTTCTTTCCTTTGCATCCTCATTCTGCTGCTGAGCTTATTCACTGAGTTTTACCATTGTGATGATTGTATTTTTGATTTTTAAAAATTCTCATTTGGTTTTTCCTTATGTCTTTTATTTCTTTGCTGAGACTTTCTATTTTTTTCTTTAGTTTTAAGCATGTTTTCAATTGCTCATTGAAGCATTTTTGTCACGGTTATTTTAAAATCTTTGTGAGATAATTCTAACATCTCTTTCATTGGCATCTGTTGATTATTTTTTCATTCAGTTTGGGATCTTCCTGTTTCTTGGTATGACGAGTGATTTTTGATTGAAACTTGGACTTTTGGGGTATTATATTATGAGATTCCTGATCTTAAACCTTTTATTTTAGCTGGCTTCCATGGGCACTGCTGTAAAGGGGAAGTAAAGGGGTGCCACCTCATTATTGCAAGGTGGCATTAGAAATCCAGGTTTCCTACTCAGTCTTTGCTGGAACGAGTGGGGCTGGAGCCCCATGGCTTTTTGTGGTGTTTGGCTGGAGTAGGGACTTATTGTCTAAAAAGTGTTCTGTCTTTCTAGGCTGTTTCTTTCCTGGTCCTTTTGCCAGAGAGAGAAGGCTTTTGTTGTTTTTCTTGCTGTTTGGTCTGTGCCTGTTGACATTTCTGGGTTGCCAGCTTCTTCAGCATCAGCTCTGGGAGAGACAAGGCAAGAAGAAAACCCTGGGCACTTACACCATGTCATTCCTTGAGTCAGAAGATCTCAGCTCATCTGTCATTTTATCTTCATCTTCCAGAGTCTTTTTATGTTTACATATAACGTCCAGGGTTTTTAGTTGCATTTAGCAGAAATAATACCAAAGAAATGCATCTACTCCATCTTCCCAGAAGCAGAAATCCTTGCTCTTTGCCTTTTACAGTTACATTTTCTCAACATCCATTGCTACCAAAAGTAGCCTGCTCTTTCCGTACCTTTTCCTAACTACTTGACCTATCTATTTTGGTCATTCATACAAAGATATTGAAAACAAACTCAAACTGATGACTTCATTATAAGAGGCGATGTGGTACCTGCACATAGGCACAGTATCAAAATGGCTGGTCAGATATACATTTATTAACATTGCTCATGTCTGAAGGCCATCTCTAAAAAAATAGAGCAGAACATTCTGGATTCAAAATGCATACATATCTCACCTTCACTGTCACAGCATTCTAGGATAGAAGGGTCTTCCCGAATCACTGCAGTCAGAGCATTGACATCTCCATTAGAGGCTGCTTGATAAACCATGGTCAGGTCAACTTCCTCAGATGAGTCACCTTCATGCATAAAACAGACACAATGTTAGTGTGTGGAGCCAGTTCACTGAAAGAATAACAATACCCAAGTCGTCACCCACACAAGTGATTCATTAAAACTTCTCAAGTGAATCCAGGCAGAAGTCTGGGTCATCCTGGCTACACACTCCCTCACCACTTCTGAAGAAAGGTGGATCACTCATGCCATTTGTAACACCGCCGTGTATTGGAAAGGAACCTGAGGGATTGGATGTCATTTGAGATTTTCTGATTATTTCCAGGCATTCAGGCTTCTCGAAGCCAGGGAGCCCAGAGAGGAAAGTGGGAAGTGGGGCCCTCATCTTGGTTCTGCATTGCCCTTTTTGATCTGGAACATGTTCCTTGTCCTCCCAATAACTCAGTTTACTACCTTTCAAAGAGACATTGTGCTCTCCATTCTCCGTTCTCCAGATGTGGAGGGTGAGGCAGCCTTTCCCACCCTATTCTGTACCCTGAGGACTGACCCTTGCCGAGTGCTCCACCCAGGCTCCCTCACCCTTTTGCTTGCCCATGAGAGGCACGGGCAGGAGCCTGATGGGGAGAAGAGAGAGATGGGACATTTCTTCCTGCCTTCCCCTAGTGCCGTGTTCGGCAGGAGCCACTTCTCTCCCAACAGGAGGCTCTTTCTTGGCAGAGCCAGTCTCTTCCTCTGCAGAGTCAGTCTCTCTGGGTTCCCTGATAAAATGGTCCCCTCCCATCCTTCTTAGCTGTAAGGATGGGATTGGCTTCCCACTGATGTTAGTCTGTGGAGCTTCAGCATCCCTAGTTCATTCTTTCAGCCCTGCGTCATCTCTGCAAGCTGTCCCTTCATGAAAGTCTCTTCATTTCAACCACCTGAGATTTCATGAGAGGGCATTCCCAGAAGAAACAGAACTGTAGGCAACTCCTTTGAATTTGGTAGCCACCTGCATTATGCCTTGTGCATGCCTGAACCAACTAATAGCATGGTCAAAGGCAACATCAGGCCAGGCATGATGGCTCAGATCTGTAATCTCAGCACTTTGGGAGGCTGAGGTGGGAGGATGGCTTGAGCCCAGGAGTTCGAGATCAGCCTGGGCAACACAGTGAGACCCTCTCTCTACAAAAAATTTAAAAATTAGCTGGGCATTGTGGTGGGTACCTGTAGTCCCAGGTACTCAGGAGGCCGAGGCAGGAGGATTGCTTGAGCCCCAGAGTTCAAGCAGTGAGCTATGATTGTGCCACTATACTCCAGCCTGGACAACAGAGTGAGACCTTGTCTTAAAAAAAAAAAAAGAAAGGCGACAACAGAACTATGGGTCAAGTGGGGCTGGGTGCAGTGGCTCATGCCTGTAATCCCAGCACTGTGCGAGGCCGAGGCGGGCGGATCACTTGAGGTCAGGAGTTCAAGACCAGCCTGGCCAATGTGGAGAAACCCAGTCTCTACTAAAAATACAAAAAAATAAGCCAGGTGTGGTGGCATGTGCCTGTAATCCCAGCTACTTGGGAGGCTGAGGCAGGATAATTGCTTGAACCCGGGAGGCAGAGGGTGCAGTGAGCCGAGATTGCACCACTGCACTCTAGCCTGGGCGACAGAGCGAGACTCTGTCTCAAAACAAAACAACAACAACAAAAGAACTGTGGGTCAAGTGGAGAACGGGGAGGACTGGGAGGTGAGTTCTGCTCAAGAGGAGGCCTCCAGGGAGAGGCTGTGTTGATCAACTCACACCGTTCCTCCCATGCACGCCTCCTCTGCCCCTCAAGCATAGCCACTGTTCAGGTGTGGTGGCTCACGCCTGTAATCGCAGCACTTTGGGAGGCTGAGGTGGGTGGATCACCTGAGGTCAGGAGTTTGAGACCAGCCTAACCAACATGGAGAAACTCCGTCTCTACTAAAAATACAAAAAATTAGCTGGGCCTGGTGGTGCATGCCTGTAATTCCAGCTACTCGGGAGGCTGGGGCAGGAGAATTGCTTGAACCCGGGAGGTGGAGGTTGCGGTGAGCCCAGATGGCGCCATTGCACTCCAGCCTGGGCAACAAGAGTGAAACTCCATCTCAAAAAAAAAAAAAGTAAAAAAAGAGAAAAAGGTTTTTTTAAGTTGTGTTTTTCTGCTAATGTGGATATTATGTCAAAGATACTTTTTAGTTTTCAGTTCGAATTGATCTTTCGTTGGCAGTGGTCCTAACCCTTTGCCTCGGTTTCTCTGTCCCAGTATTTTTGGGAAGTCATAAGTGCCGGTTGACCTGTCTGTCCCCAAAGGAACTTGTTATTGGAAATGATTCACTTATGACAACAAACTGTTTTGTAAAGTGAGTAGTTGTTCCCTAACTTACTCACAGTAGTATTTTGTTGTTTTCGTTTGTTTGTTTTAGTCAGACTCACTTGCACATTTGCCTGGGGGCCAGAAGTGAAAGAGGAGGGGTGTCCAGGTCAAATGCCACTCCTGTGATGAGCGCAAGGACTATGGAGGCAGACAACCTCAGTATCAGCTTGCACTGACCAGCTGTGTGGATTTGGACCGTCCCCTCTCCAGGCCTTAGTTTCCTTGTTTTTGTTTGTTTGTTTGTTTATTTGAGACAGGGTCTCGTTGGGTCACCCATGCTGGAGTGCAGTGGCGTGATCTTGGCTCACTGCAGCCTTGACCTCCCAGGCCCAAGTGATCCACCCATCTCAGCCTCCTGAGTAGCTGGGACTACAGACATGCACCACCACGCCCAGCTAATTTTTGTATTTTTTGTAGAGATGGGGTTTTGCCATGTTGCCCAGGCTGGTCTCTAATGATCCTCCCATGTTGGCTTCCCAAAGTGCTGTGATTTATAGGCGTAAGCCACTGTTCCTGGCCAGTTTCTTTGTCTTTAAAATGAAGGTAATAATGATGATAATTAGGATAACTACCTACCTCTCTTATAAGTTTGTTGTGAGGAAAAAAATGAATTAATATTTAATTCTGTGTGCTTTTAGAACAAGGCCTGGCATATAATAGTGTATATATTTGCTGTGACTACTGCTACTTAAAAAATTTTTTTTTGGTGCGTTTAGAAAGCATTAGAAATCTGGGACATGTAGAGAAAATAGTCTCTTGTTGATGATGATTAGACAAAAAGTCCATACATTGCACAGAACATTAGTCCCCATTAGGAACCTTCCTAGGACTCTAGACATTTTGTTAAGATTTCTCACAGTATATTTGGGCACAAGAAATAGGGCCCAGAAACAGGACAAAGATGGAGCTGGTATCTGGTTGTGTGACCACATCCAAAGATGCTGGTGGTATCACTTCAGGAGGAAGATCCTGGTGGTGGGCTGAGGAGCTCTGTGTTTAACAGCCTGTTCATATGTTATATAATGTGCCTATATAACAGACATAAATGTATTCACAATCCGTTCATCACTGAGTGCAATAAAATATGCAAGGCACATTCATCACACTGTGGACCACATACAGCTGAGAGAAACAATGAATGCATTGCCTGATAGAATTATGATCCCCAAAATATCTTGCCAGAAATCTAATTAGATAGTATTTAATAGAGCTAAAGGTAGAGTAACATATTGAAAGACAGGACCAGCTGGATGTCCTAGGCTGACTAAGAATCCCTAAGCCTAGCTGGGAAGGTGACTGCATCCACCTTTAAACACAGGGCTTGCAACTTAGCTCACACCCGACCAATCAGGTAGTAAAGAGAGCTCACTAAAACGCTCATTAGGCAAAAACAGGAGGTAAAGAAATAGCCAATCATCTATTGTCTGAGAGCACAGCGGGAGGGACAATGACCGGGATTTAAACCCAGGCATTCGAGCTGGCAACGGCTACCCTCTCTGGGTCACCTCCCTTTGTATGGGAGCTCTGTTTTCACTCTATTAAATCTTGCAACTGCACACTCTTCTGGTCCGTGTTTGTTACGGCTTGAGCTGAGCTTTCGCTCACTGTCCACCACTGCTGTTTGCTGCTGTCGCAGACCCGCCGCTGACTTCTATCCCTCTGGATCCAGCAGGGTGACCGCTGTGCTCCTGATCCAGCGAGGCACCCATTGCTGCTCCCAATCGGGCTAAAGGCTTGCCATTGTTCCTGCACGGCTAACTGCCTGGGTTCATCCTAATCGAGCTGAACGCTAGTCACTGGGTTCTAGGTTCTCTTCCGTGACCCACGGCTTCTAATAGAGCTATAACACTCACTGCATGGCCCAAGATTCCATTTCTTGGAATACGTGAGGCCAAGAACCCCAGGTCAGATAACACGAGGCTGGCTACCATCTTGGAAGCCCCCCGCCACCATCTTCGGAGCTCTAAGAACAAGGACCCCCGGTAACAATATCTTGGTCCACAAAATATCCAGTTGAACTGATTGAAGGGTGGTTAAGTATGTAGTTTTTGCACTCAACTTCCCCTCTCCCTGTTGATAAGGTAAACCTGATTATTCTCTAGGGACTACTTCCTCTCCTCTTCTAGCCCACAGGCTGATTCAGTGGAATTGGCTATATCCCTGGTCAGGGGCAGAACATGTGGCTTAGAACTAAGCCACTCAGCACTAGCATTATCCTGGCCATGGAGATGGATTCAGGGATGTGACCCAATTAGAGCCCACGAAAAGCAATGATACGTTTGATATGTTGACTGGGGTTGTCGAGAACAATACTGTTGCTTTATTCTACCACCCATGAACCTGGAAGCCACCTGGTGACATCTTTCTCTTACCAGAGAAAGGTGGAGATATTTTCTCTGCCCTGCCCCCGCAACCCCGCCACCCCCCTACAACCAAAAAAAAAGAAAAAGAAAAAAGAAATCTTAGCCTAGGTCAATCTCCCGAAGCATTTCCCCAATGTTTTCTGGTAGTTTCATGTCTTACATTTAAATCTTTAATCCATTTTGATTTGACTTTTGTATATGGTGAGAGATAGGGGTCTAGTTTTATTCTTCTGCATATAGATATCCAGTCTTCCAGCACCTTTTATTGACGAGACTGTCCTTTCCCAAATGTATGTCTTGGTGCCTTTGTTAAAAATGAGTTGACTGTAAATGTGTGAACTTGTTTCTGGAATCTCAATTCTGTTCCATTGGTCTACGTGGCTGTTTTTATGCCAGTATCATGCTATTTTGGTTACTATAGCCTTGTAGTATAATTTGAAGTCAAGTAATGTGATGCCTCCAGCTTAAGTCAATTTACATAGATTTTGTGTATTCGTTTGGATTTTCTTTTTAATCACTGAAAAAGTTCTGACTGATAAAACGTTTTAAAAAAGAACTTGGAGTTTTAGCTGGAAAATTAGCTCTATAGAAATAAACAGCGTTGTAATAAATTAGTAGGAAGTCTGGCTGAATTACCAAATCTAGTAGCCATATTGAGGGCAGTGATAGGCCTTTTCCATTCTTAACTGGTCAGTGTCATATTGAGGTCTATGGTCTCAATTAAACAGGGGTATAGTGGCTGGAGAACATTCAGAGGTGAGTGACTGGAGGTATGAATGGACTTTAATCATGTCACGTGAAGAATGGTTGAAGGAGATAAATGTGTCTACTCTGAAGATTATTCCAGGGGTCATGATAGTAGCCTTCAGATAGTTAAAGAGTTTTTTTAATTAAAAAAATTGTGCAGGAGGCTGAGGCAGGAGAATGGTGTGAATCCGGGAGGCGGAGCTTGCAGTGAGCCAACATCGCGCCACTGCACTCCAGCCTGGGCAACAGAGCGAGACTCTGTCTCAAAAAAAAAAAAAAAAAATGTGGTAAAAGATACATAAAATTTAAAATTTTAACCATTTAAGTGTACTTACAGTTCAATTGCATTATGTCCATTCACACTGTTGTGTAACCATCACTAAAACTCATCTTTTCATCTTCCAAATCTCTGTACTCATTAAACTGTAACTTCCCATTCTTTCCCATCCCCAGTCCCTGGAAACCACCATTCTGCTTTCTGTCTATGAATTTGACTACTAAAGGCACCTCATGTATGTGGAATCAATAACCGTTGTCCTTTCGTGACTGGCTTATTTCACTTAGCATAATGTCCTCAAGGTTCATCCATGTTGTAGAATGTGTCAGAATTATCTCCCTTTTTAAGATTTAATAATATTTAATTGTATGTATGCATCACATTTTGTTTATTCATTACCTGTCAGTGGACACTTGCGTTGTTCCCATCTTTTGGCTATTGTGAATAATGCTGCTGTGAACATGGGTCTACAAATCTTTTTGCATTCCTGCTTTTAATTCTTTTGGGTATATACTCAGAAGTGGAATTGCTAGATCATGTGATAATTCCATTTTTAATTTTTGAAGGAACCACCATACTGTCTTCCAAACGGCTGCACCATTTTGTATTTCCACCAAAGTGCACAAGAGTTTCAATTTCCCCATATCCTTGCTAACACTTATTATTTGTTGTTTGGGTTTTAAAAAAAATAATAGCCATCCTAATGATGGTGAAGTGGTATTTCATTGTGGTTTTGATTTGCATTTCTCTAATATTAGTGACAGTGAGCATTTTTCCAAGTGCTTATTGGCTATAGGCATATCTTTCAAGAAATGTCTATTCAAATCCTTTGCCCATTTTTAATTGAGTTGTTTGGCTTTTTGTTGCTGGGTTGTAGGAGTTCTTTATATATTCTGAATATTAAACCTTTATCAGGTATATGATTTGCAAATATTTTCTCTCATTCTGTGGGTTGCCTTTTCATTCTGTTGATAGTGTCCTTTGATGACAAAGCTTTTAATTTTGATGTAGTCTAATTTGTTGATTTTTTCTTCTGTTGTCTGTGCATTTGATGTCATAGCCAAGAAATCATTGCCAAATCCAGTGTCATGAAGCTTTTCCCTAGGCTTTTTTCTATGAGTTTTACAGTTTTAGGTCTTATGTTTGGGTCTTTGATCCATTTTGAGTTAACTTTTATATATGGTGTAAAGTAAGGGTCCAAATACATTTTTTTCCACATGGCTATCCTGTTTTTCCAACATCATTCATTGAAAATACTATTGTCTTAGTCTGTTTCCTGCTGCTATAACACAATACTATAGACTGGGTAATTTATAAATAAACTTATTTGGCTCATGGTTCTTGAGGCCAGGAAGTCCAAGGGCATGATGCCAACATGTGGTGAGGATGATCTCATGGCAGAAGGGTGAAAGGCAGAAGCGAGCATCTGAGACAGAAGAGGAAATCAGGCCAAACTCATTGTTTCTATCAGGCACCCATGCCAGAAGATATCTAACTCACTCCTAATATAACAGTATTAATCAATTCATCAGAGCAGAGCCCTCGTGCTCCAATCACCTCTAAAAAGCCTACCTCTTAATACTGGTACAATGACAGTTAAATTTCAACACAACTTTCAGTGGGAACATTCAAGTCATAGCAACTATTCTTTCCCTATTGAATGGTCTTGGCACTCTTGTGGAAAATCAGTTGACCATAAATGTATGGGATTATTTCTGGACTTTCAGTTCTATTCTACTGATCTATATGTCTGTCTGTATGCCAGTACCACACTGTTTTCATTACTGTAGCTTTGTAGTAAGTTTTGAAATCAGGAAGTGTGAAACCTCCAACTGTTCTTTTTGAAGATTGTTTTGGCTATTTTGGGGTCTCCTGAAATTCAATATGTATATTAGGATGATTTTTCTATTTCTGTAGAAAACATCATTGGGATTTTGACAGAGATTATATTGAATCTGTAGATTGCTTTGTGTAGTACTGGCATCTTAATAATATTAAGTTTTCTAATTCATGGAACATAAAATGTCTTTCCATTTACTGGTGTTTTCTTTAATTTCTTTCAGCAATGCTTTGTAGTTTTCAGTGTACCAGTCTTTTACCTCCTTGGTTATTCCTAAGTATTTTATTCTTTCTCATACTATTGTAAATAGAGTTGTTTTTCGAAGGGCTTTTATGCAAACAATTTTATGGTTAAATTGCTGTGTGAGACTCCAGTAGTTAGAAATAGCAGTGGGTGAGAGTGACAGAGAGACAGGTATTCTAATTATTATTAGAGCTTATAAAAATGGACCGAGTCACCTCAAGAAGTAGTGAGCTTCCTGTCACTGAAGATGACCTCTCTTGGCTAGATGACCACCAAACCTGTTTAGAAGGAATTTAGACATAAAGTGAAGCACAGTGTAGGGGGAAAAGGAAGACGTGTGAAGCAGAATAGCATGTACTTCAGAATTCCTTCTGGCCCTGCGATGTACACTAAACCACAGCACAACAAGGAAATAGGAAATGAAGGAGCTTCCCTAGAAGTTATTTAGAAAGAGCCAATCTAAGTTGCGGTCAATGCAAATAATTGGGCACAAACTTAGAAACTGTACAGAGAATTTCTATAGAAATGAGGAAGCATGATGTAGAAATAACAAGTACAAAGAAAAGTATGACTGATGGTCCTAATGGAATCTAAAATGAGAGCAGGAAAGTTTTTTTCTACTGACAATCAGAAACCCACTTATTAAGATGTCTAAAAGATCTACATAAACAAACAATACCTCAGTCCTTCCTTGTCTCCTTCCTATTGCTCCTCTCTCTCTCTCTCTCTTTCTCATCTATTTGTCATCTATGTTTCTTTCCACACTGCTTACATGAGGAGCATGTTTTGAATGGTCTTGCCTCTCTCACTGCTTTAAACAGATAGACTTCTGTACGGGTGCATAAAGAGAGATTCCAGAATACACACAGGGTGAGAGACTCTGAGGGTAGAAAATGGAAGAAACATGAAGAAATAGGAAGAAAGAAGCATGTGAAGACACGCAGATTATATTTTATTTAAAACTCTGCCGCTGCTGCCGGAGACTGATCTGGGCGGCAGTTGGCGGCCTCGGCTAGCGGCCAGGAGCCACTTCTGCGGGTGCCCAGAGAAGCAAAAGTCGCCGGTCCCATGTCGTCGCCCTCTCTGCCCCCCAGGAGGGGCAAGAGGGAGCCACGGCCGATGACAGAAATACACTTTCCGAGATGGCCTCTAAATCCTGGCTGAATTTTTTAACCTTCCTCTATGGATCGGCAATAGGGTTTATTTTATTTTCTCAGCTACTTAGTATTTTGTTGGGAGAAGAGGGTGACACCCAGACTAATGTTCTTCATAATGATCCTCATGCGAGGCATTCAGATGATAATGGACAGAATCATCTAGGAGGACAAATGAACTTCAATGCAGATTCTAGCCAACGTAAAGATGAGAACACAGACATCGCTGAAAACCTCTATTAGCAAGTTAAAATTCTTTGCTGGGTTATGACAGGCTCTCAAAACCTACAGAAAAAGGCCAAACATGTCAAAGCTACATGGGCCCAGCGTTGTCTAAAAGTATTTTTTATGAGTTCAGAAGAAAATAAAGACTTCCGTGCTGTGGGATTGAAAACCAAAGCAGGCAGAGATGAGCTATACTGGAAAACAATTAAACCTTTTCAGTATGTTCATGAACATCATTTAGAAGATGCTGATTGGTTTTTGAAAGCAGATGATGACACATATTTCATACTAGATAATTTGAGATGGCTTCTTTCAAAATATGATTCTAAAGAACACATTTATTTTAGGAGAAGATTTAAGCCCTTTGTAAAACAGGGCTGTATGAGTGGAGGAGCAGGATATTTACTAAGCAAAGAAAGCCTTGAAAAGATTTCTTGATGCATTTAAAACAGACAAGTGTCACATAGTTCCTCCACTGAAGACTTAGCACTGGGGAGATGCATGGAAATTATAAATGTAGAAGCAGGAGATTCCAGAGATCCCACTGGAAAAGAAACTTTTCATCCCTTTGTTTCAGAACACCATTTAATAAAGGTTATCTACCTAGAACCTTTTGGTACTGGAATTACAACTATTATCCTCCTGTAGAGGGTCCTGGTTGCTGTTCCGATCTTGCAGTTTCTTTTCACTATGTTGATTTTACAACTGTGTATGTGTTAGAATACCTCGTTTATCATCTTCATCCATATGGTTATTTATACAGATATCAAGCTACCTTACCTGAAAATATACTAAAGGAAATTAGTCAAGCAAACAAAAATGAAGGCACAAAAGTGAAGTCAGGAAACCCTTGAAAGAAAATCATGAATGAACAAAGGTAAAATGTCTAGCATTGCCCTGAAGAAGGACTTCTGCATTTCTGACATAGAGCACTGGAATCCCAGTGAGGAATTCTAAGTGAACATTCCATATAGAAATCTTTCACTTGAATGACTATAAACTGAAGCTTTAAATGAGCTGTGAAGTCTGTTAAAATGTGTTTTGATACAGTCATATAAAAATATATCTATATATATAAGAAGAACTTGTGTTTTTAAAATGGTGGCCAAGTAGAGGAACTAGAAAAGAGATTTTGTTGTCTATTTTTGACCATCTGTATTATTGTCACTGAGAAACTAAAACAATTGAATTTGCTAAAACTACACTGCACCATATTAGTAATAAACAGATCTGCCTTAAAGAAAATTTTAGGGCTGGGTGCAGTGGCTCACTCCTGTAATCCCAGCACTTTGGGAGGCCAAAGCAGGTGGATCACGAGGTCAGGAGATTGAGACCACCCTGGCCAACATGGTGAAACCTCATCTCCACTAAAAATACAAAAATTAGCTGGGCGTGGTGGCGCGCACCTGTAGTCCCAGCTACTTGGCAGGCTGAGGCAGGAGAACTGCTTGAACTGGGGAGGCGGAGCTTGCAGTGAGCCGAGATCGCACCATTGCACTCCAGCCTGGGTGACAGAGTGAGACTCCATCTCAAAAAAAAAAAAAAAAAGAAAATTTTATAAAGAAATATTGTTGCTCAGTGTTGTTAATACAGCTCAAGAGTTGAGTTTATATTTGCAGGATGATATAAATGATCCAACCCCCCCAACACATATAGTTTTTGTCTAATGGAAATTTTGCTGTGATTATTTATAATTGGCAGTATTTCTTCCAGAAGAAGCTAAAATAAGACTGGCACTTATCCTGAAGTTCCTTAATAAAACCGCACTTTAAAATTATCATGGGCCTTGACTATATTATATATTTGATTCTAATTAGTAATCCTTTACTGAATCTCTGTTGTCTCTTTTCTAAATATGTTTAGCCACCCTTGAATACCATTCTCCACTATTAATATTAATTTACTCAAAGTATTCACAGCATTCTGTAAACATGTATTTGATAATATTTGTTCCCAAATTTACCCATTGTTAATTATGGGTGACTAATAATAAATTTAATGCTATTTGAGGATGCTTTTCTTGTATCAGTGCCACTCTCAGGAATTACTAAGTGACATTTTAAATTGATTATTTTAAACTCTTTCTAACTACATAGTTATGATTTCTTTCATTCTCATCCTGTTGAGAGATGAGAACGTGTTTGTGCCTTTCATAACTTGTTTAAAGCAGAGTTTTAGAATTCATTTTTAGGATCTAAGGTGGCTATTAGTTACACTGGCAAGATTATTTTGAATGCAAGATTTTGACAAGAATTAATTAAAAACAATAGAAAATGCAGAGTGCTTAAATGTGATATATTGAAAGAGTAGATACTTAACTTATAAATAGCAATCTGAAGGTTGATGCTGACTTACTATTTTGGGATAATTGTCTTGCCAATGGATAATTCTAACAACGCAGAATACCTATTCAAGGCTGTCATCAAAAACATTCACAAATGTTTCATTCTATTTTTAGTGACTCTGTTTAAAGACTTTCTGAAAGGAAAGAACATTTTTATTTTTATTATCTTTAGCAATACTGAGTGTGTCATAACAGAATATTTTACAGACTTTCTATGAGATTATCTTTAGTGGCACAAAAGATTTACATTTCCCTTATGTTTATCATTATGCCAATTTTACATGGCTGTCATGCCACTTACTCTGCTGTTTAGCTAAACAATTTCTTTTTTTGGAGACAGAGTCTCACTCTGTCCCCCAGGCTGGAGTGCAGTGTCGCGATCTCGGCTCACTGCAACTTCTGCCTCCCAGGTTCAAGCGATTCTCCTGCCTCAGCCTCCCGAGTAGCTGGGATTACAGGCGTGTGCCACCATGCCCAGCCAATTTTTGTATTTTTAGTAGAGATGGGGTTTTGCCATGTTGGCCAGGCTGGTCTTGAACTCCTGACCTCAGGTGATCTACCCATCTCCGCCTCCCAAAGTGCTGGGATTACAGGTATGAGCCACAGCGCCTGGCTAGCTAAATAATTTCTATTTATTGTGCCAAAACATGTCAAAATCATGACTCTTTGAATGGTTTATTTGAGAGGATGTTCATTTCATTGGCTAACCATGGATTACTCTGCCCACATAGTGAAAACATGCACCAATTTTTACCTATTATCATGGTAGTATCATCTGCCAAAATTTCAAGGCATTCATTTTATTCTTTGAACAACTCTTTACCATAGTGTGGACATGAATTTTCATATGTGTTACTTGACTAGAAGTATAAATGGTTTACTATAAATATCCAAAAACCTTAAGATTTGCTCATAGGAAATGAATGTTGTCATGAATCCTGGGCTCTAGAGTCAGACTTGCTTGGGTTTAAATTCTTGCTCCAACACTTACTGTTTTTGTAACCTTGAGCAATTTTATTTAATATTTCCGTGTCTCAATTTTCTCATCTGTAAATTAGGGATGATAATACTACCTACCTCACAGGATTTTTGTGAGGATTAAATAAATGTAAGGTTCTTAGAACACTGTCTGTCCCAGAATAAGGGAGCAATAAATAGAAGATTGTATTATTATTCTATTACCTTGGAGTGTAGCTATTGCATTTAAGTGAATAAAAAATTTGCTTTGACCAGATACTGAAGGAAATATTTCATACATTTCTTAATAAGTAATAGCTAGTATTTATCGAGTGCCTACTGTGTGCTAACTATTGTGCTTAGATAATCTGTGTATAATAGTGTTAATGCTCAAAATTTGGGTGTTATTCCCATGTTATAGATAAGGAAACTGAGGCCTGGAGAATTAAAGTAACTTTGCCACTTTCACAAGGCTAGTAAGTAACAGAGGCAGGATTTATATTCAAACCGTGTGTGTTCATTTGAACTGTATCAGGCTTGGAGTTAGTCATTTAGCATTATTTCCATTTTTATTTATATGATATATGACATCTGATACATTGGCCAGTAATACCCAAATTAACCCAGCCAAGTTATCATAGTGATTCTTAAACTGTGGTTAGCATACTTGCCTAGGATGTTGTTAAAATGCTGATCTGCAGACCCCAGTCTCAGAAATTCTAACTTAAGCATGGGGCCCAAGAGTATATGCATTCTTACCAAATACCCTAGGACAGTGATTGTCAAAAGTGTGGTCCCAACAAACAGCATCAACATCACCTGGGAACCTGTTGGAAATGCAACCTCTCTCAGGGCCCCATCTCAGATCTACTAAATCAGATACTCTAGGAGCAGGGGCAGGGGCCAGCAGTTGTGTTTAAGCAAACTCTGCAGGTGTCTTTGTTATCCTAGTTTGAGAACCACTGCCAATACCTACATGATTTTGGTGCAAATAGTGTTTGAAGCACACTGAAGATTACTGCCCCATTATTAAGACATTTTTCAAAAAGCATGTTTTAAATCAGTGTAGTCCAGGATCACATAATATTAAATATAAAATAAAGATAATTTAAAGGGTCATTGGATCCTTCATTTTGGCCAAATTTGTAGCTTCTCCAAAGTGACTAATATCAGGGTCCACGATAAAATCTGTAATTCTCCAAGTTTAGTAATTTTATATTGAGGCAGGAAGGGTTCATTAAGTACTAATAAGTACAAAATTTATTAAAAGCATACATAAAATCAGTGTCATCAAAAAGGTCTACAATTGTTAGTAAAAACAATTTAAATTGAAGTAGTAAATGCTATTTTATAACATACAGAGCACTTTTCTGCCAATTCATTCTGTTTTGTGTGACCTAATAAAGCAAAAACAAAAACAATTCTCCAAGTATTTCATAGAGCACATAAAACCAGATTTCATGATGATGATGTATTCACTATCTTTTAGATTAAGATCTTCGTTATTTAGATAAATTATTTTAGTATGGTTTTAAAACATAAGGCTTTTGATGTCTTATGTTCTCTAATGATGGTATGCTTATATTTTCTAGTGGAAAGTTCATAGATAAAGCCAATTTTTGTCGCAGTTTGTTTTCAAATATCATAAATTTCAGAGGAGTTTTTCTTACTGTAATGAGATACGAAAATAAACCACTGATCGGCTTTTAATATTATTTGAATATGGAATTGGATTTGAGCATTAAATTTGCTAACTGGTTATTTTCACAATTGTTTTCTTGAGTATTAATTTTTCACTTCTTTGAGACTGTCAAACCATAGTTATTAGCAGGCTGATGCACTTTTGTACTTGAAAGAATCCCTTGATTGATTAAATTATATCTAGCATTTTATTCTCCATTTGTTTTCAGTTCATTAGACTATTATTCTTTGACAGTTTCTGCTTTGTATTTATTGCCCTTCTTTATTTGTTTTATTACTAATTCCCATTTTCTAGTTACTCTTAAATGCTGCCTTCAAAGGGTTAATTTGGCTGTTAATAGTGACTAAAATTTTTATTACTTAATTGAAAATTTTAAACCTACGAACTGGGTTTCCCTATGAGATTGAAAGTAAAAGTCTAAGAATAATGCCTGCTGGCTCTCAAGATAGTTGCCCTACTTAAAAATCTAGAATTTTAAATTAATTCTGCATCTACAATTATTATTATTACTGTTTTTTTTTCTTTTTTTGAGACGGAGTTTCGCTCTTGTTACCCAGGCGTGATCTTGGCTCACCGCAACCTCTGCCTCCTGGGTTCAAGCAATTCTCCTTCCTCAGCCTCCCGAGTAGCTGGGGTTACAGGCATGCACCACCACGCCCAGCTCATTTTGTAGTTTTAGTAGAGACGGGGTTTCACCATGTTGGTCAGGCTGGTCTTGAACTCCCAACCTCAGGTGATCCGCCTGCCTCAGCCTCCCAAAGTGCTGGGATTATAGGCGTGAGCCACCGCGCCTAGCCACATCTACAATTATTAAAGGAAGTAAAGTTATTTGGATTCTTCCACTCACCCTTTTCTCAAAAACAAAAAAAACCAAAACCCATTTGCTTTGTTTTTCTTCTTTATAGTAGGCCTGACAGAAACATACTGAAGCAATCTGGGAGACAACCTGTGATAGATCCTATGCTAAATGTTAATGTTACCTCTGTTGATTTAAAAACACGTGTTTAGGGGCTGGGCAGCGGTGGCTCACACCTGTAATCCCAGCACTTTGGGAGGCCGAGGCAGGCGGATCACGAGGTCAGGAGATCAAGACCAACCTGGCTAACATGGTGAAACCCCGTCTCTACTAAAAATACAAAAAATTTAGCCGGGCGTGGTGGCGGGCGCCTGTAGTCCCAGCTACTCAGGAGGCTGAGGCAGGAGAATGGTGTGAAGCCGGGTGGCAGAGCTTGCAGTGAGCCGAGATCGCGCCACTGCACTCCAGCCTGGACGACAGAGTGAGACTCTGTCTCAAAACAAACAAACAAACAAACAAACCCAAAAAAACCCAAACACGTGTTTATATCTAAGAGTTGAAATAAAAACTTTAACAAAGGGTGGAATAAGGAATTTTACAAATTCTCTTTAGAGAAACCAGCTCTAAAGTTTTAGGGTTGAATTGTGCTCTATTTCAATTCCCTTACCTCTCTAGTTTTCAGTTTATATTAGTTAAATTTTAATAACTTTGCAGGGCCCGGCAAATTAATAACCTACATGAAGTATTTTATCAGAGGGAAACTAATCTTACTGCTGAGCAGTGTGTTGTACTACATAGTGAATGTTTGTGTTTTGGAATCTAACAATTATTTAAGGTAATGGTGTTATGAATGGTTTAAAAATGTCTGGTGACTTGCTTATTTTAAGTGATCACCATTAAGTCAGAAAAATGTATTTTTAAATGTTTCTTAAAGTGGCTTTTGAACATTTTTAAACAGTTGATTTAAATAATGCATAAGATAAATTACCATGTTCAAAGTTAAAAAAAAAAAAAAACTTGGGTGTGGCTTGGTTTGGTGGCTCACGCCTGTAATCCCAGCACTTTGGGAGGCCGAGGTGGGCGGATCACAAGGTCAGGAGATCGAGACCATCCTGGCTAACACGGTGAAACCCTGTCTCTACTAAAAGTACAAAAAAATTAGCTGGGCGTGGTGGCGGGCGCCTGTAGTCCCAGCTACTTGGGAGGCTGAGGCAGGAGAATGGCATGAACCCGGGTGGTGGAGCTTGCAGTGAGCCGAGATCGCACCACTACACTCCAGCCTGGGTGACAGAGTGAGACTCTGTCTCAAAAAAAAAAAAAAGAGGCCGAGGTGAGAGGATCACTTGAGACCAGTAGTTGGAGACCAGCCTGAGCAACACAGCATCTCTACAATTGTGTTTTAATTGTAATATGTATATATATGAAATGTGTAAAAGTCCGTAAAAGCCTGGAAGAACGTGCATCAAAAAGTCTATAGAGATAATCTCTTGGATATTCTTCAGAACTTTCTATATTTTTCAAATTCTCTATAATGAATTTATGTTCTTTTATACCTGTCAGAATAAACCAAATTCAGGCTTACTAGCTTTAATAAACTAATACTAAGGGGGTACACAGAGCCTAGCATATCTATAACTAAGAAAGCAAGTCCTTGCTGTTTGATAACATCCTAAAAAAGAAAAAAGTATGTATTTTGCTAATTCTGACCTTTATAAATACTCTAGTAGGTTTTTTTTTAAAAAAGACATAGGTATGTATTTTAATTTTTATTAATTTTTACCTAAAAATTGGAAGAATAGACAGCCTTAAGATCATTTCTTTCCTTCATTTTTCATGGTCAAAAAACCTAACTGATTTCTGGATGTATCATAAATTATCCAATGTCAAGGGCTTAGCATTAATACTGGTATGTCAGACACGTAATAGGCTATTAAAAATGTTTTAGATTAGAGGACCTTCCTTAGAGTATCTCAAGTTTTACAAAAAGTTCCTTTTTTAGAGCTTCATATGGTGGCTCTGTCCTTGGGTTATTATGGAGCTCTTTGGGAAAGCCCTTGACTGCATCGGTTACTGGGCCCATTTTGTTGAAATTACCCAGAAGTTAGCTTGACATTTGTTCTGCCTAAGCTGTGACCCTTTTGCAAAAGGGCCAGGTCAGTGGAAGGGCACATTGGGTATTGCAATTTCAAGAGCTCAGACCAGGGTAATTTGGGGAGGCTTTCTTTGGTTTATTCTATTCTGAGGATTCTTGGGTGACTAAACACATCCTAGGGTCACCAATGATGTCTGGATTCATTTTGGACAACCACAGAGGACTCTGAAGCTCTTTCTTAGATTGTTCCTTGAAATAGAATTGATTGCCTCTGAAGAACTCATTCATCCATTTACTCATCTACCATATGCTAGTAAAATTGTAGTTACAAAGGCTACAGAGTTTCTGTCCCTAAGAAAGACATGCCCTAGTGGGAAGACAAATGTCTTATTTATGATTGAGACATACTGGAGATATTATGGCAGGACGGGAAGAATCACTTCAATGAACAGTTTCCTGGGCATTCCTCTAATTCCCTCTCTCCCCCTGCGGGATTATCCTGAATGCTTTGAAGAAACTGCATTCTTAGGGGTACCCAGAATGACCTATCCACAAAGTGGCGTCTTTCCACCTTTAAGGAGCATGCCAGGCCTTACACTGCACCACGATGGCTTCATGGGACAACATTGCCACCCACTGGTAATAAAGAGTCTCTGTGGACCTTCACCTGGGCCCTGAGTCAATCTGGAACTCTTTGGCCATGCAAGAACAAGTTAAAGGTCATTGATACAGCTGGCTGGCATTGAAACAAAATTAGTCTCATGTGACTTTTTTCAAATATATCAGGTGACACAAAGCATACATATAGAAAAATGGTAAGAGCACAAGCTCTGGGGCCTCACCTCTAGAGTCTGATTCTGGCACTGCCACTTACCTGCTAGCTATGTGACCTTAGGCAAGTTGCTTAACATCTCTATGTCCGTTCTTCACTTGCCAAATGGATAAGAATAGTGCCTCCCCCTTAGGGCTGTTCTGAGAGCTAAATGAATTAATTCATATGAAGTGCTTAAAGCAGTGCCTGGCCCAGAGTAAATATTCAAAGTGTGTTAATTAGTGGGGTGATTCCTCAAAGACCAAGAGGCAGAAATACCATTTGACCCAGCAATCCCATTACTAGGTATATACCCCAAGGAATATAAATCATTCTATTATAAAGATACTTGCATGCATATCACAATAGCAGCACTATTCACTGTTAGCAAAAACATGGAATCAACCTAAATGCCCATCAGTGATAAACTGGATAGAGAAAATGTGATACATATGCACCATGGAATACTATGCAGCAATAAAAAAGAACGAGGTCATGTCCTTTGCAGGGACATGGATGGAGTTGGAAGCCATTATCCTCAGCAAACTAATGCAGGAACAGAAAACCAAACACCACGTGTTCTCACTGATAAGTGGGAACTGAATGATGAGAACACATGGACACATGGAGAGGAACAACACACACTGGAGCCTGTCAGAGGGGGTGGTGTGGGGAGAGGGGGAGCATCAGGAAGAAGAGCTAATAGATGCCGAGCTTAATATTTAGGTGATGGGATTATCTGTGCAGCAAACAACCATGGCACACATTTACCTATGTAACAAACCTGCACATCCTACACATGTACCCTTGAACTTAAAATGAAAGTTAAAGAAAAAAAAAAACAAAGTGTGCCTGTTGTTATTATTATCCAAATTACTACTTTGACATTGATAGGCACTTGTGTCTCCTTGCTCTTAAACGAGACCCTTTGCCTTGTGCAGCAGGCTGTAGTAATTTTGTGAGCAGAAACATTTTTACCATTTCTCATGTCTTCTCCAGTCCCTCAGGGTGTATTTCCTGAGATGATAAGAGTGTTTTAGAAAGTGTCAGTCATATGAGAAGAAGAGAGTTTCTTTCTAACATTTTAAAGGGAAAAATAGCTCCGAACTTTCCACATGTACCAGTTGAGGGAACAAACATGCAAAGTGACCTTCATACCGTGGGAGTGGAAAAGAAGAGATTTCATTCTGTGGGGAGGAAGTCTTGCAACAATATTATCTCAAGAGTAAATATCTGACTGCAATCAGATCTTTCTTCCTAACCAAATTTGTGATGCAACACATGTTGTGTTTCTTTGAATGTTAGCATCTCTGTGCTCTTGCGGGGGTAGGTTTTCTGAGCTGTGAATGGCATTTCATGTTGAGCATCTCTCCTGCATGAAGAGGACCTGGGGAATGGAATTTTCTGTTTTAAGGAGTGTTTCTGTGTTGAAATTCAGTAAAGATGCCTCTTAGAATGCACTTTAATAGAATGCATCTTTATTTTAATAATATTAATTCTTAAAAATATCTTAATCTTTATGTATGGGGCCTTTAGGATGGAGGCAATATACACATTTACTGATTAATTTAGTACACATGTTCTGCTCAGATGGGCTTTCTCACCCACTGGGGTTTTGTGGAAACTTTTCTGATGTTAAAATATTATGTCAAGAAATACTTTGGTAATTAGGCAGTGATATGGTCTGGCTCTGTGTTCCCACCCAAATCTCATCTTGAATTGTAATCCGAATTGTAATCCCTACATGTTGGCGGAGGGACCTCGTGGGAGGTGATTAGATCATAGGGGTGGTTCCCCCATGCTGCTGTTCTCATAATAGTGAGTTCTCATGAGATCTGATGGTTTTTTTAAAATTTAATTTAATTTTATTATTATTATACTTTAAGTTTTAGGGTACATGTGCACAACATGCAGGTTAGTTACATATGTATACATGTGCCATGTTGTTGTGCTGCACCCATTAACTTGTCATTTAGCATTAGGTATATCTCCTAATGCTATCCCTCCCCACAACAGTCCCCGGTGTGTGATGTTCCCCTTCCCCTGTGTCCATGTGTTCTCATTGTTCAATTCCCACCTATGAGTGAGAACATGCGGTGTTTGGTTTTTTGTCCTTTCGATAGTTTGCTGAGAATGATGGTTTCCAGCTTCATCCATGTCCCTACAAAGGACATGAACTCATCATTTTTTATGGCTGCATAGTATTCCATGGTGTATATGTGCCACATTTTCTTAATCCAGTCTATTATTGTTGGACCTTTGGGTTGGTTCCAAGTCTTTGCTATTGTGAATACTGTCACAATGAACATATGTGTGCATGTGTCTTTATAGCAGCATGATTTATAGTCCTTTGGGTATATACCCAGTAATGGGATGGCTGGGTCAAATGGTATTTCTAGTTCTAGATCCCTGAGGAATCGCCACACTGACTTCCACAATGGTTGAACTAGTTTACAGTCCCACCAACAGTGTAAAAGTGTTCCTATTTCTCCACATCCTCTCCAGCACCTGTTGTGTTTTTTTAATGATTGCTGTTCTAACTGGTGTGAGATGGTATCTCATTGTGGTTTTGATTTGCATTTCTCTGATGGCCAGTGATGATGAGCATTTTTTCATGTTTTTTGACTGCATAAATGTCTTCTTTTGAGAAGTGTCTGTTCATATCTTTTGCCCACTTTTTGGTGGGGTTGCTTTTTTCTTGTAAATTTGTTTGAGTTCATTGTAGATTCTGGATATTAGCCCTTTGTCAGATGAGTAGATTGCAAAAATTTTCTCCCATTTTGTAGGTTGCCTGTTCACTCTGATGGTAGTTTCTTTTGCTGTGCAGAAGTTCTTTAGTTTAATTAGATCCCATTTGTCAATTTTGGCTTTTGTTGCCATAGCTTTTGGTGTTTTAGACATGAAGTCCTTGCCCATGCCTATGTCCTGAATGGTATCGCCTAGGTTTTCTTCTAGGGTTTTCATAGTTTTAAGTCTAACATATAATTCTTTAATCCATCTTGAATTAATTTTTGTATAAGGTGTAAGGAAGGTTTTATAAGGGGATTTTCCCCCTTTGCTTGGCACTTCTCCTTCCTGCTGCCATGTGAAGAAGGATGCATTTGCTGCTTCTTCTGCCATGATTGTAAGTTTCCTGAGGCCTCCCCGACACTGCAGACCTGTGAGTCAATTAAACCTCTTTCCTTTATAAATTACCCAGTCTTGGGTAGTTTTTTTGTAGCAGCATGAGAATGGACTAATACAGGTAGGTAGAAATCTTTAATTTTATGAAGGATTATGCTAGCCTTGCTGGCTTTTGGAAATTGAAAAGTAAGTTAAGTGTTGTTATGAAACCATCCTTCCTCCAATCTTCCTTACTTTCTTCTGAATCAAATACATGACTCCACCTACCTCTCACTTTCCAGGAATGGCAGGTGTTGGAGTCAGGCATTTGCCATTTTAACTGCCAACTCTGGAAAATGAGGAATTGGTTTGTTTAGTCTGGAGCAGAGCAGAATGTTCATGTTCAGTTGAACATGATAGCTGTTTTCAATTTTGAAAAAGCTGGAAGAGAGTTTAGACTTGTTTTCTTTTCTTTCTTTTTTTTTCTTTTGAGACAGAGTCTCACTCTGTTGCCCAGGATGGAGTGCATTGGCATGATCTTGGCTCACTGCAAGCTCCGCTTCCTGGGTCCGAACCATTCTCCTGCCTCAGCCTCCTGAGTAGTTGGGATTACAGGTGCCTGCCACCATGCCCAGCTAATTTTTGTATTTTTAGTAGAGATGGGGTTTCACCATATTGGTCAGGCTGGTCTTGAACTCTTGACCTCAAGTGATCCACCTGCCTCAGCCTCCCAAAGTGCTAGGATTATAGGTGTGAGCCACTGCACCTGGGCTAGACTTGTTTTCTGTAAATCCACAGGGAAGAACTAGTTCTGGTGGGTAGAAGTTGGAATTAATAAGACTTTTGAATGACTAGAGCTGTTCAGATACAGAGGCAATTACCTCACAAGCTAGTGCGCTCCTTATCACTATCTGTGTTTAAGCAGGTTCTGACCAAACCCATCTTGGCAGTGTTCTTGAGGAGACAGCTGTATTGAGTAGAAGGTTGATCTCTAAGTTTCCTTTCATGATTGATATTCTGCATGTCTAGCTAGCATCTGTGGAGAACCAAACAGTGAATCTTGGGCTGGGGGAGATTTGGAGAAGGGGGTCTTCCTTGGATCTTTTAAAAGGCACCCTCCTTGTGGCCCTCTACTGTGCCCACTTATAAAACTGCCCCTAGTGCCTTGGTCTCCTGAAAATAGTTTAAGAAAACAAGTGTAATTTGGGTGGCTGGCTCAAATGTCAGAGACTGAACAAGTCTATTGCCCTGCAGTCCCTGAGCTTTGAGTTATCCCTGACACCCTGTAGTGGCTGCATTCTGTCAGCTGGTCTCCCAGGGGTGCCTTCCTTTTCTGAACTCTGTTTTTTCTTCATCACTGATGCATTTTTTTTTCTTTCTTTCTTGTTTTTTTTTTTTTTCCTGGAGACAGAGTCTGACTCCCATCGCCCAGGCTGGAGTTTAGTGGTGCAATCACAGTTCACCGCAGCCTCAACTTCCTGGGCTCAGATGACCCTCCTACCTCAGCCTCCCGAGTAGCTGGGACTACAGATGTGCACCACCACGACTGGTTAATTTTTTGTATTTTTAGTAGACATGGGGCTTCACCATGTTGGCCAGGCTGGTCTCAAACTCCTGGGCTCAAGTGATTTTCCTCCCTCAGCCTCCTAAAATGCTGGGATTACAAGCATGAGCCACCGCTTCTGGCCTCAATGATGCATTTCCACATTCCTTCTTAAAATTGCCTTAAAAATTTTACTGACCCTTTAAAGTGTATGAGTATGCTTTCCGTACAGTCATAGATTGGCAGTAGTTCCCGAATGACTGGATTACAAAAATTATGAAAACACAGATAAGAAGAAAATATAAACTCAAAAGTGATCATTGAAATTTTGGTATGTTGCATACACTTGACTTATGCTGCAGGATGGGTTTGCATCCTACCCCACCTCCTTTACGGAGCCCCTGCATCATGCAATGGAGGAGTGGGGAGAAGTGTTAGTGGTAGGTGAGCTCAGAAGCCTGAAGGGTCTGGTTGTTTCATAGTGCATAGTTGTGTACCTCTGCTCTTTCCATCCCTCCCACAACCCCCACCAGCAGAATCTGAACTGTCTCTTGTTCCCCATTCTGCACTCCAAATAAGCATGGCTGAAAATGGGTGGTGACTAACCCAAAGGCCACAAGAAGGACAAGGCAAGTTCCTGAGGAGAAGGCAAAGTGGTTGAAAGGTCCTCACAGCTGCAAGGCCAGAAAACAAAGAACAGGACGAAGCTCTGAAAGGTGCTACTGCCTGAGGTGGGTACAGCTCTCAGGGATTAGGACAGTGGCAGGTAGTGTCTGCCGGGGTGGCAGGGCTGGTGGACCGGCTAGCAGTGCAAATCTTAAATCTCCCACAGTGTGATCTTCCTATGGGCTGGGATACAATGATAGAACCTGAAGAAATGACTGAAAGTCTCGAAGATGCTGTGTGAGTTTGGCTAACACTAAGGCCATTTTGTTGCTCACTTACTAAGTGAATCGCCCTTCTATCCTCTCCTCCCCTTCCCCCCTTGGAAGTTCCCTTCCATGAGAATGGACTGGGTCAAGGATGATATTATGAGCATGTAACAACTACCTTTTCAGGGGCCTGGAACAGGATGGAAACAGGCCTAACATCTAGGCAGGTTAGATGACTTTGTACTTGCTGGTCTTATGTGTGTGTTCCTGAGGAATGATTAGAGCAGTGAGAATGGAGAAATCCTTGTTGATCTGAGGGCATAGAAAGATTTTAACATTTAACTACCACCAACTGTTCTGAGCACAGTGCTGGAGTTACATGTATTTTTTATTTACAAAAATGTAATCACACTATGTATAGTCATAAGTCACTTAATGCCAGGGATAGTTCTGAGAAACCTGTCAGTAGGTGATTTTGTCGTTATGAGAACATCATAGAGTGTATCTACACAAACCTAGATGGTATAGCCCACTACACACCCAGACTACATGGTACAGACTATTACTCCTAGGCTGCCATCCTGTACAGCATGTTACTGTACTGAATACTGTAGGCAATTGTACCACAGCATTTGTGTATCTAAACATAGTAAAGGTAAAGCAAAAATATGGTATAGACGATAAAATGTGCTACACTAGTGTAGGGCACATAGCATAAATAGAGCTTGCAGGACGGGATGTTGCTCTGGGTGAGTCAATGAGTGAGTGGTGATTGAATGTGAAGGCCTAGGACATTACTGTGCACTACTGTAGACTTTATAAACACTGCACACTCAGCTTACACTACATTTATAAACAAATGTTTTCTTCTATAATAAATTAATCTTAGCTTACTATAACATTTTTACTCTATTAACTCTTAAAATTTGTTTCAACTTTTTGGCTCTATTGTAATAACACTGAAAACAAACACGTTGTACAGTTGAACAAAAATATTTTCTTTCTTTATATCCTTATCCTTTAAGTTTTTTTCTATTTTTAAAATGATTTATTTATTTTCATTTTCTAAATATTTTCATTAAAAACTAAGACACAAACACACACACATTAGCCTAGGCCTACACAGGGTCAGGATCTTCAATAACTTATTTTCCACCTTCACATCTTGTCCCACTGGAAGCTCTTCAGGGACAGTAACATGCAAAAAACTGTCATCTCCTATGAGAACAATGCCTTCTTTTGGAATACCTCCTGAGGGACCTTCTTGTTCGCTTAAAAAATAGCTTAAAAAAAAAAGTAAAAGGAGTATAAATAATGATAAAACTATAGTACAGTAAATAAACTAGTAGCATAGATCACTATAAAGTATTAACGTACTGTACATAATTGTATGTGTTTTTTTAAAAAAAATATTTATTTATTTATTTATTTATTTATTTTTGACAGAGTCTCACTCTGTTACCCAGGCTGGAGTGCAGTGGCACCATCTCGGCTCACTGTAACCTCCACCTCCTGGGTTCAAGCAATTCTCCTGGCTTAGCCTCCCGAGTAGCTGGGACTACAGGCGCCCGCCACCATGCCCAGCTAATTTTTGTATTTTTAGAAGGCATGGGTTTTGCCATGTTGGCCAGTCCGGTCTTGAACTCCTGACCTCAGGTGATCTGCTCGCCTTGGCCTCCCAAAGTGCTGGATTACAGGCGTGAGCCACCGCGCCCAGTCCTGTGTGTGCTTTTTTTAAACAACTGGCAATGCAGTAGATCTGTTTATACCAGCATCATCACAAACACCTGGATAATGTGTTGTGCCATGACATTATGATGGCTACGATATCAATAGGTGACAGAAAACGTTCAGTTCCATCATAATCTTATGGAACCACCATCATATTTGTAGTACATTGTTGACCGAAATGTCACTATGAGGTACATGACTGTATAGTTTTGTTTTTTGCTCTTTTTCACTTTTTTTTTTTGAGTCAGAGTCTCGCTCTGTCACCCAGGCTGGAATGCAGTGGTGTGATCTTGGCTCACTGCAGCGTCCACCTCCTGGGTTCAAGCGATTCTCCTGCCTTAGCCTCCTGAGTAGCTGCGATGACAGGCATGCACTACCAATCTTGCTGATTTTTGTATTTTTAGTGGAGACAGGGTTATGCCATGTTGGGCAGGCTGGTTTCAAACTCTTGGCCTCAAGTGATCTACCCCCCTCGGCCTCCCAAAGAGCTGGGATTACAGGCATGAGCCATCGCTGCTGACCACTTAATATTAGATTATAAACATTTACCCATGTCATAAGATAAAATTTGAAAATGTTGCCTGTAAAATGTGACATAAAATCCCATGGACTGGACTCAGCATTACTAATATAATTATTTTCTCATTACTGGGCATTTCAATAGCTTACTTTTTGTGATTATAAGTTCTGTTGCTATTCTGAATAATACCAAAACATTTTTACATGTATATCTTTTTTTTTTTTTTTTTTGAGACGGAGTCTCACTCTTTGGCCCAGGCCAGAGTGCAGTGGTGCGATCTCGGCTCACTGCAAGCTCCGCCTCCTGGGTTCACGCCATTCTCCTGCCTCAGCCTTCCGACTAGCTGGGACTACAGGCGCCCGCCACCGCGCCTGGCTAATTTTTGTATTTTTAGTAGAGACGCAGTTTCACTGTGTTAGCCAGGATGGTCTCGATCTCCTGACCTCGTGATCCACCCGCCTTGGCCTCCCAAAGTGCTGGGATTACAGGCGTGAGCCACCGCGCCCGGCTACATGTATATCCCTTTGTGCATTTGTGATTATTTCCTTTGGACACATTCCTAGAAAGGAACTTGGAAGTCAATGGATTTGACTCTTTGTGAAACTGCCCTCTAGAAAGGTTGGACCAATACACACTCCCAAGCAGTGCTTGAGAGCACACTTCACCCCATTATCAGTGATAGTGTGCTTTACAATTAAAAAAAATTAATGCTGATGTGAAAGGAGAATAGTGATTATTTTCAATGGTCATTTTTTTCTTTTTTTAAAATTTGAGATGGAGTCTCGTTCTGTCGCCCAGGCTGGAGTGCCGTGGCACAATCTCAGCTCACTGCAGCCTCCGCCTCCCGATTTCAAGCTATTTTCCCACCTCAGCCTCCTGAGTAGCTGGGACTACAGGAGTGTGCCACCACCCCCGAAATGGTCATTTTTTTCTTTTATTCCTGAGAGAGAAGTATTTTTATGTTTATGTCCATTTTATGAATTATCTGTTGGTATCCTTTCTATTGTCTCTACCCAATTTATTTGAAAGTGCTTTATAGGCCGGGCGCGGTGGCTCAAGCCTGTAATCCCAGTACTTTGGGAGGCCGAGGCGGGCGGATCACGAGGTCAGGAGACTGAGACCACGGTGAAACCCCGTCTCTACTAAAAATACAAAAAATTAGCCGGGTGCGGTGGCGGGCGCCTGTAGTCCCAGCTACTCAGGAGGCTGAGGCAGGAGAAAGGCGTGAACCCGGGAGGCGGAGCTTGCAGTGAGCCGAGATCGCGCGACTGCCTCCAGCCTGGGCGACAGAGCGAGACTACGTCTCAAAAAAAAAAAAAAAAAAAAAAAAAGAAAGTGCTTTATATACAGTAAAGACACTAACCCTTCATCTGTTATAATGCTACAGTTACCTTTCCCTGTTTGCCAATTAAGTTCTCAGTTTGGTTTTGTTGGTAAAAAAATATCTTTTCAGCATTTATATAGTCAAAATCTATGGATACTGCATTTTTAAATTGATTTCACTGCTTTTATGATTAGAAATAACTTTATGAAACCTTGTGCTTATTTATTTGATATTGAATTGTACTTAATATAAATTTGTAAACTTTCTTTTTGTATTCTGCAATCAATTTTTTTCAAAATAGTCAGTTATTAGTTAATTCTCCCTTTCCTTGCTTAATTGTAATGGCAACCTTATATATACTCAATCATTATTGACACTTTAGAGGAGGCTCCTCCTGTAGCCTGTTCACTGGAACTGTGGCTTGGGGAGCGGGGACCCCAGATATACCCTCTCTGTAGTGGTGTGCGTGAATTTGGGGGTACAGCCAAAGGCCATTTCAGGCACACTCCATAAGTCTTGTGGTAGGTCCCCAGTCAAAGTTCTTAGCTTCTAGAATTGTTGGTAGCACATCTGAAGGAATTAAAAGACTCAGAATAACCCTAAAGTTAGTGAAGACTGCTACACGATTACTTCCACAGAAAAACAGTATCTCCGAGTCTCTATAAGAGCACCCGCTGGTACTGCATTGCTCATGTGATCTTTTCAGGACCGTTTCAATGCCTGAGTAACAGTCTTAATGATGGCCAGCACTTAACATAGAGCTCACTGTATCTCACTGTATGCCCAGCACTGTGTAAGCACTTCCTAGAAATTGACTCTTTTGATTCTCACTGTATGAGGTTGAGGTAGGTACTACAATTATTCCCATTTTATGGATGAGGAAACTGAGGTACAGAGTAGAAACAAAGTGACTTATCCAAACTTGCACAGGTGGCAATTGGTAAAACCCAGGTAAGGCTGCAGCCTGTCAGGCCTTGGATCCCGCCCTCTGACCCCTGTGCACTGTGGTCTGGAAGCACTCTTTCACTCAGAGACAAAGCCCTCATATATTCCAGTGAACTTGTGACCTCTTTTTGGTGCTGGATGGACATTCCACATTTTCACATTCCATTCTCACTGACTCACGGCAGCTTGTACCCTTCTTTCCACCCTGTTGCACAAGCTGTGTGGCATGGTGTTTTGCCTTACACATCATTGTGCTAGAGTTTATACTCACTGTAGCAAAAATAACCTTTAAATATTAACCCAAAATTGGAAGCACACCTGTGAACAATTGGCTGGCTGTACAACAGGGAGGGAATTAAGGCTAGTGGTAATAGCACAAATATTCTAAAGTGAGGTTGAACAAGTTCTTTTAAAACATTAAGATAAATATCAAATGGCCAAGGGACAAATAGTTCTCATATTGAAGCACAGAAAAAAAGTAAAATTTTTAAAATTTATTTTCTAAGATTAGCATAAACTGGTAAAGACACACACACACACACACACACACACACACACACACACACGCGTACCTATAGACCAATTCGGTTTGTGAATACAAAATTGTAAGTTTCAAATTAAATTCTACTGGATCAATTTCAGTTGGGTATTGAAATAAAATAATGCATCATGGCCAAATACAGTTTATTCTAGAATATAAAGATACTTTGGTTGGAGGATATCTATTAATAAAATATGTCATACCAATAGAACAAAGGAAAAATAAGTGATTGTATGAGCAAACACCAGAAAGGCATTTATGAAATTTGACCCCTATAAGATAAACAGATAAAAAGTGCTTATCTATTTCAAACCAGTTGCAAACATTATACGTAATAGTGAAACAATAGAGAAGGGAAGAAATAAGACAAATTCTAACAAATGCAGTAAGATATGAAGCAAAAAGAAATGAAATGTAATAATTATAAAGGAAGAGCAAAATAATAATAATTTATTAATAGCTAACTTTTACAGACGAATTTTCTTTCAGGCACTGTCCTAACAATTTTATTGGAATTAGGCCATTTATTTGTTTCAGCAACTTTATGAAGTAGGTAGTATTTAACCCCTCCGCTCCATTTAAAGATGAGAAAATTGAAGCACAGAAAGGTTCAACAACTTTCCCAGAGTTGCACAGCTATTAAATGACAGGATTTGAAACCAGTCCATCTGGCCTGAAGCCGGGGTTCTCAACCACTATGTGGCACTGACCATCAGGGTTTGAATGATTTAATTATCTATCAGACAGCACATGGGAATTATCCATAGAATAAGTAGAATTAATAAGATTCAATTAAGTTAGTCAGATTTAAAAATAAATATAAAACGAGATAGTTCTATATTAAATAACATAAGGGGGAAAATAATTCATTACATGAAAATATAAAATACCCAGGAATAAACCTCACCAAAATATCATAATTTAAATGAGAAAAACTATATTGTGGTCCTGGTGTTCTACCTTCTGAGACTAAGATGCCTTCTGGATAAAAACTTTATTGTGGGATATAACAGAAAAGTTGGATTTATGGAAATGCATACCATAGTCCTAGACAGGAGGACTAAAGAGTATATACAATTTTAATTATTACCAGATTAAAATATGTTTACTCTCATTTCAATCAAAGTTCCAACAATTGTTTGGGAGGAGGTGTCAGGAAAACATTAACTTTTATTTGTAAAAATAAATAGATAATTATGTTTTAAAGAAAACAAAAGAATATATTTAAGTATTTGCTTATTAGTACACTGAATCTCTCTGGAAGGATGCATAAGACATTGGTTACATTATTTTGCTTCCAGGGAAGGGAATTGGACCACTGAAGGTAGGAGCGGGGATGGATTACTCATCGGACATTTTAAATACCTTAAAAGTGTGTGAATATATTACCATTCTAAAAGCAAAAACAAAGAAAACAACAAACAAAAAGTAGGTAAGAATATCCAATAAAATTGAAAAAAAAAACAATATTGAGGGAGATTTCCTCTATCGAATAGTACAACATATAAAACTGTAATAATTAAAATAGTGAGATTCTGCTTCAAAACTAGATAGATTACTAGAGCAGCAAAGAGTCCAGAAACTTGCCTGAGACTAGCATGGCAGATGGAAGTAAACAGATAGGCTGGCTTACGAGCAAAGGGAGAGTTTTATCCAGAAGGCGTCGTAGTCTCGGAAGATAGAACACCAGGACCAGAGGGCAGGGAAAGCAGAAGCACTGCAAAGCCTATGAGTGTCCCTGAAGGATTAATTTCCTTCTGATGTGGTTTACCTGCTCAGGCAATTCTGTCTCTTCCAACTTCCAAATGAAAAAGAGGTATGTATTAGTCTGTTCTCATGTTGCTAATAAAGACATATCTGAGACTGGATAATTTATAAAGGAAAGATGTTTGATGGACTCATCCACATGGCTAGGGAGGCCTCACAATCATGGTGAAAGGCAAAGGAGAAGCAGAGGCACATCTTACATGGTGGCAGGCAAGAGAGCTTGTGCAGGGGAACTCCCATTTATAAGACCATCAGATCTTGTGAGTCTTATTCACTACCACAAGAACAGTATGGGGGAAACCACCCCCATGATTCAATTATCTCCACCTGGCCCTGCTCTTGACACATGGGGATTATTACAATTCAAAGTGAGATTTGGGTGGGGGCACAGCCAAACAATATCAGGGTGCTCTGCCACGAATTCATTAGAGAGGAAGTGAAGGCTTGGAGTGTGGGATGTTCACTTGACCTGGGGAGACCAGTCATCCATGTGACCTTAGGTGAGTCATTTATAATAATCACTAGCACTTACTAAGTGATTCTGTGGGCCCGGCGTGGTGCCAGGTACTTTGTATGCATTACTTCATTAAATCTTTATAACAGTCCTCTGAGGATGGTTGTAATCATCTTTACAACGATCCTATAACCCACACCAACAGTTTCAAACAATCTTTTGTAGTATAATCATCTTAACTTACAAGGTAAGGAAAGCAAGGGATAAATATATCACCAGCTGGAGCACACAGTAAGCAGCAGCACTGGGATCTGAGTGTCCAATCAGCTCCAGTGGCCATGGGATTTACTCCACTGTACCACTGCTAATCCCTTTATGTTTCAGTCTTCACATATAAACAGTGAAGGTGCTGGGTTATATATTCACTAAGATTCCTTCTAATTCTAAAGGGACTGCTATTCTAAGATGAAACACTTCCAGGATCCATCCTTAAATTGGTTCCTGCTGTGGCCACCTGAAACCAACCAACCTATCTCAACTCCACTGTATATTCAGTGGTCCCTGCTGGGCCGGCCCAGTTGTGGCCAGAACTCTAGGATGCCATTTTAAAAATAATATTAAGTGATCAGATGGATAAAAGTGTCAATCTGGGTGAATTTCAGGTGCACCTCTTACAGTTTTTTAAAATAGCAGACTGTGTGCTGATTTACTGTGGTGAATTGAAGATCCCAGGAGTGGTCTAAGGGTAAAGTCGATGGGCCCACAACCAAAGAGCAAGATGCCAAGGCTGAAAGAATTCTTTTTTTTTTTAATCAACTGTTGTTTTTGTGTGACCTTGTTTACAGGGTTAGAGATTTCTGAACTCTCTTGGAGAAAGGTCCACTTGTTGCTGCATAGAACAAATGGGCTGAGTAGGTAAATAACAACCCATCTTCAGAAGCTTCCGTGATAAAAGCCAAGCCCTGGCCTTGGCAATATCTAGTTCGCATCACATCAGTTCCTCCGGTTATATTTCACCCTTTTAACCTCTTTCTCCTCCTCCTGGGATGCTGGGGCCATTCTTTGCTCCAAGGGCAGACTGCCATGGAGACTGAATCCTCTCTGGAAGAGGTGGGGCTGTCACACTGAGCTGAGGCCTCTTAGCAGAGCTCATTCCAAAGGGAAGCCCAGCCCAGTGGAGCCACAGTGATGGCTGTTGTCCCTGCCAGCTCACCTTGAGCAAATCACAGAGGGAGTCGGGCACTCTGCTGAGGACTCTAGCCACCATCACCTTTTCCTTCTCGTGCTAGGTGTCAGAAAGGGGTTGATTGGGTGGACTGTCAGAATCTAGAAAGTATATCTTGGTATGAAGAGGAGTGTGGGAGGGCTTGGGGGTCAGAAGCCTGAGTTAACATGACAGCCTTGTCCTTTGTCCTGTGTGTCCTTGGGCAAGTTATGTAACCTCAGATGGACTAAAAATGGAATCTGTCTCAAAGTCTGTGGCACGGATTAAGTGAGATAATAGGAAGAAAGAGCATAGCACAGTGCCTGGTACATGGGAACTGCTTAATAACCCAGAGTGATAGCTCTTTTTTTAATTAGGAGTACTGGCTAGTATTCTTGGCCAGATCTCCTGTTTCTCTTTGGAGGTGATTCCCCAACCCTGGCATGGAGGGTGAATTGTCATGAATACATCTTGGTGGCTGAGAAGCTGGGAATAGGCTGGGGTTAAGAGATGCTGAAGAACATAGCTCTTTGCTAGTTAAAGGAGTGTAACACTTTCTATGCTGTATTCATTTATGTATTGCTTGAATTTTTTGAAAAAGGTAGTATTAATTTCATAATTAGGAAATAAGTATAAGGAAATAGATGTGAATATTTTATACTCTATATAATATATATTATTATCATATCTGTTATGGTCACCTGTCATCAGTGATCTTTGATGTTACTATTGTAATTGTTTTGGGTCCCATGGACCGCATCCACAGAAGATGGTGGACTTAAATGGATAAATGTGTTCTCTGACTGCTCCACTGACCAACCAGTCCCCCATCTCTCTCCCTCTCCTCAGGCCTCCTTATTCCTTGAGACACAACAATATTGAAATTAGGCCAACTAATAACCCTACAATGGTCTTTGAGTATTCAAGTGAAAGGAAGAGTCACAAATCTCTCACTTTAAATCAAAAGCTAGAAATGATTAAGCTCAATGAGGAAGGCATGTTGAAAGCTAAAACAGACCAGAAACAAGTCCTCTTGTGTCAGTTAGTCAAGTTGTGAATGCAAAGAAAAGTTCTTGAAGGAAATTAAAAGTGCTACTCCAGTGAACACATGAATGGTAAGAAAGAGAAACAGCTTTATTGCAGATATGGAGAAAGTTTTAGTGGCCTGGATAAAAGACCAATCTAGCCGCCACATTTCCTTAAGCCAAAGCCTAATCCAGAGGAAGCCCCTAACTTTCTCCAAGTCCATGAAGTCTGAGAGAAATGAGGAAGATGAAAAATAAAAGTTTGAAGCTAGCAAAGGTTGTTTCATGAGGTTTAAGGAGAGAAGCCATCTCTATAACACAAAAATGGAAGTGAAGCAGCAAGTGCTGTTGGAGAAGCTGCAACAAGTTATCCAGCAGATCTAGCTAAGGTCATTGATGAACGTGGCTATAGTAAACAACAGATTTTCAATGTAGATAAAACAGCCTTCTATTGGGAGAAGATGCCACCTAGGACTTTCATAGCTGGAGAAGGGATGTCACTACCCAGCTTCAATGCTTCAAAGGACTCTTGTTAGGGGCTAATGCAGCTGATGACTTGGAGTTGAAGCCAGTGCTCATTTACCATTCCAAAACCTGAAGTCTCTTAACAATTATGTTAAATCTACTCTGCCTCTGCTCTGTAAATGGAATAACAAAGCCTGGATGATAGCAAATCTATTTACAACATGGTTTACTGAATATTTTAAGCCTACTATTGAGACCTACTGGTCAGAAAGAAAAGTTCCTTTCAAAACAATACTGACAATACATTGTCAATGAGCAGTAATATTTTGAAATGAATCATTTTTTCTAAGCAAGAGCTCTGATAGAGATGTACAAGGAGATTAATGTTGTTTTCATGCCTGTAACACAGGATCCATTCTGCAGCCCATGGATCAAGGAGTAATTTTGACTTTCAAATTTTGTTATTTATGATATACATTTTGCAAGGCTATAGCCTCCATAGATAGTGATTCCTCTGATGGATCTGGGCAAAGTAAATTGAAAACCTTTGCTCTATTAGTTTCTGCCAGAGAAAATAAAAAAAAATAAGAAAAACTCTGGAAAGAATTAACTATTCAAGATACCCTTAAAAACATTCATGATTCGTGGCTCATGCCTGTAATCCCAGCACTTTGGGAGGCCAAGGCGGGTGTATCATGAAGTCAGGAGATTGAGACCGTCCTGGCTAACATGGTGAAACCCCATCTCTACTAAAAATACAAAAAAAATTAGCCGGGCGTGGTGGGGGGCACCTGTAGTCCCAGCTACTTGGGAGGCTGAGGCAGGAGAATGGCATGAACCCAGGCGGCAGAACTTGCAGTGAGCCGAGATTGTGCCACTGCACTCCAGCCTGGGTGACAGAGCGAGACTCCGTCTCAAAAAAAAAAAAAAAAAATTCATGATTCGGGTTTGGAAGAAGTTAATTTCAACTCTCCAAACAGGAGTTTTGAAGAAGTCTTAGAGGAGTTCAGAACTTCAGTAGAGGAAGTAACTGCAGATGTAGTGGAAATAGCAAGAGAACTAGAGTTAGAAGTGAAGCCTGAAGATATGATTAAATTGCTGCAATCTCATGATAAACCTTGAATGGATGAAGATTTGCTTCTTATGGATGAGTAAAGGAAGTGATTTCTTGAGATCATATCTACTCCTGGTGAAGACACTGTGAATATTGTTGAAATGACAACAAAGGATTTAGAATATTACATAAATTTAGTTGATAAAGTAGTGGTAGGGTTGGAGAGAATTGACTCCAGTTTTGAAAGAATTTCTACGGTGGGTAAAATGCTATCAAACCATATCACATGTTACATACAGATACATCTTTTATGAAAGAAGGAGTCAATTGATGCAGCAAACTTTATTTTTGTCTTATTTTAAGAACTTGCCATAGCTACCCCAACCTTCAGCAGCCACCACCCAGATCAGTCGGCAGCCATCAACATCGAGGCAAGACCCTCTACCAGCAAAAAGATGGCTGAAGGCTCAGATGATCGTTAGCTTTTCTTTAGCAATAAAGTATTTTTAAAATAAGGTATGCACATTTTTAGACAAAATGCTGTTGCATACTTAATAGATTACAGTACAGCATAAACCTAACTTTTACATGCATTGGGAAACCAAAACTTTGTGTAACTCACTTTTTGCAATATTCACTTTGTTGCAGTGGTCTGGAAACAAACCCACTGTATCCCCAAGGTATACCTGTATTAGGTCAATAGACAAAATTAGAATGCAGATGCTAGATTAACAAAAAGCACACACACATGTTGAGGGAGAGAGACACACACACAGAGAGAGAGAGAGAGGGAGGGAAGGAGTGAGGGAGACAGAGACAGAAAGAGCAAATGATAAAGCAAACGGGGCAAAATGTTAACGTTAGATGAATCTGAGTAAAAGGCATACAAGTGTTTTTTTATATGATTCTTATTTTTACAACATATCTGTAAGTTTGAAATTATTTTTGAAAAATTTAGGCCAGGCACAGTGACTCACACCTGTAATCCCAGCACTTTGGGAGGCCGAGGCGGGCGGATCACTTGAGGTCAGGAGTTCGAGACCAGCCTGGCCAACATGGCAAAAACCTGTCTCCACTAAAAATACAAAAATTAGCCAGGCATGGTGGCAGGCACCTGTAATCCCAGCTATGTGGGAGGCTGGGGCAGGAGAATCACTTAAACCCCGGAGGTGGAGGTTGCAGTGAGCAGAGATCGTGCCACTGCACTCCAGCCTGGGGGATAGAGCAAGACTCTGCCTCCAAAAAAAAAAAAAAAAAAAGAAAAATTTAAAATAATTTGAATACTATTGAATATTATATGCATGTATCTTAAGTTCTGAGAGCACACTTAGAAATGGAAGTACTTTCCACGTATACTGGAATGACTTCCCTTCTCTTCCTCCCTCAATATACCTGATAAAATAAGAATAGGCTCATTAATGAGCAAGTGCCCTTCTTAGGTTTCACAAAGAGAAAACAAAGAGCCCTTATTAAGCACACAAACCTACATACTGATTGAAGGTAAATATTAGGGTAAAACCATCATGACTTTAAAAGATATATCAGAAAATCTGACATGTAGATCATTCATGATATAAGGGAATTCTCAAACACAATTCAGCAGACCCTGCATTAAATGACCAACAGAGATTTACAAGTGCATTAATCATGTGACTCCTGGTTAGTGGTCTTAGCCCCACCCATATGCCACCTTTTGCACGAACCTTTGACCTCAGTGCATCCATACCCTCACCTTCTCACCTTGTCCCACATTTGGTGATGAGTGAGATGTTTGTCTCATGCTTGTTTTGTAATAAAAAAACAGCTACAAGCTTATTGTAGTTTCTTTTAGATTCCATATCCATTTTGGTTAAAATATCCTTGTATCAAAATAGTGGTATCAAAGGGAAAATCCATGAATATCAGGTACCCAGCACAATTACTTAGTTCTGGCACTGTGGGGTTAGTGAGTAGAGATGACAGGAAGAGCTCAGCATGGTGGCCCAGCTGCCTGCTGCACCGGAGGCTGAGCTGAGGGAGAGCCTCCTGAAGCTGATCCAATGAGTTGTGGGAAACATCAGGGTTGATTCAGATGTGGTTGCCCAAGTGAGTCTCTATTCTCTCCGGATACCACTCAAGGGTCCTCCCTCTTGGGATGCATACTCTGGCAAGAGGCCCCCTCCCCCAGGACAGTTGGGTGGTCCTGTGGTGAAGAATACTGATGGCTGTGAAGGGTAATTATTTGGATAAGCTCAGCCAGGGGCTTCCTTCTGTAGAGTCCATAAGAAGAGCCATAAAGGGTGGAAGGAAAGGGATGCTCAGGTTATTGGGGGCACAACCTGTCCTAGGGGGTAAGAAATGGAGGCCACAGCACACTCCAGAATGGATTGGTCTGTCACACACTTTCTCAGGAGTTGGTTGGTTGGAAGAAGGCAGCATCACAAAGAAGGGGGCAGAGAAAGGTGGGGGTCAAACACACTTACTTAGACTTATTCAGGAGTGATCAAGAAAACTGAAAGAGGCGGGGCACAGTGGCTCACGCCTGTACTTCCAGCACTTTGGGAGGCCGAGGAAGGCAGATCACCTGAGGTCAGGAGTTCAAGACTAGCCTGGCCAAAAGGTGAAACCCTGTCTCTACAAAAATACGAAAATTAGATGGTCATGATGGTGGGCGTCTGTAATCCCAGCTACTTAGGAGGCTGAGGCAGGAGAACTGCTTGAACCCAGGAGGCAGAGGTTGCAGTGAGCCAAGACCATGCCATTGCACTCCAGCCTGGGTGACAGAGTGAGACTCCATCTCAAAAAACAAAACAAAACAAAACAAAAAAACACTGAAACAAACATGCTTGCCTAGACTTGTTCAGGAGTGGTCAAGAACAGGAAAAAAAGATTCTTCTCCCATCTCTCTTTCTCTCTTCTCCACTTTCTTGACCAAGAGAAGGAGAAGGCTAAGCACTTTCTCAAAGGCAACATATAATTTGCTTCTAAACCAGTACTGGTTTGCATCTTGTCTTTATTTATCTGGACCTTCAATCTGAAAATCAATCACAGAATTCTCCTCAATGTTCCTGGGTTTACTCCAGGCTCCCATTCAAGATCTCTGAGCCTGAACTCAGCAACTGAGCCCAAATCATTCCCTTTCCTTTCCCATCTCCTATGCTTGCCTTTCAAAACTCCTTTCAGAGGACTCCTTTGTTTGAAACACCATTCAAAATTTGCTTATTCTTCCTTTGTAGGCATCTGGTTGTCATGCCAGATTTTTAACTTTTGCTTTTTCAGCAAAGCACAGATCTTTTTGTCTAGCATTCCCATTTTAGATGAGCAGTTGGATTTAAAACCTGCACATTGAGGGAGGTTCCAAGATGGCCAAATAGGAACAGCTCCAGTCTACAGCTCCCAGCGTGAGTGACGCAAAAGACAGGTGATTTCTGCATTTCCAACTGAGGTACCAGGTTCATCTCACTGGGGCTTGTCAGACAGTGGGTGCAGGACAGTGGATGCAGCCCACCGAGCATGAGCCGAAGCAGGGTGAGGCATCACCTCACGCGGGAAGCGCAAGGGGTGGGGGAATTCCCTTTCCTAGCCAAGGGAAGCAGTGACAGATGGCACCTGGAAAATTGGGTTACTCACACCCTAATACTGTGCTTTTCCAACCATCTTAGCAAATGGCACACCAGGAGATTATATCCCGTGCCTAGCTTGGAGGGTCCCATGCCCACGGAGCCTTGCTCACTGCTAGCACAGCAGTCTGAGATCAAACTGCAAGGCAGCAGCGAGGCTGGGGGAAGGGCATGTGCCATTGCTGAGGCTTGAGTAGGTAAACAAAGCAGCCAGGAAGCTCGAACTGGGTGGAGCCCACCGCAGTTCAAGGAGGCCTGCCTGCCTCTGTAGACTCCACCTCTGGGGGCAGGGCATAGCTGAACAAAAGGCAGCAGAAACTTCTGCAGACTTAAACGTCCTTGTCTGGCAGCTTTGAAGAGAGTAGTGGTTCTCCCAGCACGGAGTTTGAGATCTGAGAACAGATAGACTGCCTCCTCAAGTGGGTCCCTGACCCCCGAGTAGCCTAACTGGGAGGCACCTCCCAGTAGGGGCTGACTGACACCTCATATAGCCAGGTGCCTCTCTGAGACTAAGCTTCCAGAGGAAGGATCAGGAAGCAACATTCGCCGTTCTGCAATATTTGTGGTTCTGCAGCCTCCGCTGGTGATACCCAGGCAAACAGAGTCTGGAGTGGACCTCCAGCAAACACCAACAGACCTGCAGCTGAGGGTCATGACTGTTAGAAGGAAAACTAAGAAACAGAAAGGACATCCACACCAAAACCCCATCTGTATGTCACCATCATCAAAGACCAAAGGTAGATAAAACCACAAAGATTGGGAGAAACCAGAGCAGAAAAGCTGAAAATTCTAAAAATCAGAGGGCCTCTTCTCCACCAAAGGAATGCAGCTCCTCGCCAGCAATGAAACAAAGCTGGACGGAGAATGACTTTGATGAGTTGAGAGAAAAAGGCTTCAGAAGATCAGTAATAACAAACTTCTCTGAGCTAAAGGAGGATGTTCGAACCCATCACAAAGAAGCTAAAAACCTTGAAAAAAGATTGGACGAATGGCTAACTGAATAAATAGCGTAGAGAAGACCTTAAATGACTTGATGGAGCTGAAAACCAAGGCACGAGAACTATGTGACACATGCACAAGCTTCAGTAGCTGATTCGATCAACTGGAAGAAAGGGTATCAGTGATTGAAGATCAAATGAATGAAATGAAGCCAGAAGAGAAGTTTAGAGAAAAAAGAGTAAAAAGAAATGAACAAAGCCTCCAAGAAATATGGGACTATGTGAAAAGACCAAATCTACGTCTGATTGGTGTACCTGAAAGTGACGGGGAGAATGGAACCAAGTTGGAAAACACTCTTCAGGATATTATCCAGGAGAACGTCCCCAACCTAGGAAGGCAGGCCAACATTCAAATTCAGGAAATACAGAGAATGCCACAAAGATACTCCTCAAGAAGACCAACTCCAAGACACATAATTGTCAGATTCACCAAAGTTGAAATGAAGGAAAAAATGTTAAGGGCAGCCAGAGAGAAAGGTCGGGTTACCCACAAAGGGAAGCCCATCAAACCAATAGATGATCTCTTGGCAGAAACTCTACAAGCCAGAAGAGAGTGAGGGCCAATATTCAACATTCTTAAAGAAAAGAATTTTCAACCCAGAATTTCATATCCAGCCAAACTAAGCTTCATAAGTGAAGGAGAAATAAAATCCTTTGCAGACAAGCAAATGCTGAGAGATTTTGTCACCACCAGGCCTGCCCTAAAAGAGCTCCTGAAGGAAGCACTAAACATGGAAAGGAACAACTGGTATCAGCCACTGCAAAAACATGACAAATTGTAAAGACCATTGATGCTAGGAAGAAACTGCATCAACTAACAAGCAAAATAACCAGCTAACATCATAATGACAGGATCAAATTCACACATAACAATATTAACCTTAAATGTAAATGGGCTAAATGCTCCAATTAAAATACACAGACTGCCAAATTGGATAAAGAGTCAAGACCCATCAGTGTGCTGTATTCAGGAGACCCATCTCACATGCAGAGACACACATAGGCTCAAAAGAAGATCTACCAAGCAAATGGAAAACAAAAAAAGGCAGGGGTTGCAATCCTAGTCTCTGATAAAACAGACTTTAAACCAACAAAGATCAGAAGAGACAAAGAAGGCCATTACATAATGATAAAGGGATCAATTAAACAAGAAGAGCTATCCTAAATATATATGCACCCAATACAGGAGCACCTAGATTCATAAAGCAAGTCCTTAGAGAACTACAAAGAGACTTAGACTCCCACACAATAATAATGGGAGACTTTAACACCCCACTGTCAACATTAGACAGATCCATGAGACAGAAAGTTTACAAGGATATCCAGGAATTGAACTCAGCTCTGCACCAAGCGGACCTAATAGACATCTACAGAACTCTCCACCCCAAATCAACAGAATATACATTCTTCTCAGCACCACACCGCACTTATTCCAAAATTGACCACATAGTTGGAAGTAAAGCACTCCTCAACAAATGTAAAAGAACAGAAATTATAACAAACTGTCTCTCAGACCACAGTGCAATCAAACTAGAACTCAGGATTAAGAAACTCACTCAAAACTGCTCAACTACATGGAAACTGGACAACCTGCTCCTGAATGACTACTGGGTACATAATGAAATGAAGGCAGAAATAAAGATGTTCTTTGAAACTGATGAGAACAAAGACACAACATACCAGAATCTCTGGGACACATTTAAGGCAGTGTGTAGAGGGAAATTTATAGCACTAAATGCCCACAACAGAAAGCAGGAAAGATCTAAAATTGACACCCTAACATCACAACTAAAAGAACTAGAGAAGCAAGAGCAAACACATTCAAAAGCTAGCAGAAGGCAAGAAATACCTAAGATTAGAGCAGAACTGAAGGAGATAGAGACACAAAAAACCCTTCAAAAAATCAGTGAATCCAGGAGCCGCTTTTTTGAAAAGATCAACAAAATTGATAGACCACTAGTAAGACTAATAAAGAAGAGAGAAGAATCAAACAGATGCAATAAAAAATGATAAAGGGGATATCACCACTGATCCCACAGAGATACAAACTACCATCAGAGAATACAATAAACACCTCTACGCAAATAAACTAGACAATCTAGAAGAAATGGATAAATTCCTGGACACATACACCCTCCCAAGACTAAACCAGGAAGAAGTTGAATCCTTGAATAGGACAATAATAGGCTCTGAAATTGAGGCAATAATTAACAGCCTACCAACCAAAAAAAGTCCAGGACCAGACAGATTCACAGCCGAATTCTACCAGAGCTACAAAAAGGAGCTGGTACCATTCCTTCTGAAACCATTTCAATCAACAGAAAAAGAGGAAATCCTCCCTAACTCATTTTATGAGGCCAGCATCAACCTGATACCAAAGCCTGGCAGAGACACAACAAAAAAAGAGAATTTTAGACCAATATCCTTGATGAATATTGATGCAAAAATCCTCAATAAAATACTGGCAAACCGAACCCAGCAGCACATCAAAAAGCTTATCCACCATGATCAAGTTGGCTTCATCCCTGGGATGCAAGGCTGCTTCAACATACACAAATCAATAAACGTAATCCATCATATAAACAGAACCAAAGACAAAAACCACGTGATTATCTCAATAGATGCAGAAAAGGCTTTCGACAAAATTCAACAGCCCTTCATGTTAAAAACTCTCGATAAATTAGGTATTGATGGGACGTATCTCAAAAAAATAAGAGCTATTTATGATAAACCCACAGCCAATATCATACTGAATGGACAAAAACTGGAAGCATTCCCTTTGAAAACTGTTACAAGACAGGGATGCCCTCTCTCACCACTCCTATTCAACATAGTGTTGGAAGTTCCGGCCAAGGCAATCAGGCAGGAGAAATAAATAAAGAGTATTCAATTAGGAAAACAGGAAGTCAAATTGTCTCTGTTTGCAGATGACATGATTGTATATTTAGAAAACCCCATCGTCTCAGCCCCAAATCTCCTTAAGCTGATAAGCAACTTCAGCAAAGTCTCAGGATACAAAATCAATGTGCAAAAATCACAAGCATTCTTATACACCAACAACAGACAAACAGAGAGCCAAATCATGAGTGAACTCCCATTCACAATTGCTTCAAAGAGAATAAAATACATAGGAAACCAACTTACAAGGGATGTGAAGGACCTCTTCAAGGAGAATTACAAACCACTGCTCAACAAAATAAAAGAGGACACAAACAAATGGAAGAACATTCCATGCTCATGGATAGGAAGAATAAATATGAAAATGGCCATACTGCCCAAGGTAATTTATAGATTCAATGCCATCCCCGTCAAGCTACCAATGACTTTCTTCACAGAATTGGAAAAAACTACTTTAAAGTTCATATGAAACCAAAAAAGAGCCCACATTGCCAAGACAATCCTAAGCAAAAAGAACAAAGCTAGAGGCATCACGCTACCTGACTTCAATCTATACTACAAGGCTACGGTAACCAAAACAGCATGGTACTGGTACCAAAACAGAGATATAGACCAATAGAACAGAACAGAGCCCTCAGAAATAATACCACACATCTAAAACCATCTGATCTTTGAGAAATCTGACAAAAACAAGAAATGAGGAAAGGATTCCCTCTTTATTAAATGGTGCTGGGAAAACTGGCTAGCCATATGTAGAAAGCTGACACTGGATCCCTTCCTTACACCTTATACAAAAATTAATTCAAGATGGATTAAATACTTAAATGTCAGACCTAAAACCATAAAAACCCTAGAAGAAAACCTAGGCAATACCATTCAGGACATAGGCATGGGCAAGGACTTCACGTCTAAAACACCAAAAGCAATGGCAACAAAAGCCAAAATTGACAAATGGGATCTAATTAAACTAGAGAGCTTCTTCTGCACAGCAAAAAAAAAACTACCATCAGAGTGAACAGGCAACCTGCAGAATGGGAGAAAATTTTTGCAATCTACTCATCTGACGAAGGGCTAATATCCATAATCTACAAAGAACTTAAACAAATTTACAAGAAAAAATCAAACAACCCCATCAAAAAGTGGGTGAAGGGTGTGAACAGACACTTCTCAAAAGAAGACATTTATGCAGCCAACAGACACATGAAAAAATGCTCATCATCACTGGCCATCAAAGAAATGCAAATCAAAACCACAATGAGATACCATCTCACACCAGTTAGAATGGCAATCATTAACAAGTCAGGAAACAACAGGTGCTGGAGAGGATGTGGAGAAACAGGAACACTTTTACACTGTTGGTGGGACTGTAAACTAGTTCAACCATTGTGGAAGACAGTGTGGTGATTTGTCAAGGATCTAGAACTAGAAATACCATTTGACCCAGCCATCCCATTACTGGGTATATACCCAAAGGATTATAAATCATGCTGATATAAAGACACATGCACATGTATGTTTATTGCAGCACTATTCACAATAGCAAAGACTTGGAACCAACCCAAATGTCCATCGATGATAGACTGGATTAAGAAAATGTGGCATGTATACACCATGGAATACTATGCAGCCATAAAAAAGGATGAGTTCATGTCCTTTGTAAGGACATGGATGAAGCTGGAAGCCATCATTCTGAGCAAACTATCGCAAGGACAGAAAACCAAACACCACATGTTCTCACTCATAGGTGAGAACTGAACATTGAGAACACTTGGACACAGGGTGGGGAACACCACACACCCGGGCCTGTTGTGGGGTAGGGGGAGGGGGGAGGGATAGCATTAGGAGATATACCTAATGTAAATGACGAGTTAATGGGTGCAGCATACCAATATGGCACATGTATACATATGTAACAAACCTACACACTGTGCATATGTACCCTAGAACTTAAAGTATAAAAGAAAACAAAAAACAAACAAAAAAACCCCTGCACATCTGTGCGTGGGAACTTTAAAAATCCACAACACAATGGAATAAGAGCTTGATTGTGAAAATAAATGTTTCATTAATTTGATTTTCCATTGATGTCTTTTTTTTTTTTTATTAAACCTTATTGCTGGCCAAGGAAAAGACATTCTGCAGTAGAAAGAACACCGGTTTTGAAGTGAAACAGATTTAGCTTGGAATCCTAGCTTTGCTGTTTTACTTTGTGACAACATTGGGTAGGTCATAACCTTTTTGAATTTCCTCATCGATAAAAGGGGGTCATATGTGAAGCTGATATGAGGATTATATGAGCTAGTCTGTGTGCAGTCCTTAGGACAGAGCCTGGATCTGCTAAATGCTCCATAAACATTCGCTCTTGTCAATATGTATCCATGTAAAGCCCTGCACAGAGTCTGCACCAAACAGATGCTCCCCGCTTCCCCCACCTCTTACTTGCCAATTTTTCTCCTAGCTTAAATGAGAATGGATTTTACCAAAAACCGAGTCACAGTGTTGCGTGCTTTCTGGGATCTGACCTCTTCTCACTCCCTGCAATGGGTTGAATGGTGGCCCTAAAGACATGTTCTAACCTCTAATCCTGGAACCTGTGGCTATTCCCTTACATGGCAAGAGAGTGACTATGACCTTATATCTGAAAGGATGTGACTAAGCCAAGGACTTTGAGAGGAGGAGTTTATCCTGGATTATCTGGGTGGTCCCTAAATGCAATCACATGCATCCTTAAAGGAGAGGCAGAGGAACTTTGAAACAGGTACACAGAGGAGCGATGCACACAGACGAGGCCAAGTGAAGATGGTGGCAGAGACCAGAGTGATGAGGCCACAGCAGCCAAGGCTGGAAGGACCAGGGAAGATTCTTTCCTAAAGGTTCTAGGAGAAGGCCCCCAGCTGACTTTTTTTTTTTTTTTTGAGGTGGAGTCTTACTCTGTCACCCAGGCTGGAGTGCAGTGGCGCGATCTTGGCTCACTGCAACCTCCGCCTCCTGAGTTCAAGCAATTCTTGTGCCTCAGCCTCCCAAGTAGCTGGGACTACAGGCGCATGACACCACATCCAGCTAATTTTTTATTTTTACTAGAGACAGGGTTTCACCATGTTGGCCAGGCTGGTCTCAAACTGTTGATCCTAGGTGATCTGCCCACCTTGGCTTCCCAAGCTGCTGGGATTACAGGCATGAGCCACTGCACCCGGCCTGCTGCTGACATCTTGATTTCAGACTTTTGGGCACCAGAACTGTGAGAGGATAAATTTCTGTTGTTTTAAGCTACCCAGCTTGTGATAATTGGTTACAGCAGCACAGAGACAATCACACACTCTATTAATCTGGGCTAGAAGACAAAGCCCTTCCTCTCTTTTTCCAGCAACTCGACAAGAGAAACGACCTGTGCAAGAGGGTGGACCACAGCCCACACAGGTGTGTGCAAACACACCGCTCAGCCTCGTCAGGCATATTTCCTCAGAGACCCTGGCACGGCCAGGCCCTCCTCACCCCCAACAATACAGAAGAGTGGGTGAGGCCCTGAGGCTACCCATCCCCCCACCTCCCGCCGACCCCTCGCCTGTTTTTTTTTTTTTTTTTCCCTGTTTTCTCTCTCAGGTTTGGGATTCTTTCAGGCGCAGCAAAACTTTTCTTTCCACAAGTCGTGACAAAGCTTACAATGCAAGTATCTTCAGTTACATAATATGTAGACTTTAGCAGGAACCTCTGTGTTCTGTAGTAAATGGCTTTACTACAGGTCGCTTCCTGCGTGTGTGGGCTTTGAGAGGGAACACAGCTGGAAAGAACACGTGGGACCAGAAGAGATGTTGCTATGGTGAAAGCTGAAGGCACAAAAGAGAGTCGAGAGTTCTGAAGACCCAGGCTTCCTCCCTCACAGTTTTGCAAAGCCAGCCAGAGACCATGCCCCTGGCCAGTCAAATGATCTGATCGTTGGGCCTTCCAGCAGCTCTGTGAATATGTAATATAGTATTATCCACATTTACAGTCAAGGAGACAGAAGCCAGTGGAGATCAACTAGTTTGTGCAAGTTCATGTAACTAGGAAGAGGGCAGAGACAGGACTTGAGCAAATGACCATCTGTCACCAAGACCCTGGCATGCCTCGTTGCCTCTAGCTAAAGAGAAATATAGGAAAATGCATGTGGAGGGGTTCAGTCTTACCAAACCCACCTCGTTGGAGCCCTGAAGGTCCTTCTGCATCATATTCTTCCACCATTCTCTGGGCAGCCATGAGCCAGAGTCAGTGCTAGGCCAGGGATTGGCCATGTGCAGGAAGCTTCCTATTGCCCTGTTGTATGGATGGAGAACACCTGGGCCTCAGTCCCCTCTGTTGCTATTTAGTGGGGTGTTGTTATTATTATTAGGAAGGACCCAACTTTGAACCTCTCTGTGCTTTAGTTCCCTCATCTGAAATGTGGAAGAGGGGTAGGTTGGATGACTGGTTCTGCATCTTTGCTGTCCATGAGAACTTCCCAAGGAGTGTTGGTTGGGCCAACCACTGCAGTTAAACTGGAATCTCCCTGGGTGGGATGCAAGCATCAGCATTTTCAGAATTTCTTCAGATGATTCTTTTTTCTTTTTTTTGAGACAGAGTCTTGCTCTGTCGCCAGGTTGGAGTGCAGTGGCCTGATCTCAGCTCACCGCAACCTCCACCTCCCAGGTTCAAGCGATTTCCTGCCTCAGCCTCCCGAGTAGCTGGGACTACAGGCGTGTGTCACCATGCCCAGCTAATTTTTGTATTTTCAGTAGAGACAGGCTTTCACCCTGTTGGCCAGGATGGTCTCGATCTCTTGACCTTGGGATCTGCCCACCTCGGCCTCCCAAAGCACTGGGATTACAGGCGTGAGCCTTGCGCCCGGCCCAGATGATTCTTAAGTACAGCCAATGTGAGAACCAACAGGTTACTTGATTGCTAAGATTCTTCCAGCTGCAATGTCTTCTGTCCCCATCTGCATGTAAAGACAGTACTGCTAGGGTTCACTTATCCAGACAGTAACGATTCATGAAAAACCCTCAACTAAAGCCCCATGTTCAACTTTTCCCGAGAAAGTCACCTCCCTTTGGTTTGTCCAACAATATAGTATTTAAAATCTGTATAATGGTCTCAACCCTCATGGTCTTTCATGCTTTTAAGAAAGAGGAAGGATTAATGGGTAATAAAACTATTCAGGAATGGCTTAGTTAATTATTATTCTAGGTCTTGCTATAAATGGTATCCTAGGGTTCTGAAAAAAATAATTAATGTAATTTAGTCATCCAGCACTAAGCCCTCATTTGATCTGAGGACTGCTACATTCAGGCTGAAGGTAGAGAGATGAGTAGTCTTTTGCACTTCAGAAACTCCCAGTCCAAGGTGATAATAACAACAGCAATAATAATAACAGCTGCAGCCAAAATGGGAAAATACTTATTGAATATCAGGCATTGCTAACAGGTGCTTTTTATATGTTATTATTTTAGATCCTCACAACAACCCTGCTAGGTAAGCATCATTTCCTTCATTGTATTCCTGGGGAAACTAAGGCCCAGAGAGGTTAGGTAACTTGCCAAGGTCACACAGCTAAGAAGTAGATGATCTGCCATTCTGATCTACGTCTATAAGATTTAAAATCCCATGCTCTTTCCATCATATGATAAAACCTCTAGAAAGAGAGAAAGGATTGAGAAATAGAGATAAAGATGGCAGGGAGAGGGTTAACTTCCATGGGAGAGAATCCGGCCCAGGTGGAGGAATTGCTGTGAATTGCTCACATGAAAGGTGTTAAAAGAAAATCAGTCTTGTAATTCTGTATCTTAACTATGTTTGGGGCTCAATCCTGTTAGAAGGTACAGCACTGGAACATGTAAATTCATTATGAAGAGCTAGTTCTTCTTCAGTCAGTCCCAGCTCCCTCCAATTAGTCTTCAAAAATAAACCCATTGTATGTTTCGTGGCTTAGCAACATCATTTTTCAGCCAGTGTGAGCTCTTTGGTTCTTAGCAGATTTTCACTTTTACTGACTGCCATCAGTGATATAAAATGTACCAGGAGGAGAGGATGGTGGTGGGCACAGCTGTGACAACGCCTTTCTCTATGCTGTTCAGATCCAAACACGGTATGAGCCGGCACGTTCTGAAGGCGCGCACACACACACACACACACACACACACACACACACACACACACATACACATACACAAACACTATTCCAAATGAGCTAAGACCTGGAGAACACACTATACACATATATACATTAGCTAACTCAGGAATCTAAATATAAATTTATTTTTGGAGAAACCCCCTGGGCTAAAATAATTCACCCACAAAGCCAGATGTAGCTTGAGGGGTAATAAACATGCTATGGCCTAGAGCAGGAAAAGGGAAAAAAGAATGAAGCAGTACATTTTCTTAATGAGGCTTTTTCAAACCACCATTTCATGTTGTAGCCAAAACAGATAAAATCACCAAAGGAACTTAGGATCTTGAAGAATATTCAGAGACTGTAGAAAGTGGTTTAAATAATAGATATTTAAGAAAAGATTCTAAAAAATATTTATTATGTTTATAAAATGGAAATTTCATGTTTATACTAAAAAAAGATTTACTATTACACATAAGTATTACACGAAGATGTATATAAACACATTGCATATGCAAAATGTATACACATAGACCACATGGCCAAATATGTGATATTATAAGGATAAGTTGATCTCACAGCAACATTTTGATGTGGAAAATTACCTCCACTCCAGAAATTATAAGTAAGGAAGATATACCCTGGCATTGCAAATAATAGCATAGGGATATGTCATTACACAACCTTGGATGAGATAACATATCAACCCGACATAAATACAGGCAACATCTATTCCTGAAAGGAATAAAAAAATGCTTACGAAGATACAGCAATGAGATACTGGGCTAATCGAATGACAAAAAAAATGTGATGTGTTCTTACATTGCTTACCCTAATTTTTAAAAAAGATTTGGAAAAAACAGAATAAAGATGACACTATCTGAAATAGTTGGTGTGCTTGAAATCCAGTTTTTAAAATTTGAAGGTAGGAATACTTCAACAAGATCATAAGCTTATACAACAGATCATAAGCTTATTTTTCTGTTTCAGATGCTTATCAAACTAGAAGTGAACATTTTGAACAGGTTTGTTTTCTAGGTGAAATCCTCTTTCCACATCCTACATAGCAAATACTCATGCACACCCACGCACATGAACACACACACACACACACACACACTTCTCTTTCTCTCCTTACAACTGTAAATCCATACCATGAGACTAAGGATGCTAACAACCAAAGAATGTGTTAAAGCAGCATTTTACCTCTTTGCTGATCAAACACAGAAGGGGTGCTGAAATCCATGGTAGCCTGTCTCATCATTTACCATCAGAATGGCAAAAAGCATCCAGGTCTCTAGAGAGGAGAAAACACCATCTCAAACCTTACTGTCAACATGACAGTCAGAGGCAGCATCGTTTGCCAAGACCTCTGTTTCAGGATTAAATGTGCATCAGAGCTGCAGGTTGTTGTCAAGGCAAGGTGATGAAAATAGGTAAATGCTATTCCTGTAAATACCTGCTAGGAAAAGAGTTACTCTATGGCCTCATTCATCAGCTGTACATGGGCATAATACACCCTCCACCCCCAAATCAATAAACACAATTACTCAAACTCCAAAAAGATAGTAAAATTGTATGGGCCACCTGCCTTGGATCTGGGCTGGAAAAACACAGCAGATCACGGAGCTTCAGCAGCTGGAATGTCGCTTTACACCAACAGAAATCTGAATGGGTGAGTGAGGATTCACAGGGCCAGACAGAGCATGTGCAAAGCTGCCAATGCAGTTCGCATTCGGCTGTGCTTTTGGCGGAGTGAGAACTGCATTTGGGTCATGTGAGCAGAGAGTGCCATCTCAATGGAATAGGATGTAAATATTGTAGCAGGAGGCTGCTGGCCATGTGCTGTGTGGAGTAATTATCCATGTTGGCAGTCTTCTTCACTCCCCTTTCAGCTCCGTTCTCCAATTGACAGGGAGGATGGGGAAAGGCGTCATTTGAAAGGTGACATTTCAAGGCTCGAGTGTCTGTGGTGATAAAATTAAAACAGTCTGCTGTCACAAGGGTGTTTATTGTAGCATTACATGTAGTAAAACCTGAAAAATCACCCGAATGTACCTCATTCAGGGAGCAGCTAAGTAAATGGTAGTAAATTCGTACTCTAGATTTAAAAATCTGACATAAATAAATCTGTGTATTTATCTGGTGACATGTCACTAATCTATTGTTAAATGAAATAAACAAGTTATATATTTCATTTGTTCGTGTTTTAATAAAACCGGAAACCACTCACTGTATACATTATTTTTATATATTCAGACGAACACTGAAAAAGATGTAGAAAGATACGTACTAAACTGCTAATATTGGTTCCCTCAGGCCACTGTGATTAGAGTAGGAGATTTCTAACTTGTTCTGTATCAATCTCTGTATTTTTGGCTTGTTAATAACCAGTATCTATTATCTTGTATTTGTAATAAAAATATGATATACTAAATTCAAACAAAGTTCTATATTCTAGGCACAACCAGATTTTTGGATAAGTCAAATAGCCATATAGTAGATGCTTGTTGAATCTAATAATAAACACCAGCTTCCTTTGCCCTTGGATAGGATGATTCTGAGGCATGGTGTTTTACTCCGTTTGCCATTTCCCTTTCAGGATTAAACTCCTTCAGGGTTAAACTCCACTGCCACCTGTGAGAATAGGTCTAATAACGTTCTTTTTATGGGCTGCTGTTCCCTCCCTGTATTACTTTCCCACGTTCCTACTGATATTTCCTGCACTTCTCAATAAGTTACTTGCATTGGAATCATTGTCTCAGGGTCTGCTTTTACGGAAACCCAAATTAAAATATTTCTCCACAAGAGGGTACATTTCATAAGGGCAGGGTCTTTGTCTACTCTTTCTTTGTCTGCTTTGTCCACTCCATGTCCTTACAGCCTAGCACAGAGAGGGGCACAAAGGAGGTGCTCAGTACATTTCAGTGCATGAGTGAAACTTCACTGAAGAACTTTCCTTGCTCAAGCTGACAACCTGCTCACTGACATTGTAACATTGGAACCCAATTAACCATCCTTCATGGGGTAAGAACTTTCTGACAAGAACTTCTGTAGTCCTTGAAATTTTCTAGTCTAAACAAGAAACCATGTACTTGAGGATTGGTTCTAGGGTTTCTGGAATTGGCTCTCAAATCTGATTAAATTTAAGGATTCTAATAGCTTTATTTCTAGGAGTAAAGAGAGCATTGATAGTCCATGGTGTGAAGTGGTAATAGAGATATGCAAAAAGCTGCACTGAATATTCCTAATTAATCACTGGACACAACAGGCAAGGAGTTGGGTGACTGTGTAGATGATACCCTCAAACATTTTTGGAAACTTAATGAATATGGCTGGTTGCTCCTAATGTCACTGGACAAAGTGATGAAAGAAAAGGATTAGCTCACGGATTCTAATTCCCAGCTCAGGTGCCATATAGATGACCTGGAGGTGTGTATGTGTACCCTGAAGGAGAGTCTTACCTCCTGTAGCCATGAGGCTGAGGATGCTGCAATCAAATGCAGGCTCTCATGCTGCAGCTGCCTGAATTACAATGCAAATTGAACTCCTGAATTACAGCGCAAGTCAAACTCCCAGCTTCACAGGATGTCTGCTGTTAAAGTGAGGACATTGATTGGGAAAGTAGAGGATACTGTAAATTGGATAGAGACATGTGAGAAGACCCTGATGAAGCTGGGGGACACTGAGCATCTAAACTCTGAGGAGTCTTCTTTGCCAGTGGAAGTGGACTCCCAATCCCTAGTAGAAGCAGCCTCCCCATCTCCAGTGGTAGCAGCCTTTTCACCTCAGTCTGAGAAGATTGACTCTGAATTGCCTGAGGAAACTGTATTGGCCTTCCTTGAGGCAGCTGCCGTGCACAACAATGCTGATTCTCTTCAGGAGCCACCACCATTGTTCCTCTGCTTCTAGACCTATAACTAGACTCAAGTCCCAGCAGCCCCTAAAGGTGAGGTGCAAAGTGTGACCCATGAAGTACATTATATTCCAAAATAATTACTTGAACTTCCTAAAAATCCAGGAAACATGGGAATGGATACTAAGGGAGTGAAATAATGGTGAAAGGAACATAAAGTTAGATCAGGTTGAATTTATTGATATTAACTAATTAAGCAGAAATTCTGCATTTACTGTTGCAGCTCAGGCAGTTATAAAGTGTTCTAACAGTCAGGTTAGTGGGTTGAAACATGGACCAAAAAGTGGCCCAGGGTGAGCAAATTGGAAATACTGGACTTGCCTTGGTTTAATGTGGAAGAGATTCAAAGGCTTAGGGAGATTGGAATGTCAGAGTGGATTTGTCATTTAAGAACTACTCACCCACACTGGAGGGTCTAGAAGACATACTTTTAGCAGTACCGTGAGGAATAGGAATAAATCTGTGAGGGGAACCCCAGCATCTTTGAAGAGTTCTGTGATTGCTCTTCTCTGCAGACAGTGAGAACTGCAGTCATTGAATTGGGAAACCTAAATGCAGTGGGAATAATTGGATCCTAGGATGGTAGGGCTAAGTGGTGGTACTCAACTGCCAAAGACAAGGTGGGCATAGTTACTGTTGTGGAAAAAAAATAGAATCATGGCACCCCAAATTCACTATGCCACAGGGAAATTTAAGCTTGAGAACTGAGTCATGCAAAAAGCTGTCTTCTTTCGTTCCCAAACAGATAGCTGTATTTTCACATGCTGACTTTATCATATGTAGAGTTACTGGGCATGAGAGAAATGTGTAATTGCTTTTTCCCCTATTCCCTCTTTTTTTTTTTTTTTTTTTTTTTTTTTTGAGACGGAGTCTTGCTCTGTTGCCCAGGCTGGAGTGCAGTGGTGTGATCTCGGCTCACTGCAATCTCTGCTTCCCAGGTTCAAGCAATTCTCCTGCCTCAGCCTCCCGAGTAACTGGGATTACAGGCCCCCACCACCACACCCGGCTAATTTTTGTATTTTTAGTAGAGACAGGGTTTCACCGTATTGGCCAGGCTGGTCTCAAACTCCTGACCTCAGGTGATCTGCCCACCTCAGCCTCCCAAAGTGCTGGGATTATAGGCATGAGCCACCACGCCCGGCCAACTCTATTCCCTCTTTCCACATGTAATATGTAGACTCACTGAGTGCTAATCAGAGCCTCACAAAAAGGTGACCACTTGTTTCATTGCCTATCCTCTCTCCTTTATTTCCCTCCTCTTCTGCTTGCTCTGTCCTCTTTAAATACTGAAGTTCCTAAAACTCTCTTTGGAAAAAGCCCAGGTCACAGATCCCACTGTGACCTGTGTTTCTTTTTCCTGGTTGCATCCTCAACCTTGGCAAAATAAACCTGCAGTCAATTAAGATCTACCTCAGTCACTCTTTGGTTTATGCTGTAATGGACAGCAGAGGTCCAAGCAGCAATCAGAGTTGTCTGAGTCATAGAAACCTATGGCATTGGCTAGTTGATCATGGCGTTTCTCAAAGTAAAATAGATAGGAAGCCTATGAAATTCTTAATCTGCATAAGCAGAAAAGCTCTAGGTTAAGTGACAAAAGTCTAACACGAATCATAAAAACAGAGAATCATGATCCCTCAATTAATTCCCAGAATTGAGCCTGTTTACAAACCTAAAACCCCTTAAATGAAGGGGAGGCTGGAGCCCTTGAGGAAAGGCCCTGGTACCCTACTAAATGTTTATACTGTTAATCTTTCTCTCAGTTTTCCCCAAAAGAGATGTATGGCCTTTTTACTAGGGTAACTGTGCATTGAGAAAAGAGAAATAATCAGACCTCTCAGGGCTTACTGGACATTGGCTCTGAGCTGACACTAATTTCAGGAGACTCAAAATATCACTGTGGCCTGCCAGTCAGAGGAGGGACTTTTGAAGGTCATGCGGTCAATGGGATTTCAGCTCAGATCCATCTCACAGTGGGTCTAATGGGCCCCAATGCCATCCTGTGGTCATTTCCCCAGTTCTGGATGCACAATTAGAATAGACATACTTAGCAGCTCACAGAATCTCTACATTGGTTCCCTGAATCGTGGAGTAAGGGCTATTATGGTGGGAAAGGCCAAGTGGAAGCCACTAGAACTGTGTCTACCTAGGAAAATACTAAACCAAAAGCAATACGACATTTCTGGGGGAACTGTAGAGGTCATAAAGGACCTGAAGGATGCAGGGGTGGTGATTCCCACCACATCTCCATTCAACTCTCCAATATGCTTTCCAATTTGGCAGAAGACAGGTGGATCTTCGAGAATAACAGTGGATTATAGTAAGCTTAACCAGGTGGCAACTCCAATTGCAGCTGTTGTTCAGATATGGTTTTATTCCTTGAGCAAATTAAAACACTCTCTGGTACATAGTATGCAGTTACTGCTCTGGCAAATGCTTTTTCCTCTCAATACCTATTAGTAAAGACCACCAGAAACAGTTTATTTCAGGTGACAAGACAACATTCTTGATGAACATAAATCCAAAAATCCTCAACAAAATACTAGCAAACTGAATCTAGTAGCACATTAAAAAGTTAATCCACCATAATCAAGTGGGTTTTATCCCTAGCATGCAAGGTTGATTCAACATATGCCAATCAATAAATATGATTCATCACATACACAGACCTAAAAACAAAAGCCGCATGATCATCTTACTAGATCAGAAAAGAATTTCAATAATATTCAACATCCCTTCATGTTTAAAACCCTAAACAAACTAGGCATTGAAGGAATATATCTCAAAATAATAAGAGCCATCTATGACAAACTCACAGCCAAAAACATACTGAATGGGCAACCCAGTATAGGCAGGACTGTACTGAATTCTGGAAGCATTCCCTCTGAGAATTGGAACAAGACAAAGATTCCTACTCTCACCACTCCTATTCAACATAGTACTGGAAGTCCTAGACTGAGCAATCAGGCAAGAGAAAGAAATAAAAGGCATCCAAACAGGAAAAGAGGAAGTCAAACTATCTATGTTTGCAGATGATATGATTTTATACCTAGAAAACCTCATATTCTCTCTGCCCCAAAGCTCCTACATCTGGTAAACAACTTCAGCAAAGTTTCAGGATACAAGATCAATGTACAAAAATTAGTAGCATTTCTATATACCAACAACATCCAAGCTGAGTGCCAAAACAAGAACGCAATCCCATTCACAACAGCCATACACATACACACACACATACATATACACACACACAGACACACACATACGCAATACCTAGGAATACAGCTAACCAGGGAGGTGAAAGAGCTCTATAATGAGAATTATCTTTCAAACAGATTCTTTTATTATTCTTTTCTGAAAGAAATCAGAGATGATACAAACAAATGAAAAAACATTCCATGCTTGTGGATAAGAAGGAATCAATATTGTTAAAATGGCCATACTGCCCAAACCAATTTACAGATTGAATGGTATGCCTATCAACTTATCAATGACATTTTTCACAGAATTAGAGAAAAATTAGAAAAATTTTTAGAATTAGAAAAAAACGATTCTAAAATTTATATGAAACCAAAAGAGCCTGAATAGCCAAAGCAATCCTAAGCAAAAACAACAAAGCTGAAGGCGTCACATTACCCAACTTCAAACTATACTACAAGGTTACAGTAACCAAAACAGCATGGTACTGGTACCAAAACAGACACATAGACCAATGGAACAGAATAGAGAGCCCACAAATAATGCTGCACACCTACAACCATCTGATCTTCAACAAAGTTGACAAAAACAAGGAATGGAGAAAGGACTCCCTGTTCAATAAATGGTGGTGGGATAACTGGCTAGCAATGTGCAGAAGATTGGAACTGGACCCCTTCCTTACACCATGTACAAAAATCAACTCAAGATGGATTAAAGACTTAAAAGTAAAACTTAAAACTATAAAAAATCCTGGAAGATAACCTAGGAAATAACATTCTGGACATAGGCCCTGACAAATATGCCTATGCCTATGTTGTCTTTCATGACAAAGACACCAAAGCAATTGACAAATGGTACCTAATTAAATGAAAGAGCTCCTGCATAGCAAAAGAAACTATCAACAGAGTAAACAGACGACCTACAGAATGGGAGAAAATGTTTGCAAATTATGCATCTGACAAAGGTCTAATATCCAGAATCTAAAAGCAACTTAAACAAATTTATAAACAAGAAAAAATCCCATTAAAAAATGGGCAAAGGACATGAACAGACACATTTTTTTTTTTTCCAAGACAAGGTCTCACTTTGTCACCCAGGCTAGAGCACAATGGTGCAATCTAAACTTACTATAGCCTCCACCTCCCAGGTTCAAGCAATCCTTCTGCCTCAGCCCCAAAAGTAGCTGGGACTCCGGGTGCATGCCATCATGTCTGGCTAACTTTTTTGTACTGTTTTGTAGAGATGAGGTTTCACCATATTGGCCAGGCCGGTCTTGAACTTCTGAGCTCAAGCAATCTGCCCACCTCAGCCTCCCAAAGTGCTAGGATTACAGGAGTGAGACACTGTGCTCGGACATGAATAGACACTTTTAAAGAGACATACCCGTAACCAATAAGCATATGAAAAAATGCTCAACATCACTAATCGTTAGAGAAATGCAAATCAAAAACCACAATTAGACCCATCTCCCATCAGTCAGAGTGGCTATTACTAAAAAGTCAAAAAGTAACAGATGCTGGAGAGGTTGTGGAGAAAAGAGAACACTTATATACTATTGGTGGGAATGTAAATTAATGCAGCCACTGTGGAAAGTAGTTTGGAGATTTCTCAAATAAATTAAAACAGAACTACTATTTGATGCATCCATCAAGTGGAAAGTTTCCTTAATTTCAATTTTTCAGTCAGATTTGTGTAAGCTGATCCAATTGAGATGTCTATGTTATTGGTTATTGTTTCTGCTGTTAATCGTCATTTCTCTTCAATTAAGGTATAAACAAGTTGAATTTTTTCCTTGCAAATTGAAATGGATGATCTACTGTTTCAGGCTTCATTTCCAAAGTGATCTCGTCCTTTCTTAAAATGAGTTATTCATTGATAAACGACTGATTTCTTTGGGAGCGTTGAGCTCATAAACTTTTCATAAAAGATCAACGATTTCACCATTCTTCCACTCAAACTTCCCCATAAATATAATATTTGTTCTTGTTTCAATTTTAGCAGGATTGAGCTCATAAACTTTTCATAAAGGATCAATGATTTCACCATTCTTCACTCAAGCTTGACTATAAATTTAACATTTGTTTTTGTTTTTAGCAGAATTCATGTTGCTCTGATAGAGGCTCTTTTCAAACTGAAATCTTAAGCTTCTTAGTGCTTTCAACTAGATCTTGTTCAGACATGTTAGTATGAGTCTATTTCAGATATGTTAGTATGAGTTTATTTTGGTGTAAAAAACTTGAAATTCATACATAGTTTTTTCATAAAACATATTTTCTATGAACTATTTGAAGACCCCTCATACGTAGATGTACAAATAACATACTGATATGGTTAGGCTTTGTGTACCCACCCAAATCTCACCTTGAATTGTAATCCTCATAATCCCTACAGGTCAAGGGAGAGACCAGGTGGAGGTAATTGGATAATGGAGGTGGCTTCCCCCATGCTGTTCTTGTGATAGAGAGTGAGTTCTCACGAGATCGGATGGTTTTATAAGGGGCTCTTCCTCCTTTGATCAGCACTTCTCCTTCCTGCCACCTTGTGAAGAAGGTGCCTTGCTTCCCCTTTGCCTTCTACCTTGATTGTAAGTTTTCTGAGGCCACCCCAGCTGTGCTGAACTGCGAGTCAATTAAACTCCTTTCCTTTATAAATTACCCAGTCTCAGGCAGTTTTTTACAGCAGTGTGAAAATGGACTAATACAATAAATTGGTACTGCAGAGAGTGGAGAGCTGCTATAAAGATACCAAAAAATGTGGAAGTGACTTTGGAACTGGATAATAGGTGGAGGTTGGAACAGTTTGAAGGGCTCAGAAGAAGACAGGAAAACGTGGGAAAGTTTGGAACTTCCTAGAGACTTGTTGAATAGCTTTGACCAAAATGCTGATAGTGATATGGGCAATGAAGTCCAGGCTGAGGTATCTTAGGTGGAGATGAGGAACTTGTTGGGAACTGGAATAAAGGTGACTCTTGCTATGCTTTAGCAAAGAGACTAATGGCATTTTGCCCTTGACCTAGAGATCTCTGGAACTTTAAACTTGAGAGAGATGATTTAGGGTATCTGGTGGAAGAAATGTTTTGGCAGCAAAGCATTCAAGAGATTATGTGGGTGCTTTTAAAAGCATTCAGTTTTATGCATTCAAAAAGAGATGGTTTGGATTGGAACTTATGTTTAAAAGGGAAGCAGAGCATACAAGTTAGGAAAATTTGCAGCCTGATGATGCACTAGAAAAGAAAAACCCATTTTCCAGCCAGATGTGGTGGCTCATGGTTGTAATCCTAGAGCTTTGAAAGACCGAGGCAGATGGATCACTTGAAGTCTGGAGTTCGAGACCAGCATAACCAACATGGTGAAACCCTGTCTCTACTAAAAATACAAAAATTAGCCAGGTGTGGTGGTACATGCCTGTAATGCCAGCTATTTGGGAGGCTGAGGCAGGAGAATCACTTGAACCCTGAAGGCAGAGGTTGCAGTGAGCTGAGATCATGCCACTGCACTACAGCCTGGGGGACAGAGTGAGAGTCTGTCTCAAAAACAAAAAACAAAAAACAAAACAAAACAAAACAAAAAAAAAAAGAAAAAGAAAAACCCAAATTTGCAGAAGTAATGAGGAACCAAATGTTAATTGCTAAGACAATGGGGAAAATGTCTTCAGGGCATGTCAGAGGTCTTCACAGCAGCCCCTCCTATCACAGGCCTGGAGATCTAGGAGGAAAAAATGGTTTTTGGGGCCAGGACAGGGCCTTGCTGCTTTGTGCAGTCTCAGGGCTTTGTGCCCTGTGTCCTAGCCATGGCTAAAAGGAGCCAATGTACAGCTCAGGCTATTGCTTCAGAGGGTGCAAGCCTTGGCAGCTTCCAAGTGGCGTTGCACCTGCAGGTGCACAGAAGTCAAGGATTGAGGTTTGGGAACCTCCACCTAGATTTCAAAGAATGTATGGAAATATCTGGATGCCTAGGCAGAAGTTGCGTGCAGAGACAGAGCTCTCATGGAGAACCTCTGCTAGGGCAATGAAGAAGGGAAATGTAGGGTCAGAGCTCCCACACAGAGTCCCCACTGGGGCACTGCCTAGTGGAGCTGAGAGAAGATGGCCACCATCCTCCAGACCCCAGAATGATAGATTCACTGCCAGCTTGCACCACGTGCCTGGAAAAGCCACAAACACTCAATGCCAGTCCATGAAAGCAGGCAGGAGGGGGACTGTAACCTGTAAAGCCACAGGGGTAGAGCTGCCCATGGCCATGGGAGCCCACCTCTTGCATCAGCATGACCTGGATGTGAGACATGGAGTCAAAGATCATTTTGGAAATTTAAGGTTTAATTACTGCCCTGCTGGATTTCAGACTTGCACGGGGCCTGTAATCCCTTTGTTTTGGCCAATTTCTCCTATTTGGAATGGGTGTGTTTACCCAATGCCTGAACCCCCATTTTATCTAAAAAGGGACTTGCCTTGTCTCAGATAAGACTTTGGACTTGGACTTTCGGGTTAATGATGGAATGATTAAGACTTTGGGGGACCGTTGGGAAGGCATGATTGATTTTGAAACATTAAAGGGATATGAGATTAGGGAGGCGACAAGGATGGAATGATATGGTTAGGTTTTGTGCCCCCACCCAAATCTCATCTTGAATTGTAATCCCCATAATCCCCAGGTGTCAAGGAAGGTAATTGAATCATGGGCACAGTTTCCCCCATGCTGTTCTCATGATAGTGAGTGAGCTCTCACAAGATCTGATTTTTTTTTTTTTTTTTAGACGGATTGTCCCTTTGTCACCCAGGCTGGAGGGCGGTGGCTCAATCTCTGCTCACTGCAACCTCCGCCCCCCAGGTTCAAGTGATTCTCCTGCCTTGGCCTCCTGAGTAGCTGGGATTACAGGTGTGTGCCACCATGCCCAGCCAATCTTCTTTTTTGTATTTCTAGTAGAGATGGGGTTTCAGCACGTTGGTCAGTCTGTTCTCAATCTCCTGACCTCGTGATCTACCTGCCTTGGACTCCCAAAGTGCTGGGATTATAGGCGTGAGCCACTATGCCCAGCCCTGATGGTTTTATAAGAGGTTCTTTCCTGTTTGCTCAGCACTTCTCCTTCCTGCTGCCTTAAGAAGAAGGTGCCTTGCTTCCCCTTTGCCTTCTGCCATGATTGTAAGTTTCCTGAGGCCTCCCCAGCTATGCTGAACTGAGTCAATTAAACTCCTTTCCTTTATAAATTACTCAGTCTTGGGCAGTTCTTTATAGCAGTATGAAAATGGACTAATACACATACATAGTGATATATATATTATAAAGAAGAAAGAAAAGTGTGTGTGTGTGTGTGTGTGTGTGTGTTTAAAGAAAACAAAGCTTTTGTTATTTTTTTGTTTTCTTTCCGCTTTTATTATTCAACATGAGATGTATTGACTTTATATCATAGTACTTATATATTGTTAATTTATACATAGCATTTAAGTTATAGGACATCAAGGAGAAGAGTAAGCATCACTTAAGGACTTTACATGTTCTTCCGGGGAAGGAGTTAGTGTGTTTTCAGTTGTATGTGGGATGGCTGTATCATGTTAGGTGCATATATGATGTGGTTATTGTCCTATCTGGAGATTAAGTATGGTTTATGGAGAGGTGTATAGGTGCCAAGTTGATGAGGGGTGGAAATGTGATGATTAATTTTATCTGTCAACTTGACTGGGCCATGGGATGCCAACACATTTGGCCAAACATTATTCTGGGTGTGTCTGTGAGTGCATTTCTAGATGAGATTAACATTTGAATCAGTAGACTGTGAAAAAAATTGCCCTCCCCAATGCTGGGGGGAATCACGCAAAATCTCGAAAGCTTGAATACAACAAAAAGGCAGAGGAAAGCTGAAACCTCTCTCTGTCTCTGATTGCTTGAGCTAAGACATGAGTGTTCTCCTGTTCTTGTACTAGGACTTATACCAGCAGCCCTTTATTCTTAGGTCTTTGGACTTGTGCCAGGATTCTATCACTGTCTTTTCTGGGTCTTTAGCTTGCAGACAGCAGATTGTGGGACTTCTCAGCCTCCATAACTTCATAAGTCAATTCTTTATAATAACTCTAGCTGTCTCTCTCTCTCTCTCCCTCTCTGTTTGTCTGTTTGTCTTATCTATCTATCTAGTTGCCTCAAGCCTTTAGTAAATCAAATGTGTCATACTTATATACAGGCTTGGATGAGGTCATGATGTGTAGAAGAACACAGTTTAAAGAAAATTCTGGATTATTCTACATTCATCCATCTCCTGGTACTTGTGAGGAAGAAGAAACTTTCAATCAAGTGTGAACCATGAAGAAGTGGCTCAGCAGTGGTTGATGTAGAAAGAAACACTGAAGGGCCCAGGGAAACTGGAAGGTCATCATTATCATCATTTTCATTATTGTTATCCTTGCTATATAACTCAAGCCAATCACCCAACATTCAAGCACCCACCTTCTTTGTGTATCAACATATAAGTTGCTTTATGTGTCTGTGTCCCTGTGGAATTTGAGCCGCTTCTTGGTCACATGCTTTTCTCCTCACCACTCTTAGCCTTCCTGCTCACCTCTTACCCCTCCAATCCCAGACCACTTCTCACCTTGATACTCCTTCCCTACCTGATCCTTGATTGGATGTTTCTTATGAGACCATCACAGTTGGGGATGAAAAAGCAGTGGCTGCTCAAGAATATTACCAATTTAAAACAGAACTGTAGATATATGACAAAAGAGTCCTTGCTGTTATCCTTGAAGTCAAGGGGTTTCTAAACTACTTCCAAGGTCATTCCTTTAAAAATCTGTGAGCAATGTTCATGAGCTAATTTGGACTTTTTCTAAGGATAGCCCATATACTTAAGAGTCCCACTGTTTTACTAAGAGCCATATTCTTGTATAAAATCCTGGAAGAACACTACTGAATATTGATGCCATCTGTCGCTTCAAATTTCCAACTGTTATTTATACTATACCCATACCTCATTTCATGAAGCAACACTATGAACTCTTTCCCTATAAAATATGCCTTATGCTTTATGTACATATTTGTTATACCCATAAGACAACTTTCATATTGCTTTGGTCGTACAATTCCTACCTTTTAATATTAATTCACTTATTTACTCAACAAACAAACATTTGGCACCTACTCTGCATTAGAGACTCTGATAGCTCAAAATATATGTCCTTTATAGAGATTTTTTGACCATTTCAACATTTGTTGCCCTATTTGGCTCTTAATCAAAAATTATATTTAGACACCTTTCCTACTGATATTGTTCATTGTTTTGTAATGTTAGTCTTTCTGTTGTTGTTGTTGTTAAGACAGGGCCTCGCTCTGTCACCCAGGCTGGAGCGTGGTGGCGTGATCACAGCTCACTGCAGCATCAACCTCCTGGGCCCAATCAATTCTCCCATACCACCACTCCCGGCTACTTTTTTTTTTTTTTTTTTGAGACAGAGTTTTGCTCTTGTTGCCCAGGCTGGAGTGCAATGGCATGATCTCGACCCCACCACAACCTCCGCCTCCCGGGTTCAAGCGAATCTTCTGCTTCAGCCCCCCGAGTAGCTGGGATTACAGGCATGTGCCACGATGCCCGGCTAATTTTGTATTTTTAGTAGAGATGACGTTTCTCCATGTTGGTCAGTCTGGTCTCAAACTCCCAACCTCAGGTGATTCACCCGCTTCGGACTCCCAAAGTGCTGGGATTACAGGTGTGAGCCACCGTGCCCAGCTAGTCTTGTTAGTCTTCATATCCACAACTGAATTCTGAACTTCTAAGTTCTCAGAAAGCAGGAGCTGAATGAGAGGTCTTCTGTCTCTCACAGTGCTAAAACAATGCTATGCAAGTAGCAGTAACAGAGTCAGTAGCCAGTAATAGATAGTGGTTTGTTAAATGCTAAATGTTAAATGCCTGAATGGAAAAATCATATATATACATATATATATATACATACATATATATATATTTTTTTTTTTGCAAAAATGGTGAAGAAGGTGATGGAAGCCTGCTAGCTCCACAGTGCGTGCTCCTCTTCCCCGCCCCTTCCCAGTGTGTGTGATCCCATCCTAGTTAGTGCAGACCCTCCCCTTTATGACTTTGTTATATATTTTCCTTTTGTTTTTAGTTTCTAGGCTTCTATGAAACTTTATGCATATAATGATAGAAAATTGTTTGAGTATTTATCATACTTATCAGGTATATCTAGCATGCTTAGGTTGATCTAGAACTATGATGTCATTCATTCAATCATACGATAAATATTTAATGAGAATTAACTATGTACTAGGCAACGGCCTTGGTGCTAGGGACATTGTGGTGACTAGAACAGGCGTGCGGTCCTTATTCACAAGAAGCTTTTACTTTAGAGGTAACTTAGGTGGGCGCTTGCTATGGTCTTTTGGCATCTCATAGTCCTTAGATGCTGAGGGAACATCTCTTAATGATTACCTTTATAAGAACATAATAGCCCTCCCCATAACTGGGCAGACAGAAGGCTCTTCCTCCCATCCCTCTAGCCCACTAACAAATGCTGCTCTTGCTGCTGTCTTACAGGCAACTTTCTTAGCCTACCTTGCCTAAATGAAAGATGTAAAGAGGTTCCTCATCCTGTTACACTACGATGTACTTAGGCTCATACTGGCTAGTGGGCATTGCTATTACAATGGGTATCCACAGATCCGAATAATGTTAGCCTTTCTTTTAAAAATCTCAAATAGATAGTTTTGAACTTGTTTCTTCCTCTGAACTGCATTTGTTGCTTTACTAGATTTCCATCTCAACTGGAAACCTTGGGAATTGTATTCAATCATATCTGGATTGTGGCCTCTTCCACGGCAATCCAATGGATTTGGGAAATTACAGAAACAAAATGGGATAAAAACACAACCCACGATGCTTTTAAATGTCTGTGTGAATGGTGAATTTGCTGAGCATCTCAAAATTGTTTTTGAAAACTTCTAAGTTGGACCACATATCCTTTCCGTCTATTTTTAACTCGTGAATTATTGGCCAAGTTTAGATGCAGTCCTGTGGTTTGAATTAAGTTAGCACATCATAGAGATCTGGCTCCAGCAATCTCACTCCTCCCCTCTGCTCCTTCCTGGCAGACTCTGGAGGGTTTAGAATAACATTATTCTTTGCATTAATTTTTCTGAGAGGAAGTCTTTGCAAGGAATCTAACTGAACTTGCCTCTCCAAAGTTTCTTGTAGAGTTAGGAAAACAAAATGTGAGGTTACCAAGAAGGTTAATGGAAGAGAAGTCTGTGGCTGTTTGCTTAAAATGGTTGCTAATGGGGCAAAAGTCTCACTCTGTAGAGTTGTTCTGTTTTGTGACCAGACTGTACCCCTACCAGCCAAAAACGTCCAGGAGGATTGTGTTGCTGCAGCAACGCCAATCCCTCCCAATTGCAAGAAAAGCAACTTACAATGTGACACTCTTGGTATATGTGAGCCCCACTTTGATCACGAGCAGGGTAAAGCAATGCTTCTTAAATTTCAATGGGCACAAACGTGATCTGGGGGATCAACCGAAGATGAACTTTCTGATTTAGTAGACCAGGGTAGGGGCAGAGATTCTGGATATCTGGCAAGTTACCAGATTATGTTGGTAGTTGGTCCATCTTTTGTGCAGCAAGGGGCTAGAATATTTCTCAATAACTAAATAAAAAAAAAATACACTTAAGGGCTTCTCCATGGAGGTTCACTACTGAACAGTAAAAACTCATAAATATAAACTAAGCTCCCAAAGAGCCTCAGAAAATCAATCTCTAACAGAGGTTAGCCAGAGGTGGACACTGGTTAATATCTGGCAACTCTGACCACCTTGAATCCCCGTGTCTATTTTCAGGTAAAAATGGAGTCACCTAATGGCTAGATGTTATCAGGGCCATACATGTCAGAGCTTCCTCAGAATTCTGCCCCATTCTAGTTCTACACACACAGAAAAATTACAGAACATATCTAAGTATTTCTCCAGTATGTATACTGGAGATAATCATGATACCCATTCTGAAAGGTTGTTGTGAGGATAAACTGGGGTAACAAGGCCGTGGTGTGCTAGTGGGTCCAGAATTGGTTCCTTCTGGGTTCTTGGTCTCGCTGACTTCAAGAATGAAGCCGCGGACCCTCATGGTGAGTGTTAAAGGTCTTAAAGATGTTGTGTCCAGAGTTTGTTCCTTCAGATGTTCAGACGTGTCCAGAGTTTCTTCCTTCTGGCGGCTTTGTGGTCTCGCTGACTTCAGGAGTGAAGCCACAGACCTACGCAGTGAGTGTTACAGATTCATTCCTCCCGCTGGGTTTGTGGTCTCACTGGCTTCATGAGTGAAGCTGCAGACCTTCCAGGTGAGTGTTACAGCCCGAAAAGCCAGTGTGGACCCAAAGTGTGAACAGCAGCAAGATTTACTGGGAAGAAACAAAGAACAAGACTGCCACACCTTGGAAGCGAACCCAACAGCATTGCAGCTGCTGGATCAGGTGACCTGCTTTATTCCCTTATTTGGCCCCACCCACATCCTGCTGATTGGTCCATTTTACAGAGAGCTGATTGGTCCATTTTACAGAGTGCTGATTGGTCCGTTTGACAGAGTGCTGATTGGTCTCTTTTGACAGAGTGCTGATTGGTGCGTTTACAAGCCTTTAGGTAGACACAGAGTGCTGATTGGTGCATTTACAATCCTTTAGCTAGACAGAAAAATTCTCCAAGTCCCCACCCGACCCAGAAGCCTAGCCTGCTTTACCTCTCACTAGCACTGTCTAGAGCTGTCTAGAGAACTTTCTTATCAAAAAATGTTGTAATTGGGTTTTTCTCAAGAAATGGTAAATTGGGGTCTCTCAAACTGGATGCTACATGAGGTATGACCATATTCTGTCATTATCCCATGATTGGTCAATGCTTGGCTCTTTCACCTTGCCAAGGAAACCACTGAGTGTAATTTCAGAGTTTTGGGAGTTCATTGCTCCATCCGTTTTGATCTCCATCACAAGAAGCAGGACTCCAAGCTGTACAGTTTAAGGATGGATCCCAAGATATTATTGTCTCTCCAAAGTTTGTACTATAATGAATATGCCAAAATTAGCATGGGGAGGAACACAATGTACGTATATAGGTAATATAAAATGAGCCTGTGACCCAGTTACAGCTTTCATACATTTTTCTAAATAATCGTAGCTGGTAGATTAATTGGAAGATGGCAGCTCCCGTAGCAAGTAGGGGGGTAATTTCCCTCTGGTGCATTTGTGCTGAAAACATGGGTTTACTATTCTGAACGTAAGGGACATTAACAATCAGCCTAGCCATTCCAACACCAATAGATCTTTCATTCTTCTTTAACTGTTCTTTTCTATTCCTCTACATTTCTCTGTTTCCTCCCCTGACTCCTCTTCAATGCCTTCTGGTGAAAAGAAAGAAGTGTCTTTTCTTTTTTGAGAATGCTAGGCTGCAATTAGTGTGCCTCCTTTGACACAAAAACTTTCCCCAGAGAGGTAGATTTACAACCTACAGTCCACTAAGCACATGGGCGTTGGAGCTTGACTGGCTAAATTCTAATCCCAGTTTTATAACGTGATGCTATCTCAGTTACGCCTTATTTCCCTCATCTGTAAGATGAGAATATCTTAGTGCCTTCTTCATAAAGTTTTTGAGTGAAGTAAATTGACTTAAATATGTCAAGTTCTTAGGGCAATGCCTTACATCGTAATTCTGATAGACATTTACCTTTAAGATTTCCATCAGTTATTCTATCTCTTTGTTGTTGTCGTTTGTTTTTATTGAGATGAAGTCTTGTTCTGTTGCCCAGGCTGGAGTGCAGTGGCGTGATCTTGGCTCACTGCAACGTGCGCCTCCCGGATTCAAGCAATTCTCCTGCCTCAGCCTCCTGAGTAGCTGGGATTACAGGCACTCACCACCACACCTGGCTAATTTTTGTATTTAGTAGAGGTGGGGTTTCACCATGCCACATTGGTCAGGCTGGTCTCGAACTCCTGACCTCAGGTGATCCACCCGCCTTGGCCTCCCAAAGTGATGGGATTATAGGCATGAGCCACTGCGCCTGGCCAAGTTATTCCATCTCTTTTGCAACTTCATCTTTTTCCCTCCTCAAGAAACTTTTCCTTAGCCTACACATATATCCTTCTTCAGGCCTTAAAAAAATAAAAATGAAACAAAACTGTGATGATGTGATGTTTCTTCAAACAGATTTATTCTTTGTTTCTTGACATGATTTTGGGAATAAAAAGGCTACATTTGCTATTTCCTTTCCAGACCACCCAATCTCTGCTTGATCCAATGTAATCTGGCTTTAGCTCCCTAGCTGCTGAGGGCAAGTACTACTGTGCAGATGCTCTGATGGACAACTGTTCTGATGGAAGTTAGGATCCAGGTCACCTAGGGCCACACTGAAGTTTTTAATGGTTGGAGGAATTGATTGACAGCACCTGCTGTGAAAAACATACAGACTTAAATAATATTTCCTGCAAATCTCAGGGTTCCCAATATCTAAGCATTCACTGTTATTTTGGCGGTGGGAATGGGGCCTTGGCACTTTAGCCCAGGTGGTATAGAATGGTGGGAAGAATCGTGAACTTGGTGTCACAAGAAGTGGGCTCAAGTTCTCATTCTTCTTTGCACATGTTAGATGCTCAATCAACACTCGTTTAACTGAAATAATTATTTGCCCAGCAAACCACCCAGGACTCTTGCCTACTTAGTTTTATGCTAATGCATCTGCTATCCAGGTTGGGTCAAACACTGAGAGAGCCTAAATGGAGGTTAGGCATCTGGGCCTATAACCTAGGTGTCCACAGGCAGGAGTTAGTAAGCCCAGGGGCTTGGAAAGGGGTTTCTCTCTGAAGGGAGATTGAGACAGGGAGATGCAGGGTTGATGATGTTGGCTGCTGGACCCAGATCTGACCCTTTAGACAGAGAAGTGGGGCTCAAGCAAAATCCTCTCCTGCTTTAAGCCAGCTTGGTATTTCTCTGGTATCATCTATCTAGCTTTTCTCTATCTAGTTCTGCCTCCAGTTTCTTTTTTATTTCAAGATAATTTTAACCTCTGAATTCCTCTTGTTATGTGTCTTGAGAAAAAGTCCCAATATTCAGAGAGTCATAAACTATATTAGAGCAAGAAGTTATCTTAATCATCTTCAGTTTACACAGAGACCTAGAGAGCTGCTAATTAACCCAATCATCATCAGAGAAAGTAATTTTCTTTTATTTGTAAGAAGAAAATTAAGGAGGTTTGAATTATCATTTGGCTGGTTAAGGCGACACTCCCATTGCATGAATGCAGTGTCAACAATTTAATGACATCAAGAGATGGGAGGTTTCCTTTACACGCTCTCCCAAAGGATGTTTTCACATGTGGTTCTTTCAGATAACAGTTTTGAAATGTTGAGTGACACCCAGCACATTTTCTATTTGATTTCACAATCTTTTTGTAAGACAGAATTAAAAAAAAATCTATTTCCTTCCCGCTGGAAATAGAGCAAGCAGATTTACATTAAGCTTATGAAGCAGAAAATTAAAATTTTTGCAAAACCATGGTATGTATTATTTGGTCTACATTATGCTAAACAATTGGTTTTAGTCACTTTGGGCCCCTAAAAGTGACCATTTTTTGGTATGTTATAGACCCAGCCTGTATGTTTCTTGGTGAAATGGTGACTGAATCTTTCTTTGGCCTAATATGTCCTATTTGCCTGTGAGAGATCTGATGTATGAGTTATACGTGTAGCAATATGGCAGCCTTTAGGCAAGTTTAGATGAAATATTTCAGCTATGTGTAGGATTTAAGCTTCCAGGAGTTTATATTCTGACATTTCCCTCTTTCTCCCTCAGGGAAAGAAATTCTATTAAAATCCAAATTGAAAAATGGAGAAAAAAATGAGATCTCAATTTGCAGCAGGAAATTTTTGGCATGACTAGGCTTAGGGAGACAAAAGACAAGTTTGAAGAGCTAAATCTGAATTAATCTCTACATCTCTAATCAAACAGGTTTATGCTTTCCTTCATCCAGTTAAACAAACAAACTAAAATTCTATGGGCATACCTACACACATAATTGTTCTTTTGTTATAATATTTTCTCTGTTATAATTCAAGATAAAAATAACATACTAGGAAAGGTTTTGGCTATTTGCTCGATAAACTAAGATATGTCAGAAGTGATTTTCAACATCAGGCTATTAATAATATTTGATGGGAATAAAGGTTGTTATGGTGATCTCTGAATTCCTTTTTGTCAGTGATAAAGTCTACACCAGGATATCAGCCTGTTTAAATGCTTGAAGAAATGTTCGTGTAGTTCTGTCTGCATGCAATGGGCTCCTGTGTATGAAATTTCATGGCTACCATGCACAAATAGGAATCCAAATCAGAATTCTTATTTTTCTCTTAGTAAAAAACCCAACAGCTGAGTTAGAATGGTGTATTAGAACAACTCATCCATCAGCCATTGATTAAGAAGTAGGTATTGAACACTCATTAAGTGCCTGGCCCGATGCTGAGTGTCATTATTTGTTATTCCAAAATGCTTCATAAATGAGCAGCCCAGCTCAGATCTGATGCACTCTCAATTCCCCAAACCTTTGCCAAAATTGTTTTTGGCTGGAACAAAGATAAACATGTAGAATCTCTTTTTCTCTGACAGGAATAGCTGACTATATAGTATACTTCTCGTTTTTCAAAATCCAATTCTCAATATATATGGCTAATTAAAAAAATACACCAACAGTGAGATAAAATAAATAGTAAGCTATACACTTGGGAAACTATTTGCCACAAATATGCCAAAGAATTAATATCTTTCATATTTAAATATAATATGTTTCAATAAGAAAAACATCAACATAACAGAAAAATAGGTACAAGTGAATAGTTTATAGAGAAGGAAAAATAAGTCATCAATAAGGAAATGAAAAGATGCATTTTTTTTAGTCTAGTACATGGTAGCTATTCAATAAGTATTTATTGAATAAATGAAGAAATTCATTACTAAAGAAAAAGGGTTCAATATTGGTAGCAATAAAACATTAAAATTTCAAACAATAATTATATTTTGCCTCTCAAACTAGCCTATATTAGTATATCAGTCTGAGTCTAATGAGGAGATAGAAACCAAGCAGTAGATTGAATAAGGAAGTTTAATATAAATAACTATTAACTATCATAAAAGAGTAACTATAAGAGATAAGGAAACTCTCTGTGATGCCCTAGAACTAGAGGAGAGTACCCAGGGAAAGACAAACTCGGAAAGAGGTTCAGACCTCAATGGAGAAAGTTTAGTTCAACCCACTGGATAGCAGAGAAGTTCATTGCTGGTATGCTCAGACTGGTGCCGGTCAGCAGTCACTATGAAGCCACTTTTCAGAGTGCAGGTGGGATAACGTCATCAGTAACCAGTGGTATGAACATGCAGGGGTAGGAAAGTGCTTTAGGCTGCAGCGGGGCAGCACAGGGGCCTGCATAGGGTATCCAGGTGTCAGCATGTTCAGAAGGCCTTCGAGATGTTCGTTTCCATGTCAAGAGGGTCACAGAAATGTTATTGGCAGTCTGAGGCTATAAGGATTCTTGAGTTGTCTGAGTTTTCTGGGCCTAAGACTGGTGCAGACGTCTTCATACCCACACTACTGGCTCTCATGCTACAGTCGGAAACCTCAGGAGAGCCTCTTGTCTCCTGCAATGTCCCTGTAGTGCCTTCTTTAAAGGAGAAATGCTTAAAGGAATTCTATTATCTCAGAACATATATTGAAAAGTAAATTTGGAGCAGAGAGGCAATAAATTGATAATTAGTACCATCAGTTACCATTAAAGAAAAAGTATAAAGAATAATTTAAAAATATATTGATAAATATATTATTCTAAGTAATAATGGCAACCATCAAAAGTACTAAAATGATAAATTATTCACAATATTAACATGGAGGAAGTGAATTGAGAGTGAGAATAGAAAGACTTTTACTTTGTATTTTATTTCGTGCCTTTCTATATTATTTTTATTTTTTTGGTAGTTTTTATGAAAGAATGCATTATTTTCAATATCTGCATCCCCAAAGTCAGATAATCAAAAAATTAAACCTATTCACTAGTTAGATAGAAATAGTAAGCAATTTTCCAAATTATTATAAGAAAGAAAGAAGCAACAAAAATCCAGGAAAAATAAGAAACAGCAAAAAGAAACAACTATAAACCAAACAAATAAAAACAAAAACAGAATATCTGAATAAAAATAAACATAATAGTGTTCTCAAATAATGTAAATGGATTAAATTCCCCTATTAAGTATAAAAACTCCCAGAATGATTTTTAAAAAGCAAAATACAAATATATGATATTTTAGAAAACATGCTTAGAACAAAAGGCAGAATGTAATGAGAAAATTAGGCTAAAACCAAAGTGAGACAGAATGTAAGCTACCACAACTTTACAAGGTATGTGCCATCATTGTCCTCCATATCTGGTGAGGAAACTAAGACACAGCTACTGCGGCAGAACAGTGATTAAAACCCAGGTTTTCTGGCTCCTGAACCTGTGCTTGTAGCCATTATGCTAGATTGCAAAAATGGTCACAATTCTCAACCCCTGCAGCCTTATTTTTCCAGTTTCTTTGTAAGAAAGCAATTGCAAAACCACAGCTTTGAATATGAGAATGTGAATTCAGATGGATTTCAACAATTGTGAGCAGCCCTGTTTAATTCCAAGAGTAAGGTTTCTGTTATGACTTTTCACTTTTTGCACTAGGCTGGCAAGAGTGACTTAAATAACTGCAATAGAGAATCAAAATCCGTTCACTGCAAGATGAAAAACCTTAGCAGAAACCCCATTCCCCAAATTAAACAAGGCTGTTTATAATAATTGACACTTATTCTAATTCACTTTCTGGTATTCAGAGCTGTGGCTTTGTAATTGCTTTTTCAAGGGGAGATATTGGCATTTCTAGACTACAAAGCAGCACATGGTATCAAGATGTGTTTTGTTTCTCATGAATAATGATGCTGAACACCTTTCTCATTTGCATATTGATCATTTTCATATCCTCTTTTGTGGAGTGCTTGTTCAGGATTCTGGCTCAACATTAAAAATTGTGTTGTATATCTTTTTCTTATCAATTTATAGAACTTTTATACAAGAATATAGTCTAGATATAAATTCTTTGCCATATGTGTGTGTGCATGCAAATGTCTGAATAACAAATATTTTATACCAGTCTGAGGTTTGCTTTTTCCATTCTCTTAACCATGTCATTCATTGAACAGAATTTCTTTATTTTAATTAAATCCAATTTATCAGTATTTCCATGTGTTCTGTCTAAGAAACTATGGCCTAACCTGAGGTCCCTGAACATATTTACTGTGTTTTCTTCTAGAATTTTTATTGTTTTACTTTTCGTCTTTAGATATATGATCTACCTTGAATTAATTTTTGTGTATAATGTGAGGTAAGGGACAAGAGTCTTTTTTTCCCATATGAATATACACTTGAACCACCACCATTTATTGAAAAGATAATTCTTTCTCCACTGAGTTTCTGTGATGCCTTTATCATAAATCAGATTTATCATAAATCCTATGGATGTGGGTCTGTTTCTGAAGTCTAATTTATTCCATGATCTGTTGTCTTTTCTTGTTCCAGTACCATACTGTTTTAATTTCTCTAGCTTTGATATCAGGTTTTGTCTTTTTTCTTCAGTATTGCCTTAGCTATTCAGAGTTCTTTTTATTTCCATATCAATTTTACAAATAGCTTATCAATTTCTACCAAAAAAATTGATAGCATTTTTATTGGGATTGCATTGAATTTATATATCCATTTGGAATGACTTGATATCTTAAGACTGTTGCATCTTTGAATTCCATGTTCATGATATTACCTGTCATTTACTTAGATCTTCTTTTACTTCTCTCAGCAACTATCTGTAGTTTTCATCGTAGAGATCTTATACAACTTCTATCAGATTTATTCTACATAATTGATGTTTTTGGTGCTTTAAAAATTTTACCAATTGTTTGTCTCTTTTTAAAAATAGATTCATTTCCCCAATGAAATTCTCCAACCTTTCTTCCATTTTGTCTATCATTTTCTCCATTCTCTTGACCATATTAATCACAGTTATTTTAAACTCCCTGTCAGTTATTGTTAACATCTGATTCACCTATAAATCTATTTACTTTAAATAAATTTCTACTTGGATTTCCATAATTTGGTTCAAAGCCTGGACGGTTCAAAGCCTGGAACATTCGCCAAGGTTTTTCTATTTTGGAAAGGTTTTAATTATGACCTTTGCCTCCCTAGTACTGAAATCTCTGATCAGATCTTCAGCTATCCTCCTTCCCTCCCTCCCTGCCTCCCTTCCTTCATTCCTTCCTTCCTGTCTCCCTCCTTCCCTTCCTTCTCTCTTTCTTTCTTTCTCTTTCTTTCTTTATCTTTCTTTCTTTCTTTCTCTTTCTTTCTTCTTTCTTTCCTTTCTTTTCTCTTTCTCTCCTTTCTTTCTTTTCTCTCTCTCCTCCCCTCCCTCTCTCCCTCCCTTCTTTCCTTCCTTCTTTTCCTCTCTCCCTCCTCCCTCCCTTCCTCCCCCCTCTCTTTCTTTGTGTCTTTCTCTCCTTCTATTTCTTTATTTCTTGTTTCATATTTTGTGTGCCAGCTTAGGAACCCATAAACTTTAGGGAAATAAGTTTGCAGAATTGTAGGCACCTTTGTTGTTTCCCTTCTTCAGGACTTTCCTAAGTCCTGCCTGCTTTGGCAGCTCCAAATTCTTACTTCTACTTTCTCAGCCCACTAAGACTGTTGTATTTGTATATCCCTATTCTGCAGTGTGTACATGTCCTCAAGAGAATATCTGGAATGTATGTGGACCTCATGCCATAGGGTTTTCTTTAAATCTCGCTTGTGCTTGGTGTCTCCAGTGCCTTCAGGCAATTGCTTTATGTATTTTGTGCAACGTTTATAATTTTTTTTTAAATTTTTTTAGTATTTATTGATCATTCTTGGGTGTTTCTCGGAGAGGGGGATTTGGCAGGGTCATAGGACAATAGTGGAGGGAAGGTCAGCAGATAAACATGTGAACAAAGGTCTCTGGTTTTCCTAGGCAGAGGGCCCTGCCGCCTTCCGCAGTGTTTGTGTCCCTGGGTACTTGAGATTAGGGAGTGGTGATGACTCTTAACGAGCATGCTGCCTTCAAGCATCTGTTTAACAAAGCACATCTTGCACGGACCTTAATCCATTTAACCCTTAGTGGACATAGCACATGTTTCAGAGAGCACGGGGTTGGGGGTAAGGTTATAGATTAACAGCATCCCAAGGCAGAAGAATTTTTCTTAGTACAGAACAAAATGGAGTCTCCTATGTCTACTTCTTTCCACGCAGACACAGTAACAATCCGATCTCTCTTTCTTTTCCCCACACTTCCCCCCTTTCTATTTGACAAAACCGCCATCGTCATCATGGCCCGTTCTCAATGTGCTGTTGGGTAAACCTCCCAGACGGGGTGGCTGCCGGGCAGAGGGGCTCCTCACTTCCCAGACGGGGCGGCCGGGCAGAGGTGCTCCCCACATCCCAGACGATGGGCGGCCGGGCAGAAACGCTCCTCACTTCCTAGACGGGATGACGGCCGGGAAAAGGTGCTCCTCACTTCCCAGACTGGACGGCCAGGCAGAGGGGCTCCTCACATCCCAGATGATGGGCAGCCGGGCAGAGACGCTCCTCACTTCTTAGACAGGGTGGCGGCCGGGCAGAGGCTGCAATCTCGGCACTTTGGGAGGCCAAGGCAGTCGGCTGGGAGGTGGAGGTTGTAGCGAGCCGAGATCACGCCACTGCACTCCAGCATGGGCAATATTGAGCACTGAGCGAGCGAGACTCCGTCTGCAATCCTGGCACCTCGGGAGGCCGAGGCTGGCAGATCACGCGCGGTCAGGAGCTGGAGACCAGCCCGGCCAACACGGCGAAACCCCGTCTCCACCAAAAAATACGAAAACCAGTCAGGCGTGGCGGTGCGTGCCTGCAATCCCAGGCACTCGGCAGGCTGAGGCAGGAGAATCAGGCAGGGAGGTTGCAGTGAGCTGAGATGGCGGCAGTACAGTCCAGCCTCCGCTTGGCATCAGAGGGAGACCATGCAAAGGGGAGAGAGGGAGGGGGAGGGGGAGGGGGAGAGGGAGCGTTTATAGTTACTTTTGAAGAAAGGGCTAGGTGATGCAAGCTATTTTATCATAGCTGGAGTCCTAAATCTTCTCAGTATCTAGCCTTAAAGTATTAAAGTATCTAGCCTTGAGCTGTCTGTTATCTTCAGTAAGTCTTCTAAACTTAATGGCTTCCTTTTCATAGTTTCTTCGGGGAATTAAAAGGAAAATGACTGTTTCATGTTTAGGCTGGCACAGGGTGAACAGAAGAGACCAGTCATAGAAGATGAGATATGAGGGGACAAAAATGCAGCAAAAGCAGAAAATAAAAGCAAATACTGCCTGGGAGAAATGCACAGATTACTGAGAGCTGGTGCATTGCCAGTGCACATGGAATGAGAACTATTTAGTGAGAATTTTTCTTTCCTACTCATATGTTTCTTCCTCTAAAGGGAGCCCATTTATCACAACTCTGGGTCTCTCTCTGTTTCTTTACTCACTGTGTCTCTGGGGTGGTGGAATGACTCATTTGTTTGAGAAATATGGGAAGAATTGTGGTGTATGTTTAGCTCAACTCTGTCCTCATACTGCCCACAGAAAACACGAATTTACTTATTGTCAGTAATAATACTGACAAATTTGGGTAGTCCCCTTCCACATGGCAAAGTCTCCTTGAATCTGACACTGGGACAGGGTGTTCAAGCCTTGAGTTCATTCAGCAAGAACATACGATTCTCAACGTAGACTCTTAGAACTTTGCTTTTATCTATCAAAAAGTTGCTATTTGTCCTGTATATATGTTTTTTTCCCCCTTCTCCTCAACTTGTTTAGAACCTAGATGAAAAGAGGGGTGCTATTTGTTGGGATATTCTCAAAGATCTTAACATGGACTGTCTTAGTCTTGATCTCCTAGAGAACAAAACCTAAGGGAAAGATCTGACAGTTGGTTTAAGAGGTGCAAGCCAGGGGTGTGAAAATGTTGAAAACAAATAGAAGTTAATTAAGGAAAGAGGTGAAGCTATGGGGTGTGATGTAGGATGCTGGCTTCAACTTCCCAATGAGCTGTAAAGAGATATAGGGCATCTGTCTTCATTTGGCACATGCGACTTTTTTGGAGTGTGTGTGTGTGTGTGTGTGTGTTGTGTTTTTTCTTTTTGAAACAGTCTCACTCTATCACCCAGGCTGGAGTGCAGTGGTGTGATCTCGGCTTACTGCAACCTCCCATCTCCTGGGTTCAAGCAATTCTCGTGCCTCAGCCTCCCAAGTAGCTGGGATTACAGGTGTGTGCCACCAAACCTGGCTAATTTTTGTATTTTTAGTAGAGACAGGGTTTCACCATGTTGGCCAGGCTGGTCTGGAGTGCCCGACCTCAGGTGATCCGCCAGCCTCGGCCTCCCAAAGTGCTGGAATATAGGCTTGAGCCACCGCGCCCTGCCTTTTTTGGAGAGTTTTTAAAGAGAAGCCATACTATGAATGGATGAAAGGAAGGACATATGTCTGCCTGATTCTCTTTTTTCCACCTGAGTACTAACCAGGCCCCACCCTGCTTAGCTTCCGAGAGCAGGCGAGATTGGGCTCATTCAGGGTGGTATGGCCAGACTCTGATTCTCTTTCATTTCCTGTTTCCCAATGGTCAAGATTTACTCCATGGAAAGTTAAGGCCCCTTACACTTCTGGGTGGCATCATCTAGCCCCTTCTCAGCTGCTCAGGTGCCGTGCCCCACTATGTAGCATTTCATCTGTGACACTGGGAATGAGGCGCCAACTGAGAGAAGACAGCAATTGAGGGAATCTTGAAAAAGGGCAAGGTTTATGTCCAATACAGAGACTGGAGATGTTTTCACTTTAATCTTCCTAGACTTGTGGACAGTACCTGCAGTACGTGGATCATTCATGTGAATGGCTTTCAGATTACACCAGGTAATGCTTTCTTTGTCCCAACAGTGTGATGGTCATGGGGAAAGCTTCCAGCCCCATGGGAAGCCAGCAGTGGCAATAGTTTGGGGAAGGCTGTTCTTTCAGCATTCCTCAAATCAGTGAACTTACTCAGTGGAGGGTTGGTTTGGGATGTGTTCTTGGGTTGAGGGTTTGGCCTCAATTAAATTTAAACAATAGATTCCTGTAACATAAAGAGTAAAATTATAACATTATACAATGTTATATATAGCTGAAAGGGATCTTACTCTTCCCATTCTTTTCTGAATGATTTTGTGAAGAGCCTGACAAAATCTCCTTTTCTTCCTTCTCTCCTTCTTCCTTCTCATTCTCACAAAGCAGAGAGATAAAGGCAAGAAGCCTATCACTCAAACACTGTCCCATGTCCCAGTAAACACAAACAGAGCTCCCGAAGGAGCTTTCAGAAAATTGCCCCTGCTGGCGTATTCCTTGTTTGGGTGCCAGGTGAGGGGAACCCTATTGTGTGAATACACAATGTGCCCAGTCTCTCTCCATCGAGGTCCATCACCATCTTTCTGCTGGTTGGAGATTATCACTGGCAACGCCTGCAGAGGAACCTGGGACCATATCTGCCCACTCTAGTCCCTCCACGAAAGCCGCAGGAGGATTGCCCCTTACTGACCACCTGCTGGCATGCACTGATGAAACTTCAGGTCACACAGTTGCTGCCACGGAGGTGAGAATTGGATTGGGTGGGTTAGAGCGAGTTTTGGGGTGGCAAGGCATAAAAGCAGATGGCCTGCCCTAACTGGAGGGTTTGTGCCTATTTTGCAGATTACAGAGATCTTTTGGGAAGTGGATGTGAAGGGCTCCGGAATGTTCCTGCCTGTGCCATTCCAGGGTGAGTTCTTGGGTGTTCATGCGGAAGGCCCGAATATTCTGTTATGGGTATCTTTCTACACAAAAACGTTATGCTGTACCCTCTACAACCTGTGTTCTAGTCAGTGCTAGACTTATCTGCAAAAGTGTCGGCAGAGAAAATGAGGTGAGGGTCTCTGAGAGACTGGCATTGAAAACTGGCTCTAGGGTTCTATGGGAAGAGAGGAGGGATGGCTGGGAGGCGAACTAATTTCCCAAGGCTAGAGCCTGTCTTAACGTCTCCTTTGGGGGAACCCAAGTTCTACCAAAGTTTAAAGTGGCAGAGTTTGAAGACAATACAGGCCCCAGGCCCATAGTCTGTGGATGAAACCGTAAATCTATCCCTCATCAGAGGGAGGCAGAAAGATGCTTCAAGCATGTAAACCCTGCCACTCAAGAGGTAGCGTCTAAGTGGGAGAAGAAGAAACATCATCATATGTTGGTCTAGAACAGAGATTCTCAAGTGTTTGGGTCTCAAGACTCCTTCACTCTCTTACAAGTGATAGAGGACCATAAGGAACTTTGGTATATGTGAGTTATATCAACCTATAGTTACTATACTTGAAATAAAACCCGGAGGACTTAAAAAAGTTTATTAATTTTAAAAACTCCAATAATAAACCCAATACCAATGAACATAAATACCACATATTTATGAAAATGACTTATTTTCTGAGACAAAAAATTATCAAAATGACACTGATGTATGTCTCTATAAAATGTTTGCCAATCTCTTTGATATCTGGCAAATCTCTCTTTGAGAAATGCTTTCTATCAGAAGACAGCTGGATTCTCATATCTGTTTCTGCACTAGTCTGTTTGATATCACATATCATGTAGCCTCTGGAGAGCACTAATGCACACTTGAGAGGACGAGATGAAAAAGGCGATTGATGCCTCAGTGTTATCATGAAAACTAGTTTTGACCTGAAAGAGGCTTAAAGTTTCCAAACCACACTTTAAGAATACCCGGTCAAGAATTTTCTGGTGAAACTTATTTATTTACTGTTCTTTTAAAAACAAGGGGTTTTTAATATCCATGAAAAGATAACTATTGATTCTTATTTGGCAGTAGAGAAAGTCTTAATGGTTAAAAAATTTGTAGTTTAGTGAAAATCATTTCTGGGGAAATATATTTGCTTCCATATTTTTTCCTGCAGCTTTCAATCTTGCTGGTAAGTACACTTCTACTTAGATGCTCTTTGCTTTGTGACAGAGAAACTCATATTTCTGATTTTTTCTTTAACTGAGGTTTTTCATTCCTGTGATCTCAGGCCTGCCGTGAGCCAAGGGACTTTGGCTGGGGCTGGGGATGGGATGAGAGGGTGGGAAGGTTAAGAGCTGGATCTGCCGTTTGCTGAGTGTGTGACCTTCACCGATTTACTTAGTGAATCCAGAAAGAAGCTTTTTATTGGAAGTAGCCAAAACAAACAAACAAACAAACAAAACAAAACAGAAAAACCCAGCCTGAAAGCCTTAAACAAGAAGAACAATGTATTTTCTCATATATTATGAAGGCTGAGGTAGAATTTCATTAGAGTTGGTTGATTCAATGGCCCGATAAGGGAGAACTCAGGTTCTTGCCATCTTTCTACTCTGCCATCTTCAACATACCAGTAGTATCTTTAGCTACTCTTCTTGGTACCCTGAGTCACGTCTGGACACAACATCTGATGGAAGAAACAGGAACTTTTCTTCCCATATGTCTCTTTATTATCTAGTAATCCTTTCCAAAAGCCTCCCCCCTTCCACTAGCAGACCTCATCTCATGAATTATTGAACAAAACTAGGTCACTTGTTCCTACCTAAGCCAAACCCCAGCTATTGAAAGTGGGTTTCTGTGATGGGCCTCCCTAATTTGTATGCATGCCAGAGCTGCTTGGGGAGGGGTGGACATTTGAAAAAAATTTGAGATTGGTCAATGAGGAGGGAGCGTATTGGGTAGAAAACCGCTCATGTCTGCTACACTTAAGTTTGCTGAGCCTCATTTTCCTTATCTGCAACATGGAGTAAGAATAGTATCTGCTATAAGGCACATGATGCTAGCTATTATTTCAGTTGTCATTATTATTAAGCTCCTGGATAGTATCATGAGAAGCAGTTGATTAAGGAGAATTGCTCCAAAACTTGCTTTTTGAAATCTTTGAGTACCACATACATATATGTAGGAATGGATGGCAAATCTCACCAAAGTTTATACAGTCAAATTGGTAGAATAGCCTCTCTTCTATAGATCTCCTCCTCTATTGATAATATCTCCGATCACATATTGATAATACCTTTTATTTTTTGACTTCATGTCTTGGATGAGTTGAAGCTGGATTGGTCGTGGCTTATATAAGTCCGAGAAAGGGATTCGGGACAAAGTTTTGTTTTGCTTTTGTCACAAAAACATTCTAGATTACACATATATGAGCTGAGCTGACTGCAGGGTGCTCAATGCAGAGAAAGTTCGTATTATTTAAATAAATGATTTTATACTCATTTATTTTTTGACTGTGCCATGTACTACAGTAGGTCCTTTACATATACATGTTTTTCTAATCCTACCAACAAAAATGTATTGGTGCGTTCTTCTCATTCATTCAACATATATTTGATTGCCAGTAATCTCATTTTACAGACAATAAAATGGAGGTTTACAGAGGTTGACGCACATGGTTACAGTGATATAGCTGGTAAGTGGCCACGTTGGGATTTGTGCTTAGGTCAGCCTGACTTCACTCCATGCAAAGTCTTCATGCCTTCGTTTCCTGAGAGCTTCCTCAGTGTTCAATTTCACCAGGCTTCACCATTAAGAATGGAGGTGGGCGGGATCAGTGACAGGGTGTTGGCTCACACTGAGGGGTGAAGCCAGATCCCAGGATGGTCTGTTGTTAGATGGCCCCCTCTGGTCACCGTACTTCCCTGGAATTTGGGTTTGTTCCTCTTGGCTCCTGCAGGTGGCAGGTTTGTACCAGTCAGTGCTTGCCTTCTCCTTGCCAAGAGACTAAAGTGGGGAGAATGACTTTGTTGGCAAACTGTAGACATCAGATGCATCACTTTCTGGACTCATTCTGTAGGATGGGCAGCTGGCTCTTTTCAGCTACCCTCATGCAAGAAGATGGAATAAACTGCATTTGAATTGGAATTTTACTTATGAAACGTGCCCTCAAATATTTAATACACACTTATCCCAATGACAAATGTTGACGCACTTAGGGAATGTATTGGCACCTATAGCTAACACATCTATTATGTTTATCTGTACAATCGCCATAAGCTTCCTAATGTGGTGGGTATGAATTATTTATGTAGCATAGTGCTTGGTGCTTGTGACTTCTCAGTTGATGTTTGTAGAAAGCATTAGTGAATAACTTGGAGTAAGATGATCTGGGTTTCAGCTTTTAGTTGGTTATTTCCTATTTGGGAAGCTTTTAGTAAGTCAGATGTTCTCTGAATCTCAGTTTCCTCATCTGTAACATCAATCATGATGATAATTCCTAAGCTCACTTTTTATGGGAATGAAAGGCATATGGAAAGGACTTGGTATAGTACTTGTCAGAGATGGTTATTATTTTTAGGTGACCACACCAAAGTTGTAAAATATGTTAGTGTTTGATACCTCCTTGTTGGGATTATAATATAAAATGTCTGGGGCTAGAATTTAGCCAGATCCCACTGGTGACACCTCATCTCTGGTTGGAATTTCCTGCCCTCTTCTCAAAGTACATACCTTTGTCACTTCACATGGATAATTGTTGAAGTAATTTACTTATTGTTTGTCCTGGCTTCAATGTTGCCTTCTTCATCTCCAATTTCATTCATTCATTCATTCATTCATTCTTTTTTTTTTTTTTCCAAGACAGAATCTCTCTCTGTTGCCCAGGCTGGAGTGCAGTGGCATGATCTCGGCTCACTGCAACCTCTGCCTCCTGGGTTCAAGTGATTCTCCTGCCTCAGCCTCCCTAGTAGCTGGGACCACAGGTGCCACCGCCACGCCTGTTGAGTTTTTGTATTTTTAGTAGAAAGCCATGTTGGCCAGGCTTGTCTCGAGCTCCTGGCCTTAAGTGATCCTCCTGCCTCTGTGTCCCAAAGTGCTGGGATTACAGGCGTGAGCCACCACACCCGGCCCTTTCTTTCTCTTTTTAAATATAATTTTGTCATCTTTCTTCTAGACAATAGATTATCCCTTTAAAACATTTTTCTTGTAAGACATTTACTTTTGTTAAATGGTGAAAAGTTAACAGTTTCTTATCTAGATTTATAAAGATTTTTTAAAAATTTCAACTTTTATTTTAGATACAGGGGTACATATGCAGGTTTATTACATAAATGGACTGCACCCAGGTCATGAGCATAGTACCCAATAGGTAGTTTTTCACCTCATTCCCTCCCACCCTCTCCCATCTAGTAGTCTGCAGTGTCTGTTGTTCCCATGTTTATGTCTATGTATGTTCAATATTTAGCTCCCACTTTTAAGTGAGAACATGCAGCATTTGGTTTTCTGTTCCTGCATTAACTCACTTAGGATTATGGCCTCCAGCTCCATCCATGTTGCTGCAAAGGACATGATTCATTCTTGTTTATGTCTGTGGAATATTCCATGGTGTATATGTTCTACATTTTCTTTATTCAGTCCATCATTTATTGGCACCTAAGTCAATTCCATGGCTTTGCTATTGTGAGTAGCATGGCAATGAACATATGAGTGCATGTGTCTTTTTGGTATAATAATTTATTTTCCTTTGGGCATATACCCAATAATGGGATTTCTGGGTCGAATGGTAGCTCTGTTTTAAATTCTCTGAGAAGTCGCCAAACTGCTTTCCACAGTGGCTGATCTAATTTACATTCCCACCAACAGTGTATAGGTATTCCGTTTTCTCTGCAGCCTTGCCAGCATCTGTTTTTTTTTTTTTTTTTACTTTTTAGTAATGGTCATTCTGAATGGCGTGAGATAGTGTCTCATGGTGGTTTTGATTTCCATTTCTCTGATGATTAGTGATGATGAACTTTTTTTTTTTTTTGAGATGGAGTCTCGCTTTGTTGCTCAAGCTGGAATGCAGTGACGCGATCTTAGCTCACTGCAACCTCCACCTCCCAGGTAGGTGGGTTCAAATGATTCTCCCACCTTAGCCGCCCAAGTAGCTGGGATTACAAGTGCGCCACCACACCCTGCTAATTTTTTTTTTGTATTTTTAGTAGAGATGGGGTTCCACCATGTTGACTAGGCTGGTCTCTAACTCCTGACCTCAAGTGATCCTCCTGCCCAGGCCTCTCAAAGTGCTGGGATGACAGGCATGAGCCATCGCACCCAGCCAGATGAGCATTTCTTCATATGTTTGTTGGCCACTTGCATGTCTTCTGAGAAGTGTCTGTTTAGGTCCTCTGCCCATTTTTTAATGAGGTTATTTGGTTTTTGCTTGTTGATTAGTTTAATTTCCTTATAGAGTCTGGATATTAGACTTTTTTCAGATGCATAGTTTGCAAATATTTTCTCCCGTTCCCTAGATTGTCTATTTACTCTGTTGATAGTTTCTTTTGCTGTGTAAAAGCTCTTTAGTTTAATTAGGTTCCACTCATCAACTTTGTTTTGGTTTCAATTGTTTTTATTTCCCTCTCATTTCTGAAGGCTTTTTTCAAGGAGGCCCTTCCATAATCCTAACTTCCATGTGCTTCTGTCACCTGACCACCATTATCCACCCACTAACATCCATGCAAAAAGGGTGTGCAGTGGCAGCAGGGTAACTCTTGGGACCCCAATGAGCTTTGTGCATTTTCACTTCTCAGCCTGTGTGTGCTCTCCCTCTCCTTCTCCCTCCTTCCTTGGAAGGTCTTCTCCATCCTCTCTTTACCCCAAACCACATCTACATCTCCAGGATCCCTCTTCCGTGAAGGTCTCATCCATCCCATGCTGATCTCCCCACTTTGAACTCCCTTTGCTCTTATGAGGCATTACAGATTGCTGGATATTTAAAGGCATGGTCTTTGGTGTCGGACAGCCTGGAATAAAATCCTGGCAAATGATTTAAACTTTATGTGGGTTGGTTTCCTTACCCCTAAAGTGGCAATAATTATAGTACCTACTTAATAAAGTTGTTTTGAGGATTCAACAACATGATTTATATAAAGCATTTAGCACAGTCGTTGGAACAGAGTAAACACTCAATACACTGCCACTATTACTATCCTGATCAGTATTATCAGTAAAGAGATTACTTGATACTTCTTTATTGCTTGTATCGGATTGGGCCTCATCTTCCTAGGTAGATAGCTTCTTATATTCAGGGACTGTGTCCCATGTTTCTTTGCTGCAACCCTTGCATTCATTGCCTTATATACTCCCTGAACATGGCAAGTACACCACAACTTCTTATTGCTTGATCAGTCTTGTCTAGTATTAAGAAATAAAACCGATCTTTGGTTAATTTTTAGTAAAGCCACATAGACACTGATTGAGGATGCCATTGCCATGTGCCAAGAATATCTACAAAGCTTTCTGATTAGAGACAGTGGCCCATTCAGAATTCACAGAGTAGCCTGTCTGACTGTAATATACATTTTATTTAATTTTTTGAGACAGGGTCTCGTTGTTGCCCAGGCTGGAGTGCAGTGGTGTGATCTCGGCTAACTGCAGCCTCGACCTCCTGGGCTCAAATGACCCTTGCACCTCAGCCTTCCATGTAGCTGGGACTACAGGCATGCACCACCACACCCATCACACTTGGCTAATTTGTGTAATTGTTCTTTTTAGAGATGGGGTTTTGCCGTGTTGTCCAGGCTGGTCTCAAACTCCTGAGCTCAAGTGATTTGCCTGCCTCAGCCTCCCAAAGAGCTAAGGTTATAGGTGTGGGCCACTGTGCCTGATTATAATATACATTTTATTAAAACAAAGAGTTCATATCCTTTTTAAAGTTTATTTTTTTTTACTGTAAGTTCTGGGGTACATGTGTAGAATGTGCAGGTTTGTTACATAGGTACACACGTGCCATGGTGGTTTGCTACACCCATCAGCCTGTCATCTACATTAGGTATTTGTCCTAATGCTATCCCTCCCCTAGTCCCCCACCCCCCGCAACAGGCTCCAGTATGTTATGTTCCCCTCCCTGTGTCCATGTGTTCTCATTGTTCAACTCCCACTTATGAGTGAGAACATGAAAGTGTTTGGTTTTCTGTTCCTGTGTTAGTTTCCTGAGAATGATGGTTTCCAGCTTCATCCATGTCCCTGCAAAGGACATGAACTCATCCTTTTTTATGGCTGCATAGTATTCCATGGTGTCTATGTCCATTCTATCCATTCTTTATCCAGTCTATCATTGATGGGCATTTGGGTTGGTTCCAAGACTTTGCTATTGTGAGTAGGGCTGCAATAAACATACGCATGCATGTGTCTTCATAGTAGAATGATTTATAATCCTTTGGGTATATACCCAGTAACGGGATTACTGGGTCAAATGGTATTTCTGGTTCTAGATCCTTGAGGAATCACCACACTGTCTTCCACAGTGGTTGAACTAAATTACACTCCCACCAACAGTGTAAAAGCATTCCTATTTCTCCACATGCTCTCCAGCATCTGTTGCAAAACAAACAGTTTATTTCCTATACAATTTGCTCATTGTCTATAACATTGGGAAATAAAGGAGAAAAGTGTGACAAGTGACTAAATAATTTCAGTGATGACTAGGACATTTGTGAAGTTTATCAGCCAACAAAACATAATAAAATTGAGTTGGTCCCTAGTCTCCCAAATATCCCCTCTCTGCAGCTCTGGAGGGCTGTGACGTCAACGAGGAATAATGGCTCGCGTCCACGGTTCTGGTTGTTTTCTCCTTCAGTTTTCACAATTCTTTTTTTTTTTTTTTTTTTTTAAGTGCTAACCTGCTTTCTTTCTCTCTGCCAGGGGTGGATGTGATTACAAAGCTCTTCTCAGCCTCAGGTAAAGATTATTGTTACCTGTGGTCCTGAGAGACCTGGCTCTATTTCTCAAACCTTTTGTATGTGTGCTGGGAAACCCTAGGGTTAAATGTCACTTCTCTAGAGAGCTGGGGGAACTTTCACCACCACAAAGTGGCCTAATCCCACGCTCTGTCTGAGGGTTTCTCTGGAGTCCCTCTGCTGGCCATGAGAAACAAGAGCAGAAAGCAGTTCTTTAGAATAAGAAACCCAGAATTTTGTATTTGAAAGTGATACATAGAGATGTAGAGAGGCAAGACTTTTCCTGCTCAGCAAAGGGAAGTCACACTCAGGTTATGATCTAAAGCAGTGAGACTAGGTGCAAAATCAAAATTAATTTAATACAGGGTACTGGAAAAAAATAATTCCTTTGAGGAATAACTGGAATGTACAACTAATGTTTGGTTTTTAGAACAAGGCTGGAAGGCATGTTCCTTACCCACAAATACTCCGCCTTTCCCCCAGGTTGCTTTGGTCTGGTCTAATTCATGAGTCAGATTACCAAGGTATCATACAAATAGACAGACGCCATACAGATACCAAACTGAACCGATGGAATCAGACACTTGAGTGTGCGCAATTGATGCAGCACTCTGATTACGGACTGGGCTTTGTGGTCCATTGGCCCTGGGTTTCATTAACTGTCCAGGCTCCCTCCAGAGACTCAGGGCATGTTTTGTTGCTGTGGGTGGTGCTCTTGCTCTATCAAAGGGACCGCAAGAGAGTATGCGCTTCAGATGATGACCAGTATAGGTGCTGAAGGACTTCTTATACAAAAAGAAGCAGCTCCTGGTGTTTGTCACCAAAAGGATGAGAAAAAGAGAAATGAAAATCAACCACATATGCAACAATGTCATATCTTCTCGACTCATTTTCTGATCAAACGAAAATGAAAATAAAATCCATGCACTATACAATGACTTAGAAATATCTACCAGCCCAGAGAAGTAGATAAAGAGTGAAAATATTTCAAAGGAGATGGATGAGAAATAGATGGCACTTGGTGGAAAGTCCTGACAATACAGCAAAGGAGAAACTGGTCACTTGTGTTTAGGAAAGGGCAATGTACTGAGGGGCCTTGGCCATCCCTGAGGTGCAATGCATGACAGCAGCCAGTGGGGGTCAGAGGTGCTCCATGGCTTAGAGCGCCTTTAACCCTCAGCCTGCAAATCCTGCGCACAGGAGACCAGCTGGACCTCCTTTGGAGCTGGTACTTCCCTCCAGGCAGAGCAGAACTGTGAAAACATAGGAGGTGGTTGATCTCATATGCTTTACCACAAGCGCACTTTTGACTTCAAGACAGTTTGCTGATTTTATTTTTTCTTTCACTTATTCTCTTCCCGTTTCTCTTGTTCCCAGCAAAAACCTCTCTGTTGATCATGGATACAGGACAGTCATCTCTCTGAGTTAAGCATGTGAACACCCAAAATCAAGGACTATAGCCTGTTTCCTGAACCCTTATCTCTCTAGGGTACAGAACTTTTTTTAAGTCACTGGCAGTTTGGAGACAATGCTTAAGTGGGTGGGTGGTTCTGGTTGGTTTATAGGTACACACGGGCATCCGGGCTGGAGGTGGCTCACACAAGCTCATGAGAGCCAGTTGTGTAATCTCTTCCCTGCCCCTAGTTAAGTGATGTCATGTTGGTAGCTTGATGTTGGCCATGGTGGGAGTATTTATGCTACAAAAATGGCCATTTACTGCAAATCAGGACTACCCCTCTCCCTGCAGCACCCCAGAAAGCTGGTTGTTAAATACAATGAGTACACCAATGGCCCCAGGGCAGGTTTAAGAGTCAGAGAAGGTATAAATTGCTGGTCAGGCCTGGTGGCTCATGCCTATAATCCCAACAGTTTGGGAGAGTGAGGTGGGAGGATCACTTGAGCCCAGGAGTTTGAGACCAGTCTGGGCAACATAGTGGGACCCCATCTCTACAAAAAAATTGGCTGGGTGTGGTGGCACACACCGGCTACTAGGGAGGCTGAGGCAGGAAGATCACTTGAGCCCTTGAGGTTGCAGTGAGCCATGATTGTGCCACTGCACTCCAGCCTGAGTGACAGAGCAAGACCCTGTCTCAAAAAAAAAAAAAAAAATTACTTAGCCTCATGTATGTTCATGTTCAGGCCACAATGCATCTAGTGAAAAGAAAAAGGAGCAGTGTTTGATTAGCTGAGAGGATCTTCCAGTATGAACCATTCCAGAAACTATAGTCAACAATCCTTTAAAGATGCCTTTCCTATTAAGGGCAAGCAAGAAATTAAATAAAATTTTTGTTTGTAATTTTTAACAGTTGAATTGCAGTACTAAGTGGCTCATGAAGCCATGCAACATCTTTTTCCTTTCAATTTTGAGCCTTAGGAAAAATGTGAGCTTTCTTAGAAAGCTTGTAACATCAGATTTATCGTTTTTATGAAGCAAAAATCCAGAATAAAAACAGTGGCCACCAGGAACCATTGAACAATACATGTTTGCTCATGTCATGTTCATGTACAACTCATGGATTTAAAGGCATAAAGTTAGCTTTTCTCAGAGAAAACACTCTATCACATTCATGGATTAACTTTCACCCTGGCCAGTCTATCAAAATTACTGGAAGACACACACATTCAAGGAGTTTGCTGTATTATAACATTTGCAACACTTTCTGCAAAGGAAATAGGTTTAAGTCATTAGATCACAATATATATTTTTATCATTAATGAAATGTTTTCAGATAGATTATCGGCCCCATGGGGTTTCTGGCCATGCAAGGAAGATGGCTAAATGGGGGTGCTAGCTCTCTGGGCTTGGGAGATGGAGTAAAAGCAGTGGGCAGGAGGGCTGAGGAAATAAGTCATTATAATGAGGCGGTGGGAGCCAGGTTTCTCACTGCAAGAAAAGAGTAATAAACATAGGAAAGAAGAAAGCTAGAATGAACGCTGTGGTCTATGGGATTAGGATGAGAAGTTTTGGTGTAAATTTAGAGTTTGCACTATGTGGGGTTGGATAAAGAAACAAAACGTTGATATACATTTCTGTGAGTCTGTGCATACACTTTATATCTTCATGTGTGCGTATGTATACACATTCACACATGTACACAAATACATACATTTCCTAGCTTTGTACTAGAGAGAGCTTGGGAGTAGTGAAATCCAATAACAAAGATCCTACCTAGAATTTAGTTTCTAAATATTATACTATTTTTCCATGAATATGGACCAGAATTCCTTGGAGAAATGGCCGATCTCACAGGTGGACCAGGAAAAATATGCCAAGTTTAAAATATCTTGTTGTGCCAGAAGGTAAGAAAGTAATCAAATAATGATGGCAACATAGAGGACATGGGACAGCCGGAAGGGGTGCCAGCTGGCCCAATCTGGGATGATTTGTGTGTCCAAGTAACCACAGTATTAGATTATATCCCATTGATTAAAATAGATATCCATGAGTCTGTCCTGATATAACAAGCAAATGAACACATAAATGGAAAGAGAATGCTCTTTCCTAAAGTAGAATGCCAGCTAATGAATGCTGAAAAAATTAAGGACTTAGAGCAATTTGAGAACCATAGTAATTATTTTAGGCAAAATGCATCAATAGATTTGAAAGCTGGAAGGTGAAAGTTGAGTAAAGAATGGGATGTTTACACAGTCTAGGGGTATCTCTCCAGGAAACACTTGTTGACTGCAAAGTAAAAAAAGGTAATTGGTGGTAACTGGGAGATACAGGGTTTCTTTTTGGAGTGATGAAGACATAGTAGAATTAGATCATGGTAATGGTTGCACAACATTATGAATTTACTAATAATCACTGAATTGTACACTTTCAAACAGTGAATTTTATGTTACATGAACTTATCTTTAAAAAAATAAAATTAATTTGACAAATCAGTTACATACTCTAGGCCTGGGGAAACAACAGTCAAGAGGTAGAGTTAGCAGAACCAAGTGGCTCAGAGGCGGACCCATTGACTGAGCTCAACCCCCTGGAGATGGGCATCGCCTGGCTGTTGCTAGTGCCTGCCAGGGGGAATGGGAGGCTGGTTCTGGGGCTACTGAAAGCTGGAGCCAACTATGCTGCTGGAGCAATACTGCTGCTGGAGAGACACTCCCAGAAAGTGCAAAGACCAGGAAGGAGGGTCCCTTTCCTTCCTCCCAACCTCCAGTCACACTCTAAGGCTTCTGCCGGCAGCATCTAAGGGGAAATGAACCAGATGGCTTACCATATCCAAGAGCAGAGTATAGAAAGGTGGGCTTGGATCCAAGAGACAATAGATAAATAACCAACACGCAGAGAACAATGGAGAATTAACAGCTCATACAATGAGGGGAGAGGATTCTTTTCTCATATAATTATTTTCTTCTCTAAAAGAGTGATTCGTTAGATCTTAAACTAAATGTTGCTTAATTTTAGAATAACTTCAGGAATATTTTTATAAATCAGAAAAAAATCTTATTCCTTTATATATGCTAATTCTACATCTGAAAACATTTTTCGGTTCTTACATTGCTCCCACCTCCTTGACCCTTAGGTATAATGGAGAGAATTCTGCATCCTAGTATGCATACGCATTCCCACCTGGGTGCCTTTGCTCTGGGTGCCTTCCCACCCAGAGGCCCTTCTTTCCTCTTCTCTGCCTGAGTTCTATTCTTCTTCCATCAATGAAGCCTTTTCTGTGCACATCAGTTAACAGTGACATTTTCTTTCCTGCTTCTGAGTCCTCATGGGACGAATTTCCAGGTTATGCTTGGACACACTGTCTTGAGTAACCAGCTAAGTTTTCATAGATGTGTGCTCATGTCTATTTATTACATGGATGGTTCCTGACATGCCCAGACAGTGTGAAGCCTCAATGAATATCCGTTCATGACTGAGCCTCTATGGACATTTGAGAACAGCTTTAAAGTGAATAACTGTATAATAATTTTATGGAAAATATTCAAATTTTCCAGGAAAAGGGATGATCGGATGACAAGAACACCTCTGTTTCTGTCCCCATTATTTCTACTAGTCATTCACTTTTGCATGAGCCAGAGTTGATACTCTTATTAAATGCTTGGTGTTTGGAAAAGTTTGTGAGGCCAACATTTGCCTTAGGTACTGGTCAGACAAAGCTGAACCTGATGAGAGAGAAGAGGTCATCAGATTGCACATACTTAAAAAGTAAAGAAACTCTAGGTAGTCTTGCCTCCCACCCAGGCTTAAAGAGTTGGCATCAAGGTGCTCAAATGGACCCAACACAGAGACTGGCGATGCTTTCAGGTTTGGTTCTGTTTGCTGCTCTTATAAACTCATTTTGTGTCCAAGTGGCTTGCTCTGTCAGATGAAACCTTGGAAAGGTAAAAAATCCTTCTCAAGTCAAATTTTCATCTTCCTTTGAAATCTCTGAACCCATTAACTCGGGACATTAACCAGCACTTTCATGTTACCCACCTGAGACCACCTCTTGTTCAGCATCAACCATCTTTTTTTTTTTTTTTTTTTTTTTTTTTTTTTTTTTTGTGAAAGAGCATGCTTTATTTGGAAGCAGAGTGCTGCACAGTGACCGACAGATGAAGGCCACCCATTGGGCACTCACACATCGTACTCCAAAATACACACAGGATGCTTTGCTAATAAAAATCAATGGGAACAGGGATTCCTCTGGGCAACTCCCCCAACCTCATCCCTTTCAGGGGTTGGGAAATCTCCCAACCATCTTCCTGATGGCAGCGGTGGTTCACTAGAGATAAAGCCCCTCAGGGATGCCTTCGTGTTTCTTATAAAGAACACTTTCTATAGATTTTTTGAAGTCTTCATTTGTTGCTTTCATTCTATGTTCTCTTAAGGCCATCAGACCAGCTTCTGTACAGATTGCCTTGATGTCAGCACCAGAGAAGTCATCTTTAGCCATGATCAAGTCGTCCAGGGTTACATCATTGGCCAGTGTCATCCTGCTTGTGTGAATCTGAAAGATGTGCTTCTTAGTCTTTTCATCAGGCAGGTGGAACTCGATCTTCTTGTCAATGCGGCCTGGTCTGATAAGTACTGGATCCAAAGTTTCTACTTGTTTTGTGGCCATGATAACTTTCACATCTTCCCTAGAATCAAATCCACCCAATTGGTTCAACAGTTCCAATTCCAACATTGTTTGCTGAATTTCTCTCTCACCACCAGAATTGGAGTCATATCTTTTTGTCCCAATGGCTTCAATTTCATCAGTAAACATGATGGATGGTGCATGTTCTTCAGCAACTTGAAATACTTGCCGTACGAGTTTGGGCCCATCACCTAGGTACTTCTGAATAAGTTCAGAGCCAACCACTCTCAAGAAAGTGGCTGAGGTTTGGTTTGCTACTGCTTTGGCTAACAAGGTTTTTACCTGTGCCAGGTGGACCACAGAGAATGACCCCTTTAGGAGGCTTTGTACCCATCTCTTCATAATATTCAGGATGGGGGAGAGGAAGCTCCATAGATTCCTTAATTTCCTGAATTTGGTTGTCCAACCCCCCAGTATTGACATAGGTCTCCTGGGGGGCCTTCTCCACCTTCATCATTGTGACCAGGGGACCCGTATCATCCATCAGCACCCCTATCACCGCATGTACCTTGTGTCTGAGCAGAATCGAGCAGCCAGGTTCCAGCAGATCCTTCTCTACAAATGAAATAATGCTGTCATAGTGTTCTGAGCCCACAGATGTAGACACAATGGCATGATTGTCATCGATGATCTCTTCCAAGTTTCCTACTGACATTGGGGTCCCCCTCAGATCATCCACTTTTGATCTTCCCTCCTCTTGCTTTTCTTCTAATAGTTTTATTTGTTCCTGATTTCTAATGAATTCTTCCACCATGAGAAGGTAGTCTTTAATTCTCTCTAACTTCAGTAATTTTAACCGACACTGAGTGTGAAGTGTCACCAGTGGCAGTTTACTGGCAACATCTTGTCCCTTTGTTTTTTCTTCTTTTTCCGCCACTCTAGTTGGTACAAGAGGTTAGTACTTATTTTTCTTGTCCTTTTCATCCTTCTTGCCACGTCTAGGACCATGACCATCACCCTGACTTTGACCCACCTTGTCTTGGCCACTTGAGCTGCCACTGCTGGAAGTTCCTCCACCTCAACTATCATTTCTAAGTTCCTAATTTTTGATGCGTATTTTCTCTTGGGGATACTCACACTGGAAGGCTACCAACTTATATGTTTTCAAGAGAATAAACAGGTACTACATAAATGAATGAAGTGGGCTTGGTGTAAGACACTGGGGAGGGTAAAATATACAGAATGTCAGCTCTTGATGGGTGTTAAGGAGAGAAGTAAAGCAGGGAAAGGTGTTGGGATATGTACCTGTGGGACAGAGTAGGTGTGATGGTCAGGTTCCTGTGTCAGCTTGGCTAGGCTATAGTACCCAATGCTTAATCAAATACTAACCTAGGTGCTGCTGTGAAGGTATTTGGGGATGTGATGAACATTCACAAATAGTAGACTATAAGTAAAGCAGATTATCTTTCATAATGTGGTTGGGCCTCACCTCATCCCTTGAAGGCCTTAAGAGCAAAAATTGAGGTTTCCCAGAGAAGAAGAAATTCTGCCCTAAGACTAAAGCATCAACTCCCACCTATTCCAGCTGCTGGCCTTCCCTGCAGGCTTCAGACTTGCCAGGCTCCACAATCCCATGAGCCAATTCCTTGAAACAGATCTGAGTGTGTATGCATGTACATATTCACATATATGTACACACACACACACATACACACATTCACATCCTATTGGTGCTGTTTCTCTGGGAAATCCTGACTGATCCAGGCTCAATTTTGGATTCAGAAGCTTTTGGACATTCAGTTTGCTAATTTCAAGTCTTTGCTCAAGTGTCACATTCTCAGAGATGCCAGTCCAATCATTCTATTGAATATGAAAAATTAATCATCTTCCCAATCTGTATTCCTGATCCCCTGACCCCACTCTATTTCTTCCCACAGCAATGTAATTTTTCACATAACTGTGTTACTATTTGTGTTTATTTTCTATCACTCCTAGTATATAAGCTTCATGATAGCAGGTGTCATAGGATGACTTCCCTGGGAACAAAACTCTGAGCTGGAGATTTGTGTGCAAGGAGGGTTATGGCGGTGGGTGCTCTCAGGCACAGCAGCCACAGGGTGTGAAGGAAGCAAGATTGGGCACAGAGAAGACTTGAACTGTGATTCAGTTGCAACAGAGGTCTCCACTGATTCCCAGGGGAGCCCTGAAGCTGGGGAAGTGCTTCAGGGATGTCCTGAATTGAGACAAAGGGGGCGGGCCCCAAATCAGCCAGTCATTGGATGCAGAGTGTCCCCAGGAAGGGGACACAGCTCCCTTTGGCCAAGGGCAATTCATAGGGAGGACTCAATGTGGGTCATCAGCCAGTAACAATCCTGGCAGCTGGGGAATGAGCAGAGTGACCCTGAACAAGGATCTGGGCAGTGCACCTGGCAGGCAGCAGCCATCTTTATTTCTCTATTGCTGCATCCTCAGTTCCCAGGACAGGGCCAGGATTGTTGAATGGATGGGTGGGTGGATGAATGAATGAATGAATGAATGAATTGTTTTCAGAAAGGTCGGCATGTACAAACAGGATATGGCCACTGCTCTCAGTTGATGGGCAGAATGACAAGAGGATAAAAATAGAAAATAGGCTAATATGATCACAAAAACCATTAAGGCAGTAAAAAACAAAGAATGATAAATGAGAGAATAGAGGCTTAGGGCTATTCGAGGGAAGGGCAGTAAATACATTTATATGACAGGGCTTAGGGCTATTCGAGGGAGGAGCACTAAATACATTTATATGACAGAGTTTCCATGTCTTACACACAGATCCTGAGCAGTTGTAGGCCCAGGGTGTGCTGTTACTGGCCTGAGCAGGACCCAGGGTTAAAGAAAGCATCCTGCGAACACAAGGAACAACTGGCTCCCGTGACAGAACTTTTAACCAGCCTTTTCTCAAATCTGTTGACTTAACGCAGGCCAGGGAATTCTTTGAAAGGCAACATGGCTATAAATCAGCAAGTCCTGCGAACGTGCATTCCAGGGTCTTGGAGGAAAGGGCTGCACACAAAAGCACCTCTTCTAAGTCTTCAGGAATGCTGTGGTGAGTGGCCCTGGAGGTCTCGGGGTTAGACTCTGGGGCTGGGAATGAAAAGCATCCAGGAAAGGGGAGAAGGGAAGCCCCAGCAGAGCAGCGCAGCTTGCTTCTAAGGACAGCAATGGACACCTAACACCCGGAGTGGTGCCTAGCAGATTCTAGTCACTCAATGAATGTCTGCTGAGTGACTGAAGAATAGTCAGGGACCTTGATTCTGGCCCTAGTTCTGTCATTCACTTGCCATGTGACCTTCAGGAGGTCTCTTTGCTTCTCTGAGTCTTGTTCATCCTGTCTGTAAAATATTGGGCTTAAGCACAAATGGAATCTTTGGGAATGAATGGCTCATGACAGTCTGAATTTATTTACTTTATTTATTTTTGAAATGGGGTCTCACTCTGTTGCTCAGGCTGGAGTGCAGTGGCACCATCATGGCTCAACCTCCTGGGCTCAGGTGATCCTCCCACCTCAGCCTCCTGAGTAGCTTGGACCACAGGCGTGCACCACCATGCCCAGCTAATTTTTGTATTTTTTCTAGAGACAGGGTTTCACCATGTTGCCCAGGCTAGTCTCAAATTCCTGGGCTCAAGCAATCTGCCCACCTCAGCCTCCCAAAGTGCTGGGATTACAGTTGTGAGCCACAACGCCAGCTGAATTAAAAAGCATTTGAAGAGGTGCCTGAAGCTGTGGAAGGCAGGAGACGTAAGAAGCCCATATGGCAGAGTTTCCTGAGCTAATGTGAGCACATGCGATGATCGGGGCTGCTAAGGGAAGTAAGCAATTCCTGCTATGGCTGCCACACCCCAGTGGGACTTGCAGGGGAATAACAGGACACTGCTGTGTCCACCACTCCAGGAGAAATGTCTCTTCCAGAGCTGCTGAAAACACAACAGATCTCCCTCTGGGGCAGCCTGACGCCAGAGGCCGAGGGGAAAGAGGAAAGTGCTGTCTGATGCCCACTGCAACTTCCATTCTATCTGAGGCAGGCCATTTCCTAAGGCTTGGAGGCTGGCAGAATGGCAATCAATTTCAGTCAACTGCCTGCTCACTTCCATCAGTGGCTTGATGTGGCACAAAGAATGACAGGCTCCCACTCAGAATAGGAGAGTTCAAATTCTAGCTTTTCTAACCCCTGCAAATCTGGCAACTGACTGAATTTCTCTGGATCTATAAAATGGGACTAATTCTGTCTACATCACAGGTATGATTAAACTGGAGAAGATTTGTATGAAACCAGCACAAGTTTCCCCCCCCCACCCCTTCTCTCCCTTTCTCCCTCTACCTTCACTCCTTCCTTCTGTGCAAGCCAGCCTAGCTAGCTGGAACAGGACATAAACAAGGCCAAGGGCATGAGTTTGATGCCCATATAGGACCAGAGTCCTGGATAGACAACTCGCAAGTTGTGTGCTCATGCTTCTCATCACAGAACAAAGGCAGTTTGCCACTGACCAGTGTCACTGTGGACAAATACTATTTATTCAGCAAGGATGCCAAGCATTTTTAATCCCTGACTCGTCAGGAAGAAGAATTTGGCAAAGGGGGGAATGGGGGTGGGGAATAAATGGGAATAAATCCAAGTGAGGCAAGAATGTAATTAGGAGGGTCAGATTCTACTGCTCTGGAGCACAGAAGGAGAAGGGAGGAGGTGGTCCTTTCCCTTGGAAGAATTGGCACAAGGACCCCAATTCTCCCTTTGTAAACCTGGAAAAGAGAGCCCCTTGAAAAATTTTGGGGTTTTCATTCTCCCTCCTGGAGTTGCTCTGAATCCCATGGCTGTGGATCCCTGCGGAGTGGTGATATAATGGAAATGAGTCCTCAAATATCTCCATTTGCACTAAGCAGTTTTTGTGTGCCATGTGGCTGTAAGTGTAAGTACTATCATGCAGGAGGTATGTCCATTTTTTACTTAAATCTGTGTCCTTATATTAAAAGTAGTTGGAGTTTAGACCCACATGACAGCCAGGCCTGATAGTTGGGTTCCCTATTTCATTTGACACTCTCTTTTGCCCCATATGTCTCCACACTAGGGGTTCAGCAGCCTAGCCATGGGAATGGACTTCATAGAGGCTCCTTCTTCTTGGCTGGGGGCCCTGGACCCTGATGAGGGCTGCCCAGAGCCTTCCCCTGCAGTGTCACCTTCTTGTGAGCTGAGTCTGAGGAGGTGCTTGGCTTCCCCCACCGTGTAGAGATGGTGGCCCGCGTGGTGACAGTCATTTGCTTTCCCTGCTTTGGTTGGTTGCCTCACTCTGCCTGCTCCCTTCTTTTCCTCCAGCTCTTTCTTCCCCATCACAATGCCTTGTTATGATCTCCTCTTCCCCTCCCCATGATGCTAGAAACTGCCTCTTGTCTCACCACCCCTTTCTTCTTTTCCCAAGATTCCTGCCTCCTCTTCGAGCTCTCTCACTCCAAGTTTAAGCCGTGAGAATTTCCTTCTCTGCAGTACCGAAAGATGCTCTTAATACCAGCTCCTGCTCCAGTGGGCCCAAAAAATTCCTCCAGGCAAGTGGGCACAGAGATCATCTTGAGAACTGAATAAGTTTAAAGGGGGAGAAAGTGGCATTAATTGAGCCCTAACTCTTTGCTAGGGAACTTGCATGCAATATACATCTAATCTTCACAGCATTCTTTTGAGATCCTTTACTACCGCTTTGTGGATGAGCAAATTGATGCTCAGAGAAGGTAAGTGCCTAACCTGAGGCCTCAGTTAGTGAATGGCAGTCATCATCTTTTCCCAGTCTGTCTGACTCTGGAGTCATTCTCATTTCTACACTTCCGCCCCTCGCTGAATCCACAGTAATCTTCACATTCACCTCTGGCTAATGCAATTCCATCTTGATTCTTAGGAAAATATGATGTGTCAGGTTGAATTTTAAACACAGCATCTGTATTAATCCCTTTCCATGCTGCTGATAAAGACATATGAGAAACTGGGAACAAAAAGAGGTTTAATTGGACTTACAGTTCCACATGGCTGGGGAGGCCTCAGGATCATGGCGGGAGGAGGAAGGCACTTCTTACATGGTGGTGGCAAGAGAAAAATGAGAAAGGAGCAAAAGCAGAAGGTCCTGATAAACCCGTCAGATCTCACGAGACTTATTCACTATCAGGAGAATAGCACGGGAAAGATCAGCCCCCATGATTCAATTACTTCCCCTTGGGTCTTTCCCACAACATGTGGGAATTCTGGGATATACAATTCAAGTTGAGATTTGGGTGGGGACACAGCCAAACCATATCAGCATCCTAGAAATTAAAGTTGGAGAAGCAGAAATAAATGTGTCAAGATGATTTGTAGGATGACAATGAGATGAGACACAAGCTCCGATGACTTGAGTTGAAAAATGCTAAATGTGTGTGTATTTTGTGTTTTGGGGCATGTGTGTGTGTGTATGTGAGAGAGAGAGAGAGAAAGTGAGAGAGAGAGAGAGAGAGAGAATAAATCCAGCAAATTAATAAAAGCATCAATCTAAGGCCACTGGTCCTGAATGCTAGGGCAAGATGAGAAAGCAGCTCAGGAAGTGATTATAATGAACAGAGAGACTCTGACCTGGAAGAAATCTTGTTACTCAGGATCAGGAAAATGTTAAACTCTTCTCAGCTAGTGTTTTTTTTATTAAAACATGCTGCATATAATTAATCACTCATAAATATACATTAAATAAGATGTCTGTAAAAGACACACATATAAAACAAGGTCATGTATTGTTTGGTTTATGAAATGTTGTGACCAGAGGCTGGAAGGAGCCTGGCTCTTCCCAGGAGCAGTGATTCAGTGTTCACTAATTCATTGTCTGCAGAGACTTTATAGACTAGACCATAACTAGGCTGAATAACAAGAATTGACTGTTTCCTGTCTTGTTTACTGTTGTCTCTCCCACTAGACAGTGTGGTGTACAAGGACAGGCGTTATGTCTGTTTTCCTCACCCCTAGATCCCTGCAACCCCTGGCACATAGTAAGTGCCAATAAGTGATTTTTTGTTTGAATGAATGAATGAAAGAGGAGGAGAATCATGAAAGTGTAGGGTCATAGAAGCCAGGAGAGTTTTTAGTACTAACGAGTCATTAACAACGTAGACAAAGCAGAGGGATTGGTGAGGGAAGGAGGGGAAGTGCCCATTTGCTGGCATATGGGAGCCTGGGAGACTGGTTTCAGCTGAGGAAGGAGGGGAAGTGCCCATTAGCTGGCATATGGGAGCCTGGGAGACTGGTTTCAGCTGAGGAAGGAGGGCAGAAGCCAGGCTGTAGCAACTGAGGAATGGACAATGAGGAAGAAGAAAGAGTGTAGGCTACATTTTTGAAAGTTTGGGTGAGAAGGGGAGGAAAGGGATTTGATAGAAGCTAGAGGAGCACCTGATCAAGGGGTGGGTGTTTCAGACCTGGAGAAGTGCTCTCATAATTATAAGCTTTGGGGGCAAGCATCCCAGAGGGAGGAAGAGGCTGGGCGTGTAGCACCTGGAAAGAAAGGAATGTGGCTCAGGGCAAAGGTTAACTCTGAACAAGAAGAGGAAGATCTAAGCTGCAGCAGCTAGGGAAAAGGAAAAATGGATGAGTGTGAATGTAAATGTACTTACAGTGAAGGGGGCAGGAAGGTGAAACGGGTCCTTCCTGATCACCTTGGTGTCTCCTGGTGCATTAGGAGGCCAGGTGTGATGTAAGAGAAGGAGAGAGAGGTCTTGTGAAGACTGAGCTGAGGCTTGGTGAAGGTGAGGGAGTTCACGCTGGATGAATCAAAGGATTATTGGATAGATTGATGCTGGAGGTCCAGGATGCTGTGTTGGCCTTCGCAGCCAGGGTGAAAGGAGCAGATGAGGCTGGTTATGGTGCTGCTGCCCAGCCTGTATGTTTTGCTGGGCAGGTGCAGTAGGAGGATTGTGGTGTGAGGGAGCTGAAGAATCTGTGAGAGAAGAGGACTTGTGATCAACAATGAAGTTCAGGCTGGAGCAGGCTGATGACTAGGAGAAGACAGAGGATCAGGGGCTTGTGGTGTCTCTGAGGTAGAAGAGCAGATATGGAGGGATGAGGAGATGAGATGGGGGGTCAGGGTTTCATGAGGGAAAGCTTCAGGTGATGATCAAGCCCAGAGTGTCACCATGCCTGTGGGTGGGCAGCTGAAGGTCAGTAGAGTTCCTGGTATTCAGGAGATCCAGGGATTGCATGGATCCAGTCATCCAGCTAGTCTTGCATTGATTTCGCATCGGTTTAGTCTTGACTGATTTTTGCATTGATTAGATCTTGCACTGAATAAGCTTTTTACTGTGGTTTTTCAGGCCTGAGGCAGGTGACAGTGAAACAACCTGTTGAGGTTGTTTCAGTGAGATTGTTAAGCATCATATGTCCAAGGGAAATATTAATTTCACCAAGTCAGACATATGTAAGACAGCCATCCTTTCCTCTATATATCACACAAAGCTAAATGGATCTATTATTTGAAAGAAACTTGAAAGAAAATTTTGCATATCTACAAGGAGTGTGGTATGAAGGAAAAAAGATTAACATATCCAAATAATGGTCCTGGCTCTGTCACTAACTAACCTTGTGATCCTGGGCAGGTTTAACACTCTGGGCCCCAGTTTACAGACACCTACTGCCTCCAGAACAGTTCTTCCCAGTCTGACTTCTTAACCCATCGTATTCAGGCTTTCATCCCCAGCACAACCTACCTGCCCATTGAGAACTGTTAGTGACTCCAAATGGTCCATCCCGGTGGCTTCTTACCTGGTCTTGATCTCCTTGACTTCAGAGAGAGTGGCACTTGGCATTGTGGGCCATCGCCTCTGCAGATTCTTCTTCTTCTTTTTTTTTTTTTTTTGAGACGGAGTCTTGCTCTGTCTCCCAGGCTGGAGTGCAGTGGCGCAATCTCTCACTGCAAGCTCCGCCTCCCGGGTTCACGCCATTCTCCTGCCTCAGCCTCCCGAGTAGCTGGGACTACAGGCGCCCGCCACCACGCCCGGCTAATTTTTTGTATTTTTAGTAGGGACAGGGTTTCACCGCGTTAACCAGGACGGTCTCGATCTGCTGACCTCATGATCCGCCCGCCTCGACCTCCCAAAGTGCTGGGATTACAGGCGCGAGCCACCGTGCCCGGCCCAGATTCTTCTTAACTTTGCTTCAGAAGCGCCATCCTTGAGGTTCTCCTACTCAGCACCTATATGTCCTTCTCTGTTTCCTGCATCCTCAGACAGTTGATCCCAAGGATGGACCCTTCCTCTTTCCAGGGCTCCTCCCTTGGCATTCTCTTTCAGTTGCTTAATTTCAGTCATTACCTCCTTGCAAGGGATTTAGTTCTTTATCTTCAGCTCTGGCTTTTGTCCCTTGTTCTAGTTGAAGTTTCCAAGTGCCTGTTGGACATCTCTGCCAGCACTAGGAAATTCACTAGTTGCAAACCAGAATGCATTTTTTTTTCCCTGTTATCCCTCTCTGTTTCATATTTCTATCCATGGAACCATTGTTCTCCTGTCACTCAAAGTATTTTCTCTCTCTCTTTTTTTTTTTTTTTGCAAATAACTGTACTCTAAAAGAATCATAACACCTTGGAGAAGTTCATCTGAAAGGGATCCCAGAGGTGGTATCTCACAGTGGGAGGCATTGTGGCTATAGGCAGGTGTGGCCTGTGGACTTGAGTCAATCTGTATTTGAATGCTGGCTTAGTTACTTGCTTGCCGAGTGGCCTTTGGAAAGTTACTTAACTTCTCTGTGCCTCAGTTTCACACTTGTAAAATAGAGATAATACCTTAAAAGGTTATTGTTAGCATCAATTAGATGATGTATGTGAAGTCCTTAGTAAAGGGCCTATAACTTATTAAATATTCAATGAATAATATTTATTATCAAGGATACTACCCACTCATTTTTCAGATGGTGAAACTGATGACCGAAGAGATAAGTGAATAACAGGGTAAGAGTTGGGACTAGAAACGTGTCCGATGACTTCAAGATCTGTGTGCCTACCTACATTTTTTTTTTTTGAGATGAAGTCTCCTTCTGTCACCCAGGCTGGAGTGCAGTGGCGTGATCTCAGCTCATTGCAACATCTGCCTCCCGGGTTCAAGCGACCTCAGTCTCCTAAGTAGCTGGGTCTACAGGCATGTGCCACCATGCCCAGCTAATTTTTCTATTTTTAGTAGAGATGGGGTTTCGCCATGTTGGCCAGGCTGGTCTTGAACTCCTGACCTCAGGTTACCCACCTGCCTTGGCCTCCCAGAGTGCTGGGATTACAGGCGTGAGCCACCGTGCCCAGCCCTACCTACATTTTTTAAGGCAATTTATGTATAAGCTAGGGAGTAATGATTGGAAACAGTAAGAAAACCATCTTTGGAGGGGTTTATTTTTATATCTGAAGTTCCTCCGGGAAGGGGTCATGTCTCTAACTTGCTGTCAAGTCTTAATTATTTATGCTAATTGGGACCAAGAAAACTTGGTTAAATGAAAAGTCCATATAGTCTCCAAATGCCTTTTAAATAACAACTTCAACCTTTTCTTTAATTATCATTTATCTGTTTGTTGGAGGTACTACAACAATGTAGAAACAGAACATGAAAAATAGCAAAATGCTTGAGTCACAGATTTCTAACTATGTTTCAAAAGAGAATTACAAATAAGTTCAGCTCAAAAGAAATCTCAAAGATTTTGAAAAATAGACATGGAATGAAGGCATTGTGATATATAAAAATAAATGAAAGAAATTCCACATACATTGTTATCAATGTCTGGAAGTGCTCCATGTTTGGGAGGAGATTAGCCCCTGGTTGCTAATGCTGTTTTTCATATTTACTTATCTTGTTAACTTCATTAAACCTAACAGGAAATAATTTCAGCATCACAGCTAATTTATTTTGACATCCCAAGAGTGCTATTTTATTTTTTTAAATTGTGCCTGCTGCTTTCTATCAAACCATACCCCAACTGAAGGGGCATCTGTTATTGGAATGTCTTTTCAAAAATAACAGTGGAGTCTAAATGTCTGGAAGGTTTACAATAAAATCTTCTATTTGGAGCCAACATTTGCGATGGGAGGCTTGGGTTTATTTTACTTTATTTTTTAAGTCTTTCCAGACTTTTGAGAAAGTCATCATGTGTGATCATGTTTCTTCAGCTGAATGTGGTCAATTCAATCTGGCTCACTGAGGGTTGGGGAAGGGGAATCTCCCAGGAGGCATGAAGTAAACAGCATGTTCTGGATGTGTCTATTGGGCAGAGGTATGAGTTCCAGGTTTTGTTTCTTTTTGAGTTAGAGTCTTGCTCTGTCACCCAGGCTGGAGTGTCACAACTCACTGCAGCCTCCAACCTCTGGGCTCAAATAATCCTCCTGCCTCAGCCTTCTGAGTAACTAGGACTACAGGTGTGTGCCACCATGCCTGGCTATTTTTTTTCTTTTTTTGTAGAGATGGAGTCTCACTATGTTGCCTAGGCTGGTCTTGAACTCTTGGCCTCAAACAATCCTCCCAAAGTGCTGGGATTACAGGTGTGACACACCACTGCACCCAGATGAATGCCATGACTTTTAAAGGGAACTCCTTATTTCTACCTAGAGTCAGTTTCCAGTGGCTTCTGTTTTGAACAGTTTGGTCATCCTGTTACAGTAGGTAGCTAGTCAGATATGAGCAGGGCAGGAAAGGGCCCCCTGCCTCCCACTAGGAATGTCAGGCGACCATCAGGTGATGGTTGGAGGTTGTTAAACTGCCTCTCTAAAATAATAATTGGTCGTAGCCAGCGCCAGGGAAAGGCAGTCTCCCAACAGATTAAAAAAACCGGGCCAGACGTGGTGGCTCATGCTTGTAATCCCAGCACTTTGGGAGGCCGAGGCAGGTGGATCACTTGAGGTCAGGAGTTCAAGACCAGCCTGGCCAACATGGTGAAACCCCGTCTCTACTAAAAATACAAAAATTAGCTGGGTGTGGTGGCACGTGCTTGTAATCTCAGCTACTTGGGAGGCTGAGGCAGGAGAATCACTTGAACCTGGGAGGCGGAGGTTGCAGTGAGCTGAGAACAAGCCATTGCACTCCAGCCTGGGTGACAAGAGTGAAACTCCGTCTCAAACAAAACAAACAAACAAACAAACAAACACCAAAAAACCCCTGAAACTGGTGATTAGCAGCTTCTCAATAAGATCTCAGGAGTTGGGTGAGTGGGCTCAAGCATGTGGACTGAGAGGTAAAATGGCGGAGTTTAACTGGTATATGACCTTCCGGGAACATTCTACTGGCAAGGAAGAAAGCCTCAAGTGAGCATGCATGTAATTCCAGTAAACACTGTGCATGCTCCCCTCCCAATCACTAGCAGGCTGCTGCACATGAAGATGGCCCACCCCAAAGAAGAGTCATGGGAAAAGCAACGGAAGACCCTGGAAGCATGGCAACATATAAAACCCCAAATCAAAAGGTCAAACCATGCACTTGATCTCTCAAGTCGCCCGCTTGATCCTCTTCCAAGTGTACTTTTCTTCCTTTCTTTCCTGCTCTAAAGCTTTTCAATAAACTTTCACTCCTGCTCTAATACTTGCCTCTGTCTCTCCTTCTGCCTTATGTCCCTCAGTTGAATTCTTTCTTCTAAGGAAGCAAGAACTCAGGTTTCTGCAGACCTGTACGGATTCACTGATGGTAACAGACCTGGTGCCATGTGACTCAGATACATTCCACTGCTAACAATCCAGCAAACATTTCATGTTTGTTTGATACCTGCTAATAATATAGTAGCATCCAGAGGCAAGAGAAAGGTGTGGGGGGGACCACATGTCCCCTTATTCCCAACCTGACTACTAGAGAGTATGGCATGTTAAAATGAAAGTAAGGCTTGGATTGAATTTTGGCAGACACATAAATTAATATTTATTCATAAACATGAAAACAAATGCAAAACTATTTTGAAGGCAGAATGGACCAGCCTAGGAAAATGATCAGATCTTCATGCAGTTAAAAATGCAGGACCATCGAGAAGTGAGACCTGAAGATGGTAATAAACTGCTGGGCGTGCCAGATTCTGCAGGCCAGGGTGGTAGAGCTGTGCTCCTTCTGCCTATCCCTTATGCCAAGTAAGAAACCCTCTGGGTTAGATTTTGACAAACTATTTGAAGTGCTAAATAACCACCTTTGAAGGTTATTGATTCCTGATTGGGATTCCTAATAGCTAATTAACTGCCCTGAGGGGTAGGGGTAGATTCCTGATTAGGATACTTTGAATGTTTGCTAACTGCTGATAAACGTTTGCTAACTACTGCTAAATGTTTGCTAACTGCTGCTAAGAGTTAATTTATATACACACTACAGCATACTGTTCATAGCCAAATACAGCATCACTGTTTTCCCAATCTCCCAAGCTAGACATCTCAAAGTCATGCTTGTCACTGCCAAATGCCTTGCCCGTCAACAGTTCTGACATGTCTAACAGTCATCATCTCTCAAATTTGGCTTCTCCTCTTATCTCCAGAGCCATTGGCTTAGTTTCAGCCCTTATCAGAAACTTTCCTTGAATTACTGTAACTGCCTCCTAACTGCTCATCTTAACCTTCCTGTCTTCCTATAGTTCATTCCCTACTCCAGAGTTCTTACCCTAAAAACAAGTCTGACCCTGTCACTCCCCTGCATAAATTTTTTTCAGGGTTCCCAGGGCCTACTGAATAGTATCAAACCTCCTTAGCTGATCTCAAGGCACCTACAATATGGCACCTTATGCTCCAGACTGCACAAGCATTTCACAATTTCCCAAATATTCTGATCGGGTTTATTCAGATCACTGGCAGGTGCAGTTCCTGGTTTCATTACCTGGCAACATTGCTCCTTATTTGAAGGCCTTCTTTATTTTCCTTCGCCTGAGAAGGGGACAGGTCGTTGTTTGTTCAGGTCTTTGTGTTCCCACAGCCCTTTCTATTTATATTCATGGATAGTAGCTACTATGTCATGTAAATTAAGGTTGTCAGGTACAATGGAGGATGCCCAATTAATTTTGAATTTCAGATAAATAATGAATAATTTGTATTACACATAGGTCTCATGCCATATTTAGAACATATATGAAACAATTATTTGTTATGTATCTAAACTTCAGATTGAGCTGAGCATTCTAATTTTTATTTGCTAAATCTGGCAAGCCTAGCTGTGTTGTAATTCAACTGTGTATGTGTCTGTTACACTTCACTGTGAACTCCTGAAAGGCACTTGTGTCCAAGTGAGAAACCAGACTACAAGCTCCTATGGGATACATGTTACTCAAATAGAAAAAAAGATGGAAAAAAAGAGATAGATCAAAAGATAAATAAATGTCACTACTTGTCTTTTTTACATTTGGAAAAATTAAAAAAAAAATGTCAGGCTACATGAAAGATCCAAGTGATAGTGCACCCTATATCCAGCATTTTCTTTTTTTAAGAGATGGGGTTTCACTCTGTCACCCAGACTGGAGTACAGTGGTGCAGTCATAACTCACTGCAGCCTCAAACTCCTGGTCTCAAGTGATCTCCTGCCTCAGTCTCCCAAGTAGCTGGGACTGCAGGGATACACCACCATGCACAGCTATTTTTTCTTCTTTTTTGTAGAAACAGGGTCTTGCTGTGTTTCCCAGTTGGTCTCAAACTCCTGGCCTCAAGAGATTCTTATCATCCTCCCAAAGCATTAGGATTATGGGCATGAGCCACAGCGCCCAGCCCTAGCAATATTTTGAAAATCAAAAGCATTTCCAAAAATAAGGGATAAAAATGATAGAGGCAGAGTGGATGAATATTTTCTTTTGTGGAACCCAAGAGTTATGGCTAACATATAGAGTAATAAAAATAGTGACAATGAAATAATATTAGTTATTGTGAACTTGTGTCAATATATTTTAAGCGCATCCCCATCAGAGCCTTACAAAGCCCTACGAGGCAGGTACTCACCACCAGAGACTGGATAATTTCAGTTTCCAGTTGTGAGCCTTGTTAGCTTTGGTTTCAAGAGATATTCTACTTCCTCCCCAGAAACCCACGGGGAAGCTAACTGGGTAGGAGAGTTGTTCAAAGGTCTACCTTATAAACTGAAAATAATGCATGAAGTTGCAAGGTTTCTGTGTGGGATTTGGACTCAGTCCCATTTCATCTTGGGAAGCTTTCTTTGCCTGTAAGGGTTTCTCAGATGTCCACTTTTGTCTGAGTCTTGTGGCCATAAAACTGCCTTTACCAAAAGTTTATTTTAAGGGCTATGACTCGGGGACATAAAGAAATGTTTGAAGAAGGGAAAGGGGATAAAAGCATGCAAGATTCTGTATGGAATGGAACATTTGATACAGCCACCCCACTTCCTTTAGTTGAGCACATGGTGGGAGACCATTCAAAAAGCCAACAACTTGGGTAACAGCCCTTAAATTGACATTGTTTAGGCATGAATGGATCCAATTGGTTTTAAATGTTTTGTTCTCCACATAATTCCTATTTTAAGAAGATTGGTTACTATAGAGACTAGAGCTGCCTTTATTCTGGATGTTCAAGAGAGGACATGTTGACTAATGGTTAGAGCAGAGGTCTAAGGTCCAAGGTCCTAGTCCTAGCCCAACCACAGACTCACTGAGAGCTTGTCCATAACTCACTCCCCATGCTGCAATTCTTCCTTAGCTAATGAGGAGCAAAAAATATCTTTGATGTGGCCCTTTGGGCAGTGATATTTACATACTTTGTTATTGATGCTGGGTGAGATGGAAGAAATGGGGTGAGGGAGAGAGCAATTCTAACATAAAATGAATTTTAAGATATTGAAGTTGGAAGGTTATTGACCTGCTAAATAAGCTGGCAAATGGGAAGTAACTACTCATCACAGCATCACCTCTGGGACTGGGACTTGGCCAACAGTGGCTCAGAGTACTTTTTTGAAAAGTGTATGTTTGTGCATGCGTATGTGTACATGCATGCATGCCAAAGCTTAAGCTCCTAAGGGTAAGATATAAAGGCTGCAATTTACAAATCTATATAAATGATTTATCCCTAACCTTCAGAAAGAATTCTTTTATTCTCTAGCAGAGTGCATGAGTTTTAGTTTTTTAAAACAATTTTTTATTATGAAGAATTTTCAGACACAAAGTTGAGATGCTAATAGTGTAAATAACTCCAATATATCTGTTACCCAGCTTCAACAGTGAACATTCTGTCATTCCTGTTTCATTTCTCTCATTTTAAAACATTTCTTTTCTGAATCATGTGCAAATCCCAGATGACATATTGTTTTACTTGCCAATACTTCGGTATGCATCTTTAACAGATAAAGCCTTCTTTCCATAACCACAATGTACCATTATCACACTCAACAGAATTAACAACTTGTTAATTCCTAATATTTATCTAATACCTAATGCATGTTCAGTTTTCTCAGATTGCCTCAAAAATATTGGTTTTTAATAGTTGGTTTATTGTAATTAGGATTCACATATGGCCCACATATTACATTTGTTTGATATGTTTGTTAAGTATTTTTAGTCTATAATAATTCCCTTTTCTCTCTTACCCTATTTTATCTGGAAACATGTCAAACATTTTTGGAAAAGCTGTTAGGCAAATGCAATGAACTCCCACTTGCCTTCACATTTTACACATTTTCTTATAGTTCCTCTCTCTACGTGTGTGTTGGGGGTGAGCTTATTATTGTCATCATCAACATTATTTTGCTGAACCATTTGAGAGCTTTCAAGTTTGTTGCAGACATTGTGGTATTTTATGCTTAACCATTCGTGTGCATTTCCCCTATGAACAAGGGCATTCAAATACAAAGTCATATTATAAATAATTGTAAATATGGCACTGAGAAAATTTAAGGATTATGTTTAACTAAGGATATTATTATTCATTTTATATTCAAATGTTCCCAGTTGTCTTTCATAGCTTTTCAAAAATGTCCTTTATAGCTTTTTAAAAAAAATCTAGGCACAAATGTAGAATCAAATATTGTATTTATCAAGTCTCTTTAGATTTCTTTAATCTACAATACTCCCTAGCTGTTTTTATCTTTTATGAAATCAACATTTTTAAAGCATCTGGGCCAGTTACTGGGCAAAATAATCCTCAGTTGGATTTGTCTGACTGTTTCTTTTTTAGTTCTTTTTTAAAATTTGTAAAAATTATACTTTAAGTTCTAGGGTACATGTGCACAACGTGCAGGTTTGTTACATATGTATACATGCGCCATGTTGGTGTGCTGCACCCGTTAACTCGTCATTTACTTTAGGTATATCTCCTAATGCTATCCCTCCCCCCACCCCATGACAGGCCCCGGTGTGTGATGTTCCCCACCCTGTGTCCAGGTGTTCTCATTGTTCAATTCCCACCTATGAGTGAGAACATGCAGTGTTTGGTTTTCTGTCCTTGTGATAGTTTGCTCAGAATGGTGGTTTCCAGCTTCATCCATGTCCCTACAAAGGACATTAACTCATCCTTTTTTGTGGCTGCATAGTATTCCATAGTGTATATGTGCCACATTTTCTTAATCCAGTCTATCATTGATGGACATTTGGGTTGGTTCCATGTCTTTGCTATTGTGAATAGTGCCGCAATAAACATATGTGTGCATGTGTCTTTATAGCAGCATGATTTATAATCCTTTGGGTATATACCCAGTAATGGGATGGCTGGGTCAAATGGTATTTCTAGTTCTCGATCCTTGAGGAATTACCACACTGTCTTCCACAATGGTTGAACCAGTTTACAGTCCCACCAACAGTGTAAACGTGTTCCTATTTCTCCACATCCTCTCCAGCACCTGTTGTTTCCTGACTTTTTAATGATCGCCATTCTAACTGGTATGAGATGGTATCTCATCGTGGTTTTGATTTGCATTTCTCGGGTGGCCAGTGATGACGAGCATTTTTTTCATGTGTCTGTTGGCTGCATAAATGTCTTCTTTTGAGAAGTGTCTGTTCATATCCTTTGCCCACTTTTTGATGGGGTTGTTTGATTTTTTTCTTGTAAATTTGTTTAAGTACTTTGTAGATTCTGGATTCAAAACGAAACAAAACAAAAACCTGAAAAGCATAGACAGTGCAGATATCTCCTTGGGTCCCATGGCAAGTGCCCAGTTTTCCTTTTGTGGGGAGAAAAGCCCTACCTCCTTTGCAGAGTTGTTTGTCAGAGCCTAGAATAAGATGATACTTGAGATAAAGTAGGTGGGAAGATGGGATCTCCTAGTGACTCAAACCCATTCACAGTTCATGCTACAAGAGAGCATTGTTTTTCTATCCTCATCCTTTCTTTCCATATCCTTCCAATAAATGGCCTGTTGGGTGAGGTGCAGCTCAATGGGGCAGAACCACATGGACTTGCAGCAGGAACCGAGCTTGAGGCACCATCAGCACTCCTCCAACCCAAATGGTCTCTCAGCATGGGGAGAGAGGGCCCAACAGCATCCACACCCATGGCAAAAGAAGGGAAGGACCTCCTTGCCTGGTGGGACCCATGCACCTTCCATTCCCGAAATATGGGAAGCTATGTTTCAAGGAGAGATGGTGGCAAAGAGACCATGGCAACTTTTTTAGTTCCTAAAAGAATTAGTGAAACAAATCTAAAACTAACACACTTTGTTATAATTTACAGCAAAGTTGCCATGTGTTGAGGCCGAGATTTGTTCCTTCTCTTACTTTTGCACTCCCTATTCATTATATTACTTTGGAGATGTTTGTCTTCAGAGGGCATTTATGTTTGTGTTTTTTATGTCCCCATGCAGAATAACCCCAAATTTTATTTTCAGGGGCTGCTGCATGGTCTTAAAAGATGCTTCTGAAGCGTTTATTCTTGGTTTTACTCTTGCAATTCTTCCTTGTTTCAATTCAGAGCACAGCAGAAAATGTATTCCAACCCACATTTGTGGAAGAGAAAGGAGTTGGGCTCCAGATGTTACATCTCTCCTTGAAACATAGCCTAGCCACTCCTACCTGGACATTTAGAGCTTCCCATAATGGGTCCCAAGTCAACTTCTAGCCAGCAGTGCTGTCATTTCTGTGTGTGCTCCTAGTCCCTAACAGACACCTTACCTAGCCAAGAGAACTGACTTGTGTTGGTCCCAGGTAGCTGCGTGTGGTCTGTGTGGATGAATCATAGATAAGCTTATTTTGTATTTTCCAACCAGATGTCATGGAGCTACTTAGCAGATACTGAATTACGACTCCCTAGAATAGTGTTGAACATTGACAACAGGGGTGATCCTGGTAAGGTCTGCCATCTCCATGAGGGTCTTTGTGTCCAGGCTAGGAGGCCCTTCCCTCATTTTGCCATGGATGTGGATGCAGTTGGGCCCTCTCTCCCCATGCCGAGGAGACCATTTGGGTTGGAGGAGTGCTGATGGTGGTGCCTCAAGCTCGGTTCCTGCTGCAAGTCCAGTGGTCCTGCCCCATTGAGCTGTACCTCACGCAACAGGCCATTTACTGGAAGGATATGGAAAGAAAGGATGAGGATAGAAAAACAATGCTCTCTGGTAGCATGCACTGTGAATGGGTTTGAGTCACTAGGAGATCCCACCTTCCCATCTACTTTATCTCAAGTATCATCTTATACTAGTGAGAGGTGACACTGTGCTGGCAGTCCTCACAGCCCTCGCTCACTCTCGGCGCCTCCTCTGCCTGGGCTCCCACTTTGGCGGCACTTGAGGAGCCCTTCAGCTCACTGCTGCACTGTGGGAGCCCCTTTCTGGGCTGGCCAAGGCCGGAGCCGGCTCCCTCAGCTTGCAGGGAGGTGTGGAGGGAGAGGTGCGAGCGGGAACCGGGGCTGCGTGCCGCACTTGCGGGCCAGCTGGAGTTCCGGTTGGGCGTGGCACTCGGAGCAGCCGGCCCCGGGCAATGAGGGGCTTAGCACCCGGGCCAGCTGCTGCGGAGGGTGTACTGGGTCCCCCAGCAGTGCCAGCCCACCGGCGCTGTGCTCAATTTTTCACCGGGCCTTAGCTGCCTTCCCACGAGGCAGGGCTCAGGACCTGCAGCCCTCCATGCCTGAGCCTCCCACTCCCTCCATGGGCTCCTGTGCAGCCCGAGCCTCCCCGACTAGCACGGCTCCCTGCTCCATGGCACCCACTCCCATCGACCACCCAAGGGCTGAGGAGTGCAGGTGCACGGCACGGGACTGGCAGGCAGCTCCACCTGCAGCCCCTGTGAGGGATCCACTGGGTGAAGCCAGCTGGGCTCCTGAGTCTGGTGGGGACATGGAGAACCTTTATGTCTAGCTTCAGGGATTGTAAATACACCAATCAGCACCCTGTGTCTAGCTCAGGGTTTGTGAATGCACCAATGGACACCCTGTATCTAGCTACTCTGGTGGGACCTTGGAGAACCTTTATGTCTAGCTCAGGGATTGTAAATACACCACTCTGCACTCTGTATCTAGCTCAAGGTTTGTAAACACACCAATCAGCACCCTGTGTCTAGCTCAGGGTTTGTGAATGCACCAATCCACACTCTGTTTCTAGCTACTCTGATGGGGCCTTGGAGAACCTTTATGTCTAGCTCAGGGATTGTAAATACACGAATCGGCACTCTGTATCTAGCTCAAGGTTTGTAAATACACCAATCAGCACCCTGTGTCTAGCTCAGGGTTTGTGAATGCACCAATCGACACTCTGTATGTAGCTACTCTGGTGGGGCCTTGGAGAACCTTTGTGTTGACACTCTATCTAGCTAATCTGGTGGGGACGGTGGAGAACCTTTGTGTCTAGCTCAGGGATTGTAAACGCACCAATCAGCGCCCTGTCAAAACAGACCACTTGGCTCTACCAATCAGCAGGATGTGGGTGGGGCCAGATAAGAGAATAAAAGCAGGCCACCCAAGCCAGCAGTGGCAACCCGCTCGGGTCACCTTCGACACCGTGGAAGCTTTGTTCTTTCGTCCTTTGCAATAAATCTTGCTACTGCTCACTCTTTGGGTCCACACTGCTTTTATGAGCTGTAACACTCACCTCGAAGGTCTGCAGCTTCACTCCTGAGCCAGTGAGACCACGAACCCCCTAGAAGGAAAAAACTCCGAACACATCCAAACATCAGAAGGAACAAACTCCAGACGTGCCACTTTAAGAGCTGTAACACTCACCGCGAGGGTCCGTGGCTTCATTCTTGAAGTCAGTGAGACCAAGAACCCACCAATTTCGGACACACTAGGCTCTGACAAGCAACTCTGCAAAGCAGGTAAGGCTTTTCTCCCCACAAAAGGAAAACTGGGCACTGGCCATGGGACCCAAGGATATATCTGCACTGTCTATACTTTTTAGGTTTTTCTTTCATTTTGTTTTGTTTGAAATAGTTTCACTCTGTTGCCCAGGCTGAAGTGCAGTGGTGCAATCTTGGCTCGCTGCAACCTCCACCTCCTGGATTCAAGTGTTTCTTGTGCCTCAGTCTCCTGAGTAGCGGGATTACAGGGGTGTGCCACCACACCCAACTAATTTTTGTATTTTTAATAGAGGTGGGGTTTTGCCAGGTTCACCAGGCTGGTCTTAAACTCCTGACCTCAAGTGATACACCCCCTCAGCCTCCCAAAGTGCTGGGATTACAGATGTGAGCCACTGCACCCAGCCTGTTTTCAAGGTTTTTTAAAATTTTTTATTTATTTATTATTATTATACTTTAAGTTTTAGGGTACATGTGCACAATGTGCAGGTTAGTTACATATGTATACATGTGCCATGCTGGTGCGCTGCACCCACTAACTCGTCATCTAGCATTAGGTATATCTCCCAATGCTATCCCTCCCCCCTCCCCCCACCCCACAACAGTCCCCAGAGTGTGATGTTCCCCTTCCTGTGTCCATGTGTTCTCATTGTTCAATTCCCACCTATGAGTGAGAATATGCGGTGTTTGGTTTTTTGTTCTTGCGATAGTTTACTGAGAATGATGATTTCCAATTTCATCCATGTCCCTACAAAGGACATGAACTCATCATTTTTAATGGCTACATAGTATTCCATGATGTATAAAAAACGATGGTTAGATGCCACGAAGTAGGTGGCAATGCCTTAACCGTATGCGTGTTGTCAGGCCCGAGGGCCGCTTCCATCCTTGTCAAGGGGAGTGCTAACCTTCTCTCCTTTCATACAACACGTTTTCAGGGTTTTATAGGGGAAATGGAAACCCATAGGTGCAGGACAATAGTGACCTGCTGCCTCTAGTCACCTGACATAAAATATTCATTATCATAATAATGATCATAGCTGCCATACAATGGTTATTCTATTTAATCTTCCCAATACAGTACAGAGATTACAGTTTCCCTTTAAAAGGTGGGAGTCCTAAAGCTCAGAGAGGTTATGGAGCTTGTTCGCAGCCATACAGATGATCAATGGTGGACTAGGATTGGAACCTGTCTCTCTTCAACTTAAAAGCACAATGCTTTTACCCTTCCTCCCACTGCTTCCTTGAGGAGTTTTGCCCTGCTTACTCAATGAGTGTTGCAATGAGTTTTCTTTAATTTCTGTACCTTATCTTTCCACTACGTACAACCTCATTTATCCAATAAGACTTCACAGCCAAGTGGCTTTTGCAGAGTGCTGAGCACTCACCTGGCCTGAGATTGTTGGTACTGATAGAAACACAAGGAAATATCTATTTCCAAAATTGGATAATGTAATACAGGTCCATGTTTGGTGCTAATGAGTTGGAGGAGAAAGGTGAAACACAGCAATAATTATTTTTAGCATCAATGTTTTCCCCAAATAACTCATTTCTAGAGCCAGGTCTGCGTGAATAGCTTCAGCTGCTGGCAACTTGAAGGTTCCACCCATAGTGTTAGAAGTTAGAATTGAAAGGGAGTAACAGAAGAAGAAGAGAGAAGGATGCTTCCAGGCATGCGAGGGGTAGACGGAAAGGCCAGGGCTGCCTCCGTTCCCAGCTTGGCCCTGTGACGCCTGGCCCAACAGAGCTCCAGTTCTTGGCCTGTCTGTGGGAGGAAGATGCCTGAAGTTGGGCCAGAGGTCTGGCCCGGTCAGAGACTGAACCACTCAAATGCCAAGAAAAGGGATTCTCAGAGTTTTGGAGTCTGGGAAGTTTGTTACGATGGACTTCCTTATCAATGAGGGAAGGGATCTCCAGGGCTATCTTCATTCATCTTAGGCCTGTTTCCATGCTCTCCTCTTTGTAGCCAAAGGATTAAAAACGCCACATTTCTGCTTTCCACAGCATGGTGGGGCAATGGTTTTATTCCCACGAGCATCATCTACATGTTATTGCTGGAGACACTGAGACAGTTTGAAATCTGTAGCAAAAGTAGCAGGATGGCATCTCTCCATTTCCCATGTCTTTTTCAAATACAGTGTTCTAGGTGCCAAAACATCCAAATGTTATAGAAAGAGTCTCTGGACTCAGAGAGAGTATTTGAATTCCAGATTTTCCACTTACAAGCTGGGTGACCTTGGCCAAATTTCTCAGCCTCCCTGAGCCTCAATATCCTTGTAAAATGTAAAAAAATAATGCCTGCTTGCCAGGCTTGTGAGGATGAAATGACATAATATATGCTAAAAATGCCTAGGCCTGTTCCCAGTAGGTGGTCAGAGCTGGTTTCCTTCCTCTCTCTACCCCCTTATATTCATTCATCTCTTTTTATTTTTGCTGTAGCTCACACTTTAGAGAAGGTAATACCTGCTTTTCATTTCTTCTGAAAAGGCTGCACAAATCTAGCATCTATAGTCTGGATAATTATCCGGAGTCTTGATAATGATGTTTATGAGAACTGTGCCAAGGAATGGGACATTCTCATCCTAGCTGAACACTCGCTGCATCTCAGAAAAGGGCAAAGGCAGCCCAGGCCGGGTGCACACAGGCCAAGGAAGGTCAATAGCAGTAGCAGAAGCCAAGTCATTTCCCCACCAGGGAGAACCAAAGGGCCAGAAGTTAAAAGAAAGGACAAGTTTCCCAGACATCTGTTTCTCTCGGGATTTGTAGCACTGATCCTTGCCTCAAGGATCTGAATGCCTAATTGCTGGAGGCAACTCAAAAGAAATTGAATCAATGGAGGCGAAAACAAATTAGTAGACAAGCTGGCCCAAATAAGATGCCCTCCACCAGAGTTCTGTAATGGCCTGAGTTGGATTCCCATCAGACAAGATAACCAATGAAAGGGTGGAAAGTTTTTGTATCTGGAGTGAATAGGGACCCAGTGCAGGAAAATTACTAGAAAATTAAGGAAGGCAATACAATGGTAGAACTTTTAAAGTAGCCCTAGAGTGGTACTTTTGTTTCTGTTCCAAAGTGCTGTGTTTCCCCCAATAAACCTGTAATATTTTTGTAAGAGGAGAATGATAACAATGGCTGGTGGAGCAGAGATGGTGGTAGAGAGGAGAGGAGGGATGAGTTCTGAGTTAGAGATGTATGTTTTATGATGTAGATATGGAACTTCATGTTTTGAGATGTGACTGTCATAAAGTAATATAACTATATATATCTATATTTAAGGCTATTCTCTTACCCTGACTGGGTGGCCAGTGACCTGCTTTTAGACCAATTCCACAGGAGGGGTCTAAAGACTTTCTCAGCAAAACAGAGTCCTTAAACAAAGTGCACAAAACTCACAGGGTGACCTCTTTGAGCAAGACCCTCATCTGAATGTGCGAGTATGGGTGTGAGGGAACAGAGCTTTGGGATCCATGGGCCCATTGGAATCTCAAGTCTTCCAATTACAGAAAGCCCTCATTTAACATGGTCAATAAGTTCTTGGAAATTGTGACTTTAAGCAAAAAGACCTATAACCATTTTTTTCCTCATCAATGTTATAATGAAATGACACTGAGCTAAATGATGTTATTTCGGCACCTGCTGTACAGCGTTTAGCTTCCTGTCACAATTTCTTTTTCTTTTTCTTTTCTTTTCTTTTTTTAAGATGGAGTCTTGCTCTGTTGCCCAGGCTGGAGTGCAGTGGCACAATCTTGGCTCACTGCAACCTCCGCCTCCAGGGTCAAGTGATTCTCCTGCCTCAGCCTCCTGAGTAGCACCCGCCACCATGCCCAGCTAATTTTTGTATTTTTAGTAGAGATGGGGTTTCACCATGTTGGGCAGGCTGGTCTCAAACTCCTGACCTCAGGTGATTCACCCGCCTTGGCCTCCTAAAGTGCTGGGATTACAGGCATGAGCCACTGTGCCTGGCCCCTGTCCCAATTTCTAAGAACCTATTGGTGACATTAGGTGAGGACATACTGAACAAATGATGTGAATTTGGGCAAAACTTAGTCTCCCTGCATTCTGATCCATAAACTGTGGAAAAGGACCCTACTTCATAGGATTGTTTTGAGATTTAAATGAAATAATGTTTATATTAAACACTTTGCTTTATTACCCATTGCTTCTGAGCACCTTTCTCTACATCTCTGCCTCTCTCTCAACACCTCAGATCATTCTTCTGACAATGCCCACTGCACATTCTGTGCCCCCCACAGCCTTCCTGAGCTCAAAGTAAACATCAAATTACTGTTCCTGTTGTAAAGTGAAGAAATCATGGGGAGGTACCAGGGGGTGGGTGGAAGGGCTGGACTTGGCTGCACTGTGGCATAGGTGAAATTGGGCTTTGGCATTCTGCTGCCTTCTCTACAAGTAGGAACTGGTTTCTTCCTGGGGCAGGCAATGTTCATGGCCTACTCACTGGCATTTGCCCCGTGTTTCACTCCCTGATTTTGTAATAGGTGGATTTTTCTTCCTATTGGGAAGGGCAAGTCCCTCTCCTAACTTCCAGAGAATGAGTCATCATTACTTTAAGCCCAAGGCAATCTCATTCCCCTTTGCCAGTGACTGGTTTAAGGGAAGGCAAGGGATCCAGTTCCAACCAATCAGATGCAAGGAGAAGTCTGCTTGAATCTTCTGCTAAGGATTTCACTTTCTTGTTAAAAGACAGACGCGTGGCTTGCAATGCTATTTAATACTTTCTTTTCCTTCCATTTTCAACGTAGAAGTGATGCTTGAAACCACAGCAGCCATTTTGGGGCCACGAGGCAATAAGCACAAGGATAAAAAGCCAAGAACCAAAGATGGAGAATCAAGGGTGTAATGAACCTAGATGATATGATATGACAGAGTCCTGAACTGCTAGACTTCTTACTAGGTGAGATGAGTAAATGTATTCATTGCTTAAATCACTCGTAATTTGGATTTCTGTTAATTGCAACTAAAAGCATTCTTATCTAATATTCCTTATTGTTGAATAGCATTTCTTTCTGAAATGCCATACTGCAACCTTCCTGATAGCCCAGGATCTCTGCTAAGGTACCACTGAAGATCATGGTATTAGCTGGACTTAATGCATGGTTTCATCAATGAATACTTGCATTTTAACAAATAATTCCTGGAGACAAAGGCATAAAACTATAATGGCTGAATGACAGATATTGGGGTTAGTACTTTGCAGAGGGCCAGGGGCCTCGATTTCTGCCTCTTCAATACCTCCATGTAACTACTAGCTGGTTTACCTATACATTTTCCCCAGAACCTTGTTACTCAAAGTGTGGTCTACCAGCTGTACTGGCATCACCAGGGAACTTTTAAAAATATGAAATCTTAGGCCCCAGTCCAGACCCACTATATCAGAACCTGCACTTTAACAAAGATCTCCAAATGACTCATATGCACATTAAGTTTGAGGAGCACAGCCTCAGAGGATGTGGAATTGCTGGAGTTCAAAAACAAACAAACAAAAAAGGTCAGTTTTCTAGTGCTAGATAAATAGCTCACAAAGCACAGTGTCACAAGGAAAAAATTCTCATTTTGTCTTTTTATCTGGCTATGGAGATCTGGGGGTAAACTAGGTTTGTTGAATAAATAAATATAATTCTTTCAAAGTCATCTGAACTTGGAGATCAGAATCACCCAGCACAATCACTTGCTTCAAGATTATATATTACTTCTGAAATAGACACGAGTTATACAGAAACTGGGAGACAGAACAGAGATGGAAATAGTGGTGGTACGGCCCAAGGAAGTACCCACTGCAGCTGGGCATGGCCACATTTTATAGGCCCTCATTAAGTTCCATCATGTGAGGGTCCGCTCACTTCTTCAAATACTCAGATTCTCATCATTGGCAGTGGCTGGTGATCAGGTGGTAAGTTATCCATGCCAATAAAAATAAACATTAGTTTGCATGAGATTTAAGAATGTCAAACAATTAATCTGCATGAAATCTATAGCCGTCACATGGACAGGAAAGCTCCTCTTGGCCTGTTCCAGAAAATTTTCTCCCTGTAAAAATCTTCATGGTAACCCAAGTTGTAATCGGAAGTCATCTCTCTGATTTATCAGGAGACATCCCCATCTTGGGGACCAGAACTCTTGAAAGTCCCTGCAAGTAGTACATTCCCTCACTCCCCTTCCCAAGGCAGACTTACATGGAAGGCAAAACTAAAATGAGAAGGATGCTTTGTGTGCATGGAATCAAGATGAGGAGATTTAGATATATGTGTATAATAGCATCAGGATGAGATGGCTGGATGTATCCATCCTGCCATCAGGATGGTCTGGAAAAAGGGAGAAATTGGAGCCTAGCAGCTAAAGCTCCATGTCCCTGAACACCTGAACAGTCTCAGCCAATATTCACCCTCCCATTTTCTAGATCTTGATGATGATGGTTCATGCTATCTTTACATTTTCTATGCTTTTAATCAAGTTATAATCAACAGTGCTTCCCGGGTAACATGCTGTCTTTTTAAAGTGATTTGTATATTCTTATTACAGCCTAATATAAACTGCTCTCGCTGTTTAATGTGTAGAAAGCAATATCATTTCACTCTTTCTAAGTTCTTAGTAGGCATCTCATGGTCACCCTCAAGTACTACTATAGTGTAGACCAGTGGTCCCCAACCTTTTTGGCACCAGGGACCAGTTTCATGGAAGATAATGTTTCCATGGAAAGGGTGGGCAAGGAATGGTTTTGGGATGAAACTCTTCCACCTCAGATCATCAGGCATTAGTTAGATTCTCATAAGGAGCACACAACCTAGATCTCTCGCATGCGTAGTTCACAGTAGGGTTTGCGCTCCTATGAGAATTGAATGCTGCAGCTGATCTGACAAGAGGCAGAGCTCAGTGGTAATGCTCACTCCCCCACTGCTCACCTCCTACTGTGCAGCCTGGTTCCAATACTGGTCCAAGGCCTGGGAGATGGAGACCCCTGGTGTAGACAATAAGGTATAGTCTTAGTTCTACTTAGTGCCATTAATGGTTGCAGTGGAGTAGAGCATCATAGCTCCCAGCTTGTGTGCTTCCGTAGGACTGGGTAACAGGCGTGTCCAAGTAATTGATCCTCTCAACCCTTGGGGAACACAGGCAGGTCCTAGATGGCTGGAACCTTTAGGTCATTCCTGCCCCACAGTGATGTCTCACAATATGAAAAAAGCTGAGAATCCCTAGGATAGTGGAATGGACCTGGAAATCAGCATACCACTATGTATGTGTGGGCACCCTTTTGCAGGTCATTGTACTCTCAGAAGCTCAGTATCTAAGCCAGGTGGGCCAAAGCTTATTTCATGCTGAATCAACAAAGTTACATCCACCTGGGCTTAAAATGAGCTTATGAGGGGAGGCAGTGCCAGGCCTGCAAGTGGAATCCAAATGGTCCCAGGTGTGGAACTAACTGCTGGACTGCAGATGCAGAGAACCAAGTGGGTCATAGCATGAACAGAAATCAGACCCTTCTCCTTTCCTCTTGGTGCTCATATTTGTCAGACTTGGGAGGCTCTGAGAGGAGAGTGGCTGGTAGCAATGTTTAAAGAGGGCAAAAACAATGAGCTGGTCATTCACTTACCCAGTGGAAAGCCCAGGGAGGAACTCAACACATTTGGGAAGCAGTGACCAGAGTAACTTAGACTACATCTCAAATTATAGCCAATAAAGTGATTGTCATTTTTCTCGCAGAAAATGTACATATTCTCTGAGCTCTAGATTTTTTGACTGTGCCATTATTTCTGATATCCCAACAATTCTTTAACATCAGGGGACCTTTTACATATACTCTATAGAGCTAACAACATTTTCTATTACTAAATGGAAATGTTGTCCAGTATTTGTCTCCACTTTCTCTGGTAAGATATTCTGCCTCCTACCTGTGGACATTTAGCTACATTCCTGGTCATTAATTGTATAGTGAATATCTTGGCTGGCGAAATTTCTTAGTCCTTTTTTCTCTTGCTGTCAGAAAGCTTTCTGGAAAGTTTTATTTTGATATCACTGTATTAGTTTGCTGGGGCTGCCCTAACAAAATACTATACACTGGGTAGCTTAAAAGACAGGACTTTATTTTCTCATGACTCTGGAGGCTAGAAGTCTGAGATCAAGGTGTTGGCAGGTTTGGTTTCTCCTGAGTCTCCTCTCGTGGCTTGTGGATGGGTGGCTTCTCCCTCTGCCTTCACATGATCGTCTCTCTGTTTTCTAATCTCCTCTTCTTGTGGGGACACCGGTTGTATTGGATTAAGGCCCACCATATTTACCTCATTTTAATTTAATACCTCTGTAAAGGCCCTGTGTCCAAATACAGTCACATTCTGAGGCCCTGGGGGTGGGGGCTTCAACATACGAATTTTGAGAGGCCTGCAGTTCAGCAATAACAGTCACTAATAGCACTGAAATGAATCTGTGGCTGGCTCAGTCCTTCAGGGCAAAAAAGGATGTAGCAGATATCTGTTTTTAATTACACTAATAGCTCACAGGATTTTAGAACAGAACATGTCTTTGGAAAAGTCATCTCATCATATGCTGTTATTTGGCAGATTAAGAAACTGAAGCCCAGAGATGTTATGTGACATCCCTAAACATATACAACTGGCATCTGATGATGACCTGAGGGTGAGGCATATGGTCAGAACTTCAGCAGAAGCAAACTACTCTACTTACATATTCTTATATATAAAGCCAAGATAAAACCATGATTGTCTTTTTGTGGCCAGGAAATGTACTCATGGAAGAAAGCCTACTTATCGTCCTGCAAATTGGTAATTTTTCCGTGGTGACTTCTCTCCTTGAATCCTGGAGTTCCCACCTGGAATGTTCCTGGCTGCCTCTCTAGCAGTGATGTGGCTGTCTGCTGAGGTGGCCTCTGCCTGTGCCAGGGCCAGCAGCAGCTTCCTGATCCTGGCTTCCTGGTCCCAGTATGGCAGCCACAGCTGCCTCCTCATACTTTCAAAGCTGATGATAAAATCACAGAATCAGGAATCCAGCTGCCACCACTGCTCTGACACATTTTCATGACCTGCTTGTCCACAGATGTAGCAGCAGGGAGATAGCTGCTGTCTTACTGCTGTGGTTTAGGTCTTGCCTAAGTGCATCCAGAACCCTAGATCCAAGAGAGTCTGGGAAATGCAGATTTTAGCTTTCCAGACTGCAGTACAGAAAAGTACATAGAAAGAGGTGGAGTGAATGGAGAGTGTCAATCAACCATACCCAGCAAAGTTATACCGTGGGTTACATGGATTTTAATTAGTAAAACAGAAGGAATCAGTGAAGACTGCTGGGAACACTGAATGGAGAGGCTTCAGGTTTCTTTAGTATGGAGTTGAACTCAGGCCCAGTGGAGATCATTTCTTAAAAATGGTAAATGGATAACTTTTTCCAACACATATGCCTTCTGCAACTAGAGTCAGCATGCAATATACCAACAAATAAATCAAGAATGGGATTATCTGTTTTCAAAATTTGCCTGGGAACAAAAAGTATTTGTATCAGAGGCTGATATCCCTTGCCCCCTGCCCCATAGCCATTCTCTTCTTCTTCCTTTTAATGACAGAAACCCCCAGAGTTTAAGATAGACACATGGCCATCAAGCTAGCGCATAGGTTGGAAAACTATGGCCTGTGGGCTAAATCCGGCCCACTGCTTTTTTTGTAAACACACTTTTCTTGGATCACAGTGACACTCATTTATTTGTACATTGTCTATAGCTGCTTTCACACTACAGTGACAGAGCTGGATAATTGTGACAGAGACCACACAGCCTTCAAAGCTGAAAATATTGACTCTCTGGCCCTTTACAGAAAAAGTTTGTTGACTCCCGTGCTAAAGACTACAGTGTCTAGCCTCTCTTGCAGCTATGTGAAATCATATGACTAGCCTTGGTCCATGGAGATATGAGTGAGGGTGATACCTGTCACTTTTATGCTTTGGCTTTAAAATATTTGATGTATATCTTCTATCCCTCTTCCTTTTTCCTGTAGGCTTACCACACTTTTAATATAATGTACCAGATAGTTAATATTTTAGACTTTGTGGGCCATAGAGTCTCTGTCACAACTACTCCAGTCTGTCGTTGGAGCACAAAAGCAGCCATAGACAACACATAAACAAGTGAGCATGGCTGTGTTCCAACAGCACTTCACTTACAAGAGCAGGTGGCACTACAGATTTGACCTGCAGGCTGTAGTCTGCTGATTTCTGCTCTTAGAGATGACTGAGTAACACAAGGAAGGAACTCGAGTTCCTGAATGAACACATGGGAAAAAACTGCCCACCAACCTAGACCATTCCCCCAAGACTTGTTGATGAGAAAAACAAATACCTGACTTATTTAAGCCATCGTATGTTTGGGTCTCTCTGTTACCACAGCTTAGCCTTACATGGTGCATCTTGGGTTTGTAGATGATACCCAAACTTGAGAGATATTTTCTTTTTCTTTTTTTCCACTCTGTCCCTCAGGATGGAGTGCAGTGGCAGGATCTCAGCTCACTGAAACCTCTGCCTCCCTGGTTCAAGCGATTCTCGTGCCTCAGCTTCCCAAGTAGCTGGGATTACAGGCATGCACCACCACGCCTGGCTAATTTTCTGCATTTTTAGTAGAGATGGAGTTTCGCCATGTTGGCCAGGCTGGTCTTGAACTCCTAGCTTCAAGTGATCTGCCTGCCTCAGCCTCCCAAAGTGCTGGGATTACAGGCATGAGCCACCACACCTGGCTGAGAGGTGTTTTCTAATATTTGGTCAAGATCTTGATTCTAATGTTTGCAATTGAATGTTAACTGAGCACCTACTGAAGGCCAGTCTCTGTGCAAAGCATAGCAGGGGATGAAAAGATAAAAAAGACATATTCCTTCTCACCGCAAAGGACAATCCATGTGTTAGGACTTGGTGGTAGGTTGTAATCAGTTGTGAAGTTAGTCACTAGCAATTTACAACCTAAAGTTTTGAAGTTTGTGAATGATGTGCTGTGTCAGGGGACCTCAAGACCACCCTCAGGCTTCAGTGATTTCTTAGAAGGACTCACAAGACTCAGAAACTGCTATACTCATAGTTATGTTTTATTAAAGTGAAAGTTTACAGATTGAAATCAGCAAAGGGCAAGGCACATAGGGCAAAGTCCAGGAGAAACTAGGAACAAACCTCCAGATGTCCCCTCCCAGTGGAGTCATATAGGGGCCATACTTAATTTCCCAGCAATGATGTGTGAAAACACACATGAAGTACTGCCAATCAGGGAAGCTCCCCAGCCTTGGTATCTAGGGTTTTTTAACTGGGGTTCCGCTACATAGGCATTCAGCACCCATGTGACTGACCTCAGCTACTCAGTCTCTAGCTCCCCAGAGCAAAAACAGGCATTTATCAAAAATCACATTTTTAGCATAAACTTATCTGGTTATACTGGTACAGCCTGGCCCAAGGCCTCAGGCATACAAAAAACACTCTTATCATGCAGAATATTCTAAGAGCTCAGAGGTTTTGCCCAAGCCAAGGGTCAGTCCTGAAGAGAGGCTTTCTTTTGGAATGTGAAGAGTTTGAGCAACTTAGGGATTCTGAGTTAACCCTTTCCAGTGCATGTGCCTTTTATGTAAATAAAATAGATTTAAGCATATCCCCATCTTGCCTTTTGATATGCTTTTTGATTGGGATAGAAAAGGATTAAGTTACAGCTTTTTTGCTGGACCCTGACACAAGCATGTATAGAGAATATGATTGTCGGCTGGGCGAGGTGGCTCACGCCTGTAATCCCAGCACTTTGGGAGGCGAGGGGGCAGATCACGAGGTCAGGAGATCGAGACCATCCTGGCTAACACAGTGAAACCCTGTTTCTACTAAAAATACAAAAAAATTAGCTGGGCATGGTGGTGGGCGCCTGTAGTCCCAGGTACTCGGGAGGCTGAGGCAGGAGAATGGTGTGAACCCAGGAGGCGGAGCTTGCAGTGAGCCAAGATTGCACCACCGCACTCCAGCCTGGGCAACAGAGCGAGACACCGTCTCAAAAAAAAAAAAAAAAAAAAAGTATGATTGTCATCCTTCATAAGGGTGAAAAAGGTTGATAACTATCCACTTAATGAAGGGAATAAAATAAGAGCACATAAATTACAATGAAAAATCACAGAAAGGGGCCAGGCACAGTGGCTCACGCTTTTAATCCCAGCACTTAGAGAGGCCGAGGTGGGAAGATCACTTGAGGTCAGGAGTTTGAGACCAGTCTGGCCAACATGGTGAAACCCTGTCTCTACTAAAAATACAAAAATTAGCTGGGCATGGTGGCATACCCCTGTAATTCCAGCTGTTTGGGAGTCTGAGGCATGAGAATCGCTTGAACCTGGGAGGCAGAGGTTGCAGCAAGCTGAGATTGCGCCACTGTACTTCAGCTTGGGCGACAGGCTAAGACTGTCAAAAAAAGAAAGAAAGAAAAAGAAAGGAGGGAAGGAAGGGAGGAAGGAAGGAAGGAAATCACAGAAAAGTACGGCATGGGCTGAAAGGAAGAGTGCTCTCCAACATTGGAGAGATTAGGAAAGGTTTCAGGAAAGAGGTGGCTTGGAGATGGCCTTGATCCTTGGTAAGATCGTCACAGAAAGACTTAGGTGGCAGAAAAGGGATATTTGGGGCAGTGCAGAATGAGAGAATGGTGCAAAGGCAGTAAGGCATGCAAGTTGGCGTGTTTACATGGGACAGTGAGTAGTCACACTTGACTCTGGTGGGAAATGAGATTGGAAAAGTAGGTGGGAGTCATATTATGGAGGGCATTAGATTCTGGGCTGAAGATTTTCTGATACAATCAGCAGGCAATGGGGAGTACTCAGTCTTTGAAAGTTGTGCAGTGGAATATGTTCCTGTCTGTGGTTTAGAAAAATTCTTCTGCAAGAATATGATAAACTGAACAATGTTTGAAGCAGGACAACCAGTAACAAAGCTATTATGAGACAAAAAATAGTAAGAGCCTGAGTTATGGTCATGAATGTGGACAGGAGAAAATACTTACCAGAAACAATTTAGACACAGAATCTATAGGACTGTACTCTAAGAATTTGGTAAACAGAGGCATGTCAGAGAGAGGAATGGAGAAGAACCTAAGAGCTGTACATGCTCCATGAGTTAAAGTATAAAGTGACTGAGTAATTGTGTGCTACTGTAGGAAATAAGGAAAATAGGCACTAGAGCTTATTTGAAGAGGGGCTGGAGGTGGGGTGAATCACAGATAATCCATTAGATTTGGAAATGGTAAGTGTGAGATACCAGTAAAATGTCCAAATGATGTCTATCAGGCCATTCAAAGAATGAGTCTGTAGCTTGGGAACAGGTAATTTGTTTGAGAGTCTTTGTCATTGAGGTTCTGTGGGAATAAATGACATTGTCAAGAAAGAGAATGTAGAGGGAGAAGAGAGGCTGACTTGAGGAAGAAGTTTGGGGATACTGATAATTAAATGACAGACAAGGAAGAGGCATCAGAGAAGGTCAGAGGGAGAAGCAAAGGAGAATCAGGTTGGAAACCAAGGAAGGAAAGGGAATCCACTGGTTGCTGTGTCCTGGGAGGTGGAGCAGGATGCAGTGGAGAGAGACTGTTGAGCCTCACTGGCATAAAGAAAGGTGATGCTTGATGACCCTGAAGGCGGAATTGGCCAAATTTCAGGGTTTAGTGAGGGAGTACTGGGAAAGTAGAGGAGAAACTCTGCCATGCCTGGGGAGAAGCAAGAACTCCTGTGGATGGGGGTGGCTGGGTGGGAGACGCATGGATGGGACACAGTGGTAGGCCACCAAGAGTGAAATGCTAATTGCATAGGCACCCCAAAGCTTCCATGCAAGCTTAGCAAAGCAAGTGTCCCAAAGGGTTCAGATGATGACAAGTCTTTCTTTCATATGGAGCTGGGACAGATACTTTGCCAAAGCCTCTTTAAATGCTGGCGACACTGTGAACGCCCCTCAGGGACCACAGGGAAGAGGATCCCACAATCAATTATTATCTGGGCACTCTTTACTCATCGTGGAATTTGGCGCGCCCTTGGGTGCTGTGTTCCAGCTCAGGATCTCCACTTTTCAGATTAAAGAGCTGTTATAACTCTCTGTTTATTTTAGGAAAGATTAATGGTTCCCCCTCCTCGTTTCTCAGGGACAGACTTTAATCTGTCTAGAGTGAGTCATGAAATATATCAGCTCAACCGCTCTGGCTGCAAGATTACAGATATAAAATTGTCCGATTTTGACAAAAAACAGCTGCAGCCCTTCTTTTGATTTTGAGTCCACAATCACATGTGGATAGAGACAGATAGGGGATGTGCCTGGTAAGAGTTCCACGATAGGCAGAGACATAGGTCAGGAGACACAAGCCCTCCACCCTTATCTATAATCCTCCCAAGAGCCTCCAACTTGTCACCTTCAGCAAGATGTCTCTCAATTAATTCATGTCAGGTTAATTTAACTCAATTCAACCAACTCTCACAAGCTACTTTCACGATTAATGTGGAAAATGAAAGGTGAGCAAGAAGGAATACTCTCAACAAGTTTCAGTCTACCGGTGGTGAGCTAAGACCCACCAAGGAATAATCGTGATAAATGCTATTTAAAGCTGTTTGAAGAAAGAGGGCATTGAAAGGTGAGCTCCAACCTTAGGCAAGACCTTCTGGAGAGGGCAGTGTTGGAGCTGATCTTGAAGGGCCTTGGCGTGTGTGTATGTGCACAGGTGTGCATGTGTGTATGCACCTGAGTTTACAGGGTTAAGCAGAGAGAAAGTGAAGCATTCCAGGAAAAGATACTTTGATAAGCACGTGGAGACAGAGAATTGCAGTGCTTGGGGAATGTGTGGGAAAATCATAGTTGAAGAGGGCTTTAGGTCCAGATGTTTGATGTGTTAGATTCACCTGGGCAACTTGTGAAAAATTCATCAGCCAAGGTCTTGCCACTGGATTTTAAAAGCTAGGCTGCTGGGATTTTGAGACGTTAATGATTTGCCAGGGTCATTTTGCTCATTAACTAATAGTAGGACCAGCTGGAGGACCTGTTTTCAGGGAAGAAAAAGTTTGTTTTGTTTTGTTTTAATTCAAAACTGCTGGGGTGTAAGATTTGCGAGGGGAGTTACAAAATAGAAGACTAGAAAAGTAGGTTGGACCCAAATTATGGATAGATTCAATGAAAGGCTAAGGAAATTGGAATTTTTCTATCAGCAGAGAGAGTCATTGAAAGTTTCAGAGAAGTGACATTGTCAAAATAATCAGAGATATCATCTAAAAACAAAAACTTATGGGTTCAGCCTGTTGACTGGAAATAGGAGTATAACTGGCTTACAGATTCCATACCTTCCCAGCCAGTTAGGCCCTCCTACTCTCATCTGAATCACATTCCTCCATAAGCCTATAGAGGCAGGGGTCCCCCCTCTTATATAAGTGATGAAATATCTCTGAGCACCCTCACTGTATCAAGCATTTCAAAACAGCTCTCTAAACCCTAAGGATGTAGTGTTGGTAAGATGAGTGTAAATGCTCATTTGGCTCTTGGCCCAAAGAAAGTACATGCTAATCCTCCCCCAAACCCACCTCATGGGGTCCATCTACCTCTGTGGTAGGAGTAGCAGCCCTGAGTCCTTGCCTGAGGATAAAGGGAGAGTGTATGTGGGTGACCACAGTGCTTCACCACAGCCAAGAGAGCAAATCAGGAGTCAGGCCTGCAGATGATGGACCCTCTCAAGGCTTCATGGGCAGATGGCAAGTCACAGAATGGGGATAGAACTGTGTTGCTCCTGGAAGTCTGCAGTCTGGAAGTCTGGGCCCTAGTTAGGGCTACATTGCTTATTGCAATCAGAAGAGGAGAGGTGGGAAAGAGATTTGAAGCCTGATTAAAAGCCCACCAGCTGTTTACACCAGGTGACGCTGGCCTTGGGAAAACAACTACTGGCCCGAATAGCTGCCCCGTGGGTACTTAGCTCACCTGCTTCCTCATACTGCTTGCCTTCACCACGTGGAAAATTCTCTCAGCCTTTACCCATAATTTGTCTTTCTTCTTTTTGTTTTCTGGAGGGTAAAATGTAGTTTCAACTGAGAGATCAAACAAAGATACCCTAAATGGAAGCACTCTGTATAGAAGGAAGCTCAAGATTGCAATTAAAATGTTGGCAGCATCATTGGAAGGCAGAGAAACTATCACCTTGGAACAAAGATTGGGCTAAAATAATCCAGAATGAGGAAAATTGTTTAAAAGAATTATCTACACCATGAAGAAATTCATCAGCATTTTGTGTAAAAGATGGAAGGTCAGAAGTAACGTACCTTTCATTTATACTGTGTTCAGATGTAGCATTTCTCAATGGGTATGTTATTGATAATTAGGCAGTACTGTGTTATATACAATTTTTCCACATTGGCAGCCACCTCGCATCCCCAGCACCTCCTCCAAAGTGCCAGCAGCACTCTCAGTCATGGTAAAACTAAAAAAGTCCTGAGAAACGCTGCTCTAATGTTTCAGAGTGCATGTGAATAAGTTATTTCCTTTAATCAGCATAATGATTCAAAATATTTGTAACATTTTCACTCTTCAGATGATGAACTGAGACCGAAAATGAATTGCTGGCTTTTTCACCTGTCTAGTGAAGGGTGCTGCTGGGCCTCAAATTCGAATAGACTGATTCCTAATTCAGTTCCTTCTCTAAAACATTGTGCTATCTTTCAATGGAGGCAGAGATTTATACTTGATTTCATCAACTAATATATATATGCACCTGAACTTTTGTTGTTATTTATATTCTAGCTATGTTCTAAGGAACATAGATTTTGTTAAACAGAACACACTTTGTTTCGCTGAGGGCCTTGATGGACACTTAGCGGTAGGAGCTAAGGGGAACTGGGCTAATTTGTCTGATAGAGGGAGAAGGTCATGGAGCTCCCAGGGAAAATAAGGAAGGAAGAGAGGACAGGACAGAGAGCCTAGAGGTAGAGGACCTTGGGAAGCCTGGAACTATGTAACATGACCCACCCACATACTCTCACTCTGCATCCCAAGGTATTACTTGTACAAAGTATTACTCAAGAAATGCTTAAAGTGTGAATTGTTTTGTATAAAATGACAAAGGGCTGAGTATTACACCTGGGTTGAGAGAGGCTGATACAGAGCCAGTACATATGGACCCAGGAGCCAGAGGCAGGAGGGATTATGAGTGCAAGTTTCCTGACAATTAGAAAGAATCAAAGGCAGGGATGTTCACAGGTGTAGAATTGGTGGATTCACCCAGACATCTGAGACTGTGGAAGCACTAGCTCACATCTGGGTCACAGGCAACTCAAATGAAGGTTGAAATACTGCAATGCTGCTGGGCTCTACAATATTTTCCAGGAATTGTAGTCAGGAGAACTGATTTATGTCAAAGAAAACCAAGCTTGAAATATTTGAAGTGACTGATGATTTACTTCCTAATCTGATGAAGACCATAGAGGAATTCTCTGGATAGAGTTAAATTGATGAGTGAGGGACATGATGTAGACCCAGAAATAAACACCTGGAAGGAATATGCAGCCAGCGGCCCCAGAACTGTTGCTTCCATAAGCATGGAGAGGCTTATGGGTGGTCATTCTCTGTAATAAACATTGGATGGTTCCGTAACTCCAGATTCCATGAAAATGACAAAATGACAGAAAAGGACTGAATCCATATATGGAAAGAGGACCAAATCTTAAGCATAATTATTATCTAGTTATGATTGCTATACACTGGGATTCTCATATAAACATCCAGTGTGTTCACAATAGGAACCTGGTGAAACCTGGCTTGGATTCCTTTGGCCACATCACTCTGTTCATGTTTCAAATGAGTCTGCTCTGGTTTGTTGCTTTCTTGGATTCAAAGCCTTCTTACTGTTAGGAAAATGTTCCTTATCTTTGCCTGTGCCGTAATCTTTATGTGAGAAACAGGAGATGGTGTCCCCGGATGCATGCACAGCCCTGCCGCTGAGAATCTCACTGAGACTTGTGCCTGAGTGCTTCCCCCTAGGGGTTCTCTGTGACATTGCCCTGCAGCCGCAGGCAGGGTGCTCATCTGCTAGGCCACGGGGTCCTTCAAGGATCCCAAAGTTCCAAACCGTCCTGAGAGGAGAATAAAAGAAAGACCATTACTGATGCCAGATTTTTGTGTTGGCTTCTTCTACTCTGATACTTCCACAGGAAGTCTCTCAATTCCTCCTCACAGTCCTAATTATCTTGTCCAACCTTTTGCCCTAAGGCAGGCTTGGGGCTGACATATCCCAGACACAATTAGTCGGTGGTTGACTCTCATTCAAATAATAATAATAAATCAGAATGACATTGGGTTCTTTGAGGATGAACTTGATAGGCATGAAATCTCAAACAAAATCCTGCGGGTATGAATCCCGGTTCCTCTCCCCGACCCCTGGGCTGAGATTGCCTGTCCCAGCCAGCACAGAAGGAGGGGACACTCTATCTGGCTTCCACTCTTCCCTCAGTGGCCCTGGGTTTCCACTGCAACCAGTTTAGAATCCAATATTTTACAAGAAGATGCCACAGAAGGAGCACAGCTACTGCTTAGACAGGCAACTCTCAGGTTTCCAGAATTTAAATGGGTTCAGAAATTATCCTACAAGTCACAGTTAAAGGGTGTTCAGGGACAAGTATAAGGCCCACCAAATAGTTCCTTCATTAAGGGACATTTACAGAATGCAATCGGAGTCCCAAAATTCAAAGAAAAACCCCACAACCTTAAGCTAACCATCTTTAGCTTAATTCTCTATATGAAAACATGAATTTGAAATTTGCATGGCATGGCATTCTACCCAAGCCAATCGTTTTGGCAAATATAAAAATTTCCTGGTAAATATTAATAGGCTCCAACCATCGGAAGTGAGGAAGTGTTGGGGGAGTCAGTATATTCCTTCCTTCACAACCTGGCTACCAGGAGTCATATTACAATGAAAAGAGGTTTTAGAAAATATTCTGACAATACCTAGACATTTATTCACAAAAAGTCTCAAAAACAGTCTTAAACATGGCATGTAGCTAGGAAAGTCCCAGTCTTTATCCTTGGGCCCTCTTTTACCTTTGAGTCGTCTGTTCAGCATTCCCCATAAAAGGCTTAGTTGAATTTAGGACAAGCATATTCTGATGGCAGGTGTGTCCAGTTTTGTACAGGGTCAGGTACAGGGTGCTGTGTGAAGTGGAGGACGTAGAAGCAACTTGGGGGTCTAGACTGCAAGCTTGCACCATTTGTATTCAGAAAGCTGGGCTTGCCAATGCTTATGCTTCATTCAGGTAAGGGCAGAGTTTCTGGTATAACACCCCTAACCAACCATCTGGTTTGATTACTACTCACCTCACCAATTAGAAACTATTTTAAATATCCATTATGTTAGTAAGCCTCCTGGCATGGGTTTAGTTAATTATATTTAAATGCTAAGTGGACCATCTTAGAAGATGTTGACTCTGGCTAGGGTGCTTCATTTGAGTTAACCAACTCCAGCAGTAGTTAACTGCTGGATCCCCCAAACAGGGTATTTTAAATTCTAGCCTCCCCTCTTGGAGGATAGATTAGAGTTAACTTGTATATACAACTACATCACAATGTCTCAACTGAAAAATTTTATTTATTTATTTTTCTATTAAACCAACCAATCAGCAGCAAACGGAAGAATTTTAAAATGAAATACCACACAGACAATATAGCACTTGAGACAGTGAAGACTGCACAAAGCAAGATAGAGTCAGAAGCAAGATAACAGCCTTAATGAGCTGACTTCCTGCTTTGTCTTCAGGAGCGTGAATCTTACTTGCCTCAGTAGATGCTGAGTTCCATGTAATGGCAGGCTCTCTTTGCTGAGATGGATTTATTGTACAAGAAATAAAGCTTCATTGAGCTCTTTCTAAAACTTTCTATTTTAGAGCCTAGAATTTCACTGGCCCAAGTGTACCTAGAATAAATCAGATAACTGTATTCGGAGCTTTCAGAACCTTCAAAAGAAAATTTGTGGCAAGAGCCACAGAAGTGAGTCTGCTCCTCTATCTAAGTCTGTATCTCCACTCTCCTCTGTTGTGCTGAAAGGTAATAAAACTCTAGTAGTGAAACATCTAAGGGTGAAGAAGCATATTTCAAATGTGTTATCAACGCAGGAGCAGAAAGCCAAATACTGCATGTTCTCACTTACAAGTGGGAGCTAAATATTGGGTATTCATAGACTAAAGATGGCAACAATAGAAAATGGAGGCTACTAGAATGAGGAGGGAGGGGGGCAAGAGTTGAAAAACTATTGGGCATTATGCTTAGTACCTGGGTGATGGGATCAGTCATACCCCAAACTTCAGCATCATGCAATATACCCAGCTAACAAACCTGCACGTGTACCCCTTGGATCTAAAATAAAAGTTGAAATTATATTAAAAAGGCATATTATCAAAATTCTATTCATCAATGGAAAAATGGCAGACAACAACTGGTGAATCCCTGCTGAAAGATAAGCCTTTACTAGTATTTTAGGCATTCTCACTAACTTGCAAAGTTATAGTACTTGTGCCCTCAGATCCTTTATGGAACAATGTGGAATGGAAATTAAACATGCATACATGCACACACATGCACACGCAAAGCTGTAACTCTGATTGATACTTTATTTTAATACAAGGTTTAAAATGAAAACCAGATCATTGAAATCTTAAATTAATTTCACATTAAACCTTGATAGTTTTGAAATGGTGTCACCCAGCAAATACCAAATAACCTGAACTTTGAGATTAAACCTCTTCTATGGAACACTATTCAATAAGTCTTTCCCATTATAAGCCTTTTGTGAAACAAAGTGGTGTAGAAATATATGTAATAATAGCAACACAATAACATAATAATAATAGTAAATAAACCAATGCCTCAATCTTGTGAAATATCTCAGTACTTAGTTTTGCTAGGCTTTCTTTCAGCAGCTTTGATTTCCCAGATGTATGGCCTCTGAAAAATAGCAAAAATAAATCAATTACAATAGGAAAGGTAGCAAAGGCAAGGATGGTGATTGTGTTTATGTTTCACTGAGCGAAGACATTAGCGGTCTCTGGTATTTACTTACTTGATTTTACTTACTTATAATCATTTTTCAAGGATTGGACCTTTTTTTTTTTTTTTTTTTTAAGAGACTGGGTCTTGCTATGTTGCCCAGACTGGTGTTGAACTCTTGGGATCAAACGATTGTCCTGTCTCAGCCTCCCAAAGTTCTGGGATTACAGGCATCAGCTACTATGCCTTGCCCAAGGATCAGACTTTTTAAAGAAACAAAACCCCTATGGTCTGTGAGGCAGCATGTGCACAGATTATTGACAGGGCGAACATAGGTCTGTCTGTGGTTGACTCTATTTCCTGAATGATACGGTGGAAGGGTACCAGAAAACCCCTCTGTCCTCAGAATACATCCCTCACTACCCTGTCATGGTTGAGTGAGCTTCTGCCATTAAAGATTTTATTTGTTGGACTTAAGATAGTAATTTTCTAACCCCTTTAAGCCACAACATTCTTTCTTTCAGTGATCTAACAAATAAAATAGATAAAAGCAGAGATGCTGTAGCTGAAATAGGCGACCCATTGGTCCAGCTGGCCACTCCCTCTGAGGCACAAGGGCAAACTACCAGGGCTCATCAAAGCACATTTTAAAAACCACAGTGGCCGGGAGCAGTGGCTCACACCTGTAATCCCCGCACTTTGGGAGGCCCAGGCAGGCGGATCACTTGAGGCCAGGAATTGACCAGCATGGCCAACATGGTGAAACCCTATCTCTACTAAAAACAAACAAACAAACAAAAAACAAAACAAAAGCTCCACTGGGTTAAGACGGAGCTTCCCAGTCAATGTGCACACCAGGGTTAGAGATGTTGGGAGATATGGATCCTTTCAGCCTTCTGCGGTGTGGCTTGGGGGTCCAAGTGGGGTGGTGGCTGGGGCTAGGCCTCATTGTCTCTCACTTTGATTTGTCACAGTGTGTGGTAAAATGCTGATTATTTTATTTATTTATTTATTTATTTTGAGACAGTCTTCCTCTGTCGCCCAGGCTGGATGGCAATGGCACGATCTCAGCTCCCTGCAACCTCCGCCTCCCAGGTTCAAGCAATTCTCATTCCTCAGCCACCCAAGTAGCTGGGACTACAGGCATGTGCCACCATGCCTGGCTAATTTTTGTATTTTTAGTAGAGATGGGGTTTCACCATATTGCTCAGACTGGTCTTGAACTCCTGACCTCAAGTGATCAGCCCACCTTGGCCTCCCAAAGTGCCGGGATTATAGGCGTGGGACTTTTTTGTGTGCAGACATGAGAAAAGGTTAGGGATCCCCCAGATTAGGGCATTGTCCTCTGATAGAGGCTATCGCCCTCAATTATGACTAGTTATTAAACACCTCAGGAATTTTTCTAACAAACTTTTTTTTCTGCCAATTTTCTATGAAAGGGAAATATATGTCAGGCAAATCTTGGTAGAGGAAATGGTGAAAATACAGGTCATCAACTGGCCCTCCCTGGGAAACCAGACTTGAGTGGGAGGAAGCCAGTGAAGAAATCTGGATGGCCTGGAGACAAAAGACAGCACTCAGACAAGAGAAAGCAGACATTAGGAGGGCACGGAAGAGGAGGCCACGCCCTTGCCAACCCCCAGCCCCCAGATCTCAGTCCGGTGCCCCAGGCAGCAGCTCAGCCTCTGTCAAGGTCATGCACACAAGCACAGATAGGGTTTCTGAAAGAGAGTTTTCACAATGTAAGTGCTCATTTGGGAGACCCAGACAAGTGGGTTCTTCACCTGGAAGAAGACAGGCTTGAGTTTCGAAAGCGTCGATGAGTAATTCCAAGTGGGACCCGTCAAAGAGGGAGACAGGCAGGCCCTGACAGTCCCGGACTGCAGAAACAAAGCGGCTTCCCACCTCCTCCCGTCCCGCGTCCTCTTCCTCTGTTTCTCAACTTCTTTTTTCCCATCGTTCTGTGACTCACGAGTGTCAGCCGCTGGAGCACTCCCCATCTCCCAGCCCTCAGAGATCTCATTGTGAGCATTTTCTTCTCATCCCCATGCACTTAGGGTTGGGCACGCAGCCAGACACGATCCACTTTTCCAAAGGCGCCCCCTGAGGGGCAGCTTCCTGGCAGGCACCTTCCACAGGCAAAAATGATTTGCCTGTGAAGACTGATGCGCCAGACGGACAAGCTGAGGTTTATGGTTTTCCACCAAGGGGTTTCACAAAGCCTTGCCAATTCCCCTTTTGCCATTGGCCAATTCCCTTTTACTGGCTCTCTCTGCCTGTCATCTGCTTTGTCAGCCAAATCCCTTTTCATTTTTCTCAGCTTCATCTTGGACCCAGGCCTGGTAAAGCCTGTCAGGAAGATCCCTGACACACGAAGTTTTATGTCCCTTCCACCACCAACCTAGAGGCCTCGCCTGGGCTTCACCTCTGTGCTGTTTCAGAGAAGCGCGTTCCCATGTCTTAGAGAGGGCAAGCACGTTTAACAGAAACACTCGATGAATAATAGCACATATAATTATTTTCAAATGAGAATTTAAATCAAAAGATGTAAAGAAGTAATGGAAATAGAACCCTCAGGAGAGAATTGGAGGGGGAGAAAAACCAAGTGGAGATAAACTAAAATAGAAACTGTTCTTGTACAAAACTGAAAATCACCAGGGAGGGTCCAAAATTACACCAAAAACAGCATAGTTGTTTTGGAATCAGGAATCCTGGATGCCTGGCTGAATTCAGGCACCATGCGAATTCTTCTTGGGATTATTTTGGACCTGTCTCAAACTTACTTGCCTTTTTCTCTCCATTACGGTGAGAAATCACTCCTCATCATTTCTCAGCAGGATCTCTGAGTGCTCGCTAAGTGTAGGGGGCCCCGTCGCTTACACACAACTTGCCCTGGTGCCTATTTGGGTTTTGGCTTGTTTGTTTAATCTAACATCTATTGAGGCCCACTAGGTGCCAAATACTTTACATGCATTATCTCATTTAATTCTCATAACAGCTCTATGATGTAGGGATTGTTATTATCCCCATTTGAGGATGATAACAGATGAGGAAACTGGAGCTGAGAAGGTAGAAGCCATCTGCTCAAGGACACACAGCTGTTAGAAAGTAGGAGAAACGGAATTCAAACTCAGGCGTGTCTGGCCACAAAGACCATGCTCCGAACCATTCCATGGCCACCCTCTCTTCCTCTGTGAATGACTTTCATGTTTAAACTATTTTGCAGTTTGGGAATAGAAATACCTGCCACTCAGTTGGCCTCCAAATATACAACTCTCAAGCCCACTCCCATCCAAGCCAGCAGGAAAACCAGCTCTTCTGTTAGGGGTGCCCCTTGAGGCAGGGACTTTTTAACTCTTACCAGCTGTCAGGTGCTCCTATGGATGCCAGAAGCAGCTGAAATCCAAGGGTCTGGAGAGATTCTCTCCTTGCATAGCTAAGAGGGCTTCCTGGAGGTGGTGTGGCTCAAGCTCTGCTTCTGGTCCTCAGTGATGCTCATAGTTCTTCAGAAGGAAAGCAGGATGCCCACCCAGCCTGGCCCTCTACCCACTTAGGTGCTACTTGCAGTCAGGAGGACTTCCCACAGACACGGGCCAGACTCCCAGTGACACCATCGTAGAGTCATTGACAGTCATGAAGACACACTGCCCGGATGGGGGAGTGGGGTGTGAGTGGGAGGGGTGGTTTCGGCATGAAATTGTTCCACCTCAGATCATCAGGCATTAGTTAGATTCTCATAAGGACTGTGCAACCTAGATTCCTCTAGCATGCGCAGTTCACAATGGGGTTCCTGCTTTTCTGAGAATCCAGTGCTGGCGCTGATCTGACAGGAGGTGGAGCTCAGGCAGTAATGCCCTCCCACCTGCCACTTACCCCCTGCTGTGGGGTTGGGTTCCTAACAGGCCATGAACCGGGTACCAGTCCGTGGGCTGGGGCTGGGGACCCCTGCATTAGGGGACAGGCTCCTCTGCTGTTCTCTTTTTAGTCCTGTCACATTCTTCCTTCACGGTGATTTTCAGGGGCTTCCTTGCCTTTCTTGTGCTTGGGTATGGCTGTGGTCACCCACTCACCTTTAGTTCACCTCAGTGAATTTCAGTAACTTTGAATCTCGGGGAAGAGGTGTTGGGGCTTTAATCCTTTTAATCGCTTTCCTCACAGAAGGTCCCCAGGAAGTCCTCAGGTAAATGTGCCCCCACAGCCCTCAGAAAAGTTCAAGCAGTGCTTACAAACAAAATAATCAAGCCTCCCCTCATCCTGCTGGAGTCCTAACTCTCAGGGAAAGCCCAACTACTTCACTGTTCCTTGATCTCTGCCATTTAGTTGTTAGGTGAATTTTGCCCTCACAAGCACCTTGTACACTTGTAATGTGTGCGCCCCTCCTTGGCTTTTAGTGCTCAACAGAGCCCAATAACTGTGTCCACCAACTGGGGCCCTGGAGGAGTCTCTCTCTCTCCCTCTCCTTTTCTTTGTTTTTTAGCAATATTGGGAGCAATAATGAGTTTATTATTTTCAAGACTGTTTGGACTCCTCAAACGAGAGATATCAAAGGCAGGTTTCTATGGGGATTGGAAGTACTTTATTGTCAACCACCCTACAGCCTATCTGCAGATTACAGACCTCTAATCTGTAATAGTATAATGTAATGGAGCCATATTTCCAGCTATTCTGTCTTTGTTTGCATCACCAAGGGATGCAGGGGTTGTAGAGTGGAGACTCATGGTGGGCCTGTGAAATACCAGAGGTTTTATTTATTCATTTTTTTTGAGACAGAGTCTCACTCTGTGGCCCAGGCTGGAGTGTAGTGGTGGGCTCTCGGCTCACTGCAACTTCTGCCACCCGGGTTCAAGTGATTCTCCAGCCTCAGCCTCCTGAGCAGCTAGGACTATGCGCCCAGTTAATTTTTGTATTTTTTTTAGTAGAGACAGGATTTCACCATGTTGGTCAGGCTGGTCTCGAACTCCTGACCTCAGGAGATCCGGCAGCCTCGGCCTCCTGAAGTGCTGGGATTACAGGTGTGAGCCACTGTACCCGGCCGGGCGAGAGGCTTTGAAAGGAGCTGACTGTCTTCCCCTCGCTGCTCTTCTCTCCTCTGGCCCCAGTGGACCTCAGCAGGCCAGCTGACTCCCAGCCACCTGACCCAGTGTCACTCCCTGCCTGGACGCCTGGGGCACCAGGCTAGGGCAGGGGACTGTGCTATTTCCTTCTCCCCTGTGTATTCATCTTGCTCTTACACATCCGTCATGACCAATTTTGCATTTCCAAGGTTGGAATATGAGGATATTCTTTCTCCTGTGAGTGTTACGCTTTGAACTCAATAAACTGCCATGAGGAGGCACAGATAAGAAGTTACCATTTCTTAAGTGACTTCTGTTGCCAGGCTCTTTACATACAATATCTTATTTAGTCCTCAGAAAAACATGGCAAAGGAGATTTAATTCCATTTCCCTATTTGAGAAATTAAGGATGCAAAAGAGGTGCCTAGTAAGTAACTTACCTAGCAAACGATGGAGCAGGAATTTGAATCTGCAGTCCATGGCCTTTACACCCCTTGACTCTCCCTTATGGGTCATGGCCTATGGCCTGGTAATGGCCTTCCCTCGGGGGAATGAGCTGAGGCAAAATTAAGAAGCATTTCGACTTGATTATACTTTTATCAACCGAAAACCATTAAAAAGGTAAACTTAAGCATTATGGAATATTGTCATGTCATTTCCATGGAAGATACTAATTTTAAAACAAAATTGAGCACTTAACTCAATGTAATTAACTAGCTCATTTTCTCTAAGTATGATTTTATCTTACACTTGAATAGAACCTGAATTTCTAACTCACTCTCAAATCTTTTGCTGGGCATCTCTTCCAGTTTGACTATAGCACTAGAATGTTCTGCAGCATCAGCAATCACCCTGTCGGCAGCTTCAGAGCTGTTTCCCTGTTGTGATGAAATGCCCAGACTACAGAACCAGGCTGTGGCTTCTCAGCCCAGCTCTGCCACCTATTGAGGGTGAATCACCTCCCAGGATTGTTGTGAAGAATTAAGTTACTAGATTCAAAGCATTTAGAACAGTGAGCCCTCAGTGAATTTTAGCTACGACTATTAAAAATGTTTTCTACCCTCCTGGAAAAACTTATCTGTGTCTGCTTTCTGATATTGCTGCTCAGCTGCAAGTAGAAGACAACCAGCCGGGCAAGGTGGCTCATGCCTGTAATCCCAGCACTTTGGGAGGCCGAGATTGGCGGATCACTTGAGGTCAGCAGTTCAAGACCAGCCTGACCAACATGGTGAAACCTTGTCTCTACTAAAAATACAAAAATTAGCCAGGCATGGTGGCACATGCCTGTGATACTGGCTACTTGGGAGGTTGAGGCAGGAGAATTGCTTGAACCCAGGAGGCGGAGGTTGCAGTGAGCCGAGATCATGCCACTGCACTGCAGCCTGGGTGACAGAGTGAGACTCTCTCAAAAAAAAAAAAAAAAAAAAAAAGGAAAAAGACAACATATGTGTCATTCACTTGAAGTAGCTGTGAAAGATCTGGTAGGATAGTTGAATAGTCCTGTCTTTGGGCAGAGGACAGCATTAGTGTTGACAATAGTTGAGTATTACTTAGCATTGTACTGAGCTAGAACTCAAGGGAGAATGAGATTCTTTTGCTGCATCTCTTTTATAATAAAAGTTATCATCTTGTTATAATTAAAAAAAAAAAGCACCAAAACTACTGCATTTCTAGAGACAGGAGGCATTCCTAACTTTGGTAGCATGATTTCAGCTGTAGAAAGAAAACTGCATTTTACATAGGAAGAAATAAACAAAAATATTGGCAGCAGTTATTATGGGATAGTGATATTTTATTTTAGGTTTTTAGGGGTTCCTTGGGTACTTTTCCATAATTTTCAAAATCTTTAATGAATATACTTTACCTTTACAATTTAAAAGTTATAAAAAATAAATTTATTGAAATTGGATAAATTGACATCCATCCAGTTACATCCAGCTTTTCTATTATTTATTTATTTTCCTTATTTTTTTTTGAGACACAGTCTCACTCTATCACCCAGGTTGGAGTGCAGTGGTGGGATCATAGCTCACTGCAGCCTTGACCTCCTGGTCTCAAGTGATCCTCTCGTCTCAGCCTCCCAAAGTGCTGGGATTACAGGTGTGACCCGCTGCATGTGGGCAGCTTTTCTGTTCTGCCAACATTTCTTTTGATGACAGGATGGGTGTTTTTCCATCATTTTCTTTTGGCTACATTAATGTCCTTGCCAAATGTAATGCTTGTCTTACTAAACCTAATTTCAAGAGTAAAAAATCACCAAACTTTACTTATCTTCTGATACTGTGGCTTCAATCTGTTGGACAGACATTTGTGTCTTTGGTTGAGATATAGAAACAATTGAACAAATACCAGGGAAAGCAGAGTTTAAGGCAAGGTAAAACTGAAAAGAAAGAAAATAGTACTCAATCCTATCCCAGGCAAGCTGATGTCACTCGTTCGGATTGCAGCTATACAAGGTCACTCTATTTGACATCATTCTTGTTTGGTAACATTTTGCTCAAACTCCTAGTCCTTTCTATAAAACACTAGATTTTTTATTCATCAGCCTGCAGAACTCTTTCAAGTACTTGCAAAACTAACCAAAATTTTAGATTGAATAATGGGTTCAAAAGACTTCCAAACCTTCAGGATCAAACGGGAAGCTAATGGAAGATTTTAAAGCAGTGGTCCCTTCCCATTGCATTTCATGTTTTTCCCCCTTTTACAAAGAATTTAGAGCGTTTCAGAAAATATACCTGGGAATTAATGAATGATTCAGGAGTGCTCTTCTAGAGGAGAAAGTTCATTCTTTGTTTATCCAAGTCATTATTTAATGATAAACAGGCGAGGGGAGAGAACTTAGCATTAGTCCCGGTGCCAGCCAAGGGATAATTACAGTTAGCATTTCTGTAGTGTAGACGCTGATCTACGCACTTTACACATAATTAAATCATTTGATCCTTGCAACAGCCTTATGAGAGAGGGTTCTGTTACCTTCATGTTACGGGGGAGGAAATTAAGATCCAGGGAGGTTAAGAAAGTTGTTCAATGTCACGCAGTCATCAGGTGATGGAACTAGGGTTTGAATTGTAAGCAGGCTGCTCCACAGTCTGTGTTCTTATCTACCGCACTATTTTGCCTCACATTGATCACTAGAACTAGAAGGATGGGGGTAGCATGGATTGGCGGATAGAGCCAGGGCCCTGCCACCCCCACGGCAGCATCACCACCACCACCCTCACCAGCAGCAGCCTTAAATACTGTTGTGGGTTTAATCACGGCCCTCCAAAAGATACGTCCATGCTGTAAACTCTGGGACCTATGGATGTGACCTTCCTTATTTGGAAAAAGAATCTTTACAGATATAATTAAATTAAGGATCTTTTGATGAGGAGACCATCCTGGATTATACAGGTAGACCTGAAATCCAAGGAGAAGTATCCTTCTAAGAGAAGGGCAGAGGGATATTTGAGGCAGAAAGAAGAGAAGAACACAGAGAAGAGGAAGTGGCAATGTGGCCCTGGAAGCAGAGATGGAAGTGATAAGGCCACAAGTAAAGAAATGGTGACAGCCACCAGGAGCTGGAGGAGGCAAAGAGCAGATTGCCCCTCAAAACCTCCCAGAGGCTGAATGGCCCTGCTGTGTTTCAGATTTCCAGGCTCCAGGACTGTGAGGGAAAACATTTGTTATTTTAAGCCAGCTAGTTTGTGGTAATTTACTACTTCAGCCTCAAGAAACTAACACAGATATTATATGTTGGTATAGTATTTTTTTGGTTTCTAAAATGCTTTGGCATGCATACATGGCTTCATTTGTACCCCCTAATGGTTTAGTTTGGGGACCCAAATCCACCATGAAATGGCTGTGGGATTTTGTGCAAGTTGTCAACCTCTCTGGCCTCTATCTTTTCATCTGTAAAATGAGGCAGATAATGATGCTCGCACTGTGTCCCCCACCAAAGTACTGTGAAGATTAAATGGAAAGACACGCTCATGGACTTGCTATACTGACAAGTTGTATTTGATGCTGAGCTCTCTTTACCTATCCTTGGGTGACAGCTCCCTCACTGCCTGGAAGAGGATATGGGCACCATAAACACACCTAGAGGGAGTGTGGGCATGCTTCTGCCACCTCCTTCACCAGCATGGTGTGAGGCTGAGGGTGAGGGCTGGGTGTGGAGAGCCCAAGGCCACTGGGAGACAGGACAGGGAGGGAAGTTTAACAAGACTGTGCTTTGCCATGGGTTCAGTCATCTCATGAGCTGAGGCTTGGGGTCCCAAGGCTGACTTCTCAAGAAACATTTGGTCTAAGAGCAGAAAGGCGGAAAGGTCTGTCCCTATTAGCCCTTGTCCTCTGCATGATCAGAAGCCAGGGACCACCCGTGAAGGTGTGAGTAGAAGTTCATTTTCCTGCTGACCTTTCAATCCAGAGCCTTTGGGTGATGATGGCTCTGAAAGGTGGTAATTAGTGCTAATCGAGGTGATGGTTTTGTGAAGCTGACACCTATCCATTAGGAAATGGACTGAGGCCAAGGGACCAGCCACCCCACCAGGGGACAAAAAGCTAAAAAATCAATGCGTGGCCAAACTCTGCACAATTAGTGTGCTCCTCCAACCATGCTTTAGTGCACAAAGGGAACCCTTGCAAGGATAGAAAATGGGAGCTCCAAGGTTGAATGCCACCCTAAGCCTAGGAATAGAGACATAAACAATGACAAGGAAGAAGAGACACAGTGGGAGAGAGAAGAGGAATGGCGGGAGGGCAACTCGGTGTGCTTTTATGAGGGACAGAATACACTCGGGCAGCTGAGAATAGCACGCAGTAAGCCAAGGGCACTCACTCATCTACATTCAGTATAAAGCGATTTCCTGATTTTTCATGAGTTATGCCGCTTGCATTCTATCAAATTTGTTTCCTGTTCCTTTACTCCAGTGAGTCTCTGCAGGTACCCAGAATTCTGCTAAAATTTGGCATCATCAAGGAACAAAACCTTCACTCATGTTATTGCGATAACTTTATAACTTCTCTTTTCCTTATGCCCCATCCAAACCATCCTCTACACTTAAGCACAAGTGAATTTTTAAAAACACAAATCTGAAAGTGTAACTCCCCTGCCTAAACCTTCCACTGGCTTGCTATTGCTGTTGTACTTAAGATAAAACCTCAAGTCTGCCACATGGTCTGGCTGTTGCCGACCTCCCCAGGCACTCTGCGTGCCGCTCTCCCCACCACTCTCCGCCCTCCTTTCCACCCTCTGTTCTGGCTATGAGTCTTCAAGTAAGTCATTCATTCATGTACATATAGTATAAGTATGTATGTATGTAGACATATACGGAAGCAGATAACCAAGTTAGATATCCGTTTGACTAGAAAGCTCTTTCCCCTGTAATGTGTATGCCTAACTGCAATTTTTTGTTCTTCTGACACACACAGAAGCCTTCTCAGACTCTCTCCCTTTAATTATGTTCCCCTTATTAATTTTTCATAATTCTCATAACATTATTTTCACCTTAATAGCTCTTACTACAAATTATATGTGTGTGTATGATTCATGTGTATATATATATATTCATATTAAAAGATCAATTAGTGTTAGCTTTTAAACTAATGTAAGAGTCTTTAGAAACAGGCAAACAGATTAGAAACACTTTTCTTCCTTTTTTACTTCCTTCCTTTTCTTTTTTCCTTCTCTTTGCTTTGTTCTTTTCTCTTTTTTTTTTTAAATACAGGCATAAATATAGAAGGGAGGATCATATATATGTGTGTGTGTGTGTGTGTGTGTGTGTGTGTGTGTATATATATATATATATGTATATGAATCATAGTTTGCCTTTTTGCTCCTCCACTAAATTGTTAGCTCTAAGAAGTGGGACATGTATGCTTTGTTCTCTGCAGTAAATTCAGTTCCCCAACCCCAGATATTCTGGGATTTGATTGGTCAGGGGTGGGGTGGGGTCTGAGCACCGGCCTTTACTGAAAGTTCCTCACATGGTTCTCATGTACAGCCAAGTGGAGACCTGTTTATCTAACCCACCTTCATCATTTTAAGAAGGAAGGAGCTGAGGCCCAGAGAGGTCACCTGACTTGGTCAAGGTCTCTTGGAGCTGGCTATAAGCAGATTGAGACAAGGACTCAGTTCTTTTAGGGCCTGGTCTCTTTGCACACTATAATGTCCCTTCACTTAAGTTGGAGAAGCTTTATCACTGAGTAGAGAGAGGTTTCTTTCATATTTTTGCATTCTTGGAGGATGACTAACTCATGCTTGTTAGCCTGGGACTTTCCAGGTTTTAGCGCTTTAGGTCCTGTGGGTCTCAGGTAAAGGAAACAAAAATATGCCACTCCAAAATATACTTCTTTGGTATATTTTGATATGACTATTCACAGGAACTGCAAACCACAGGAAAAGCTTTGAAAAGCTGTCTTTTGGGGAGGCGGGGAGATTTGCATCTGTAGAGGAAATCTACATTAGTGAAATGAAGTTAACAGCAGACACAAACAGGGTTTTATAAGGCCTCCCTTATCCAGACCTAGGAAAGATTAAATCACAGGAAAGAGGGACTAAAGTTCTGACACTTCAAAAGGTCTGACAGATAAAGTTTTACCACATAAGAGCAGGATACTGTCTGTTCTTTCCGAGGGCTGCTATCCATGGGGCTCTATCTGCATAACAAGATAGCCTTTGCTCACCATGCCTTTTCTCCCCTCTTCCTCCAATAACTTGTCTTGCCATGCCCCAAGCCTCTATTCCTTGCTGTATGGTATATAACCTTCAGCCATCTGGCTTTCCATTGAGTCTCATACTTTGTGTGTGGCTTCTGTGTCCATATGCACATTAATAAAATTTGTACACTTTTTTTTCCCTGTGAATCTGCCTATTGTTAGTTTGTTTTATAGACTCAAATTATTTAAACTTCAGAAGCAAGAGCGAAGGAAATTCTCTTCATCCCTACCCAGGCAAGCTGAGATGGTTGACATCACTGTTTGCACAATCACTAAGTCCAGGTTAGGAAAGAGAAGCAATGCCATACGGTGATTGAAACCCAAATTCTAAAGCTAGACTCACCTAGGTTTGAACCGTGACTTGTCAATTAGATGATGACCTCAGGCAAGCTTCAGTTTCTTTATGTGTAAGAAGGGAGAAATAATGTTGTATGCCTTAAACAGTTGTTGTGAAGATGAAATTAGCTAATATTTGTAAAGCACTTAGCACAAAACATTGTTCATAGTAAAAGATCAATTATGGTTAGCTTTTAAATTGATGTAAGAGTCTTTAGAAATGGATAAAATGATAGATATACTTTTCTCCCTTTTTTCTTTCCTTCCTTTTTCTCTTTCCTTCTCTTTGTTCTTTTTTCTTTTTAAAATGCAGGTGTAAATATAGAAGGGAGATGTGTTTCTGAAGGTCTAGCAATTGCTAGAGCACTAAAATACCTCTTTTTTTTTTTTTTTAACCAGCGCTCATTACTGTCTGTCAACTCTAAATGCCACCCAGACATTTCTAGGTAGTGCAATTTTGCCCTGCCAAGTGAAAGCATTTCATGACGCTCAATCATTAGGCAGCTATTTAAAACAATTTTCTTTCAGAGCTTCTCCTTCCCTTGGGCATTCATGCTGAAGACTCTGTCAAAGTGCCTATTTCCTGGAATCTGGCTATAGCAGACTTCCCAGAGGTTGGTACACCAGACTAATCATTTTTCTAAGGCAGCACTGGAGCCCTCAGGATACCAGTTGAATCTGATCCACATGGTAGCTCTGGGAACACAAAATGCTAATGATGTGGAACTTAGGCCACTGGTATTTATTCTATTGTTGTTTGCTTATTTATTTATTATCCGTGCAGGCCAACCAAAAGATAAATTTGGGACCAACCTCAAACAAGGTAATTGGAGTGTTCATTCAGTAGTCTTAGCTTACTTGTACTGGCCATCTTTATGTCTTTAGTGAGTCCATATTAGAAATGACGGTGTCTTTTTAGAAGGATGAACTAAGCAGAAATGTAGAAAAATCAGAATTTTTGAGATTCAACTTTGAAGACAACCTCCTCCAATTCCTTGGAGAGTATTTTGCTCATTTAATACTTGGTTACATTGTAACATTTTGCAACCCACCAGGAAATCACTCTAACAGTAACTGCTCGTCAAACAGTGACAAGAGGATTTGGGGAAGGCAAACAGCTGCAGATTCAGATGTGGGAGGGAGGTGGGCAGATGATGGGGGAATGAATCTTGAGTGTCCACATGCCAGGGAGAGGCTCAGCCAGGAATGACACTCCAGGGTGACTGACAGTCAATGAAACTTGCCATTCTAATCAGCAATAAAAAGGAATGAGCTGTTGCTATACACACAACAGGGATGGATATTAAAATAAATGTGCTGAGAGAAAGAAGCCAGACCAAAAAAAAAAAATAGTGCCTACTGCCTTTCATTTATATACAATGCTAGAAAATGGAAACTATTTCACTGTGACAGAAAGCAGATTAGTAGTTGTCTGTGACTGCACTGCCACCATTCAACCTGTTTCTTAGGTCAGTAATTTGGCATCACCTTGAATCTTCCTTCTCGCTCTCGCTCCTGGTGCCCATTGACTCAGTAGACAGGCCCTAAAGAGTCTACCTTGTAAATTTTGTTCATAATCACCCTTTTCTCACTGTTTTCATGGTCACTTTCTTAGGTCCAATCTTCATACATCTTTTCTATTTCTTATTTGTAGTAGTCTCTAAATGGTTTCCTTCCCTCTATTTCCTGCCTATTCTAATTTATCCTTCATACTGTTTTCTGAATAACCATAAAATATTTTCTATCTTTAAATATAAAAAACAAAATTATAAAATATTTAAAAAATCATTTAAAATGTGCATAGAATTACAAACACTTCAGTGCCTATAACCCAAGATTAAGGACTGTTCACATTTTGGAATTTGTCTTTTGTGTATTATTATAAAAGAAGCTTCTCTTTTAATGGAACCATCTTTGCTCTACTTCCCATCTTCTATGCCATGGGTGCTCCCCAGTTTCCAACACTGTCATATATTTGTATATATCTATTTAGCTCATGTTGCGTACTTCTAATAAATATATGTATTCCTGTTTAAAAATTAAATAAATGATATAATATTGTATATGTCATTCTGCAACTTGCTTTATGACAAGTGTTTGATAACTATGTGTGCTGATATAGATGAAGATGAAATTGACTCTATACTGCTATATAATATTCTTATTACATTATACATTATGCATTATCTTGTGGGTGGGGCATTTGTGCTGTTTCTAGTTTTTTGCTGTTAATAGAATTTAAAAAATAAATATCCTTGTGTATGTCCCTGTAGTGAACTGAATGATGGCCTCAAAGATATGTTCATGTCTAATGCCTAAAATCTGTGAATATCACCTTGTATGGTGAAAGATGTTATTAAGTTAAATATCTTAAGAGGAGGAGCTTAGTCTGAATTATCTGGGTGGGCTCTAAATACAATCACATGTGAGAAAGAGAGGCAGAGGGAAGTTCAATACCACACATACAGAAGAGAAGGCAATGTGAGCACAGAGCAGAGATGCAGCCATAAGCCAAGGAAAGCCAATAGACACCAGAAGTGAAAGAGACAAGGAATGCATTCTCCTCTAGGGCTTTTGGAGGGAGCTCAACCCTGCTTCACCTGCATTTCAGGCATCTGGCCCCCTGAGCTCTAAGAGAATAAATTGTTGTTGTTTTAAGCCAAACAAACTTGTGGTAATTTGTTATGGCGGCCACAGGAGCTAACACAGTCCTGCATTACATTGAACAGTAATTTTCCACGGATTTAAACTTATGAGTCACAGGGCATGTGCAGTTTCCACTTTACTTAAATATTTAGTGAGTGTGTTACTTGCAATTGCAAAAATATGGAGCCAGCCTAATTGCCCGTCAATTAACAAGTGGATAAAGAAAATGTGGTAGATATATACCATGGAATACCACTCAGCCATAAAAAGGAACAAAATAATGGCATTCACAGCAACCTGGATGGAATTGGAGACTACTGTTTTAAGTGAAGTAACTCAGGAATGGAAAACCGAACATCATATGTTCTCACTCATAAGTGGGAGCTAAGTTATGAGGATTCTAAGGCATAAGAATGATACACTGGACTTTAGGGACTTGAGGGAAAGGGTGGGAGGGGCATGAGAGATAAAAGACTACACACTGGGTACAGTGTACACAGCTCGGGTGATGGGTGCACAAAAATCTAAGAAATTGCTGCTAAAGAACTTACTCATGTAACCAAACATGACCTGCTTCCTAAAAACCTATTGAAATAAAAAAAAAATTTAAAAAATAAAATAAAATGAGCTAAAAAGAGTGCAAAATAAATTTAAAAAAGATATTTAGCAAGTATGTTAATATTTTATTTTACTTTATTTTATTTTTCGAGACATGGTCTCACTCTGTCACCCAGGCTGGAGTGCAGTGGCATGATCATGGCTTCCTGCAAACTTGACCTACTGAGCTCAACGATCCTCCCACCTCAGCCTCCCCAGTAGCTGGGACCACAGGTGCACACCACCACACCTGGCTAATTTTTGTATTTTTTGTAGAGATAGGGGTCTCACCACATTGCCCAGGCTGGTCTCAAACTCCTGAATTCAAGCAATCCTCCCACCTCATCCTCTCAAAGTGTTGGGATTAAAGGTGTGAGTCACCACTCCCAGTCATGAGTGTGTTAATTTACACTCACCAAAGCAGTGTGTGCTCCTTTCCATTTCCCACATCTTGGCCAATTGTTGATACTGTTGGACTTTAAAGTCTTTGCCAATCCAAAGTGTGTAAAGTAGTATTTCATTATTATTTTACTCACATTTCCCTTATTACATGTGAAGCCGATAATATTTTTGTATGATTGTTGGTCATTTAGATTTCCACTTCAGTGAGTTTCCTGTTCATAGTCTCCACCCATGTTTGTTACAACTTCGGTGGTCCTTTACATTTGTGAATACTAATCCTCAGTCTGTCACTTATGGTTCAAATATTTTCTGTAAGTCTGTAAATTGTCCTTTAAAAATGATGTATTTTGAGGGAGAGAAGCTCTACATTTTAATTAAATTTTTATCAAAAATTTCAATTAAAGTTTTATCAAAAGCTTAAAGATTTACCAAACCTGTTTTTTATAAGTCATACTTTTTTTGTCTTGTCTAAGAAATCATTCCCTACCTTCAATTCATGAAGATTTTCCTATTAAATGTATACACTGTCTTTAAGTCCTATTTTTCACATTTGATCTTTAATTTATTCAGAACTTTGTATTAGTCTGTTCTTGGATTGCTATAAAGAACTACCTGAGACTGGATAATTTATAAAGAAAAGAGGTTTAATTGGCTCATGGTTCTGCAGGCTGTACAGGAAACATGGCTGAGGAGGCCTCAGAAAACATACAGTTATGGCAGAAGGCAAAGGGGAAGGAGGCACATCTTACATGGCTGGAGCGGGAGAAAGAGAAGACAAGGGGGAGGTGTTACACACTTTTAAACAACCAGGTGTCATGAGAATTCACTCACTATCATGAGAACAGCAAGGAGAAAATCTGACCCCAAAATCCAATTACTTCACAGCAGGCCCCTCCTCCAAGATTGGGGATTACAATTTGACATGGGATTTGGATGGGGACACAAATCCAAACCATATTATTCTACCCCTGGCCCCTCCCAAATCTCATGTTCTACTCACATTGCAAAATACAATAATCCCTTCTCAACAGTTCCCCAGGTCTTAACTCATTTCAGCATTAACTCAAAAGTCCATCTGAGGTTGGGCATGGTGGCTAAAACCTGTAATCCCAGCACTATGGGAGGCCGATGTGGGCAGATCACCTAAGGTCAGGAGTTCAAGACCACCCTGGCCAACATGGCAAAACCTCGTCTCTACTAAAAATATAAAAATTAGACAGGCATGATGGTGGGCACCTGTAATCCCAGCTACTCAGGAGGCTGAGGCAGGGAGAATTGCTTGAACCCAGGAGATGGAGGTTGCAGTGAGCTGAGATCATGCCACTGCACTCCAGCCTAGGTGACAGAGTGAGACTCCTTCTCAAAAGAAAACCAAAAAAGCAAACAAAAACGAAAACAAAGTCTCATCTGAGACAAGGCAAGTCCCTTCTGCCTATGAGCCTGTAAAATAAAAAAACAAGTTAGTTACTTCCAAGATGCAATAGGGGTATAGGAATTGGGTAAATCCTTTCATCCCAAATGGGAGAAATTGGCCAAAGGAAAGGGGCTGCAGGCCCCATACAAGTCTGAAGCCCAGCAGGGCAGTCATTAAATCTTAAAGTTCTAAATCAATCTCCTTTGACTCTGTGCCTCACACCCAGGCCATACTGATGCAAGGAGTGGGCTCCCACAGACTTGGGCAGCTCTGCCTCTGTGGCTCTGCAGGGCTTGGCCCCCATAGCTGCTCTCAAAGGTTGGTGTTGTGTGCCTGTGGCTTTTCCAGATGCACAGCACAAGCTATCAGTGGATCTACCATTCTAGAGTCTGGAGGACAGTGGCCCTCTTCTCACAACTCCAGTGGGCAGTGCCTCAGTGGGGACTCTGTGTGTGGGCTCCAACCCCACATTTTCCCTCTGCACTGGCCTAGTAGAGGTTCTCCTTGAGGGCCCCACCTCTGTAGCAGACTTCTGCCTGAACATCCAGGCTTTCCCACAGATCTCTAGAGCAGGGGCACAATGCTGCCCAGTTCTTTGCTAACACATAACAAAAGTTACCCTTTCTCCAGTTCCCAATAAGTTCATCATCTCCACCTGAGTCCTCCTCAGCCTGGCCATCTCTGTCCATATTACTATCAGCATTTTGGTAAAAACCATTCAGCAAGTCTCTAGGAAGTTCCAAACTTTCCTTCCTCTCCCTGTCTTCTTCTGAGCCCCCCCAAACTGTCCCAACCTCTCTGCCTGTTACCCAGTTCCAAAGCTGCTTCCACATTTTCTGGTATCTATAGCAATGCCCCATTCCTAGGTACCAATTTTCTGTATTAGTTTGTTCTTACATTGCTATAAAGAGGTACCTCAGACTGGTTTATTTATAAAGAAAAGAGGTTTAGTTGGCTCACGGTTCTGCAGGCTGTATACGAAGCGTAGCTGGGGAGGCCTCAGGAAACTTTCAATCATGGCAGAAGGTGAAGGGGAAGCAGGCACATCTTACATGGCTGGAACAGGAGGAAGAGGAGAGAAAGGTGCTACACACTTTTAAACAACCAGATCTCATGAGAACTCACTCACTATCAGAAGAACAGCAAGAGGGAAATCCACCCCCATGACCCGGTCACCTCCCACTTGGCCCCTCCTTCAAGATTAGGGATTACAATTTGACATGAGATTTGCACAGGGACCAAATCCAAACCATATAAAACTTATTTTTTAGAATATTATGAAGTAGGAACATAACTTCACTTTTTTTCTATATGACAGTCACTTGTACCATTTTCTCACTGGTTTGTAATGCCACCTGGATCACATACAAATCACATAACTTGTGCTTTATGCGTCTCTATTTAGTTTTCTAATCTACTGATCCATATGCCTATGTCAGTGCCAGACTGTCTCAATGATTTAGATTTATATGTCAGGACTAGCCTCCTTCTTAGTGTTCTCTTTTTTGAACGTTGTTTTGTCTATTCTTGAACATTTAAACTTCCAAATGAATTTTAGAATTGTTTAGTTTCATTATATATTCTCCTGCTTCTTTCATCAGAATTGCATTGAACTTACAGGTTAATTTTTGGAAAATTTACAGGCTTACAGCACTGAACCTTATCATTATTTAGTAAGGCAGATTAAAATCAAAGTATGTCTGTAGCTATTACATTGTGAATAGCACAAAAACTTTGAGGAAAATTCTTCCATAGTTATTCCATAAGTATTATCTAATTCAGCAAAGACATCATTCCCTAATGAATGCCCACAACACATCTTCACAGTTTCACTTTGTTAACATAATAAAAATATCAACCAACATTCCTATCAAAACTATACGCATTCATCATTGGTTGGCTACAGAAACAAGAACTCAGCAAAAAAGCAATGGAAGTATTCTGTGAACATCAATTGGCTTTATCCAATTTATAATAAAGAGCTTTATATATCTTATTATTATTTATAAATTATGTGATACAGAACCTTTATATTAGAAAATATAATAAACTTTTGTATAAATACTTTTAATATATTTTTAATTTCTTAAAAATATATTGATAGTCTTCCCCCACCTCCCCAGCCAGAAAGCTGTTTGTTAAATATTTACCAGCACACCACTGGCTCTAGCCCTCACCAGTATCTACATACCCTTGCAGAAGGCTACTCTGCTCCCACGACAAAAGTGCCAGAGGGTGCCCCTCAGGTACAGATTATCTGAGAGGCCTCATGAAAAGTGCCCTGTTATGGTTGTTAAACATTTACCAGCACACCAATGGTTCTATCCCACTCCCCAAGGTAGCAGCTCTCAACCAATGACAGAAAGAGTTGATGTATAAATACCTCAGTTCCCTCACCCTCAGATGGGTTGAGATAACTCTGATTTATGTTTTACACTCTTTCCCAGAGCTTCCCTAAGAGATTAAGCTCCAGTCACCCCAAGTAGGAGCTGGCCTGATAACACACCCTTTATTGTCTTCTCTTTCATTTTACTTCTTCTTTTCCCACTGATGTCTTCTCCCAAATCAACCTGTGCTTGAATTCTTATCTGTTCAAGACCACTGGATCTATAATTCGTATATCCTTTCAATCTGATTAAAAGTATCAAAAAAGGCTGGAAGGTAGAGATTGGATTTTGTGAAGAGGGCAGTTTGGAGAGAGTTGTTCCTATGCTCTAAGCTCCACTTGCCAATAAGGGAGAGGAGAGGACAGAGAGAGAGAGAGAGAGAGACAGCATGTGTGCAATTTTTCTCAACTCAAGGGTATGAGAATATGTACTAGTTTCCCAGGGTTGTCGTAACTAAATACTCCAAGTTGGGAGGCTTAAAACAACAGAAATTTATTCTCTCACATTTCTGGGTGCTACAAATCTGAAATGAAAGTGCTAGCAGGGCTAGTTCTTTTTGAGAGCTCTGAAGAAGAATCTGTTCCATGTCTGTTTCCCAGCTTCTGGTGATGGATGGCAGTCCTTGGTATTCCTTGGCTTGTAGATGAATCACTTCAATTTCCTGCCTTTGTCTTTGTTTCTCTCCTTCTCCTCCTTCTCCTTCTCCTCCTCCTTTCTGTTCCTCCTCCCCCTCCCCCTCCTCCTCCTGCTCCTTCTCCTCTTCCTCCCCTTTGTCCTCCTCCTCCTCCTTCTGTCTTCTTCTTCTTCTTCCTCCTCCTTGTCTTCTTCCTCTTCCTCCTCCTCCTCCTTCTTCTTCCTCTTCTTCTTCCTCCTCCTCTTCTTCTCCTTTCTCCTCCCCTCCTCGTCCTCCTCCTCTTGTTCTTCTTTTCCTTCTTCTTCTTCTTCCTCTTCTACTCCTTCTCCTCCTTCTTCTTCTACTCCTTCTCCTCCTTCTCCTTCTTCGTCTGTTCTTCATCGTCGTCTTCTCAATCTCCTCCTTCTTCCACCACTCGTATTGGAAAAAGAGCCCACCATACTTTAGTGTGACATCATCTTAAGTAATTGAATCTGCAATAATCCTACTTCTAAATAAAGTCACATTCTGAGGTACCGGGGTTAGGACTTTAGCATATCTTTTGGCGGGACATGATTCAACCCATAATAGGACGTTTTTCATGAGCTCTCTCAGAGCTCCGAGTGGTGATGCCTCCCTCATGCCCAGGGAAAGCTAACTAGTGGTGTTAGGGCAGAAGCAGTGACGATAGGTTGGACCTGCACTCACAGAGTGGGAACAAAGGTTGTATGAATATGCCCCATGGACTAGCCAGTGGGCCCTGGCTCAGGTTCTGTCCAGTAAGATCACGTACATGGCTGGAGGGACCCTGGCAAGTAGCTCAAGGTAAATGCTGAATGTCTGAGGACTTAGGAAGGATTTGCAAATGATGATAAGAATAGGGTTACATCTGTCTGAATTAAGAAAACATAGGGAGGAATCCCCAGGGACATAAACATCCAAATAACCCATGAAGATGCCCTATAAGACAGAGTCAGCTTTAACTATATGCTGAGAAGCAAACATACAATGTTATCTGGCAAAGTTAGAACTGGTTTATTCTTTTAATTCTCTCTCCCATATCTTTTTTCATCCTGGTTGGGGCAGAAACCATAACTAATAAATGGGGGAGAAGTGGGGATGCAGAGAGAGTTGAAGTCAATCACACCCATGTTGCCAGAGGCAGGTGGCTATTAATCAGGCCTTAGCATGATGAGCACAGAGAAGTTCCACCTTTCAATGAATTTTAAAGCCTTTGAAAGTAGCTTGGACTAGACTTTTTAATTTCCTAATAGGGATTATGATTAGAAACTTAGAGGGGCTTTAAGATCATCCCTTGCCTACAAATGAGTAGGCAATGAAATCATGATTTCGGATCTTATGTGTTTCATGAGCAGGAGAAAAGTACCACACTAAATAAATTTGGAAGAGTCATTTGTACGGAAAAATAAAGTTGTCTATGATTACTTCCCATAAGTTATGCAATCAACATGTTACATGTTATCCTCATCTCCCTCCACTCCTTAAATCCCTCTTCATTCAGTCATACCGAGTTTCTTACATTTCCTCAAACCAACCCCACTGTTTGGTTACTCCATACTTTTGAGCATACTGATCTCGCTGCCTGTAGCATCCTCCTTCCTTCTTCCACTTCTAGCTAACTAATTCCTATATAATCTTTCAATACATTGTCTCTTCAACATCACCTTCTCTGAGAACCATTCTTTTAACCTCCTCCTTTCCACCCATATTTAGATGCATACTCCTACATAACAAATCTTATCACACAATTGTTGATTTCACATGTGCCCCCACTGTTCTGTGTATCCTTGAGAGCCTGAAATAGGTCTTATGATGTTCTTGGTGCTTAGCACAATGTCTACAACACAGTAGGCATTCAGTAAATAACTACCAATGGTGACGGTGGGGGTTCGCAGGGAACAGATTAGGAACCAATTCTCAGGATTTTCCTGGGAAAGTCCCACATTTCTGGAGCAGAGTACGAGACTTCTGAAAGGTGTGAAGCAGCCTGTGAGTCAGAAGAAACATCACTGGGCTTGCAGAGAGCAGCAGAACGTGGAGCTACTCATAGACCATGTAGACATGGCACACTCAGGAGTGCCATCTTTGAATCCTGCAGGACTATAAGGAGCTCAGAGATGACCATCAATTTTTTTGAGGTTCTCTGGAAGTTGGGTGGCAGATGGAAAGAGCTAGTGCTTTGTAACCATTGCCAAAATTTTTGTTGACTTGAATCTGAGTGCATATGAGATGGAATGATGGAAAGCCAAAAGGATAAAGAAAATTTAAATAAATGTGTCAGGCACAATGCTTAGCACACTGCTTGACTTAGAGAGTTAAGAACTCTAAGAGTCCTAAAGAAACAATAAGCTTCTCAATAGAAATTTAACGTAAGGAAATCTGCTAACCTAGAACATGAGAAAGCAGACAAAGAAAAATGTGAAAATCCACACACACACACACACACACACAGTTTGTATCAGCATTTCATCACTGCCTGTCATGAGTAAGTGTTGCTTTCTTGACTGTTCCTCTAAGAATGACTCTCTTCTTAATGTTTATAATAAAATGTAGCAATAATAAAACATAATGAAAGATAAATGGGTGTATTTTTAAAAGTAATGATACAAAAGAGAGTTTATGGTGCATGGCAGGCCATTTTTCGTACTAAAAGGGGCCAAATTTATCCACATAAAACATGATCTTGTTCACTGCTTTTTCTGTGGAGTAAAAGCCATTTAAAATGTATTTCCTTCCCTTAACTCTTTCAGACTTCACCTCTTGTCTTTGTTCGACCCTGGATATTAACAATCAGCTTATTGTTGGTCTTACTGGAAGGTGAACCACTTCCCCCTGGGGAGATCCTACCTCATGGGAAGCTCACTGTGCTGTATTTTTTTAGGAAAAATCTCAGAGTCTTCATTTTGGGCCTTGACATGAAACAGAGAATAGTGTATTTAGGATCTGAAAGACCAGAAGCAGCAACCCTTAAGGGAGATTCTTTCAATGGTAATAGAACAGAAAGAGTCATAGAGCTGGACCTTAGTATTCTTTTCTGGGCCTTCCTTTCTTAGATTGATGCCTGGTGAGGAGGAATTATTATTTGTTTCCACACCACCAATTTTTCCCATTTCTACTCTCCCTTCTCCAGCTGACTACTGGAAGCTGAGCCATTTATTAGATTGGTGGGTTTTTTTTTTTTTTTTTTTTTTTGCTTATATCGATGATGAAGGAAGTTAGAACATACTTGCTACATACATAAGCTTAATAACAAAACTCATAATCATCACCAATTTTATCTTCATAAAAAAGAAACATTCTAATAGTCTCTCTCATTGAACATTTGCTGTGTCCTAGTGCTGTCGGAAGAATTTTATACACATCGCATTTAATACTCACCACAACTTTGTGAAATAGGTAACCTACCTTCCTTCCTTCCTTCCTTCCTTCCTTCCTTCCTTCCTTCCCATCTTTCTTTCTTTCTTTCTCTCTCTCTCTTTCTTTCTCTCTCTGTCTCTTTTTCTTTCTCTCTCTCTCTCTGTCTCTCTCTCTCTTTCTTTCTTTCTCTCTTTCTTTCTTCTCCAGCTTCTGTATCAAGAACAGGTGATACTGTTTTCAGTATGCACACAAAGGAAGTTGGGATATAGGAGGCCTGCACGACTTGCCCAAGGTCTCAGAGTGCAGAAGAGGCAGGGTGAGTACCAAAGCCCATGCTCTTCACCTCTGTGCTTACATTCACACTCAGCACCTTTCATTGTTGATGGCTTTGTACTTTGAGAACTTTTAGTGGTAGCATTTTTAACCCCAGATCTAATTTCTTGGCCACCCAGAAGCAAATAGGTGTCCAAAAACTTAAGGTTGTTCTAAGAAAGGTATAATTATGATGGTAAGCCTGTTTTTTTTTTTTTAAGTAAGCCATTCTTAAAAAAATGAGCCATTCTTGCCCTACCTACAAGTTACTTGTGGAGAGCTCACTCTCTGTAATTTTAATTCTACATTTTCTGTTCCTCAGAGTTGCTTTTTAGAAAAGTCTTTATTTGGAAGTACTAAATTGAAGGGGAAAAAGTCAATGTGCTTTTAAAGGTAGATTGTCCAGATTGATTTTTAAATTTTATTCTAGTTCTATTTTTGAACATCATTTAGTAACAAAATATTAGTTGTATCCTTGATAATAGAGAATAAATTATAAGTCCTATACTCCCTGAAATAGACCTCACTGATAAAAAGTCAATTCGAGCCCATTTACAAGAACATAAAAAAGTATATATTTAACAAAAGTGTACAATACTTGTATACTGAAAACAATAAAATATTGTTCAGTCAAAATAAAAAAAGACCTAAATCAATAGAGGGATATATTATATTTATGGATTAGAAGATTCAATATTGTAAATATGCCAATTAGTCCATAACAGAGGTCAAAAACCTATGGCCCATGGACCAAATGGAGCCCACTGCCTGCTTTTGTAAATAAAGTTTTATTGGAACACAGCCATACCCTAAAACATGATCTTGTTCACTGCTTTTTCTGTGGAGTAAAAGCTATTTAAAATGTATTTCCTTCCCTTAACTTACATATTACCTACGGCTGCTTTTGCTCTCAAAACCTAAAATATTTATGATCTGACTCTTAAATGAAAAAGTTTGTGAATTCCAGATCTGTGCATTAACATAGTCTCAGTCAAAATCCTTATGACTTTTTTTTTGTGTAGAAACTGACAAGCTGATTCTAAATTTGCACAGAAATGCAAAGAACCTAGAATAGTTGACAGTCTTGAAAAAGAACAATCTTCGAGAACTAATACTGTCATTTTTAAACTTAAGCTGGGCTGCTTAGGGCCCTGTCATCCAGTGGTGTTTTTCTAAGCTGTGTTTCTCCTCCTTCATGCTCCTAACCTTTGAGAAAGTCCCAGCTCAGAAGACTCATTTCCTTCCTGAGTTTGTATGAGGAGAGGAGACAAATCTTCACTGCACAGCTCCTGGGACATAATTCAGTTCTGATGAAGGGCTGCAGGCAGGTGAAGGTGGAAGAGAGCAACTTGCCTTACTAAAACTCGGTGCCCTCTAAGGAAGGTTGGTACAGATGAGTGCTCTGGGCAAAGCCTTTCGTAGGATGATTTGTGGGCCAAACAGGTCCCTGACTAGAGTGTCCCTCTCCCATTGGGGTTCTTCCACTTTGACCTCCTCTGTTACAACCATTTATGACCCCATTGCTTCCGCTTTCCCTCTAGGGCTCAAGTGTGGGCAAAATCAAAACCCCTTTCTTTTCCTTGTTTGTATTACCTCCCGTATCTCCCAAGATCCTCTACCCAATTAAGTCCTCTGGCCTCAAAACAAAGTAGTAAATTGATGAACTTTCTTATTTCATATTTCAGAAGAGGCAAAAGGGCCTCTTCTGAAAGCAATGGAATATAAAAATCAGCGTAATCAAGGAAAATATAAAACCCTGATTGACTGATTTATAAAACCCAGCTTTCTGATCTGATTTTGCCAGAATTATTAACAAGACACTCCATTTCTGTTTGACCCATATTTTTTCTCTGATCTGTGTCATCTCCAGGTAGTTTTCCAATACTTAGAAACTGATGTAGCTCTTCCCGGACATTTCTCAGTATTTTGCCCCATCTGAGGACTGGCACCCAATGCCTTAAAAACTAAACTTTTTCATGACTCAAACTCCCAGATATCGTAGAGTCTGCCCTTACTTCAAGGTCCATTTGGAGCAACAAGCCTAGTGCATAAATTACTTAAAGCATAGTGGTGGTTGACACCTTCCATTCCCAGTCATTACCTAGCTTTGTCAGTATGATACGGTAGCTACGGTGAAATGGTTCTGAAGCCAGTCACCCTGGGTTCAAGTCTTAGTTCTACCTTGGCTAGCTCTACAACTTTGGGCAAGTTAGTTAACCTCTCCCTGCCTCAGTCTTCTCATCAGTAAAATGAGGATAATAATAGTGCCTACCTTGTAAAATCCTACCTTGGAAGGTCATGATGAGTATCCATTGGGAAGATAAACAAAATAGAATTAGGAATCAAGACTTATTTGCCACTTAAAAAATATCATTAATTCTTTCCAAGCCTAGTTTATCAGTTCTGCCCACTTTGGAGTTAACACTGAATAGGTGAGGAGGCAGGTTACTTCTGATAATACTCAGTTGTGTAGGGAGAGGGCCTATCCCCAGAAGAAGTAGAGAATAATCTGAATACGAGGTGGGCAGCGTGATGAGCAGAGAACAGTCTGGTCACATCACTAGAGGTATCCTCTTCAGACATGGTAATAATGCTGTGGAAATGTTTCCCCTGCACTGTCTGGCTCACTGTCTAATCAAGTCTCCAAAGAATGGAAACTGAGTCAACTTTTCCTTGTTGTGTTGCTGTATCTTTTCCCCTCTCCAAAGAGAGGAAGCAAAGCCCTTTATCTACTTGGAAACTGTGTCTTAGGTACTTTACAGATTTTCTTTCTCTAAGGAGATCTGGTTATCATCCCCTTTCATCAAATTTATGATACTCCTCTGAACTCTCTCCAAGTACTGCATTTTCTTCCATGCTGTGGACCACAGCTGGATGGGATGCTCTCCCCAGGGTCTCACAGTGACCATGTTAAAAAGGCTGTTCCTGTCCCACGAAGCCTCCTTAGCATCCCATTTGGTGCCCAGTCTAACTGTAAGTATACATCACTCCTGAGTTTTTCTATCTTATTTTCTGATATTCAAGTACTTGTATATTAAATCATTTGAAAAATGTCTATCATGATTACAAAGCCTGTTTTGCTATTTCAGAAAAATTTATTGTGTTCCAGTGGACGTATCTGCTGTTGAAAACAGAATTCTCCACTCTGAGGATGAACCACAGGGGGTCATAAAAATTGCATTCTGCAGTGTTTTTTCTATTTTCTATTCATGCATGTCTTCCTGATTTAGAAATTATTCAAATTTCCCAAAGAGGAAATGATTTTAAATAAAATGGTTAAAATATTCTAATGTAGTCATATTTCTGTTAGGGTTGAATGAATGTTAAAAACAGGAGTTTCAAGCATCTAAAAGTGAAGGTATAGACAGAAAAACTAAAGTGTAAGAGGGAGAGGAAGGAAGCACTGTGATTTCTACTCAACACATGACCATTCAGGCTATTCAAGAAGTAATAGGGTTTTAGATGACCCATAAATATGAAAGATAGACTGATGGGGAAAAGGGCCCAAGGTATGGTAGTGGGATGCAGACATCTCTTTACCTAACCCTGTCTTTGCTGTTAGAGTGCCTTCTACCAGGGAAGGCTTCCTTTCTCCAGCAGTAAAGCTTCTTAACGAAAGCAGTTTGGATATGGAAACGTATGCCCATTTGCGATCTCAAAAAACAAAGTGGACATAAAACATACTATCAGTATTATTTTCCTACTACTTCAGCATGAAAAAAATTATTATTTTTGAAGTTTCACTGCTTCAGAATCAAAAGGGCTGAAAAACATAATTATTGACACATAAAAAAAGAAATTCCTAACAACCTGTCTTAATCAGGTTCTGCTAGCAGTTGTAACAAATAACCTCTAAATCTTGGGACTTTAGAAAAAGTTTCTTTCTTTCTCTCATCACAGGGCAGTGCAGGTCTCTGCTGTGGTGGGTGGGCAGGGCAGTTCTCCTCTACAGTCATTCAGGCTTCTTACACCTTGAGGTTCTGTCACCTTTCAGTACCCTGGAGTCCTCCTACTTCCCCTGCATCTGGCTGGCAGAGAGGAAGGGAGAGGGAGGGAGTGGAGGATTGGGCTTGGCAGCAGTGTCCATTGTTCCCACCAATATTCTTCTGGCCTAACTGCAAGAGAGACTGGGAAATATAATTTAGCTGTGTGCTCAGAAAGAACAGGATATAGGTTTGATAAGTATTCATCCAGTCTCTGTCATATAATCTAAATTAAAGATCACATATTAGCAGCAGGCAAGCTAAATGTTGTCCACAGATGCGTTTCCTTTTGGCCTGCATCAAGTGGTTTAAAAAGTCAATTTTGTTCAAAAACTTTAATATGGGAAGATTTCACACTTAAAAATAAAAAGAAAATCTAGTATTTTTGGTTCCTTTCAACAAATCAGAAAATCTTGTGGGCCTGCCTTTTCTTTTGTCATGAAATGGCTGAAATTAAGTAGCAGCTGCCCCTTAGCTTAGGTCTACAGTCTCCAGTTCACCCTTGTTGGGGCTCAGAAAATGATACCCCGAAATATGGTGCTCTGATATGCTGAACTAAAGTGTACTCATCTGATGGGTTCTTCCTGTTTGCTGCACAGGCAAAACCAATTCACTGAGACCATGGTATTGCAGTAAAGAAACAGTTTAATTAATGCAAGACTGGCCATGCAAGAGAACTGGAGTTATCACTGGAATCAGTCTCCCCAAAGGCTCAGAGATTAGGGTTTTTATGGTCAATTTGGTGGGCAGGCGACTAGGGAATGGGTGCTGCTGACTGATTGAGGATGTAATCATAAGCATGTGGAAAATGATCCTGTGCATTGAGTCTGCCTCTGGGTGGGTGCAGGGGTTATGGGACCAGTTGAACGATGAGTCATGAGTCTTGGTGGGGTCAGTCAATTGCCGGAATGCAACAGTCTATAAAACATCTCAAAAGACCAATCTTAGGTTCTATAATAGTGACCTATAGGAGCAATTGGGAAAGCCACAAATCTTGTGACCTCTGGCCATCTGACTCCTGAATAGTAAGCGATTATAGAAACTATGCATACATTTTAGCAGAATTTGGGCCCCTCCCATAATAGTAATCTTGTAGCCTTTCATCAGTTTTACAAAGGCAGTGTCAGCCCCCAAACAAGGAGGACGCAGTTTAAGAGAGGGAGTATTATCATCCTTGCTTCAAAGTTAAACCATCAACTAAATTTCTCCCATGGTTAGCTTGGCCTATGCCCAGGAATGAGTGAAGACAGCCAGCCTGGGAGGCTAGATTGGGCCAACCATGCTGGACTTCTCTCACTGTCATAATCTTTGCAAAGGTGATTTCAAAAGTCATAGCCTCAAGGTCTCTATGATCCTCTTCCTCCCCCTCAACCCTGCCCTGTCTCTCAGCCTTATGTCTCTCCCAAAGCACAGGATGAGGCTTTACTCTGATATTCCCTTATCTACTTTAAGACCAGACTTGCCAAAGGAAACACAGTTGCCTTCCATCCCCTCCCTAAAATCCAGAAAATAAGATTGAGAAATGCAATCACACTTGGAAAGACTTTTTCACAAGATAATGTCTGCGCCTCTGGCTCATTCAAATTATGAAGAGAATAATTTACAAGTTAATTTCTGTCTCCCATACTGCCCTTCAAAAAATCATTTACTACTCCTTAAAATTGTTACACCCCATCTCTGCTTCCCTTAGGAAGAAGGGCATATAAGCATCTAGACCTCACTGGGTTATTGAGCAATCATTCTGCGGTTTCCATGTGCTATGCATGTTAAATAAGCAGCATGCCTTTTCTCTTACTAATCTGTTTATTGTCAGTTCATTTTCAGCAAACCTTCAGAGGGTAGAAGGGAAGCTTTCACCTGGCCCTTACACCCTGAAGCCTGTTTCAGTCACTCATTTGCCTGGCCTTTGGAGATGCTTACACTTGCATTCTCTGGTCTGCATGATGATTTATTCTTTTTTTTTTTTTTTTTTGAGACAGAGTCTTGCTCTGTCTAACAGGCTGGAGTGCAGTGGCACGATCTCGGCTCATTGCAACCTCCGCCTCCCAGATTCAAGTGATTCTCCTGCCTCAGCCTCCTGAGTAGCTGGGACTACAGGCGCCCGCCACCACGCCAGGCTGATTTTTGGTATTTTTAATAGAGACAGGGTTTCTCCGTGTTAGCCAGGATGGTCTCTATCTCCTGACCTCGTGATCCGCCCCCCTTGGCCTCCCAAAGTGCTGGGATTACAGGCGTTATTCTTTTTTATAGTCTAGATCTTGTCATTAATATGTCAATACCAACAATTGACTGCTATGGATTGATTCAGTGTGTATTTGTTAGATTATGTTTTAGATCATAGTGAAAACCACTTGCCAACCCTGAAACTCTCTTTTTCTGTAGAAGTAATGGCTAATGTCCAATTATGAATGAATTGAGATGTTTTACTTTTAGCCTAATTGTATGCTTAGTCATAATTTATATTCTGAACTAAAATGGTAATCTATCAGAAATACTGTTGAATGTGAAAATTTTTCTTTTTTTTTCCTAGGATTAATAATGTTTGCTGGGCTTGTAATTTTAAGATCCTTTTTATGGACAAAGATCTTAAGCAAACAGGATGATCCTTAGGTTGACAGCAGAACAGTTAATGGAGACGTACTCTACTACTTTGTTGTTGACCACTGGCTATTTGGGGAACAGTGTCAGGTGGATTTGGCATGGCTATTAAAATAATCAACTTAAATAAAAAATACATCCCAATATAATTCCCTTGTAGTTCTTTTAGTTGGATTTGAAACTGTTCCACAACTGAAATTTGGAAAATCAAGTTATATTGAAGGTGGAGGGAGGAATGGTTGGCTGAATTTAAATGACAGATTTAATTGTTTTGTTTTGTTGGAGAATACTGTCTATAAATGTCTAAGAATTTGGTGTTAGAAGTTTGTACACTATTCTAAAAAGAAGGAAATAGAGGATCAAACTTACAGTTAACAAACTATTTGCAAAGAAAATATCTCTTAACACCCTAGAAAGGCAAAGAAAATTAATGTGAACACACCTAAGGGCAATTAACACTTATAAAATGAAAGTACATTATATTGACAGCTTTATCTTTTTTGTTTGCTTTTTTTAAAAAATGAACAGAGCTTGAAGTGTTAATTTTAAAAATCAGGGCTGGGCACAGTGGTTCATGCCTGTAATCCCAGCACTTTGGGAGGTCGAGGCGGGTGGATCACGAGGTCAGGAGATCTGAGACCATCCTGGCTAACACGGTGAAACCCCACCTCTACTAAAAATACAAAAAATTAGCTGGGGGTGGTGGTGGGCGCCTGTAGTCCCAGCTACTCGGGAGGCTGAGGCAGGAGAATGGCGCGAACCCGGGAGGTGGAGGTTGTAGTGAGCCGAGATCGTGCCACTGCACTCCAGCCTGGGTGACAGAGCGAGACTCCATCTCAAAAATAAATAAATAAATAAATAAATAAAAAAAATAATAAAAATCACCTGAGGGTATTTTAATGTTTCTGGTAAAATTACTGATGCTCATGATGGCAGCCTTTCTGGCACTTTTCAGTTTACATGTTTGGATTTGTAGTCATGCCTTGCTTAACTATGGGGATACGCTCTAAGAAATGCATCATTAGGCGATTTTGTCGTTGTGTGAACCTCATACAGTGTACTTATACAAACCTAGATGGTATAGCCTACTATACATCAATATCAAAGCTATATGGTATTGTGTATTGCTCCTAGACTACAAACCTGCACAGCATTTTACTGTACTGAAAACTGTTGGTCATTGAAACATAACAGTACCCAAATGGCATTTGTGTATCTGAACATATATAAACATAGAAAAGGTAAAAATACAGTGTTATTATCTTATGGGGTCACCGTCATATCTGTGGGGTCACCGTCATATTATATGGGGTCACGGTCTGTCAGTGACCAAAATGTCATTATGCAGTGCATAACTATACATACAAGTGACATAAATTCTGTGGAGAGAAGTTTTAAGCACATTTGTGAAACAAGCTACAGAAGAACTTTTGTTTTACATTTTTATTGTGTATTTGGATGAGGGGAATAAACTGCTGACATAATTTGCTGATGATTCAGAATTGGCTATCAGCAGAATTATAATCCTGGCGAAGATGGAGGAAAAAATATAGAGAGACCTCCTGTGACAAAAAATGAGTGGAAAATTGTCACAAAATCACTTTTGGTGGTGAGGGGTAAGGGGATTGCCCCTGGGGAAAAATAAGTCATTGGATCATGCGGGTTGAGAGAGGCCGAATGAAGAGCACCTGAATGCTCTTGGCTGTCTTACCCAGCCCCAAATCCTCACTCAACACCCAGAAATGGGAATTATCTCCTTGCCAAGATGGGGAAACTGAGTCTCAGATGGATCGACAAACTTGGCAAGGTCTATAAGCAAAATAATAGAGGATGTAGGAATTCAAACTCATGGCTTCCAGGCACCAAAGTCCTCACTGAGAAAAACAGGGTGAACATAGAAAAATGACACTCTGAGAGAGAGACCCATTGAAAAGAAGTGGACAGTGAGCTTGGGTTTTAAATGTGATTCACTGACCAGCTGACTGAGAGGAAGTTTCAAAAGGTCTGTAGCACAGTGGGCTGAGGGACACTGCAATTCTTCTCCCTTCAACTCCCAGAGACTAAGTCCAGCAGTATGGGCTTCAACCAGGGGCACTTTGGTACCAGAAGGATACAGGCTGGACAGATTCCAATAGAGCAATAAAAAGAGTAAAGGAAACAGAGATTTATCTGTCGAAGGATGCATGAGTCCAAGCACTTGTAGCTTGCATTAATGGGGAGGAGAGGACGATGGATGGCAACTCTTTGAAGTGTGTGTCTGCATTTAAGGAGTGATTAGCTTATAGCAGGAGTACATCCAGGAGTGGGAAGTGACGAAATGTGGATGAGAAACCTCTAAACTGATAGCAGAAAATGGTTTTTGGAAGAGTTACAGGGCAACTCCTTGAGGCTCTGATGTTTTTCACTTTTCCTGACTCACTTGTTTTCCAGGAGTCCCAGTGTCTCCTGAGGAAATCCCTTTCCCATTCAGCCGGCAGCTGCAGCAGGTGGGATGGGCCAGACCAGCCCTCTGGGGATGCTGATCCCAGGGAGCATCCAGGCCGGAAGGTCCAAACGGGCAAGTGACTCATTTGCTTTTCCTCCCTTGGTCATGTCTATGACTCATACACTTTCATTCAGTCCCAAGTATGAGAAAGGAACATCAAAAAGTCCAAGATGTTATCAAATATTTGATGAAAAAGAAAATTCCCCTCTCATATGACCCTTACAGAAAATGTTTATTTAGTCTTTTCATTTTGTTGACATTTCTTTGATTTATCAACATTGAGAAGGTACAGTGAGGAGAAGGAAGGCTGTTAAGTGAGACAAAGGAGGGTTAGGATGGCTCAGTCATTGCTCCCCCGAGGGAGTGATCTAAGCTGCTCACCCACAGACAGAAAGGGTAAATGGGCTAGCTCTTCATTAATAAGAAAGGACTCTTCGTTTGAGTAAGTGAGGAGTATTTACAGTGCTGTGTTTGTAATCACATGGTGCCTGTGTATAGATGGCTGGGAGACAGGATAAAGGGATGGGTGATTTAAAAGCATCAACTTTGGTATCAGATGGATCTGGAGTGGAATTATGGATCTGTCACTTATTAGCTGTGCAACCTTCAGCAAGATCCTTGAGTGCTCTGAGACTTAGCTTTCAGATCTATAAAATAACAATTATAAAAAAATAGCAGCAATGATAATGCCAACATGTCTATCATTGAGCTTCTACTTTGTACCAGACATTGATCTATGGATTTTACATATATTATCTCATTTTATCTTTCCAACAAACCAAAATATGGGTAGTACTATTGTCCGCATTTTATAGGTGTGGAAGCCGAGTCACTGAGGGCTGAAGGAACTTGCTCAAGGTCACGCAATTAGAAAGGAGCAAAATATCTTCCTCCTCAGATTGTTATGAGGCTTACTCAAGGTAAAGCAGCTAAAGAGATTAGTTCCCTGTAAATGTACAACAGTATATATGCTTACTTTTTCTTTTTCAAACTAAAGACAAGGAAGGGGGAATTCCCTTTCTAATTGTCCCAATTGCTATCTCCTTTTTTTTTTTTTTTTTTTTTTGAGATGGAGTCTCACTCTGTCGCCCAGACTGGAGTGCAGTAGCGTGATCTCGGCTCACTGCAACCTCTGCCTGCCAGGTTCAAGCAATTCTCCTGCCTCAGCCTCCAGAGTAGCTGGGACTGCAAGAACATGCCACCATGCCCAGCTAATTTTTTGTATTTTTAGTAGGGACGGGGTTTCACCATGCTGGTCTCGAACTCCTGGTCTTGTGATCTGCCCGCCTCGGTCTGCCAAAGTTCTGGGATTACAGGTGTAAGCCACAGTACCCGGCTGCCATCGACTTTTTTAAATAAGTAAGTGATTCTCTCTGCTATCAACGTCTGCTATCAATGCACAAGTAATTCACAGTATTCTTTATTTTTTAACACAAAGTTTTCAAAATTCATAGAGATTATTTGTAAGACAGCTGTGAGCAACATCTGATACTAGGCTAGGACATATCCCTCCGCTTTGTTCAAGAAACTGCTCTATACTTTTAATCAACTAAAATAAACATGTGGAAACCATTGAAAGCTTATTTTCTGTGAACTCGTTCACAAATATAGGGGCATACTTCAGAGTAAAATATAATATCTTCTCTACACATGCATCACGCAAACATGCATGCATGCACACACACACAACGTAACTCAGATGTTCAAACTGCCTTTGAAAGTGGCGTTGAGCAAAGCTGTCTTACCTAGTAGTGTTGCTATTCATCTTGGTTGGTGTATTAGACTGTTCAGGCTACCATAACGAAATACCACAGACTAGGTAGCTTAAGCAACAGAAACTCACTTTCTCACAGCACTGGAGGCTGAAAAGCCTCAGATCAGGGTGCTGGCCAATTTGGTTTCTGTTGAGGGCTCTCTTCATGGCTTGCAGACAACCACCTTCTCATTATGTCCTCACGTGGCCTTTCCTCAATACATGTATGTAGAGACCTTTCTCTCTCTCTCTTCCTCTTCTTATAAGGCCACCAGTCCTATCAGATTAGGACCTACTCTTACAACTTCAGTCCGTCTTAATCACTTTCTAAAAGCCCTATCTCTGAATACAGTCACATTAGAATGTAGGGTTTAAATATTTGAATCTCGGGGGTACAGAGTTCAGTGTATAGAAATTGGCTGAGGCTGGATTGTTTTTTATGCTGGGGCCTATGTATCTCAGAGAATCATTTATTAATAATTCAAATTTTCCATGTGGTCATCTTTAGAACAGTAATTGCCAAAGGGCTGTGAATCAGGTGTTTATTGTAGAACATGAACAGATGAAATGTAACAGATAAGGCTCCCTTGGTAAAGCAGAGTCTTGGAATACAGGGTGGTGGTGTTCTTTCTAAAAATAAGTCTTGGTGGCTATTGTGCTGCTAATACTGAGGGCATTTTAAAACGTAAACAGGGCCTAAAAGTAAAAGCTAGATCTGGAAAGGAAAGGGACTATTCTGCAGAAGGAACACATTCTTTCCAAGTGGTTTGCATAATTTCCTATGTCGCTTTCATGTTAGAGAAAACACATAGGTATTTTGGATGACTATGTAGACCAAGTTTTCATATCATCTCAGAAATATCACTGGGGCTGGTTTGGTTAATTGAAGAAGGCTTGTTAACTTTTCTTTCATGTGTAATTTAAAACTGGAAAATATGAACGTGCTATTTTCTTGCTTTCAGACTTTGTTACCTTCTGCCTTTGGACTTAGGCAGGCTCAAGCGGTGTATGTATATATGTCTGTATGTGAGTGGAGCTGGGGGAGTGGGGAGATGGGAGGGGTTGGACAAAAAAAATTAGAATTTGTCAATTGTAAAAGCCCTGGTAACATTCAGCTTCTTGTGTTCAATATAGGGCCTATTTATTAGGCTATTGTTCTGAGAGAGGATTTTCAAGAACAAATTTAAATCTCTCCTTCAAGAAACCAAAGGCCGGCCGGGCGCAGTGGCTCACGCCTGTAATCCCAGCACTTTGGGAGGCCGAGGCGGGTGGATCACGAGGTCAGGAGATCGTGATCCATCCTGGCTAACACGGTGAAACCCCGTCTCTACTAAAGATACAAAAAAAAAAAATTAGCTGGGCGTGGTGGCAGGCGCCTGTAGTCCCAGCTACTCAGGAGGCTGAGGCAGGAGAATGGTGTGAACCTGGGAGCTTGCAGTGAGCTGAGATCGCGCCACTGCACTCCAGCCTGGGTGACAAAGCGAGACTCCATCTCAAAAAAAAAGAAAAAAAAAAGAAGCCAAAGACCAAGACTGAAGACCCTATTGGTTCTCCCCATAGAGTAGAGAAGCCTCATGCTTCTCAGGACAGTAAGGCTACGGCTTCATGGCGGAAGGGTAAGTAATAGGTTTCACCCTATCTAGAGTAGAGTAGTACTCATGCATCTCTGGATCTCCACCAGGCCCTGGCCAGCCTGAGGGAGAGACTAGATCACCAGTTCACCAGCACCACAGTTCCCCAGGTGGGCAAGGATCCCTGTGCCAGAGATTCCAGCAGCTAGAGGACTCCCCCTGCACCTCCAGGAGGTCATGGAAACCTTAAGCTACAACCACCTTCTCCTCTCCCTCTTTTCCATTCACCACTTTAGGGGGAAAAACAGATGGGGAGGGAGAGTGGTGGGAACAGGAAAGGAAGGAGGAAGCCTTCTAGAAGGCTGAGAATTTGTGCCCAGGAGTAACTGTGACTCAAAGGCACGGTTTACATGACAAGTTAAGGCTAGGTCCGAAATCAGATAGGGCTAAATGTTAAATTTTTAAAGGTGTGCAACAGAAATGAGTTATCTTGTCAGATTAGTTATAGGAAAAGAAGCCACATCTTACATTCTATCTAGCTGTGCTTATGGACTGTAGCATGAGTGGATTTTGCTTCATTTGCTTCTTGTTTCATGAATGGCTAAGTGTGTGTTTATGTGTGTGTGTGAGATGTGGTAGGTGTGGTGGGGAAAGGAATAAAATATAGTTTCACTGGGAACATACTCAGTCACACATGAGTCCCACTAAAATGAAATTGTAGAAAACATCCCAAAGTATAAATGTATTTGGCAATTATATCAGACATTTTAGCATTAAATATCTCACTTCTCACTGGTTCCTCATGGCAGAGTCAAACCAGAGGACCTTAACCAGTGCTTTCCGAACACAGACGCCCACCCCCCAAAATGTGATTTGCAAAAGGACCGTAAGGCACACTCTCTACCACCATCACCATCTCCATCATTACTTGCAGCGAGCATCTACTAAGCTTACTCTATGTTAAGTACTCAGCATTCTCTACTAAATGCTTTACACGATCATATTCAGTCTTTGCAACAACCATACTAACATTATCCCCATTTTAAAGATGAGGGAACTGAGGCTCACAGATGAAGTAAGTATTTAAGCCAAGAATCAGGGTCATGTATTAATAGTTCCAAAGCCTATGCATGTTTTTTTCCATTCTACCATGCCATTTTCAAGCTTCTTTTGAAGATGACACTTTTAGAGAACTTTCTGGTATCTCTGAAGTTCAATTTTTGGGCTTTCTGTTCTCTAGGTTCTATGTCGATGTGGCTCAGAGCCAGTAGTGTAGGGTACAGGAGAAACCTTCATCACCTCATCTTCTCAGGGCCCTACTGCAAGCCAGCATCTCCCCTTCTTCCTCTCTGCTTCAAGATCCATGGAGGTATATTCTAATATTTTCTAGTATAGTTATCTTTATTTCAGTTGGTTAAGTATCAATTTTCTTATCTAATATCCTGAAGCACTTCTCTCTACCACCTGTCTTATTTTTATCCATCTCTAGGTATAAAGTTTTTGATAAAGAAAAGTGTCATTAGACACTACCTTCTCTTTATCAAAGGTTTTCCAGTACGTTAATAAGGCTTCTCTCTGGGAATGTTTTACAAATTTCAAATTGGATAATCAATTTAAAATATATGCAATCCAGCAAAGAGACAGCAAATACCACTAACGCTCTTCACTTGGTTTGGCCAAATCACTCACCTGGGAAAAAGTAGAAATACACCAAAATGCATTTAGAAAAATGTCTGGACTCTCAGAGCCCCAGTGTTTCCAGACAAACACTGACAGTTTTAGCTTTTCCTATTACCAAGGCAAAAGGTTTTGCTTTTGATTCTCAGCTTTACAGGTTTCTTTTACCTTTGTCAACCTAAGTTTTCCATATTTGTTAACCTCTTTTAAAGACATGCCATGTACAGTAGCGCTTCCTGGCTAGCATGCCCATCTTGTTCCCCAGCCCACTGTGCAGGCCTTGATCATTCTTTAAATCCCAGATCCTAGTTCCCTCTTCCATGAATCTTCCCAGACCTTCTCAGCTCCCATTCATTTCCCTTTCTTGGGAACCCTACAACACTCATTAAGTGAATCATTACTTCTGGCATTTAATTGTGTACTGCCTGAACTATTACTTATTATTTACATGTATGTATATCTTCTCTTTCCAGTGACAAAACCGGTTTCTTACACGGAGGTAATTTTGTTTTGCCACATATAAGTCCCTGCAGAATGACAAATAGACATTTAATAAATGCATATTGAATGGATGAAGGCACTTTGTTTCAAAGGGATAACCCTGGAGTTGATTTGACTCAGGAGAAAATACAGCTCACACAGCTCATTGGAATGCTTATTGTTTTGCCATTTCCTTGTAGTGGAAAGTCCCAGTCAGTTATCAATTAATAGTATCAACAACCATTTTATCTAGTGCTTAACAGGGGATGACATCCAGAGGTAACTTCACAGACAGAGCCTGTTGTGAAACAGGTTGAATTCTGCCACATTTTACTACCTTCCTGGTCTCAGACCAATCACTTAACTCCTGCAATGCCACATGTGGAAAATATATTCTGTTATCAATGAGTTTACAAGCCTGTGATACTACGCTCCAGAAGCCAGCAGGAATGTGATACTGGTGTAACTGAGCCCCTGGCTTTGCAAGTTTATACACTTAAGCATCTCTGAGTGAAAAGCAATTATATAAACACAAAGGAACCATTATTAGAGAAATCATATTTATGTTCCCATATTGTATGTGGTCAGAGGAAAGCAAGACAAGGGCAAGACTTGGGCAAGTGACAAGACGTATTAGCAGTGGCAGCAACAGTGCTGGGTAAACAGTTGTAAATCTCAAACGCTGAGCCGTGTTAACATTTTACAGAATGCTTTGATCCTTTTCAGTAAGATACAAAGCAAGAATAAATTCACACAGCCTCCTTGGAGGTCAGTGTGATTTCTCTGTTTCTGTGGAAAAGCACTAACTAGTCACATGCTAATTCACAGTTTGATGCTCATCAAACTGGAGCAGATGGTTAGAGGTAGGGATGACATACAAAAAAAAAAAAAAGAAAAAAAGAAAAAAAAAGAAGACTGGTTTCCCCAGAACCTGAATGGAGATCCTGCAGCTAAAAGAGGTCACCCATCTCTCTTTTGGGTGTTCTTTTTAGACATCCAAATGCAGACTGGATGGTGCCTTCCCAGAAGAGCATGTTGTGGGTCATCTCTCTGTGGGGATAACTGGGGAAGGAAGCTTCCTCCCAAAGGACATGCAGCCAGAGTATGGTTTTACAGTAGAATCTAAGAATATTAATAATTCGTTGAACATAAATGACCAAGGAGCTCTATTTCAGTAAGAAGTTTCCGGGAGAAGTTTCAAACTGTTGTAACTGCCAAGTATTAAGGGGCAAGATGCCACTAATTCCCAGTGGATTAAAAATACTGCTAGTTTTTCTCAAGGACATTTCAATCTTGGAAAGAGTATCAGTTTAGAAACACAAATTAAATACTATCTTTGAGATGAAATGAAACCTGAAGGAATTAGACAATTCACCAATAAGAAGGACTTTTCTCAAGTAATCTTTGAACTGTGTGTTCTAGAAAGGACTGTATGTACTGAGTGGAGGCAGGGGGATGAGAAGAGGAGCTGAGGAGGAGGAGTCTGAGGAATGTGGCCTGGGGCTACTCAGATAAATTGTTACAAAGGAGGAATGTGACCTAGGAACCAATCTCCATCTCTTGAGGTGTCTGGGCCAAAACATGTTTTATGACTTTGATGATAGAAAAAAATCTATGTATTTTGACTGCTGATATAATGAAGATCAAAGCTACACAATTTGGATGAAAAGAACCCTACTGTCATGTTTCAAGTTTTGCAAAATAAATGATGGAATGATCTTTAGATCACATGGCTGAATGTGAAGATTTGAGTACCTCACAAAAAAAGAATCTTGCAAATGTATACAGAGAAAATTATGATAATGCAAATAAAGCCCTTTAATTTATGTTGCATGAAAGAAGTTTAAAGTAGGAGTAAGTAAGCATGAGTCTATGTTAATAGAATAGCCACCATAAATAGGAATATTTATCCATTGTTTACAAATCCATAGAATTATTAGATGAAAACTATACCATTCTAAATATGTAGGACTCTTTATCATCCACTTACAAAAGTAATGGCTTTAGTATCTATTGTTTACTTATGTCTCTACCATTCCAGAAATTGAGTAGAGCAGGTAGCGCAGAGGGAGGGAGAAGCAGCTTCAGAGGTCAAGTCTTAATAGACAGGCCCTGGACCTTGACCTTTGGACACCCTAACTGGGCCTCTTCTACCAAACCAGACCATGAGTTGCCCCCAAACCAATTCTTCTGAAGTAACCAAATGTATCAATGAATGAATATTAAAATGAAACTTGAACAAGCCTCAAGTGCAAAGGGGACTAAGAATGGAGTCTGGTAGGGAGAGGCACCCCAAAATGAGAGTGGTGCAGAAAGAAAATTAAAACAATTCTGAAAATGGGTTTCTTTCATTTCCGAGTTTTGCTTCTGTCAATCCTTGGGGACCAGGAGAATATGGCAGCACAGGTGCTTGAGAACAGGTTGTGCTGCGATTTAGAAAACCTATTGACTTTAGAGAAGTTACATAGCCTCCCTGGGCTTCTGGAACCTCATCTGTAAAAGGAAGAGGTTGGATTCAAAGATGTCTTTTCTGCTCTAATATGTTCTGGTTTCACCAAGCAAGTCTTTGCCTGGCATCTAGAAAAGATCCTCAGCCCAAACAAAGCAACATCATCCAGAAGGAAAATGCCCTTCAGGTCTGTTTCAGGACTTCAGTGTTCACCACGATGGTGAGTGACAGCCTTTCTTGGCCACCAGCTGTCTGGAGCGACCCAGAGGAGTGGCAGGCATTGCCCTCAGCGGGGCAAGTGAGGAGGAGCTGCAGAGGCAGAGGAGAGACAGCAGGGTGGAAAGTGACTCAGGAATGAGACTGCTCTCCCCATTCGACTCTCAGTCCAAAAAACCACACTCCTATTGTGAAAATTAGACCTTTGAGCAGCGTTCCATGTGTTTATTCTACTTGTATCAAAGAGGCTTTCATCTCCCTAGAGCAAATTATTAACACATTCCACCAAAGTTGTGAGGGTGGAGGCCTGGCCTTGGAGAAAAAATAATCACCATCATAATAAAGAGTTGCCCGAAACGTGAACTTAAGAAAAACTAACATAAAAGCCCCCACTTTTAATGATAGTGGTTGGAAAGGCGCCAAGGTCCTTGTGCCCAGGGGAGCATGGTTGGCTGACTCCTTGTCCGTGGGCTGACCCTTCTGTGTCCAGGAATTTTCCATGAGCAGGCCGTAGTGTGGGAGGTGGGGACTTTTGCAGGTTCAGCAGGTTGAGGCACTCACAGCCAGTTGCCCTTAGCCTTAACTGGAGACCAGATTTTGTTGGCTGAGTGAGCAGTGGCTCTCGATTCCAGGCAATAAATCTTTGCTTCTCAAGATCATTTGGTTGGGAAGAGGAGGGAGAAAAATAGAGAGGAGAGAAAGAGGGAGAGAGAGGAGAGAGAGCGAGAGAGAGAGAGAGAAAGAGAGAGCAAGAACAAGAGCCAACTCTCAGATACAGCCAAGAGGAGCAACAGATATAAAGTAAGCCCAACAATATTTCAGTTTCATGAATGGATTATTCCCTAAAGGGCTGTGAGGAATAGTTTCTAGATAGAGATTATGCCATTTTCTAAAGCAAGTTCACTTGATTTACAGGAATCCTTCGATGCTTAGGCACCTCCTTTGAGATACAGTTAGACTATATGAGTAAAGGGCCCAGTCCAAAAGAGATAATAGAGAATACA